>NC_000015.10:100065908-100704335 GCF_000001405.40 Homo sapiens | reverse complement strand
CATTTGGGCCCACTACATGATCAGTGAATATGGTTGAATCTATAGCAACATATGCTTCTTATAGTTTTCAAAATGTGCTGAGGCCTTACTCTAGTCATGTAATGGGATATCTGCTTACAAACAGTCATAGGAGTAAAAAAATCCCTTCGTCCCCTCCCTTCTTAGGAATCAATGGAGTTTACAATCTGTTCCGATTTCCCCCAGGTGTCAAAGGGAGGGGAGTGTTTCCAGCCTGCTGCGTGTCCCCTGTGGTGGGGACAGGCCCTGGCGTGGGGTCCATGGGGAGCTGCAGTGGTCCTGGGCCTGTACACACTGGCCAGCAGAAATCACCTTTTTCCCACGCCCCTCCCAGAAGGTTTGAGGAACAGCAACGAGACTGGGGCTGGAACAGAGACTGAGTGAAGGCCAGAGCCATGGGAAAAAAGGCGGGGGAAGTATGGGGGGCTCAGGCCAGGACAGCCACTGGAGGGCGTGGGCAGAAGAATGCACTACCTGACTTCCACTATGAAACCATCACTGGCCGCTTTCTCGAGGCTGGAATACGGGGAGAAACAGGGAGGCTGCCTGAGAGCGCACATCATTCAGATGTGAATTGATGGTGCTTAGACAAAGGTGAGGGCAGCAAACCTGATGAGAAGCGGCAGTTCCAGAAAGATCAACAGGGTTTCCTGGCAATTGGATATGGGGTGTGAGAGAAGACAGAAGTCAATTTGAGTGGGTTTCTGTTGCTTGCAGCCAAAAGACTGAGTCCTGACACTGGGTTCCTCTGCTCTCCCCAGGAGCTGGAGGTGCTCTCTTCCAGCAGACTCCCCACTGGGCCCAAGGAAAGCCTGGTAAGATGCTCCCTCAGAAGTCACCCAGGGCCCCATGAGGAATTAGAAGTGACGACTAAGCCAAAGAATTGAGTGAGTGAGGATGTTTACACAGAGAAGCCCAGTCAGAAAGAACAAAAGGTGTGAATGAGAAATCCAGGAAATCGGCCATGAACCCAAGAGCTTGTTTGGGTTCAGCACACTTTCCCACACATTGTCAGCAGCTGCAAGGCCCATCCTCTGTGGCTGAAACTTCTCGGTGAAAGTGCCAGACCACACACATCAGCCTTTATGACTGTGCTGGTGTGGTGGAAGCAGTACTCACCTACCCTCTCTGTGAGCACTCCAGATTTCCCAGCCTCCCTTGTTATGAGGCCAGGTCATGTGACTAATTCTGACCAATGGACTGTGAGCACCAAAGATGGGTTTTACTTCCAGGACAAGCAGTAGGAGGCAGTGTGTGTCCTCCATCCCTCTCTTTCTGTGTTACAGTGACCTGGGGCAAAATGGACGTCTCCTGGATCCTTGAGTCACCACGTGGAGAAGAACTATTGACCACTCTTGCTGGGCCTTACAGGTGCAAGAAATAAACTTCTGCTTCTTACAAGGTTAATTTATTGCCAGAGCATGGCATGGCATAGCTGTGGCAAATACAACTGGGTAAGGACTTGGGCACCAATTTAAAACTACAATACAAGGGTAGGTCACATTCATATATTACTTTGCAGTTTAAAAGAGCTTTTGCTTATTCTCATTTGATACTCACCTGTTCTATGAACTAGGTAGGTCTATCTGAATATTTTCAAATGGACACCTTCTGACTGGCTTCAAAAGCAATGATAGAGAAATCAATAGATTTCCTTTGTAGAAAACAAAATGTAAAAGAAGACTTTTTAAATCATACTATTAAAAGTTAATATAGACATACAGACAAACTTACTAGGAGCAAGCAGGACCTACTGAGAAAGCTATGAACTCGACTGAGGGAAATAAAATTTTAACAAATACTGAGTTCTTGATTAGGAAGATTCAGTATCACAAATATAAAAACTCTTCCAAATTAACATATAAATGTAACATACTTTGAATCAAAACCCTCAGATGACTTTTTGAGAGGCTTGATAGTATGAATACGAAGTTTTTCTTGGAAAATGAAGAGGTGATAGTAGTTTAAACATTGTGTGTGGGAGAGGTCACGGTGCACTACTAGATAGATATTAAAACAAAGCTAACCCCAAACCACAACCATCAAGGTGGGCTCTAATGGAGAAATAAACATAACCACAAGATAGAATAGAAAGCCTGCAAACAGACTTCAGTACTTCTTATTCCAAAGGGATTCGAAGCCAAAGCTTAACAATTTTCAAACCCTCAAACTCTGGGGCATTCCATACATTGCCAGGGTAACAGTGGCTTATTATGGCAAAGATCCTCACTAGAACAGCCTGAGATGGAAAGGAAGGTGTGTTGAAATGTGTGTGTGACTTTGAAAAACTGCCTGCACACATATACATATTCCTGAAATGCAAAAAAATGATAAACAGTTCAAGATATTGCTTACTTCTGCAAGAGAAGAAAAAGAATGAAATCAGAAAGACTTCAAAGGTTCTTCAAAGACTTAATGATGTTCTATTTATTTTGCTGAGAGGTGGGTAGATGAGGGTTCATTATATTCTTCTTTTTTTTTTTTTTTTTTTTGAGATGGAGTCTCACTCTGTCGTCCAGGCTGGAGTACAGTGGTGCAGTCTTGGCTCGCTGCAACCTCTGCCCCCCAGGTTCAAGTGACTCTCTTGCCTCAACCTCCAGAGTAGCTGGGACTACAGGAACATGCCACCACACCCAGCTAATTTTTTGTATTTTCAGGAGAGACAGGGTTTTACCATGTTGGCGAGGCTGGTCTCGAACTCTTGACCTCAGGTTATCTGCCCACCTCAGCCTCTCAAAGTGCTAGGGTTACAGGCATAACCGTGCCCAGCCCATTATATTATTCTTTATTCCTTATGTAGACAATCTACACATTCTTTGTATGTATGAAATATTTCCTAATACATTTTAAAACCCCTGAGATGTATTGATATCCCTCCCAGGAAGATGTATCCACTCCGTCTTCAGTTACAAATCAATGAATTAATAAATGAATAGTAAAACGACAAAAGATCTTGAAGAATTATAACGTGAAGCATTATCCATGATTCACCATATTTTGCAAAAAAAAAAAAAAATTGGTGATGAAGATGAGGTCCAGTGCTTTCATAAAAACAAGTGAGGAAATAACTTCTAGTGTCATCCTATTCTTCCCCTAGTACTTTAACCTTCCTACCACACTGTACAAAAAAGACATAGACTTCCGATACAGCTGCAATCACCATTTAGAACTGTAATGGGAAAAAAACAATATTTTTTTTCCTTTTTTTTGAGATGGAGTCTCACCCTGCCACCCAGGCTAGAGTGCAGTGGCGCAATCTCAGCTCACTGCAACCTCTGCCTCCCAGGTTCAAGCAATTCTTCTGCCTCAGCCTCCCAAGCAGCTGGGACTACAGGTGTGTGCCACCACACCCAGCTAATTTTTGTATTTTTAGTAGACACAGGGTTTCACCATGTTGGCCAGGCTGGTTTTGAACTCCTGACCTGAAGTGATCCACCCACTTTGACTTCCCAAAGTGCTGGGATTACAGGCGTGAGCCACCATGCCTGGCCAAAAACAAAAACAAGTTTAAACAATTTTTAAACTCCCATAGAAATAGAAGATTATAAATTCTATATGGAAAAATCAACAAAAATTTATTGAAGGACATTTTTTAAAAGACATGAATAACTCCATGTTCCTCAATGGAAATGCTCATTTTTATAAAAGGCTCACGTCTCCCCAAAATAGTACACAAACTGAATAAATTGCCAACCAATATCTTAAAGGATTCCTATAGAATTTGCAAAATGGGTTCTATTTTAATTATATCTGAAAGAAGAGCCAGAGGTGTCTGAAAATAAGAAAATTGAAAGGTTATTGAGATATTGGATATCAAACTATTCTATAAAGTTTTAGTTATTAAAGCATTGTGGTATTATTGGCAATAGGATAGACAGATTGATGAAAAAAAAAAAAACCCAGCAAGTCTTGAAACGAACTCAATATATGGTAGAGGTGTCATTTCAAACCAGCAGAGACAGACTCAAATGTTCAATAAATGAAGGCTGGACCTTTAACTAGTATGATGGATTATTTGCTTAGGGCCCAGCCCAGTGGCTCACACCTGTAATCCCAGTAGTTTGGGAGGCTGAGGCAGGAGGATCAATTAAGCCCAGGAGTTCAAGACCAGCCCGAGCAACATAGTGAGATCCTGTCACTACCAAAAAAAGAAAAAAAAAAAATTGCCAGACATGGTGCCACATGCCTGTGGTTCAAGCTACTCAAGAGACTGAGGTGGGAGGATCCCTTGAGCCTGGGAAGTTGAGGCTGCAGTAAGTTGCGAGCATGCCACTGCACTTCAGCCTGGGTGACACAGTGAGACCCTGTCTTAAAAAAAAAAAAAATTGAACTACTCAGATCCCTAACACAACACCATATACAAAAATAAAATTCAAATGAATCAAAGAATCAATTGCAAAAAATAAATTTATAAAAGTATTAGAAAATATATAGGAACATATCTTCATACTTAATATGCAGAAAGTTTTGCTAAGCAAGATATCGAATCCATTAGCCATAAAATAAAATAATGATATATTCAACTACCTACAAATTTGAGAAGTTCTGTACATTAATAACATCATTTTCTAAGTTTAATGGTGAGAGAGACTCAGGGAGAAATTATTTGTAATGTGTATGATAAATAATCCCAATTCACCAACTACAAAAAATTTTAAGAATTAGTAAAAGAAAAAGAGCCACCTGGGCAGAATAACCAGGCAAATGACACCAAAACACAATTCACAGAAGAAATACAAATGTTACACTTAAAAACACAAGTTCAAACAATGAGATGACATTTAAAAATGTACCAGATTGGCAAACATTTTTAAAGATTGATAATATGACATGTGGGTTTGGTTATGAAAGAAAGGAATCCATCACAAGGCTGCATCACAAGCTCTTAGAGTATGGAATGGGCACCCTGTTTTGGAGGGCACTGAGCGATGCCCACTGACAAAGCAGGCGGCCCTCTGATCCAGTAATCTCACAGTTAGGAATGTACCTGACCCAAATCCTCACACCGTGCACAAGGCTACACATTCAGGAACATTTCCCGCAGTATTGCTAATAATAGCTAAAGTAGGAGAAACTTAAAGATCTCTTAGAATGGGACTGGCCAAATAAATGATGGTGTATTACTCCTGTGAAATATCATGCAATCATTCATAAGAATTAGGTGGTTCTAAACGTACAGAAGCAAAAAGAGACCAAAGGTATATTCTTAAATGCAAGATAGAGCCTCAAAACAGTACATTTGTTATGACCCATTTTTCAAGTGCCTCTCTCTCTCTCTCTCTCTCTCTATATATATATATATTTATATATGTACAATATTTGTAGGGAGATATATATATATCTCATATATATATATGTCATGAAACAAAGAACTAGAATGGTCCTTACCAACCTGTTACTCTAGCAAGAGAAATCAGATTGGGAGTGAGGTGGGAAGATGGGACCTGTGATGAAGAACTTTTAATAATCTATGTTTCTGTTGCATGAGACATTTTAAAAAGATATGTTTAAAAATAGTCAAAGAATAGTAAGTGCAGAATTATTTTAAATTTTTAAAAATTATTTCATTTAAGTTTTTAAATCCTTAAATATATTTGCAGCAATCTTTCCTTTGTACAGTAGTATATAGGACCATAAAATGACCACGCAATCTGGACCATGCAAAGCAATCTTAGTGATTAAGAGGGAGAACACACCCTAAATCTCCTCTGAGAAGGGAACAAGGACTGAGTCTTGAAGAGAAACCTGCAAGTTTTTCTTAATATACTTCTGTGTTACTGGATAGTTGGTAATGAGCGTTAGAATTTTTAAAAGAAGAAAAACACATGCAGAAAAAGAGAAAGTCATCTGACAATACCATTGTTTTTCTAAAGAAATACTTAAAATGCATATACATGAAAATATTTCATTGGATTATTATTGAATTATCTTTATTAGATTTTTTAAATTATGAAGCAATACATGTTTGCAACAATGAAACAAGCCAAAGATGATGAAGAAAATGTTACCGTTTCTGGATTTGTTCCGTTTCACTGCTCTATGTGAATATTTGTGTGTCAATGCCATACTGTTTTGTTAAAGCAGTTTTAAAGCTGTAGTATCCCCTGAGGCAAACTACTCCCCTCACACCATTCTTTTATAAGTTGTTCCAGGCTATTCTCAGACTTTGTTCTTTTCAATTACCTTTAAGATATATTTATTTAAAGATATAGTATAGGGATTCCATTTAAAATCACATTTCATTTTCATTTTTATACAATTTTGACTTTCTATTTAGGTATGTGATATGTCTCTCCAATGTTGTTTTAATTTCTTTAATAAAGTTGTATAATGTTCTTCAGTAGGTGTTAGATTCTTCTTGCTAGTTTTATTTTTATTCCTATGAATATTGCAGGATTTTAAATAACTAAGATGAGTAGGAGATTTCCATTTTCATTTCTAACTGAATTTTGATAATAGAGAAAGGCTATTTATTTTTGTATATTTACCTTGTATCCAGCAAACCTGCTACATGTTCTACTCAATACTAAGTTTTAATTAGTCTCTCAGGTTTTCAAGATATGCAATCAACCATGATAATTTTGTCTGTTTGTAATATTTATATTTTTAATTTAATTTTCATGTTTTATCTTAGTAATAAAAGCACACAGTTTTAAAAGTCAAATGATACTAGATTTATAATTTTAAAAAGTAGTTTCTTGCTACACTCACTTTTTTTTGCCACACTTACTTTTTATTCTGAATCTTCAGATGCAGCCACCTTGACCTATTTTACCTACTTCTTTCAACATTTTCACAGAGCCATATTTCTAAATGACATGTTCATATGAGCACATTTTTATTTTTTTTAAGTTTAGATACTACCTATTGACTTCCTACAATGGGAAAATAAGAATTTAGCTCTCTTATACCACCCCTCACCCACACACATACTCCCCATTCTCCTAATATAGTTTTACCACAATAAACCAATTTTTATATCCACATAGTCATGGATATGTAAATATTATCTATAGCTGAGCCATACACATAGTGACCATCTTTCCTTTGCTTTACAGCTTTTCTTTTCCCTGAAGTTAATAATGGCTTTAGGTTTTTGTTTCTTCCTTCCTTTCTTTCTTTGCTTCTTTGTTTTCCTGTGTGTGCATGTGTATTGTTGTTATTGTTTTGTTTTGCTTAGCTATTCATTAACATCTCCTCTGGATACATTCTCCTCTCATTATATTTAAGTACACTCCATAATCTATTCATTTTGTATTTTTTTTGGAGATCTCTTTCGGTGGCCCTCTATCTTCCTGCTACAAATGGGATCAGCTGCTCTGACAGGCAACTACATGGCTGTAATTCTGGACTTCCATTCACATTAACCTTTCAAAACATCTTTTTGCCTTTCAGCCATGTTTCCTGTTCACTTATTTTTCATTTTTCATGGTCTTTCTCTGTATTAATTTACTCTTTGCAGTAGTTAGATGATGAGAAAGAAGTCATTCCCGCTTGTTGTAAAAGTTTTCCAGTAGAGAGAGAAACATGAACTACTAAGCCAAAATGGCAGAAGAGAAGGGGTTAACTGAAAGAGAAAAACTGTGGTCACCCAAGATAAGAAGGTACTATGTGGGAGAAAGTTCCCAGAGATCACACATGGGTGAGCTGGCTTTGGAGAGGGGAAAGTCTTCCCACAAGCATCGACCGGAAGAGCTGAAAGGCAGACTCTACTTCTGGGAATTTGGCAGACTGGATTATTTGGGTCAACCCTTCTGCAGAAAACAATGACAAATGTCAGATAAAATAGGAGAGACACATATTTTGAAGCATCCAAAAGCTGGCTAAATATTAGATTTATTAAAGTTGTCTTTTTGACAGTCAAAAATGGTGTACTAATAATAATATCATATGTTGCAACCTAATAGTGAGGAATTATTAGGCCAAACATTTAAGAGAAAGAGGGAGCCCCAGAAACGAAAGAGCAATACTGGAGTTGCTTTTGCTTTGAGGGCAACTGCTGATCCAGCAAACTTGAACTTTGATTGGTTCCTGATGGTGACGGGGAAAAACAAAAGTGAAGAGTATAACAGGAGAATCTCCCCACATTAAATCATGAGCCCAAAAAGCTATACCCTCAGAATAAAAATGAGTCAGTAGTAATCTTCTCCCATCCGAGTGAGGGAATTAAATGAGGCACTGAACAGAGCAGGAGAGGATGGCGATGTCCTCTCAATATTTGTAATCGTAAGTAGGCCTTTAGGGAGATCTGCATCCCAAATTCACATTCCTGGGATGGTCCCAAACTAATCTTAAGTGCGAATTTAGTTTAAAGTACTCTTTGACTAGCAGTGACCTCAGGCAACTTCAGGAAAAAACAAATGCAAATCCCGAAGGGAAGCACTTCATCCCACAAATAATTTTTCAAGGACAGTCAGCATTATACAATAAAAAATAACCAAGCACATAAGGAAACAAGGCACCATGAGTGAGATCCAATAGAAAGAATGAACAGCAGAAACAAACCTGCAAAAAGTCAGATTCTAGAATCATATGACATGAATTATAAAATAACTACACTTCTTGATGTTAAAAGATTTTTGAAGCTTAAAATATCCTGCAGAGAATAGGAAACTATAAAAAGTGACATAGCAAATTTGAAATTGAACCAAATGGAACTTCTAGGAATAAAAATAAGGAATAATCATAATTTAAAACTCAGTCAACAGGTTCAACAAAAGCAGAAAAAGCTGAAGAAAGAATTTGGGAACTGGAAGCTAGGTCAATATAAATCATCTAGAATGAAGCACGGTGACAAAAAATGGAAAATGTGAAAGAGAAGTTAAGAAATGTGGACGACGGAATGAGAAGACCAACATGCATTTAATCAGAGTCAGAGAAGGAGAGGAAAAGAATGGAGAAAAGTCAGTATTTGAAGAGATATTGGCTAGACATTTTCAGAACTGGCAGAAGTTTGGAATATGATCCAGGGTAGTGTTCCTCACTAAATACATAACAAAATTTGTTCTGCCGTCATAGAGTTGTGGGTATTAGTAGGACTTGGGGAATTTTAAATTTTATTAAACCAAGATCACGCCACCCCACCCTCTGAGTTAAAATTCAGTATCAGTGTGATAACGCATTACAAAATCAGCCCCTACTCTGGATGGGAAATGAGAACTTACAGCCCAGCTGAAATGAAGTGGAGAAAGTTCTTTAGAAATAGTGATATTAGGATAGAATTCCTTTGAATCCTCCCAAAAGAGCCATGAAGTTTCATTTTTAAAAATCAGTATTTTGGTGAAAAAGCATAACTTCTTGGAGGATGAAAAAGAAAATCCCACAAGGTCCTACATCAACAGCCTGGGCCAAGGCGCCAGAAAAACTTCATATACTCTGTCTTGTCATGAGTTACAATCATTGTTCTGGGAATTTTCTCAGGGGCTTGGCATTTTTCCTTATAAACAAAACTACATATCATTCTTGAAGCTGTCTGATAACTGGAATGCTAGCAGTTACGGCATCTTTTCCAGGCCAAAGAGCAATGCCCAGTGGTCCCAAAGGGCAGCTAGGGGTCTAGGTTTTGGTTTTCATTCCCCAGCGGAGCTGCTCTCATTCAGGACACATGTGGAGACAGCCAGCTCACATGGACCTCAGAGGGCTTCTTCCTCTACTCCACAGCCCTGTACTTTTCTCTGCCTGGAGATATTAAAGGTCAAGGGCTAAGGCTTCTGAGGGTCTGTTAGTATGTACTAAGTTCCTTGAGACTCCTAGCTCAAGTACCCATGGCTGGTACAGCACGTTCCTTGTTTGCAAATTAATCCTGTGATGAAGTTTATAAGACAAAGTTTGATGACCTCTTGGATAAAGGGATGCAGGCTCAGAGACAGTTTAAATAAACTGAACTAAAAAGGCAAAGAAATAATCATTGGCAAGCTTCCCAGTCATCTTTCTTTTAGTTTCTCTCCCTCCTTTCCTTCCTTCCTTGCTTCCTTTCTGTTAGTAATATCAGGGTAGTTTATCTCTTTATTATCTAGCCTTGATTCCCCACCATGCCTTGAGCAGAGCCCCTGATTTAGAGATTGATCAGGGAGTCATGCACACTTCTGTGTCATTGTACCTCTGTTGGTGGTGGTGCTGGGCTCTTTCATGTGAATATGACACTGATCCCTGTAGGACTGGCAGAAGGTGGCTTACAGGCATTCTCAGCTACCTTGAGAGTCTGCTCTCATTGGAGTCTAGGTTCTCTTCCTCTCCAGTGCCTCCCCCTGGCCGCCCCGCACACTCTTCTTCATTCATAAACCTTCAGTCACTCCCCATCGTCTCCAGTCTCAAGGCTAACCTTGTTTGGCTTTCAAGGCCCTCCTCAGTCTTATCCCAATAACAGTCCCCAGCTGATTTCCAGCTCTCATTTCTCTAGTGGTTCTCAACCTGGGGTGCCCTAGAGGGTGTTTGGAAATGGGTAGAAGCATTTTCATTGTCATTAGGATGGGGGTGGCACTTACTGGGCAGGGTCCAGGCATGAGAATTACCCTCTAATGCCTGGAACAGTCCCACACACTGAACAATTGTCTCATCCCGATGCCAGTGGTGCCCCTGTTGAGAAACGCTGCTTGATTCTGGCCAAACTTGTTCACTCTCCATCCATCAAACCAGTTATGTATGTTTGCACTCCTGGCCCAACCCACCTGGAATTTCCCTCCTTTCCTCTCTGCTCCTCTGAGTTCTACCCACTTAGAAGGCACTCATTTTACAGATATGGCTTGCTTGGACACCCAGCTACAGCCATTCCCTCTAAGCCTTCAAAGCCACTATTATCACTCAGAGGCTGACCAGCTCGTGGGAGGTATGTGGACAGTGGAGCCGCACAGCCCCAGGTTTGAGCCTCATTCTGCCACTTTACCCATGTGGCCTGAGGAGAGCCACTTCCTCTTGCTAAGTCTACTTTCCTTGTCTCTAAAGTAGAGATGATAATAGCACCTACCTTTTTTCTATGAGGAATATTCTATGAGGATTAAATGCTGCACCATAGGGTAAAGTGCCCAGAGCCTCCTAGCATGTGGCAGGAACTCCATTAATGCTATACATATATTTGTATATATTCCTTACAAGACAGTGTGCTTATTCACTAAATGCTTGTAGAGTTGATATCCACCCCTAAGGCTGTCTGCAAAGTCGAAGCATGTCGTTGCTGCAGAGTTGAAGCATCATGCTGGACAGACTGGGTGGGCAAAGGTTCATTTTCCTGCAGCCACAGAATGTGTCTTAGTACGGGAGCCACTTGGAAGCGGCAGATGAAGAGGGGCCCCCACGGGGGCAACACCCTCAGCATCCTATCTTTTCACTATGCTGAAGCACATGCTTAATGATGCCCACTGCCTGAGGTCCGTGCACATCCCAAAGGAGAGCTAAGAGGAGAACATGGGCGCCATCAGTCTTACTGAGGGCAGTGACTGCCCATAAGAAATGGAAGCCAGAGGGTGAGAGTGAGAAGCCATCCCCTGAAATGGAACGCCACTTCCACACCACTTCCAGCATCTCTCAGCTGCTTGCTCCTTGCACTGGTTCTGTGCTCCTAAAACTCTGTTACCTTGGAGTCTTCCTAACTCGGCTTTGCTCTGTGGCCTGACCACAGATCTTTGACCCTTAGAGGAGGAATGGCTTCACTGCATTTATCCAGTGACATGGGATGTTACAGATATCCAGGAATTAGGGCAAAGGCCAGGCCAGCCCCAGCTTGCTGGTCTGAGGCCAAAGCCCGAGACCCTGCTCTCTTTGAACTGGCTCATAGCAACCATGAAGGTCTTGCCAATGAAAGTTGAGGATGTGACTTGCTTGGTAACCCTTAAGAAATGAAAGTTGAGAGAATTCTCAGTGAGGAATGACTAAGCGTGATACTGTAAGCCAGGGACTTTCAAGTGCCTCCTCAACGATTTCCTACTTTTAAGGTTAACAACATTCCAGAAGTCTAAAAAGATGCATAGAGAGTATTCCAAACTCCCTAGAGGAAGAGTTCAGATGCAAGGCATTGAATTTGCTGGGCTTTGAAGACAAGGAAATGTCAAAACCAAACTCAGGACAATATGTTAAGGGAATGAATGGGACTGTCTGGTGGGAGTGAAGGAGCCGTGAACAGAGGGAGTAGGACTGAACCTGAGCTAAATGACAAGACTTCTGGGCACCTCACACAGCTTCTCTGAGTGTCTGCCTCATTATTCCATGAGAACATTGGCCTATAAAGACTACAGATGCTCCCTGACTTACAATGGGGTTGCATCCCAATACACCCTTCATAAGTTGAAAATATCATAAATCGAAAATGCATTTAATACACCTAACCTACCAAACATCATAGCTTAGCCTAGTTGACCTTAAACATGCTCAGAACATTGACATTAGTCTACAGTTGGGCAAAATCATCTAACACAAAGCCTATTTTATAATAAGTGTTGAATACCCCATGCAGTTTGTTGAATACTGTACTGAAGTATGGTTTCTAGTCAACGTGTATAACTTTTGCACCACTGTAAAGTTGGAAAACCCTAAGTCAAACCATCATAAAAGCTGTATGTCTATGTGATGAGCCAGTTAAACACCCAATGGACTTTTACCCAAGGGATTGGTAAGTGGCCAAAATGATTGCGTTGGTTGATTCTTTGTCTGCTGGCTCTTTCCACAGAAGACTACCCCCTCACATGATGAGCCACAAAGGCATCTGAGGATGTCCAGCTCTCTTGGGTCACCCCAGATCCACCTGATGCTACATTCCTGGACCTGGGCCTGGCGTCAAGTTCTGCTCTTGACACTAGTCATCTGTGAGTTACCCCTCTGGACCGCCCCTTCTTCGTGTCTCCATGAGCTTGCTCCCAGACCCCAGGGCAGGGCTAATTCCATCAGGGCTCTGGACTGGGGGTCAGTTGCACCTGTGCCCAAAAGCCAGAGCCAAGAAGCTGCAATGTCCTTTGCTCACCACACTGCACTGGGTAGCACCTGGTGTACAGTCAGAGCACCAGGGTGAGAATGGACAAGGGCCAACTTGGACTCCTATTGTCTGAGGGGAATGTGGCTGTCGCTGCCCTGAACAGGCAAGTCAGAGAGGAGCTGGAACAGAGGCCTGATTTGGTTCCTTGCACCTGTTGGCACACCTCTCAATACAGGGTCTCAACAGGAGCTCTGGACTGAGAGTCACAATCATTTATACCCCTGGGTAAAAGTGTTCAAAAGAGAAAGGCTGGAGGGGACTCCCTGGCCAATGACAAACACAGTGTCCCTCTTCAGGAGCTGGAGAAGCTTAGGCTTCAACATGGAGAAACATGTGTCTGTCTCAAGCCTACATCTGCCAATGTAGGCACATGTTTCCCTGCCAGGGGCCAGCTGGAAGCTTCCTGGAGCTCCTTATGCTTCTGGCCTCTTCAACTCACAAACTGTTCAGCAGGGCAAAACCCTTAACAAGCTGGAACATAATCAAAACTCTAAATGCATTAGGTCATTTCTCCTGTAATGAGAAAGAAAAATCACAATAAAACAAATTCACATCAAGAACATACTGAAAGAACAGTAACAATAGCCATATCCACAAAACAATCTTAGCCTTGTCACCAGCGAGGAGGCAATCTTAGGATGGTGGCTGTAAGGCCATCAAATCCCCAAGGAACCGTCCAACCATCCAACAAAAGAATCAATACTGGAGACGATCGCTGTTTCCCAAGGCAGAGAGCAGACACATGCATCGTGCCTTGTCAGTGACGACGCAAATGGAAACGCTTCTGCGGTCAATCTTCAGTGAATGCGATGATTTTATTAACTGATTCTTGAGTATCCGGGCCCTCCTTAAACATTCTGGTGAAAGGACATTTGTAAGATACACAAAGAATTCACACACCCTACATCTTGAGAAAATCAGACGCTTCATATCCTTTGTGGAAATGAGATCGAGAACAAAATAAAATATAAAAATCTTTTAAAATCCATGAAACAATAAGGAGACGAGAAGGGGATGAGGGGACAAACAAAAAGAAAAGGGGCCACTTGCCTGGCGCTTTGGAGGCCTAGAAAGTTAAACGTGTCCTAAAGTCATGGCACTGGCCGCCCTCCAAAATCTGAGAGGCACCTCAAGGCATTTGGAAGAAAGCACCACTTGGCTGGGAAAAGTGGTACCAAGGGAGGCTTTCAGGCCAGGAATTACAGGGAAAGTAACAATCATGTTAATCAAGTGCCTAGAATTGGCTTCACACCGACTTTCTCTGAAACTATTGGCCAAGAATATCTTTCAGTTTATTTGCACAATTGACCAAAATTCCTTCTACCTTAGAACGTATTAACCTGATCTACTTGTTCTTAAGGTTCAGGAGATCACAGATTCTTTTGAGAATCCAACAAAGCTATGTACCCTTTCCACCAAAAAAATTATTGTTGGCACACACTTCTCAACGAATTAACAAGGACCCGAAGCCAACTCATAGACCCTGGTTTGAAACCCCTGTGCTAAAGTGGACTCCATTTGGGACCCAGGGACCAAGGATGGGCGCAGTTTCATTTCCCGAGTTTCAATATCAGGGGCTGATCATCTACGCGAGGTGACGAGATAACTATAATCATAAGAGAAAGGCACCTTAGCGCCTCCCAAGTTTGCCCTGGGAATTTAGCATCCTCACTGGTTATTGTGGAGGCATCCATCCAGCCTGGCCAGGGCCCTTTCTCCCAGGGGCCTTCAGGCATTTACAAAACACCAGATGGCACAACTCTTCTAGGCAGGTATGGGACAGGACAACCTGTTAGTACTCAAATCAGGGACTGTCTCCATTAGGGGTGTGTGTGTGTGTGTGTGTGTCCATGCATGCGTGCACCTGGGAATCTCAGGCCATCTCAGTGGGCTGGTTGGGTTCATCTAGACTCACCTGAGCCATTTCTTCACTTTGGAGCATTTCTCCAAAGAAATTACGGGTAAAACCAACATCACAAATGATGTAATGATTTGGCCCAGAAGTGATCCTCATCACTTCCCCTCCCAGCCCTTTGGCTGGGAGCAGTGCTATGGCCCTGTCTGAGAAGGGAGGAAAATAGAAACTCCCTGTGGTCCACCAGAGCAGAGCACTGGATCCAGGCAAGCTCAGGAGCTCTCCTCCACACACTCTTTACACAGGAATCAGAGACACCGACGGGAAAAAGGACATGCTCTAGGTCACTGTCTAGAAAGGGCACAGCCAAGACTCCAGCCTGGGTCTGTCGTACAAAGTTTCCATGCCCCTAATCACAGTCGGAGCGCAGTGGGGGTAAACAAAGGGAAGGCAGAAGCAAAGAACTTCCTTGCTCTGTGTGATGTGCTTTCAGATCGCAAGGAGCTTTCTGCATGCTGGGGGACCACCTGCCCTGGGAGAGTCTGGGGTCTACAGGCCTCCCCGCATTCCACTACTGGGGAGAGCACACTGATGACAGCCCTCGCCTGGTGTTACTGATGTCTTGGCGTGTTGGCCATGCAATAAGCAGATTTTCATCTCACCTCTGACTTGGTGGCACACGATGGGCCTCCTGGTGAGCTTGAGGGTCGTGCTGCAACATTCCATTTCTATTGCATCAGTGTCACTGGGGCACACAGAGCACGCCTTCCTGCAGCCCCAAACCTACAGGCTCCCCCAACAAGGCCCCTCCCCACACAGGGACCAGGGTGGCAAAGGGTGCACAATGCCCTCTTCCTGTGGCCTATTGAGAAGGAGTAGGCAGGGCACGGAGGCAGTGGGGAGGCTGTGAAGGAAGGTTTGCCTTCGTTTTAAGGTTTGGTGCTTTTAGGCGTAAACTCTGAGTTTCTTTCCTGACACCATGCCTACAGCCAGGAGGCTGGGAAATCAGGCTTGCTGGGGCTCAGACCTGAGTAGCGAGTCTTCATGCTCTGAGCCAAAGAGCACAGCAGGGTCTGTGCCTGGGGTCAGTGTCCTCACAGCAGCAGCACCTGTGGCCCATAGCAATGACTGAACTATGGCCCTGGGGTCCTGGGTGGGACACCACCCCCCAGTATCAACTAGGAAGGGTCTGGAGTCAAGCTTCTGCCCCTACATTGTGCTGGCTGCCTCTTTCCTACACAATGTTTAGGGGTTTGCTTGATTTATTTTGAGAGCAAATTACTATCACAATTCGAGAGCCCTGAGCCCCTCGCCTGCCCCAGGACTCTCCTCAATCCCCCCGCGCTTTCTCTCTTTCTCTCTCTCTCTCCCCTGTACGCTGCCACCCATGCAGCTGATGCGACACAGCTGCGGAGTGATTTAACGCGGGGATCATTCCTGTCTGACACTCTGACTTGGGAGAAAACCTGGATGTTTTTGTGCATAATAGAGCTACTTTCCTCACTCAGCATCAGCATTTACAGGCTGTACAACTCACTCTTCCTGGAATTTGCTCTTCTGGTTCTTGTAATCCTGGGCTGAGTGATGCCATGCCTCCCTGTTCTCTGCTTCCTGCAAGGATTTTTTTTTTTCTTTTTGGCTGGCCACATTTGATCCATTAGAAGCCTCCCCGTTTTTTCCCTTCCATTTCTCCCTTTCCATCCCCCATTTCAGTCCACCCTGAGGGTTTCTGAATAAAGCCGGAGGAGTGCGTTCCCGCCTTTGACTCACGCTGCTCCAGTTGAAAGTTCACTGAATTTCCTTATGCACCAAGAAGCTTCACACTGAGTACCTCTGAGAAACTCTTACTCACTTGATTACAGCATTGCTAAACTTTTGGCAGAACACGTGTTTACCCATTTAATTATCATTATTCAGTGTTTCTCCCACTCGGATTTCTGGTTTTACATATTATATCATTTTTGGCTGAGCAGACGTGTGGGGAATGGTAATATAGAAGGCGGAAAAAGATACAGTGGATCGGGATGTGCACTTAAACTTTAGTTTTTTCTCCCAAGGACGACTGTCTGCGAGATATCCATGTCACCAAGCAAATATTCTTTTCTTTAAATCACTTTTCTTTTGTTTTCGGAAAAAGTCCCTTCCATTGGTCCTCCCCTCATTGGGTCTTACTCATGCCTCAATCACTTCCTACTGGGGTTATAGATGGTTTTTGTTTCACGACATCTAAAATGATGTCTTTTGAATGAATATCCAAGGAGCCAAACAGACATAGAAAGATTGATTCTGGAAAATAAAATATTAGTCATTTGCTTTCCTCACTTGTGAAACACGCTGAAGGATTAAAATTCAAATCAGTCATCCAGATTTCCAAGGTTTTCGTCATCCCAATCAATCTCGTAATTCAAATCCAGAATCAACTTCATCTATTCACATATGCCTTTCTTTTTTTGGTGGATTTGTGGGTGACCATTTCCAAGCCACTGGCCGGGGAAGACAAGAGAGGATGACCCCTCTATGTGAACCGCAGGTCACTAGCCCATGAGCCCAGCTGTCTCCAGGAGAGAACTGAGGAGCTTCTGCCAAGGACGCATTGACCTCTGGGATGCCCTGGCCTGAAAGGACCCTCACATTTGACTCTGCTCTAACTATCTGTCTCGTCACTGTTTTGTTCCCCACTGCTCCCCACCAGGGCTCCTGGCTCTAAGTCCACTCGAGGACGAAGGCGCCAGCTGAGAAGGCATGGTCCGAGAACATCTTGCCTGCAAGGGGCCATGCTCTGGTCCCAGCCTCGGCTCATGTGGGCAGCTGACACATCTTCCCATGAGTGGGAACTGCGGGTTCACCCTCGTCTTTGTCGTCCAGCATGTGGCCCTCGGGGAGCAGCCTTTCCTCACAGTCACCCGCTTCCCTCTGGGCCTTGACCCTGCTACTGCCGAGAAGGCTACGTGCTCACCAAAAATGTGTGCTCATCTCTGAGTGTGGGGTGGTGCCTGGAGACAGCCCTGTCCAGCAGCAGCCCTGCCGGGGACGACGTTTCCCCCTTCCCTTGCTTCCAGGCAAGGCCAAGGCCAAGTGACTAGTTCTTGCCAGAGGAATGTCGGCAGATGTGCTGAGTGTCGTTTCTGAGGCAGACATGACTGAGCCTTCCCTCCACTCTCCAGCTGGAGAAGGAGCAGATCCAGGGGCCTGGGGGATGGCAAAGACATGAGAGGGAGAGATCCAGGTCTCTATGGACGAGTCGCCGTTGCCCAAGCACATCTGCCTCGGACTGCTGTTCCATAGAGTGGAACACAAAGGCCTACATGCGAAACCGCTGAGATGCAGGGGGTCATTTGTTCCGGCAGCCAGTGTCCCTTCAGCCTCCAACGGCCGTCTTCATCCCTCCCCCTCTGGAGCTGCTGAGTTCCTGGCAGAGCTCCCTGGGTGTGGCCGCCCATCCTGAGCCTGCCACCTCCCAAGGGGCTAATTTCCCCACAACAGCTGAGACCAGCACCCTGAGGGCCAACAGCAGTGGCAGCTTCAAACCTCCAAGTCTTTTTTATTTTATTTTAATTATTTATTTATTTTTTGAGATGGAGTCTCACTCTGTTGCCCAGGCTGGAGTGCAGTGGCACAATCTTGGCTCACTGCAACCTCTGCCTGCCGGGTTCAAGTGATTCTCCTGTCTCAGCCTCCTGAGTAGCTGGGATTACAGGTGCACACCACCACGCCCGGCTAATTTTTGTATTTTTATTAGAGACGGGGTTTCCCCATGTTGGTCAGGCTGGTCTCGAACTCCTGACCTCAGGTTATCCACCTGCCCCAGCCTCCCAAAGTGCTGGGATTACAGGTGTGAGCCACTGCGCCCAGCCTCCAAGTCTTTTGTCAAGATGACTTCCGTCCCTTCAGGGCATGTCCAGCAGATGCTGCCCAGGCTGCTGTGAGGGGGACAAGGGCTCATTCCCCAGTAGGCGCGAAGGGAGGCTATACGGGGGTCAGCTCCCCCATGGTGCAAATCTGC
The DNA here is from genome assembly GCF_000001405.40 of Homo sapiens. Lineage (NCBI taxonomy): Eukaryota > Metazoa > Chordata > Mammalia > Primates > Hominidae > Homo > Homo sapiens. The sequence continues at coordinate 100,685,498 of NC_000015.10, read as the reverse complement.
ACCCAGACTCCACAAGGAGCCTAGCCTGTCCCTCTCTCAGTTCTCAGCCTGCTAAACAGGAGAATGATGCTTCCTGCAGGGTGGCTAGAGGCTTTCAAAGGATAAGACAGCTAACGTGGCTGGTGCAAGGGCTCAGGAAACATCAGCTCCCTTCCGCCCTCCTTTCTGAGTAGGAAACTATGAGGCTGAAACTCATCTAGAAAGGCAAAGAGGGAAACCCCCCTAAAACCCCAAGACAGGTCAGGTGCGGTGGCTCATGCCTATAATCCCAGCACTTTGGGAGGCCGAGGCAAGCAGATCACCTGAGGTTGGGCGTTTGAGACCAGCCTGACCAACATGGAGAAAGCCCATCTCTCCTAATAATACAAAAATTAGCCGGACGTGGTGGCGCATGCCTGTAATCCCAGCTACTTGGGAGGCTGAGGCACGAGAATCACTTGAACCCGGGGGGCGGGGGTTGCAGTGAGCCGAGATCACACCATTGCACTCCAGCCTGGGCAACAAGACTGAAACTCCGTCTCAAAAAAAAAAAAAAAAAAAAAACCAAGACAGGCAGGCAAACCAGACAGGGTGCAGTCACTTCTGGCCATGCCCTTCCCAATTAGGACTGAACTCTGCCAGCCTTCCAGCATTCCAGGGAGGTGACATCTGGGCCAGGGGTCCCCAGCGGCCAGCCCAGGCCCACTGTGACCCGCGCCCCAGAACACACCACAGTGGCGTGCAGGGTGCTGTTGGGAACCCCTTCCCACCACACCTAGGGTCAGCTGGTGGCAGGTAGGAAGCTGCTTTCAGAGCTCTTTAAAACAGCCCTTGATTATGATAAAGCCAAAAAATAACAGATGCTGATGAGGTTGCTGAGAAAAGAGAACACTTACACGCTGTTGGTGGAAGTGTAAATTAGTTCAGCCATTGTGGAAGACAGTGTGGCGATTCCTCAAAGAGCTAAAAACAGAACTACCATTCAAGCCAGCAATCCCATTACTGTGTATATACCCAAAGGAATAGAAATCATTCTACCATAAAGACACATGCACGCGTATGTTCACTGCAGCTCTAGTCACAATAGCTAAGACATGGAATCAACCTACATGCCGATCAGTGACAGACTGGATAAAGAAAATGTGGTACATATACTCCATAGAATACTAAGCAGCCATAAAAAAGAACAAGATCATGTCCTTTGCAGGGACATGCATGGAGCTGGAGACCATCATCCTTAGCAAACTAACCCAGGAACAGAAAACTAAATCCCACATGTTCTCACCTACAAGTGGGAGCTAAATGATGAGAACACATGGACACATAGAGGGGAACGACACACACTGGGGCCTCCTTGAGGGTGGAGGCTGGGAGGAGGGAGAGGATCAGAAAAATAGCTATTGGGTACTAGGCTTAGTACCTGGGGACTAAATCTGTACAACAAATCCCCGTGACACACATTTACCTGCACATGTACCCCTGAACAAACCTGGACATGTATTCCTGAACCTAAAATTTAAAAAAACCTGCACATGTGCTCCTGAACCTAAAATAACAGTTTTTTTAAATCATCCCTAGCTATATGAACTTAAATGGATGAATGAATATATCAGTCAATCGGTGCCTGGCGTGTGCGGCCACCTGCCTCCATCTCGGATGGAGAATCAGTGCTCTCCCGTTGATCTTGTCCTGATGCAGATGCAGCCCAGGCTGCACTCTAGAAAGCCCACAGCTACTTTCCAGCCAGCTGCCTGACAAGGAGGGAACACAAGGGTTGTTCTCCTGGAGCAGCTCCAGCTCCACTGTCCTCGGGGGCCTGCCTCACCCTCCACATCTCTTTCAGCACCTGGGCAGCCCTACCCTGGTGTCCTAGGAAGTGCGCCTCATGTCCTGCACTCCACCAGAGCATCTGCTGGAACCGCAGCATGGGAGCCGGCTTGTCATCAGGGGTCTTTTTGAGACTCTGGCCTTCGTCTCAATCCATCCATGAGCACAGGGTGCCTGGACGTGGCTTGCCTTAACCCCACTTCTGCAGAATGTCTGCTCTCAAGGAAACTCAGCCAAGACACCAAATTCCACAGGATGTGTCTTGTGACCCTGAAGAGGAATTCAGAACCTCTCATTTCAAATGGAATCAGATACTGAAGGATGATATTGGTCCTCTGTCCTTCCCTAAGGCCTGAGAGTGTCTAAATGTCAGCCAGGACAAACTCCGTTTGGGGAAAGTAGGGTAATTTGTTTAAAGCCCTGGAGATCATAAGTGGAATTATATTTTTGTTATATGCAGGGGTTCTTGGGGAGCTCAGGATGGCCACTGCTCCTCCTTTCTCAGGAGGGCCCAGCAGTAAGGAGGAAATAAGGAAGTCACCTCCATCCTTGCCCTAAAGAGGCGCTTCATCGAGGCAACTCTTTCCTGCTCTGTGGCCAAGACCTGAGAGCCCTCCAAGGCCAGCTTCCAGAATAAAAAGGGAGATGACAACTTCGGAGCATAGGGGCAAAACATCTCCTCTCTGGAATGATGAGCCCAGATTCTCTTCCAGACCCACAGGGCAAAATCATGAGTATTTTTGGAGGATGGAGAGAGGAAACCCTTCCTTTCTTCTCCACAAATGGAGCTACTGCCACTAGTGCCTCAGCACTTCCAAAAAGGCCCACATGCCAGCCAGGCCCCCAAAATTAAAGGAGCAGTTCATATTTTCAGCAAGAGGAAGGGAGAGGAAAACGTGTGTAGATGACAGTTCTGCATGGTAGGGGCAGGGACAAAAGGGGCTATCAAAAATAGAACCAGGAGACCCACCCCCCCAGGGACATTTTCTGGCCTTGGGGCCCACTAGTAAAGTCTCAACCACAGCAGAGTCCACAGGAAACCACCCCCTGCCTGCTCAGACGGCCCTCAAGGAACTTTGAGGTTTAGAGAAGACTCTGTTAGAGTCCACGATAAAAGAGCCTGTGAAGAAATAAGATTTGGAGCTTTTGTCTATTGCGGTATTTGACTGGAAATACCAATTGCCTCTAGAGTTACAGATCCAACCCTGCATTAAAATACCCTTTCATGCCTGAAATGCTAGCAAGTGTTTAAAGCACCCTTCATTTATGGATGCTGCAAAACCATCAGACTTCAGAGTTTTTTGATAGAGGTAGTTCAATGACATTCAAACCACCTTTGCGAAAATTATAACAGTGAGAAAATGATGACAGTAAAAGTGACCCGACCTAACCAACTCCATCTTGCCTTTAACCTCCAAACTGCCCTTGGTCATTCCTGATTGTGGGCCAACCTAACTTTAGGAGAAATTTAGTCTATAGTTTAAATGATAACAGCCCTCCCCCTAAACTAAACTGCCTCTGTAAAACTAATGAAAGGCCAGTGGCTTAGGCAGCTTAGAGGAGCCTGAATTCATAGTTAAACTATTATCAGCCATGAATCCAGAGGTCATAAGATTTGTAACTTCCCCAATTACTCCTGTAAATAACATCATCATTGTAGAGCCTGAAACTGGCCTTTTGAGATGTGTTTACAGACTTTTGCATTTCTGACTGCTGGACGACTCCACCAGGACCAGCAACTCCTGTGGTCCCCACCCAGAAGCGGACTCAGTGCATGAGGACCATTTTCCACACCCCCATGATCATATCCCCAACCAGTCAGCAATACCCATTCTCTAGCCCCCCGCCCACCAAACTATATTTAAAAAACACTAGCCTCCAAAATTTCAGGGTGGCTTATTTGAGTAATAATAATTCTCCATTCTCCTGTTGAGCCAGCTCTGTGTGTATTAACTCCCTCTCTACTACAATTTCCCTGTGTTGGGAAATGGGCCCTCTCTGGGCAGTGGGCAAGAAGAACCTGTTGTGTGGTTACAACATCCACCACTTCATTACCAAACACTAATGAAACAGAAAGGCCTCATTTTAGAGGGACTGACCCTTGAGTGAGCAGATCCATCTGCCGGAGATTTTCCAAGGCTCCTGGCCTGCTCCCCACGCCCAGTAGCCATCAAGTCAACTCTTGAAGGCAGGGTGGATGTCTGAATTCCTCCCATGAGGGGTAGGATTTGCACTCCACACAACTCTCTGTGTCTCCATATACAAGGTCTGGCCACATGCCTCAAGTTTCTCAACTTGCGAAGACACATAGAGGACATTCTGACAGGATGTGTCATGAGGTTTGTGAAAGAGGGTCCCTATGGGGCACAGCCACTGTCTGAGTTAGAAGAAAAGTGGGGCCCAGTCCTTTGTGCCCATGAAACCTTCCTCACCCCCACATGCTGGCCAGTCTCTTCTCTCTCCCCGAATCTGATCAGGTGCATAAAGGCTTCTGGATAATGGATTGTTGTTACGAGCTGCCTTTGCAACACTTTTATCTTCATCTTTTCTCCAGATGTCATAACATGATGGTCATAATGTTCATTTGTTTTCTTAAGAAATTCGTGCTAAGCACCAGGTGCTAGATGAAAAAGGAGTCCCATGTCCACAAAGCTCACAGTTTTGTGGGAAGGAGAGTCCCACAAGCAGGTGATACAGGGAATAACAAGACTCCCCACCTACTCTGGGGTGGTCAGAGAAGGCTTCCTGCAGGACAGGATGTCTCAGCTGAGACCTTCGGAATGCCTCGGATTCAACCAGCAGAAGGGAGAAACTGAAATGGCATGGGAACCTAGCCAGACTCAGGCCTCAGAAGCAGCAGACACAGAGACGGTGAGGTGAGAGAGAATGTCGCACTTGGGGAAATGGCTGAGACGCCAAGGAGAGATGAGGGGGGCCCACAGACCCACAAGAAGCTTTAATTGCACCAGCAAGGTGGCTCATGCCTATAATCCCAGCACTTTGGGAGGCTGAGGTGGGTGAATCACTTGAGGTCAGGAGTTCGAGACCATCCTGGCAAACATGGTGAAACCCCATCTCTACTGAAAATACAAAAATTAGCCAGGTGTGATGGTGGCACATCTGTAATCCTACCTGCTGTGGAGGCTGATGCAGGAAAATTGCTTGAACCCAGGATGCGGAGGTTGCAGTGAGCCGAGATCACTGCGCCACTGCACTCCAGCCTGGGTGACAGAATAAGACTCCATCTCAAAACACACACACACACACACAAACTTAAAAACTAAAAATAAAAAGAAGCTTTAATTTCACCCCAGGGGCAACATCAGGACACAAACCTGGCCTGAGAATGGCTGACAGGTGAGTCTGAGTCAGCTGCCATATGTCATAAACTATAAGATGCCATCAATTTTAAGCCACAACCTGTTTCAGAAATGTTAAAATGTGAAAAACTGTCAATATTAGAATATGAGAGATAGAAGGCCACTCCATTGAATGAAGAAAAAATAGTATCAGCTCAAAGCAACCCACACACCAGAGGAGTGAGGCAGTCCCACCTGGGGAATGCAGAGTGTGAGCTGGGGAGAGGAGGTTGCAAATAGCACCACTTTGCTGGGGACAATCGTATGCCCCTATATGGCCTACTCTCAACAATTTTTCCCAGGCCAAACAGATAAAAGAAAACCTCGGCCAGGTGCAATGGCTTATGCCTATAATCCCAGCACTTTGGGAGGCTGAGGCAGGCGGATCATGAGGTCAGGAGTTCAAGACCAGTCTGACCAACATGGTGAAACCCCATCTCTACTAAAAATACAAAAATTAGCCAGGTGTAGTGGTGCTTGCCTGTAATCCAAGCTATTCAGGAGGCTGAGGCAGGAGAATTGCTTGAACCTAGGACACGGAGGTTACAGTGAGCTGAGATCACACCACTGCACTCTAGCCCTCCAGCCTGGCGACAGAGCAAGACTCCATCTAAAAAAAAAAAAAAAAAAAAAAGATTCCATTCCAAGATGGCCGAATAGGAACAGCTCCAGTCTGCAGCTCCCAGCGTGATAGATGCAGAAGATGGGTGATTTCTGCATTTCCAACTGAGGTACCTGGTTCATCTCACCAGGACTGGTTGGACAGTGGGTGCAGCCCACAGAGGGCAACTCAAAGCAGGGCGGGGCATTGCCTCATCCAGGAAGCACAAGGGGTCAGGGGATTTCCTTTTCCTAGCCAGGGGAAGCGTAACAGACTGTACCTGGAAAAATGGGACACTCCCACCCAAATAGTGCACTTTTCCAATGGTCTTGCAAACGGCACACCAGGAGATTATATGCCACACCCACAGAACCTTGCTCACTGTTAGTCTGAGATAGAACTGCGAGGCAGCAAGCCTGGCAGGGGGAGGGGTGTCCGCCATTGCTGAGGCTTGAGTAGGTAAACAAAGCAGCCAGGGAAGCTTGAACTGGGTGGAGCCCACCTCAGCTCACCAAGGCCTGCTGCCTCTGTAGTCTCCACCTCTGGGGGCAGGGCATAGCTGAACAAAAGGCAGCAGAAACTTCTGCAGACTTAAACGTCCCTGTCTGACAGCTCTGAAGAGAGCAGTGGTTCTGCCAGCACAGGGTTTGAGCTCTGAGAATGGACAGACTGCCTCCTCAAGTGGGTGCCTGACCCCCGTGTAGCCTAACTGGGAGACACCTCCCAGTAGGGGTCGACTGACACCTCATACAGGCAGGTGCCCCTCTGGGACGAAGCTTCCAGAAGAAGGATCAGGCAGCCATATTTGCTGTTCTGCAATATTTACTGTTCTGCAGCCTCTGCTGGTGATACCCAGGGAAACAGGGTCTAGAGTGGACCTCCAGCAAACTCCAACAGACCTGCAGCTGAGGGACCTGTTAGAAGGAAAACTAACAAACAGAAAGGAATAGCATCAACATCAACTAAAAGGACATCCACACCAAAACCCCATCTGTAGGTCACTAACATCAAAGACCAAAGGTAGAAAAAAACCACAAAGATGGGGAGAAACCAGAGCAGAAAAGCTGAAAATTCTAAACACCAGAAAGTCTCTTCTCCTCCAAAGGGTCGCAGCTCCTCGCCAGCAGCAGAACAAAGCTGGACAAAGAATGACTTTGACAAGCTGACAGAAGTAGACTTCAGAAGGTCGGTAATGACAAACTTCTCTGAGCTAAAGGAGAATGTTTGAACCCATCGCAAGGAAGCTAAAAACCTTGAAAAAAGATTAGACAAATGGCTAACTAGAATAAACAGTGTAGAGAAGACCTTAAATGACCTGATAGAGCTGAAAACCATGGCATGAGAACTACGTGACACATGCATAAGCTTCAATAGCCAATTTGATCAAGTGGAAGAAAGGGTATCAGTGATTCAAGATCAAATTAATGAAATAAAGCAAGAAGAGAAGTTTAGAGAAAAAAGAGTAAAAAGAAATGAACAAAGCCTCCAAGAAATATGGGACTATGTGAAAAGACAAAATCTACGTCTGACTGGTGTACCTGAAAGTGACAGGGAGAACAGAACCAAGTTGGAAAACACTTTTCACGATATTATCCAGGAGAACTTCCCCAACATAGCAAGGCAGGCCAGCATTCAAATTCAGGAAATACAGAGAACACCACAAAGATACTCCTTGAAAAGAGCAACCCCAAGACACATAATTGTCAGATTCACCAAAGTTGAAATGAAGGAAAAAATGTTAAGGGCAGCCAGAGAGAAAGGTCAGGTTACCCACAAAGGGAAGCCCATCAGACTAACAACAGATATCTTGGCAGAAACTCTATAAGCCAGAAGAGAGTGGGGACCAATATTCAACATTCTTAAAAAAAGAATTTTCAACCCAGAATTTCATATCCAGCCAAACTAAGCTTCATAAGTGAAGGAGAAATAAAATCCTTTAAAGACAAGCAAATGCTGAGAGATTTTGTCACCACCGGGCCTGACTTACAAGAGTTCCTGAAGGAAGCACTGAACATGGAAAGGAACAACCGGTACCAGCCACTGCAAAAACATGCCAAATTGTAAAGACCATCGAGGCTAGGAAGAAACTGCATCAACTAATGGGCAAAATAACCAGCTAACATCATAATGACAGGATCAAATCCACACATAACAATATTAACCTTAAATGAAAATGGGCTAAATGTCCCAATTAAAAGACACAGACACAAATTGGATAAAGAGTCAAGACCCATCAGTGTGCTGTATTCAGGAGACCCATCTCACATGCAGAGACACACATAGGCTCAAAATAAAGGGATGGAGAAAGATCTACCAAGCAAATGGAAAACAAAAAAAAGCAGGGGTTGCAATCCTAACCTCTGATAAAACAGACTTTAAACCAACAAAGATCAAAAGAGACAAAGAAGGCCATTACATAATGGTAAAGGGATCAATTCGACAAGAAGAGCTAACTATCCTAAGTATATATGCACCCAATATAGGAGCACCCAGATTCATAAAGCAAGTCCTTAGAGACCTACAAAGAGACTTAGACTCCCACACATTAATAATGGGAGACTTTAACACCCCACTCTCTGTATTAGACAGATCAACGAGACAGAGGTTAACAAGGATACCCAGGACTTGAACTCAGCTCTGCACCAAGCGGACCTAATAGACATCTACAGAACTCTCCACCCCAAATCAACAGAATATACATTCTTCTCAGTACCACATCATACTTAGTCCAAAATTGACCACATAGTTGGAAGTAAAACACTCCTCAGCAAATGTAAAAGAACAGAAATCACAACAAACTGTCTCTCAGACCACAGTGCAATCAATTAGAACTCAGGATTAAGAAACTCACTCAAAACTGCACAAATACATGGGAAATGAACAACCTGCTCCTGAATGACTACTGGGTAAATATCGAATTGAAGGCAGAAATAAAGATGTTCTTTGAAACCAATGAGAACAAAGACACAACATATCAGAATCTCTGGGACACATTTAAAGCAGTGTGTAGAGGGAAATTTATAGCACTAAATGCCCACAAGAGAAAGCAGGAAAGATCTAAAATTGACACCCTAACATCACAATTAAAAGAACTAGAGAAGCAAGAGCAAACACATTCAAAAGCTAGCAGAAGGCAAGAAATAACTAAGATCAGAGCAGAACTGAAGGAGACAGAGACACAAAAATCCCTTCAAAAAATCAGTGAATCCAGGAGCTGGTTTTTTGAAAAGATCAACAAAATTGATAGACCGCTAGCAAGACTAATAAAGAAGAAAAGAGAGAAGAATCAAAAAGATGCAATAAAAAATGATAAAGGGCTTATCACCACCGATCCCACAGAAATACAAATTACCATCAGAGAATACTATAAACACCTCTACGCAAATAAACTAGAAAATCTAGAAGAAATGGATAAATTCCTGGACATGTACACCCTCCCAAGACTAAACCAGGAAGAAGTTGAATCTCTCAATAGACCAATAACAGGCTCTGAAATTGAGGCAATAATTAATAGCCTACCAACCAAAAAAAATCCAGGATCAGACAGATTCACAGCCGAATTCTACCAGAAGTACAAAGAGAAGCTGGTACCATTCCTTCTGAAATTATTCCAATCAATAGAAAAAGAGAGAATCCTTCCTAACTCATTTTATGAGGCCAACATCATCTTGATACCAAAGCCTGGCAGAGCACAACAAAAAAAGAGAATTTTAGACCAATATCCCTGATGAACATTGATGTGAAAATCCTCAATAAAATACTGGCAAACTGAATCCAGCAGCACATCAAAAAGCTTATCCACCACAATAAAGTCAGCTTCATCCCTGGGATGCAAGGCTGGTTCAACATACGCAAATCAATAAATGTAATCCATCACATAAACAGAACCAACGACAAAAACCACACGATTATCTCAACGGATGCAGAAAAGGCCTTCAACAAAGGTCAACAGCCCTTCATGCTAAAAACTCTCAATAAACTAGATATTGATGTAACATATCTCAAAATAATAAGAGCTATTTATGACAAACCCACAGCCAATATCATACTGAATGGGCAAAAACTGGAAGCATTCCCTTTGAAAACCGGCACAAGACAAGGATGCCCTCTCTCACCACTCCTATTCAACATAGTATTGGCAGTTCTGGCCAGGGCAATCAGGCAGGAGAAATAAATAAAGGGTATTCAATTAGGAAAAGAGGAAGTCAAATTGTCCCTGATTGCAGATGATATGATTGTATATCTAGAAAACCCCATCATCTCAGCCTAAAATCTCCTTAAGCTGATAAGCAACTTCAGCAAAGTCTCAGGATACAAAATCAATGTACAAAAATCACAAGTATTCCTATACACCAATAACAGACAAACAGAGAGCCAAATCATGAGTGAACTCCCTTTCACAATTGCTACAAAGAGAATAAAATACCTAGGAATCCAGCTTACAAGGGATGTGAAGGCCCTCTTCAAGGAGAACTACAAACCACTGCTCAATGAAATAAAAGTGGGCACAGACAAATGGAAGAACATTCTATGCTTATGGATAGGAAGACTCAATATCGTGACAATGGCCATACTGCCCAAGGTAATTTATAGATTCAATGTCATCCCCATCAAGCTACCAATGACTTTCTTCACAGAGTTAGAAAAAACTACTTTAAACTTTATATGGAACCAAAAAAGAGCCCAAATTGCCAAGACAATCCTAAGCAAAAAGAACAAAGCTCGAGGCATCACACTACTTGACTTCAAACTATATGACAAGGCTACAGTAACCAAAACAGCATGGTACTGGTACCAAAACAGAGATATAGACCAATGGAACAGAACAGAGGCCTCAGAAATAACACCACACATCTACAATCATCTGATCTTTGACAAACCTGACAAAAACAAGAAATGGGGAAAGGATTCCCTATCTAATAAATGGTGCTGGGAAAACTGGCTAGCCATATGTAGAAAGCCAAAACTGGACCCCTTCCTTACACCTTATACAAAAATTAATTCAAGATGGATTAAAGACTTAAATGTTAGACCTAAAACCATAAAAACCCTAGAAGAAAACCTAGGCAATAGCATTCAGGACATAGGCATGGGCAAGGACTTCATGACTAAAACACCAAAAGCAATGGCAACAAAAGCCAAAATTGACAAATGGGATCTAATTAAACTAAAGAGCTTCTGCACAGCAAAAGAAACTACCATCAGAGTGAACAGGCAACCTACAGAATGGGAGAAAATTTTTGTAATCTACCCATCTGATAAAGGGGTAATATCCAGAATCTACAAAGAACTTAAACAAATTTACAAGAAAAAAACAAACAACCTCATCAAAAAGTGGGCAAAGGATATGAACAGACACTTCTCAAAAGAAGACATTTATGCAGCCAACAGACACATGAAAAAATGCTCATCATCACTGGCCATCAGAGAAATGCAAATCAAAACCACAGTGAGATACCATCTCACACCAGTTAGAATGGCAATCATTAAAAAGTCAGGAAACAACAGGTGCTGGAGAGGATGTGGAGAAACAGGAACACTTTTACACTGTTGGTGGGACTGTAAACTAGTTCAACCATTGTGGAAGTCAGTGTGGCGATTCCTCAGGGATCTAGAACTGGAAATACCATTTGACCCAGTGATCCCATTACTGGGTATACACCCAAAGGATTATAAATCATGCTACTATAAAGACACATGCACACATATGTTTATTGTGGCACTATTCACAATAGCAAAGTCTTGGAACCAACTCAAATGTTCATTAATGATAGACTGGTTTAAGAAAATGTGGCATATATACACCAAGGAATACTATGCAGCCATAAAAAAGATGAGTTCATATCCTTTGCAGAGACATGGATGAAGCTGGAAACTATCATTCTCAGCAAACTATCACAAGGACAGAAAACCAAACACTGCATGTTCTCACTCATAGGTGGGAATTGAACAATGAGAACACGTGGACATGGGGCGGGGAACATCACACACTGGGGCCTGTGGTGGGGGAAGGGATAGCATTAGGAGATATACCTAATGTAAATGACAAGTTAATGGGTGCAGCAAACCAACATGGCACATGTATACCTATGTAACAAACCTGCACGTTGTGCACATGTACCCTAGAACTTAAAGTATATATAAAAAAAACTTTCACATACCAAAAAATGGATTCAAAACCTCATCTCAGTCTGAAAAAACAAAAGTAAGCCTCAAGACCTAATTAAAAATATATATATGAAGCAAAGGAAACGCTTGAACACTGTTGGTAAATTAGTACAGCCATTGTGGAAAACTCTATAGAGGTTCCTCAAAAAAATAAAAATAGAACTACCATAGATCCAGCAATCACCCTTCTGGTGATTTAGCCAAAACATTTGAGATCAGTATGTGAAAGAGGTATCTGCACTCCCATGTTCACTGTGGCATTATTCACAATAGCCAAGATATAGTATCAACCTAAGCGTCCATCAACAGATGAACGGATAAGGGAAATGTGGTACATATATACAATGGAGTACTATTAGCTTTAAAAAGAAGGAAATTCTGCCATTTGCAGCCACACGGATGGAATTGAAGAACATTATGCTAAGTGAAATAAGCCAGGCACAGGAAGACAAATACCACATGTTCTCACTTACATGTGGAATCGAAAACAAGCAGATGGCTGGGCCTGGTGGCTGATGCCTGTAATCTCAGTACTTTGAGAGGCTGAGATGGGAGGAACGCTGGAGAGTTAGAGACCATCCCTGGCAACATAGTGATACCCCCATCTCAACAAAAGATAAAAAAAAAAATAGCCAGGTGTGGTGGCACAGGCCTGTGGGCCCAGCTACTCCGGAGGCTGAGTCGGGAGGATTGCTTGAGCCTGAAAGGTCGAAACTGCAGTGAGCCAGGGTCACGCCACTGCACTCTAGCCTGGGTGACAGAGTGAGACCTTATCTCAAAAAAAAAAAAAAAAAAAAAAAAAAAAAAAAAAAAAAAAAGGGAAAGGGAGAGGGGAAGGAGGGAGGGAAGGGAGCAGAGGATAGAATGGCAGTTACTAGAGCCAGGGGTTAGGGAAAATTGAAAGGCAATGGTCAAAGGGTACAGAGCCTCAATTAAAAGGAGGAGGAATTTTATTTTCCTTGGAGATATAGTGCACATCATAATAAAATAGTAAATAATAATGTATAGTACATTTTAACATCACTAAGAGTAAACTTCAAATGTTCTCACCACAAAAAAATGAAAAGTTTTGAGGTGATATGTTAATTAGCTTGATTTAATTTTTTCACATTGTATTCATGGATGAAAACAACTCTTTGTACTCCATAAACATATACAACTATAATTTATCAATCTACAATTAAAAACAGAAAGTCCAAAAATGGGTTCCTTAAGCGGGACGTGGAGATGAAAAGTACAACCTGTGCTTTTCTGAGGGGGCACATTTGGGCCGATCTCACGCATATGAGGCTCCCACCCACACAGAGCTGCCTTTCCAAGCCCACACTCAACAGCAACCCCCAGACTGTCCCCTGCTCTGTGTCCCACCCTCTACTGAGGCTGTGGCTGTCCTGCCCTCTGCCGGATGGTCAGCATTCACACACCATATTTCCTGGTTGACATTTCCCCTCTTTTTAACATTTCTGAATTCATGATGACTTTTACAATGGACGCGTATGTTAAGATGGTGGCATTTTTCCCTTCTGAAAAGCTGTTACTGCTCTGATGGTGCCTCTTACAATAACGGTAAAATCCAGAGCCTTAGACTCTAGAATATTCGGTAATCCCCGTGCCCAGCAGATCACGCTGTAGCGAATGACTCATTAAAACACACACACACATGAAAACAGGACACGAGCTTTTTTTCTTTTCATAAATACTGTGGTCTCCAACTGGTCTCCCCCTTTTGCAAATGTGCACAAATAACCACTAATAAACAAATTCCAAGCTCTATTGGGTAATTCCTCTTAAAAAGGAAAAAACTGGGGTAGTCTTGGTTTAAAGTCAGGAGTATTTTGGGTTAGAGTCACAGGAATTAGACTCATGAGTATTTTAGGGAGTGCTTTTTGCCTCCATCTGTAAAAGTATGGATTCTGCAATGAGGTCGGGTGGGGGAAATGACCCCAGCAAGGAGGAGGCTGGGCGATGTGGCTGGACGCAGCTTGCTTAACTTGCCGGCTGTCATTTGCCAGTGCCTGTTGACACCCATCATCTGGGTCCTCTTCACAGGAGCCCTGTACCCACTGTCCCTGTGTGGGAACTGAGTCTCTGGGAGTGAGGTGGCTTACCCATCACCACGCAGCACAGAGGTGTGCAGTCAGGACTTGAACGCAGGTGCATCTAATTCCACACACCCACAGAGATTCCCAGACAGAGGCACAGCGCCCAGGGTGCTTTAACTCAAGATGCAAATGAGCTTTCCTTAAGTTCTCCCCAGTAGACCCCCAGTGCAGAGTTCCCCTCCCTGCTACGCAGTGCTGCCATTTCCACGTTGAAGAGCAATCGCCGGGTGGAGGTTCATTCATGAAACGTTTGTTTCTACCTGTGCCCCCAAAGCTGCGCTGGAAATGGCCCCTTTAACAACAGAACCATCGGCAGGGCTCGCCCCTTTCTGGTGACTTCCAGATATTAAAACAGTGTGGTCACCTCCTGCCATGCTCACCTGGCAGCTCTCAGGAAGTCTTGTGGGGGCGGGGGGACTTACTTTCCAATACCTCGAGCCTTTCCATTGTGGGTGTGGGCCTTCGTGCCAGAACCCAGCCTGGGGCTCTGGGGAAAGGGTCCTGAACAGCCAATGTATTAACAGGGCTGGGGTGAGGCAGCCCGGGAGCAGAGCCCATCACTTCCCAGGCAATAGTGTAAACATCCCAACTCTCCCCATCTCCTCTTCTCTCCCTGAAGCGACTTCCACGTATACCCAGTGCTCCCAGCACGGGGTCCCTGTGATTCACAGCCTCCTGCCACTTCAATGAGCACGCTTTGAAAAGTGAGCCCTCATCCTTCCAGTCTTAATCAAGTGTGCTATGAGCAGGTGGAGGATGACTGCACCAAGCAGGCCATGGCTAAGTGGAGCCAAATATGGTGACTCTGATGGGTGGAATTGTGTTCCCAACTAAAATTCATGTGTTGAATCCTAACCCCGAGCGCTGCAGACTGCAATTTACTAATAAATAGGGTCTTTGCAGGCTGCACCAAGTTAAGATGAGGTCATTAGGGTGGGCCCTAATCTAATGAGACTGGTGTCCTTATAAAAAGGAGATGAGGGCCAGGCGCAGTGGCTCACGCCTGTAATCCCAGCATTTTGGGAGGCTGAGGCAGGCAGATCACAAGGTCAGGAGATTGAGACCATGCTGGCTAACTTGGTGAAACCCTGTCTCTACTAAAAATACAAAAAGTTAGCCGGGCGTGGTGGCGGGCGCCTCTGGTCCCAGCTACTCAGGAGGCTGAGGCAGGAGAATGGCATGAACCTGGGAGGCGGAGCTTGCAGTGAGCCGAGATCTTGCCATTGCACTCCATCCTGGGCGACAGAGTGAAACTCCGTCTCAGAAAAATAAATAAATAAATAAATAAATAAATAAATAAATAAATAAATAAAATAAAAAGGAGAGACGTGGACAGAGAGAGACACACACGGGGAGACTGCCACATGGACATGAAGGCACAGATCAGGATGAGTTTTCAACAAGCCAAGGGATGCCAAAGATCTCCAGAAACCCTCCCCGAAGCTAGAGAGAGGCCTGGAGCAGAGTTTCCCTCCCAGCCCTCAGTAGGACCCCACCCTGCCAGCACCTTGATTTTTGTCTTTCAGCCTCCAGAACTGAGAGACGATCCATTTCTGCTGTTTAAGTCCCCAGGCTGTGGCACTCTGAAACAGCCCTCACAAACCAATACGCCGACCAAACACCCTGGAATCTCCAGGAAAGTTACAATTCCAAGTGTCTAAACCTCAGTCCTCATAAGCTGTCAAAATGTCCCAGAAATTCACATTTCAGCTACAAAATACCCTCTCCCAAGCTGCCTCCTAAACCTCCAAACAGCATGAAAGCTCATTGAGAGATCTAAGTCTTGATTCAGGATTCAGAGAATGAGGCCGTCAAACGTATAGATCCATCTACAAAAGCCTGCCTCATTCAGGGCTCACTTTACCCAGGGGGAAGCAATCAGGTCTTCTCCCGCTCTCCAGACTCCTGTGATGGTGGTGGGGGCTGGACCCACCCTCGGAAGGCAGGCAAATTCCTGCCAGGAGTCAGCTGAGCCGAGCCATCTCTTGCAGAAAGCTCCTAGCCCCGCAGGGGTGAACCGGCTGCTGCTCCCGCGCTGGGAGTGCTGTCCATCCCTCGGTGCTCCAGCAGCCGCCCCTGGGAGGACAGCCCCGTTTGAAGCCCACGTGCAGGCGAAACCCCTTCAGAGCTGGGCATGGGTTTCCAGTCATCGCCACATCACTCTCTGTCTGAACTTGAACATACCTCAAGCTTGCTGGTTGTTACTGGGTCGCAGTAACTAGATTTTCTTGGGGGGTTGGTGTGGGTGGGTGGAAAGATACATCCAGAAAATGAAATGTAATGTTGCCTCTTATTCACCAAGAAGTTTTTCAAGCCAGAAGACCATGGTGTTTTTCGTTGATTGGTATTGCTTGATTTAGATTCGGAAGCTGGGCTCTCCTACAGTTACCCAGCCCTTCACTGGACTGGCTGACAAGGAACCAAACAGCCCTATCAACCTGTGCAATGCTCGAGGGTCAGCCAGAAGCCATGGAGCCCCTAGTCTGAGTGGGGAAAGCAATTCACAGTGGAATGTGCAGAGGTGGCTTCCAGCAAAACCCAACCCACAGTGGCTAGTGGCCCAAGACACGTCACCTGGGCGCTGGGTGAACGGTTTAAAGATGTCACAGTAAAGCCAGCCAAGGGATCAGTTGGACTACATGCAGCATTGTCTGTCTGCAGGGGAGTCCCCTGAGAGTTCCTAGAGACAGACATGTGGCTACCATCTCACCTCCACCACTTCCTCACCATATGACTTCAGGCAACTCCCTCAGCCTCTCTGTGCCTCAGTTTCCTCATCTTCATCTTGCGGTAATGGAGTGCCTGCCTCATAGAGTCATTGAGAAGAGTTGCCTGGAAGAGAGAGCATCCCGCAAGCACACACACACACACACACACACATGCATCCACGCACCCAGGTTGCTAAGTTGTCAGTAACCACAGCCTTTAGGCCATCACAGCCAGCAGGGCCTGAGGATCATCGAGTCCAGAGGAGGAAGGGATGGCCCGAGGGCAGGCCACAGGGGGCTCAGGGCCAGGCGGAAGCCCCCTCCTCTGAGGGGATCCCTGTGCCCTCACACAGAGCCGGGATGCTCCACATCCTTACACTCACAATGTGTCTTTTTCAGACCCCAGAAACCCACATTTCAGGAAAGATGATTTTCTTTAGTACAAGAGGCTCTTATTACAGGAAGGAAACAATTTTAAAATGGCATCTAGAAATGGCCACTTAGGTTAGGTGGGAACAGAGAGACATAATGACCCTCAGTCCTCCACTTTCCCACCCACATTTCTGTGAGGGGTGTGTGTGCGTGTGTGTGTTTAAACACAAGTCTGAGTCACAGAATTTAAAATCTAAGGAAGGGAATTTTCAAGCGAGTCTCATCAGCTCCAGCTCTGTGGGACCCACCAGCTTGTCCTATCTATTTACTTTATTATTCGGTTGTTGGCCAGAGAGATGAAATATGGGATTAGAGAGGAGGTGAGAGACAAAACAATCCACCATGGTGTAAATAAATGAAGAGCCAAATCCTCCGTCCAAACAAAACCGAAGTGGCCTGGCCAGGCCTTCCTCTCCACGCGCTGCCCCGCGCCTCGCCTCCCCTCAACCGCAGGAACATATGGAGTCGGAAAATGCACGTTAACAAAGCGCTGCACGTCGCCAGGCGCTGGCTAGTCCCTGGAAGAGACACAAGCATTTCCCAGCCTCTGCTGAGGGGCCAGATGTTTTCCTCATTAGGTTTTCCTCGGGTAGAAATAATTCTTGCCTGTTTAATGTTCAAGTCAATTAGTAATCACTCTACAAGGCCTGGGAGCTGTCTACTTTCAGTTGCCTTTAGAGATGAAACTCTAAAAACATATCCTAGCACACAGCATCATCTATGAAACATACCTGCCAAAAACGCTGACCCTGGACCCAGCCTGCTGCCAAACTTACCTCCAGTTTACCGGATATACCAAAAGTAGAGGAACAAGCTAAGTGACACCAGGGATAAACAGGCATGCAAATCCAGAATATGGGATATTATCTAAGACAAATTTTCTGGACTCTTTAGTCAACTCCTGAGATTTTTTTTTTTTTTTTAGGTAGCATGCATTATTCTGGAATGAAAGATCAAAGGGACACAACCAAATGCAACGTGTAAACCAAGATTCAATCCTGGTTTTAAAAAGTAAATCAAAACAGTTATAACAGATATTCTTGTGGCAACTGGGGAAATCTGAATAAGAACTCTGTATTAGACTTTGAAATTACCATTGTTTTCTTATGAATGATATCAGTATTCTGGTTATATTGAAGAATGTATTTTTGGATGCAAGCGAAGTATCATAATGTCTACACCTTCGTTTTATTTATTTATTTATTTATTTTCAGAGACAAGTTCTCAGCCTGCCATCCAGGCTAGAGCACAGTGCACAGTCATGGTTCACTGCAACTTCAACCTCCGGAGCTCAAGTGATCCTCCCACCTCAGCCTCCCAAGTTGCTGGGACTACTGCTATTATTTTAAATTTTTTGTAGAGGTAGAGTCTTGCTAGATTGCCCCGGTTGGGCTCTAACTCCTGGGCTCAAGTGACCCTCCCACCACAGCCTCCCAAAGTCCTAGGAGTACAGGTATAAACCACTATGCCCAACCAATAACTTAGTTTTAAATAGCACAGAAAAAAAGATATATAGGCGTCCATGTACACACAAAGATAACTCAGTGATGTTAACATCTTCGCAAATGTGGAAACCACAGATGCTTTCATATTAAACAGCTGGGGAAAGAAAACAAAGAAAAAGAAAACCAAAAGAACAAAAATAGTTTTAAAACTAAAACATAAAATTAAGTTAGGGAAAAATCTATTCTAATTAAAAGCCATGTACTCCACTACTTTGTCTTCTGAAAAGCATAATGGAGAACATACTGCCGGCCAACAAGTATGCATGATAAAACTACTAGGCATGAAAAGAGGAAACAAGAGCATTGTAAAATCAAAATGCAGGGTAGGCCAGGTGCAGTGGCTCACACCTGTAACCCAGCACTTTGAGAGGCCAAGGTGGGAGGATCAGTTGAAAATGGAAGAGAGCCATCCATATACGCACCGATGATGATAGCTCAAAAATCAAGGAAAATCAAATACTGCCCAGTTCCTGTACTTGGTTATATGAATGATGAGAAAATGTTCTCACATTGGTCTTCAGTCCTCTGGATGCTGAACTAAAAGAATTATACCGGGCTGGGCCCGGTGGCTCATGCCTGTAATCCTAGCACTTTGGGAGGCTGAGGTGGGTGGATCACGAGGTCAAGAGATCGAGACCCTCCTTGACCAGCATGGTGAAACCCCATCTCTACTAAAAATACAAAAATTAGCTAGGTTTGGTGGTGTGCACCTGTAGTCCAAGCTACTCAGGAGGCTGAGGCAGGAGAATCACTTGAACCCGGGAGGCAGAGGTGGCAGTGAGCCGAGTTCGTGCCACTCCACTCTAGCCTGGTAACAGAGTAAGACTCTGTCTCAAAAAAAAAAAATATATATATATATATATATACCCATTACAGGATGTTTTAGTTCATTTAGTTATTCATTCCACAAATATTTGCTGAGGGCCTGCTATAGTCCAGGCACATAGACATATATACATAAGTCATGCTATGATGAAATACATAAAGCATGATAAGGGACTTGGGAATACGGAGTCTGACTTTTGGCCAAGGGGCCAGGGTTGAGCTCTTGGAGAAGGTGCCCTCTGGGCTGAGGCTGGAGTGAGTGAGCGAGCCGCCCTGTGTTCCAGAGGGAGGAGTGCTTCTGGCAGAGGAACAGTCCGTGCACAGAAAGGCTGCAGGGCAGGGGTGTGCTCTGCACGTGGGGATTGCAGGACTCACAGCGGCTCCAGCAAAGTGCTACAGGCCAGAGAGGGCTGGAAGCCACGGGAAGCACTTCAGATTTGGTGAGTTGGAAGGCATCAGTAGGTTTGAGAGGAGGAGTGACATGTCTGATCTGTGTTTTTAAAGGTTAAAGCCAAATGATCCTCTTGAAAGAGTAAACCAGAATATTATCAAGTCTATGAAGGCAGGGGTGATATCAAAAACACCGAACAACTTTCCAGACAAGGGCTCTGCCAGTCTCAGCTGACACTGGTCCTTGCATAGAAGCCAGGTGCCAGAGAGCCCACCTGCTGGGGCAAGGGCCAGTTCTGGAGTTCCTGGATCTGGGTGAGGTATCTAAGATCCAGGAGGTCTCAGGGAATGCCTGTTTGCCCATCTGTATGGAAGTAGTTAATATTTTAACAAAAGAATGGGTAAACACACGCACATATAAAGATAAAATGAATATACATAAGAGTCAGTCATGTCTCCATTTAACTGTCTAAAGTAGGTAGAATTGAGTTGGAAGTTTAAGAAAACCCAATCAAGGTCATCAATGAGCAGTTCGACTTCTTCCCCAACTGCCTTTATCCATAGACAATTCATCCATCCATCCATCCATGCATAGAATCCATAGTTTTTAAGTTACTGGCACATGCCGAATACTGTTTTAGTGGAGAGGGTTTATCAGTAAAGACAGGCAACATCATGGCTCTAATGGAGTTTATATTTTTATGTAAATGGACAATCAACAGATACACATCAAGCAAATTTCAGCCTGAAAAAATAAAAGCACTTGATGATAATAAGGTGATTGGGAAGTAGGTTAAATACTTTAGATTCCAGAAAAAAAAATCAGCAAGAGAAAGACAGTAGAATAGAACCTGTTCCTGTTGTATTTCTGGAGAAGCACCTGGCCATGTGGAAGGCTCTTTATGTTGGCTGGAAGAAAAATTGAATGTGGAATGTTATTTAGCCAACAACAAGAATTCATTATATCTGCACGTGGTAACATGAAAGGGTTTCTGCGAGTAGAAACATGTAAGCTGCAGAGAGATCATTTTTGTAAACTCCATGCAGATAGATGCACAGAGAAAGAGCTGGAAGAACCCACACTGCATGGTTAGCACTGGGAAGGAAGAACAGGCTTTCACGTTTTACCTAAGGTATTTGTTCACTGATTATGTTTTAAGGGTATATGCTCATTTTGAAATAAAAAAGGACTTTTCAAAAGATGCACCCAGTAATTATATGCATTGGGGAGGTGACTTAGAGCAGGAATACTGCTGAATAATTTGGTTCAAACATGAAACCTACACAAGACAAAGTCACTTGACAGAGGATGACTCTTCAGATGTTCAGGGAAACTCACGCACTCACTCACACTCGATGCATCGGCCGGGCTCCCTGATGCCCCCAACGCCTCTCCTATGTCCAAGGAAATACTTCTGCAGAGCACGTTAGAGTTTCCAATGCATGTGTGTTATCTCAGAGACAAAGGGCAGAAAGGGGAAAAAACAGAAAGTACAGTACGGTAAGTCTCAAATTTCAGCATCCTGTTGTCTCCATTGAAATAACTTGCCAGGAATTCTAGCGGTTAAATAGTCCAGATCTTTACTACAGAGGAAGATTAGAGACGCTGGCCCGATGAATTCAGTCCAGGCGAATTCTGTTACTGGTTTGCAACAAAAATAACTGGATGGGAAGAGACTGTCCTTGTGTTTTCTCACCCTAGAAAGACCCGCTTCATGTTGGGAGTATTAAAAGCCTGGAGACAAAGGCATCCTGTGCTGATTTTTGGACAGTATTAGAAAACTAACAAGGCGTGCCCTCCCTAAATTCTCCTGGGTAGTGTTGGTCCAAGGGCCTCACCATGGACAGCTGCACACAAAAAACCGGTGGGTGGGAAGCTGGCAGGAGAGGGTCCCAGGGTGAGGGCTCCCTGACCCCAGAGGCTCAGCCTGCGAATCAGGTGACTCAAACTCCTGAAAGACCCTGTAATTTTCAGTTAACTAAATGGGGGGAAAATCAAGATGCAAATCACCTTTCAAGTATTTAATTTAATTAGACAAGGAAAATGAGGCTTCTTGAAAATTCTTACTCGGTATTAACTTCTGCCACAAAGCAGCCGAGAGTAATTGGTAAAAGTGAAAAAGTGATTACCGAGGCTTAAGCTTATTTCTCACAGCTGGTGCACTTTTACAAAGTGAGTTTCATGGTGCTAAACCCTCCACCAGAGCAAGACGGGCCCTGGAGCATGGATTCCAGCCTTTTCATAAGCCACCTCTAATAAGCCATGGTGAGAGGGTGGGTGGAGAGGGGAGCGTGGTAACAGGCAACGGATGTGGGGCTCCTGGCTCCATCTGTTGCCCTGAGTTCCTGGTTTCTCCCCCTGCTGGCTTCTCTGTGATGTGAGGATCACAGTGGGTGGCAGCTGAAGGAGCCCTCGGCTCATGCCTCTAACCCTGGGCAAATGACGCAGCCAGAGTCATACCACCAGTTACCAGCACAGCCAGCCTTCAGTGTCAGCCTGCGTGAGGCCAGGTTAGGCTCTTCTGTCTATTTAGCAAGCTAATCAGGAAGAAAATGGAGCCTGGTCTCATGAGCGCACTGCAGAAGCTGTTCATCTCGAATTCTTCGGCAGCCTCGCTTTCGTGTTACTGCATTAATAATTTTTGTTTATCTTCTTTATTCTCCAGGGGTCTAAACATTTGGAAGGTGGGTTCCTGATCCCATTCCTCCTCCAGGACGGACTACCGTGCATCAGATATAGGAAGCATTGGACATAACAGTTGAAAGAAAGAAAGAAAGGAATCTCTCCATGTCAATAACCAACCTAACTGATGAACTTTAGGAGTCTGTTTTTTCCACCAAAACAGAATAAAACTTCTAAGTAAGGGGTCAACACTTGCAATGCACCAACCTCTGTGCTGAAACTCAAAAACTGAGGAAAAAATAGACTCAGCCCACAAAAAACAATTGAGTGGGTAAGAAGACAATTTTCCTTTTTCATTTTTGAAAAAAAAATTAAAATGAAGGCTCAGAGAAAAATAACACAGTCATGTACTTACTTCCAAAACATGTACATTTCATCAAACTCACTTTCTCCCTCCCAACCCAAAACAGTCAAATAAAATCAATATCATGGCAAGCCAGGACTTGTCTGGGGTCCTGAACCAGTAGGCCAGGGATCTAGCAGCATTTCCCCCTAGAAAAATATTGTTAGGCAAGTTAATAGATATAGAGGTTGGAAAATATGACCATTGAAATCTCTGTGAGGATTCAAAGATCCTAAATATTTTGTTAAGCACATTTGCCTGATGAAAGATTCCTGAACCCCCTCTCCCTTACATCTTGACAGGCTGTGTTCTCATTAAGAGGGGCTACAAAACTGGCCAGGCTTTGGAGCAGGGCAGGCTGGACCCAGCCCTGGGCTGTCTGTAGTAGATGACTGTATTTTGAAGAGAAACTTCGGATGTCCTTTTTCCTTCAGAGTGGTCTGTTTTTCTACTTTCAAAGGGGAATATGTCAAATCCATCAAATTGTATACATTAAATATGTGTGATTTTTTGTATAACACTTATATCTCAAAAAAGCTGTTAACCAAAAATGAGATGGAGTCTCGCCCTTTACACAGGCTGGCGTGCCGTGGTGCGATCTCAGCTCACTGCAACCTTCACCTTCCAGGTTCAAGTGATTCTCCTGCCTCAGCCTCCTGAGTAGCTGGGACTATAGGTGCCGGCCACCACACCTGGATGATTTTTTAAAATTTGTTAGCAGAAATGGCATTTCACCATGTTAGCCAGGCGGGTCTCGAACTCCTGACCTCAAGCAATCCGCCTGCCTTGGCCTCCCAAAGTGCTGGGATTACAGGTGTGAGCCACCATGCCTGGCAGACCACCTCTGTTTTAGTAGGCAGATTCCATGCAGAGATGACTCCATGTCGGTGGTCCCACCAGTGGCTCCAGGACCCACAGTAGCAGCAGCATCTGATGTGAGGCTATGCTCACCTCCTGGCTGATTTATTTTTCTTAATGCCCCCGCAAGAAGCTCAGCTGCATTGAGTGGCTGGGAAAGGATTCGTAGGTGCCATGGTTTCTTTTACTGTTCAGGGGTTACGGGGTGGGTTGGTCAGGCTGCAGCCAGCTGGAGCTGGCAAGGTGTTTTCTATCTGCGATCGGCAATTGGGGCAATGCTACCCATGCTTCTTAGAGACACTTCATTGGCAGGCCGCCTCACGGGCAGTGCCAAGGCACATGCTGGCTGAGGCAGCTAGAGTCATCGTCTCTCCCACCCTGGAGCAGGCTAGGGCTGTCATTATTCACGTTTGGCACACATTATTATTTACAAGCCACCAAATGAGACTGAAGAACATTAACAGCAGGATAACAGAACTACAGGCTACTGGTTTTGTCTGTGCCCAACTGAAATTAAGTAGTTGCAAAAGATAATTGGAGACATGAAGGTCTCGATGTCGAGCCAGCTTGTAGTGTAGCCGGAGAGATTTGTAGTCTTTGTTCACATAACACATGCAGAACTATTCAAGGCCGGCCCATAAAATACAAAGACTCAGTTTCACGTGTGGGTTCTGAAAAATCACTGCATCTTTACTTACATCTCATGGATAAGCAGATAGGTGGCTTTTCTAACATCTCATAGTGACTGTAGGATTTCTTTCTTTTTCTTTTTTTACCTTGTCCTTTCTTTGCTACAAAGAGTCCAAATACCCTCACACAGTGGTTCTAAGTTGGGTCCACAGACCAACAGCACACACCTCACAGTCCAAATACCCTCACACAGTGGTTCTAAGTTGGGTCCACAGACCAACAGCACACACCTCACCTGGGTGCTTGTTAGACACGGAGATTATTATTTTTTATTTTTTGAGACGGAGCCTCACTTTGTCACCCAGCCTGGAGTGCCGTGGCACGATCTTGGTTCACTGCAACCTCCGCCTCCCGGGCTCAGGCAATTCTTGTGGCTCAGCCTCCTGAGTAGCTGGGACTACAAGCACATGCCACCACGCCTGGCTAATTTTTTTTTTTTTTTCTGCTTAGTAGAGATGGAGCTTCATCATGTTGGCCAAGTTGGTCTTGAACTCCTGACCTCAGGTGATCTGCCTGCCTCAGCCTCCCAAAGTGCTGGGATTACAGGCATGAGCCGCCATGCCCGGATAGACGTGGAGATTCTTAAGCCCCACCTGAGAACCGCTGCATCTGAAATTCTGGGGGTAGGACCCGCACTATTTTAAAAAGCGCTCCAGTGGGTACAGATGCTTGCTCACCTGCACTAATGCAGAGAGTACCGTAATTCCACACCCCAGGGATGGCACCGTAATTCCACACCCCAGGGATGGCACCGTAATTCCACACCCCAGGGATGGCACCGTAATTCTACACCCCAGGGATGGCACCGTAATTCCACACCCCAGGGATGGCGTACGTTTTGAATCTGGAAAGTAGAAGTCCCCGGCTCCGCACAGCCCCAGCCCTGATCTCCACCCAGCCCAATCTTCCCGTGCCAGCCCTGCTTCTGTCCTCTCGCCCACCATCTGGGCTCCCACGCGGGCTCCTTCCAAGTGCTGGCACAAATCTGGTCCTTCAGCATAGGTGCTCAAAAAGTATGTGTCGAATGAGCTAGCGGCACTCACCAGGGTCATTTCTAAACCCTCCTGGGATTTCGTGAACATGTGCAGTAAGGAACACCAGGGCAGAACCGAACGGGGGTTAGGCTTGAGTTAGAAGCACCGTGGGACTCCTCTCAGGGTCTGTATCACTTCCAGGGGATAGACTCTGACCTGAAAAATCTCTCAAAGTGCATGTCATGCAAAGATGAGCTTCTACTAAGCAGGCTTTTTATTACTGCCCACTAAAACACAAGGTGATTAGAGTACTTTTTAATTAAATAATTGTTAGATGGAGTAGGAAGTAATGGTATCGGTTAATCTCAGGGTAGGGTTTTTTTTTTTTGAACCCTCTAATAACTTCCTAAACATCAAGCATTTCCATGAAGCTAGCCAAAGTTACTTAATTATAGGCTTCATGAGTAAGTGTTTCTACAGAATTCTCAAAGGCTCCTCATATAACACACGGTTTGGATGTTTCCACGCGGAGCCTATATACATGCTTTTTAAAAATTTTTTTTAGAGACGGAGTCTCGCTCTGTCGCCCAGGCTGGAGTGCAGTGGCACGATCTCGGCTCACTTGCAACCTCCGCCTCGCGGGTTCTAGCAATTCTCCTGCCTCAGCCTCTGGAGTAGCTGGGACTATAGGCGCACACCGCCAAGCCCGGCTAATTTTTTGTATTTTAGTAGAGACAAGGTTTCACCGTGCTGCCCAGGCTGGTCTCGAACTCCTGAGCTCAGGCAATCCACCTGCCTCCGCCTCCCAAAGTGCTAGGATTACAGGTGTGAGCCACAGCGCCCGGCCTGTGCTTTTTTATCTCAAGGCACAAAGCTGTCCAGAAGTGCATGCCACGAGGACTTCAACACCTGGGAGCCAGCCCGGCTCACGGATGAGGCAGCAACCGAACTCAGGTGCCGGCATCCCCACCCTGCCCGGCCACCAGTCACTGCAGGGCCTGGCATCGGTTACATAGTGGCTCTCCTGGGGGTGGGGGCTCCTTCCAGGCAGGTGAGCACACCCTGGTGACCAGAATGTCACAGCTCATCACCAAGACACTCGACGTCGCTGTTGCATCCCCTCACAGCTGTGAGAGTCTCCCTTCAAAGGCCTTTCTGCAGAGGAAGCCAGCCTGGTTATTGCAACATAGGGGCCTGCAAGTCGTCGGGGCAAAGGAGGGCACAGTGGACCGGCAGCAACGCAGCCCCAGGGTCAAGCCCAGCATCGCCACCAGCGGGGAGCCCTCCAGGCTCTTTCAGTCTTGATGTTCGCTCCCCGCCTGGAGGCCCCCTCCTGAGTGCTGACAGACTCTCTCTGCACATCTAAAACAGGGCCCATGTGGAGTTCAGTGAAGAAGCATAAAGAGAGCTGGGGGAGAACTCGGGGAACACGGGGGCAGCCTCCGAACTCACTCAGCCTGAGGCCTCTGAACCCACATGGCCCAAGGTCTCCAAACCCACCCAGCCTGAGGCAGGGCCTCGGGGTGGGGACCTGAGGTCCAGAAGGCAGGAGATGGCAGGCCCTGTGTGGTACACTCAAGTCACCTGACGTCGGCAAGCTCAGCAGAGCAGGCAGATGCTCGGGAACTATCACAGGGGCACCCATGTGCGGCGGCTTAACACTGCTGAGATCACAGGCCCCTTGGACATGGTGACAACGCCACAGACCTGCTTCCTGGGAAGGGTCATGTGTCTCCCCTCAGAGGGGCTTCCCAGCCCTGAATTTGGAGCCCCGAGGAGCATGAACACACACACACACACACACACACACACACACACACACACAAATGAACATACACACACACACACACACAATGAACATACACACACACACACAATGAACATACACACACACACACACACACACACACACACACAGCAGGAGAGCAGGACACATGTCACAAAACAGGCCCATGGGGAGCCAGGAGGGTGAGCTACGCCAGCTCAGGAGCCTGGGGAAGCCGTCCCAGTGAGGGGCCCTGAGGAAGTGGGCAGAGAAGGGAAGACACCCCTCCACCTCTTCACCTGTGGAAATGACCGGAACACCCACTGTGGGGTGGGGAGGGGGCGGTGGTCAGGACGCATGGGAAGGATGTAGGTTAGGAGTGCGTACATGAACAAATCACTGATTCCTTTCCAGTTCTCTCCCTGGCACCAGGGTTAGGACCAGGGGCCTGCCCTCACTCACCAAACATCTGCCAGTCAGGGACCACACACAGCGCCGTGCTCTTTGCTGGGCCGCAAGCCTAAGGCCAGATCCCTGCCTTCCAGGGGGCTTCCAAAGTGGCAGACAAACCAGTTTCCTCATTACAAAGAGGAATTGTGGGGCAACCCTTCCAACCAGGAGTTTCCCAAGGACACAGACAGACCCAAAGGCAAGGAAGGTGGAGGGAAAGGGCACCCTCCCAACTGGAACAGGAACGCCCAAAGAAGCTGGCCTTAGAGGCCACTGCTGTCCTGGGTACAGACTGGGTGTGCAGCAGGATGGAAACTTGTCCTTTGTTCTCCCCAGCCCGCAGACTCACAGACTACACTCCTGCCTGGGCACCGGCCTCTCTGCCACCTCCTCTGGTGGGATGAAAGGGATGGAAAGTCTAGAAAATTCGAGCATAGGTTACTGTAAATCCACAGGCCGTGAACAATGAAGCCCGCCTTGGCCTGCACAATTGTAGCTGATCTCTCTGAAGAGGAGCTACAGGCCCAGCCTTCCCTCCGTGGATGTGGATGAGGCAGAGCTATAGTTTCCTCCCCAGCATGCTTTTTTGTTTTATTTGAGACAGAGTCTCGCTCTGTTGCCCAGGCTGGAGTGCAGTGGCGCCATCTCAGCTCACTACAACCTCCACCTTCTGGGTTCAAGTGATTCTTGCAGCCTCAGCCTCCCTAATAGCTGGGATTACAGGCACCCACCACCATACCCGGCAACTTTTTATATTTTTAGTAGAGATGGGGTTTCACCATGTTGGCCAGGCTGGTCTCAAACTCCTGACCTCAAGCGATCTGCCCGCCTCAGCCTCCCAAAATGCTGGGATTACAGGTGTGAGCCACTGCACCCGGCACCAGCATGCCTTGTACCAGAACCTCATCCCCATTCATCTAAGGCTTTAATGTAAACGCACACACCCCTTGCGGTGGGTGGTAAGCTTATGTCATTTACACATTATAGGACAAATGTATCCTGAGAACAGACTTCACAAGAAGCAGGACTAAAGATGAGTCCTGAACAGGTTGTAGCAAAGCAGCAGCTGCTTTCTAGGCCTCCAGTGCAGGCAGGGCATGGTGGCAGAGCTCTCCTGGCCCCAGACAAGATGCTGTGCCCTCATCTTTGAGGGGCTCCTGGGTAAGGATGCTGCTGCTGTCACCGCTGCCTGTCTCCATCCCAGGCGCCAGGCCCACCTTAGAATCTGTCGTTGGACTGCTGCTGTGTGTCCCGCTCCATTCCTCTCAGGGAAGGCTCTCCTGACAAGGATAGGTAGGAGGCAAGGGCTGTTCATCTCTACTCCACTGGTATTACCCCAGCAGGCGAGGGCTGAGCCACTACACCTCATGCCCTAGAAACACCTGCCAGGGATGGGGCTGGGAGGCTGGGGTGGTGGGGGTGGTGACTTTCAAATCTACCTGGTATTAGGTTTGACAGGAAGTTGCAAAAGAGACATGATCACCTTGTCATTGACATGTGCACTGTAATTTTAAACACAGAACCTGAAGATGCTCTACATATAGTATATTTGAGTCAACAGTTCTGGGATAAAGCATCACTATCTTAGTCTCAAAGGCTGATAAATTAGGATAAACTCTAATGACATGAGTCTTGAAATCAGCACACTGAAATTGGCAATCTTACTTTTTACTTGCCTAATGATTTCACAAACTGATAATTTATCAGCTTCTTATAGAAACGTCAGGAGAAGACTCCACATAAGTAAATGTCAACTGTAAAATGTATACAACCACCCAACGGGTGCTATCAGATACAAGGATATTTATTTCAACTTTATTTTAAGATGAAATATCCAAGTTCTTCTCTCTACTCCTCCCCAAGTCTCTTTTTCTCTTTTCAGTGGAAGCGTGTGTTATAAATGTGAGGGATCGTAAAAAATGATGAAAGGATGGCAGTATATCAATCTCTTAGCTGCCTGTCATGAAAGCTAAAAGAAAAAGCAAGCCAAGTATGCATGCCACTGGCCTGTGTGTGCAGGCTTATGTGTTCAGTTATCCTGCCCACCTCATCAACAGTGGACAGGCAGAGCTGAGAGCGGCAGCATCCTTGCCTAGGAAGTAACTCTTACTGCCACACTCCTGAGGCCGGCGAAGGACACATGGAGTTCCTAAGGGAGTCCTAGAACCCAAGACGTTTCCTTTTAGTCAAGATTATCCGAAAGACGGCTAGGTGCGGTGGCTCACGCCTGTAATCCCAGCACTTTGCGGGGGCTGAGGCGGGCAGATCACCTTAGGTCAGGAGTTCGAGACCAGCCTGGCCAACATGGCTAAACCCTGTACCTACTAAAAATACAAAAAAATTAGCCGGGCATGGTGGTGTGCACCTGCAGTCCCAGCTACTTGGGAGGCTGAGGCATGGGAATCGCTCAAACCCGGGTGGCAGAGGTTGCAGTGAGTCGAGATCACACCACTGCACTCCAGCCTGGGTGACAGAGCGAGGCTCCGTCTCAATTAAAAAAAAAAAAAAGATTATACGAAAGGCATGGTGGAGGCTAAAGCTGAACTCTTGGGTCACATTTTATAGGAAATTACAGGCATTTTATAGATGTGTGGGCTTTAAATCCAGGAAGCATAACATGTGAAATCCTAAGCCTTGCCAACTTCTGCCAAAACGGGTCTCACTCTCTTATTTCTGTCTTCATTACGGGATGATTTCCATTCCGTGGAAAACAACTGATCCAGCAGGAGAGGAGTGACACCAATTCAGGGATGGTGAGGACCAGCTAGGAGCGTAAGAAGGCCTGGCTTTCCCACCTGCCCAAGGAAGGGTTTGGACAAGGATTCACTTGAAAATCTGTGGGAGTATCCACAGTGTGAAAGGCACCGTGCCAGGCAGGTACTAAAGAGGGCAGAAATGGTCAAACAAGGACCGAGTCGGCCAGGGCTTTCCTATGTAAGAATGATACCACCCATGACGTATATGAAACACTGGAGAAAAAGCAACATGGAGTAGAGATGGGGCGGGGGCTGCATGTCAGTCCCCATCCAGCTTCACGGAGAGTGCTGTCCAAGCACAGCTGGAGCCTGCACGGATACTCCAGCGAGCCGCAGGTGCCTGGGGGCAGCTCTGAGTCAGCCATCCAGAGTGTGGCTTGCCCTGCCTCCTTTGGGGGCTCGTAGCGCCATGGGGGCTCAGGGAGGGAGAATCCTGACTGATACAATTCCTGGCAACCAGAATCCAGTGGTCTCTGCTGAAGGTCTTAGTGCCCATACGAGACCAGTAGCTAGGTTCCACTGCCAGGTGACGCTGACAGCAGGGAGGCTGAAGGGAGGCGGCGGAGGGAAGAAGGAAGAGCCAAAGGCAACAGTGGCAGGAATTAGGAGGGACATACTTACCTGAGACTTAAAGCTATGAACGACCTGGCCCCCGTTTCCTTGGAGCCTTGAAGGAACAAAGTTAACACGCTAGGGACCAAATGCCACATGCCACTGAGGCCCTAGAAAATGGATTCTGCTGGCAAATACTGTTCAAGGGTCAGGCAAACAAGACCCAGTGTCTGTCTTCAAGGAACTCTCTGCCCAGTGGACTCATAGCAAATGACTTAAGAGCGCCAGTTAAACCAGGAAGAAATGTAATTTGTTCTCTGGCTCTACCCAAGATGGGAAATGGCTGTAGCCAACTAATGAGGCATTCTTCCAAAATGATAAGCTATATTTCTACCCAGGTAAGGCAGAGAAAATAAGCCATTTGGGAACTCTAAAATCAGCACACTAAAACAACCTCATGAGGCTGAGCCTACACCTTGTACACAGGCATGTACCTCACTAAAGGGTTAAGTGACCAGAATTAAGAGAGGGAAAATCTAGAAGCTCTCTAGAGAAATCTAAAATGGTCATGTACAGTAAGTCCATGCCCCACAAGTGTTCTTTTTTCTGGTAAAGAAAAAGAAAACTAAGAAGTGACCTGACCTAAAACTATCAGAGGAAGGAAAGCAACATTAACTCAAAACTGAGCAGCAAGAAAAATATGACTACATTTGCCAGATAAAATAGGAAATCTCTGCAGCTGGAGTACTTCTGTGTCAGTCTACTCATCACATAACCAAATGTCTCAACTTAAACTGAATGTCATTGTCCAAATTCAGCCATCTCTGTTCTCATTCATAAACTACCGTTTCACAGAAAAGTGAATCACTTCATTACTTCTTAATGCAACATAACATTACACTTTTAATTCAAAACAGTGCTCTAATAAACAGGAAACATAAAGGTTCCGAGTGAGATTTTCAAGATACTGGAATCAACATTTAAAATATATTTATAGGCCTGGTGTGGTGGCTCACGCCTGTAATGCCAACACTTTGGGAGGCTGAGGCGGATCACTTGAGGTCAGGAGTTCAAGACCAGCCTGGCCAACAGGGCGAAACCCCATCTCTACTAAAAATACAAAAACTAGCCAGGCGTAGTGGCGCACACCTATAATCCCAGCTACTTGGGAGGCTGAGGCAGAAGAATCACTTGAACCTGGGAGGCAGAGGTTGCAGTGAGCCAAGACTGTGCCACTGCACTCCAGCCTGTGCGACAGAGCGAGACTCTGTCTCAAAAATCAAATAAAATAAATTTATAATAACTACAAATGATGACGTTTTTAAAAGGCCACATCTGCAAAAGAAGAGAAATACTGTGCTTGAATGCGATCCTTTACTTCCAACAGTTGATGGGTCAGAATGAATCAACCCCTTGCCTTGCAGATACACAACTGAAAAGCAGCATGAGGTGCTCTAGGCATAGCTGGATGAATGGGACTTAAAGATCACATCTAATCATTTAGTGTAAGATACTCGCTCAGGACAGTGAGAGACCAAGCACTGGGGAAACAGGGCTAGTTCAGGGTTTTACTCCCACACTGATGATCTTTTATAGGCCATATGCAAATCACTCAGTCTTTTCAAATGTGATTCAGAATGCTGACTGTCACTCAGGAATCAGAGTTCTTCTGCAAGATAAGGAAATATCCATCAAATCAGCCATGGTCTTCAGGAAATACATTACAAAGCGTGGAACACTATTTGTCAGGGGTATACAAGAGAAGTCATGAGATCCAGTGGGCCATATGATGGCTGACCCTTTGTTTCATTTAACAGGTAATAACAAAATAACTAAAGACAGAATAAAGAAAAATTATCTTTGTAACTTAGTATCTTGAGTTCTATCATCAAAACTTGTAAAACTTCCCTGTTACTCCTTCAGTTAAGCACACACAGTTACATTAAGTTATATAAATACAGGCAGAGGATACAAATCCATTTTCTTTCATCTTAGATATCCAAATAAGTGAGATGTGGAACTATTTTTTTATCAAGTAGATAATGTTTTATCAATAGCTGTAAACCATTTTTGTAAACTGTCTTTCAGCTGAGAAAACAATACACTGCTTCTGTCATATTGGAAAAGGAATGATCTCAAGGTTTCCAAGCAACACAGCAATTTTTCAAAGCTGAACTCCCCTGCTGATCATTAGAAATAGTTTCAAATGTCCTATTCTTGGCCTTCATTTGTGCCAAACCCTGGACAAGGCTGCAACAAGATTATAGTTCCAAACCATCCCATCTCTGCACGGGGTGCTAAGCAGTCCCTCTTCCCTTTCTCTTAGTGCCACACCATCATCCACATTCACTTCGGGTCTCTCCTGAATCAAGCTGTGCTTATGTTTTATAGAGGAAATGTGAAATCAAAGTTGTTTTGCTTCATCTCCTGCAGGGTAACTCCGTCAGATGCATTGCTTTGACTGCATGCTGTCCTACGTTTAGAAGCGCTGTGGTCTAAACCCTGTCGTGAGTCAAGGTGTGGCACGCACGGGGCAGGTGGCGATTACGGCCCAAGAAGGCCCAGTGCTGGGTCGATACACTCAACACTGTGATCATCTTTTGTTGGTGGGTATTTGCAGAATGCATTGAACAAATTAAAGGAGGGTAAGAAATGGCTTATCTGGTGACAATGGAGAGTGGTATTGTTTTCCACATCATCATATTCTTAAACAACTCCCAGCGATCTAAAATGCTGATGAAGGAAGGATAGAGTTTTATTTATTTTCACCAAATAGCTGGACATATTAAAAACTTAAGGTAGACTGGAAATAAAATACAACTCCAACATGTTTTAAATCAGATTTGATTTTTTTAATTCAAATTGACCCAAAGCAAAACTTACATTAAAAAGGAAGAACAAAATACATTATGATATAACACACTAGGAGTTACATGAAAGCTAAATTTGTGGGCAAATGGCCTTATCCCAATCACATTCTGGGCTCATGAGCACTCCTGCAGGAAAGTTAGAATCTCAATTTCGTATGGTCCACGCCGGTCATTAAACTACACATTCTTGTCTCTTGGGGTGTGCATCTGACGAGTCATGCTAGAGTCCCTCATGCTCCAGATGTGTACTCTTGCTACTGCCAGAACGCTGGATTCTCTAGTGGAAATGCTGTTCCAAGCATGACTGACAATGAATTAAAAAATGAGACAGTCAAGTCCTCCAAACTAACAGGCATGGATTACTGTGTAGTAAATAGTTTAGAAATATGGGAATTAAATAATCTAAAAAACACTCTTACTCTGCTGTACATTTATAAACACAAATATTTACAAAAAAAAAAAAACACAAAACCTTGTTTTCGAAAGATGAGGTTTGCAGTTCATTAATGATCATAATCTTTTGTAAGCTGGTTTCTTTGGTGTATTTGCCAAATATATTTTTATAAAGGTTTAGTAATAGGCTTAAATAATAAATTTCAAAGGAAACATAAAAGAATCTGACAAATTTGAAAATATTCTGAACATTTTCTGTTCTGTTTCTGGAAAAAACAATCGGTTGATTTTTCTGAAAATATCTGTTCTCCCTATTCATTATGTGACCATGGAATGCTTCTCTGTGAATCCAATTCAAATGCAGACCTGCAGGTGTCACCACTATCATCTACCAGTAACCCACCTGGAGACATTTTAGTTATTGTGAAATGTGATTGGGATTTTATTAACAACAAAAATAAAACATTCTTTTTAAGCTTCCAGATAAATCAAACCTCAAACAATAAATAATGGAATTATACACTTCTTCATTAAATAGAAATTTCAAAATTCCAGGAAGAGCTCTCATAATTTTTTTTTTCTGAAGTCACAGCAGCAATACAGAACAAAGAATTTACCTTAATCTGATCTTTTTACGTGGAATTCCCTGACTCAAACTCAGTGGCTTAGTTTGGAAACCTCTGAATGGCTGGGGAGAGAAAATCTTTTGAAACTAAGTGAATAAATTAACACACACATACGTGGAAATCAGCCCTTGTGCAAGTGTAACATGAACATCACTGATGAGAGTGCAGAAACTCCAGGCACCCCTCTGCCTCCTCCTATCCCTGGGCCTGGGGTTGTAGGGAGAAGTCACACTCAATTCATTTCTAGCCACACCATGTCCCTAACAGTGCTAGTGTGAACTAGCCCTGACCTGGGTATTGGTTTAAAGAATGAGAATACAGCTTGGCAACTGTCTTCATAAGGGACTCTCTCTGGAGATAACTTTTTGGAACATTTTTATGGGGAAGAGGACAGACTACCCGTTCCTATCCATCAGGCTCCAGCTAGTTTGGGGATGGTTATAGAACTGGCCACACTCAGAGTGGCTGCCTGCGAAAGAGTCTATGCCAAAGAGTCTATGGGCCACACCAGCAATCTCCCGAATAATCCTCTTCTCTGAAGCTGCCCGTCTTCGGAAACCTGTGCAATGCTTAGGCACAAGCAGATCAGAGTCTAAGAGCAAACGCTGTGCTTGAGAAAACAGCACTGCTGGCTCTGAAAAAGGTGAAGCCAGAGAAAACTCCTAGTTCTGCTTAGTTACACTTCTGGGTGAAACAGTTTTACACTTCATGACTTAAATCTAGAAATTCAGACGAGAGAAGCCCTTCGTCTTGTAAACTTCTGATAACAAATTTATTAACAGTGTGTTAAATATTTTTTCCCAAAGCACTAAGAACGATACTGGGACATTTGAAAAGGTTCTTCTGAAGTTAATAACACAAATCAAGCCAGAATACGTTTCTGAGGGCATCCTCTTAGATGCCTAATGCCTCTGGGACCTTTTCCATTGTTACTGACACTTTATCATATCCGTGTTTACACGGCAAACATATGCCCAATCAACCCAGAAAATAATTGTCCTGAAGAGCCTCACTGTATATAACCTTAAAATGGGAAATGTTTAATTAGCATATTAGAAATTAGCCAGACTTATAAATGTGTACCCCTTAAAGATTTTACGCTTAAAAAGTTTTTTTTTTAAACTGGGAAGAAAAGAAACACCATGAAGCCACCCCAAATTATTGAACCATTAAAGCCAAATGATTTAACAATTTTTAAGGGAAGACTCGACCACCAGGGTACAAAATTTTCTGCTTAAAGTGAAGTCAAAGACATAGCTTCAGATGGAAATTGCAACTGACATACGATGGCTCTGCAGTGACAACTGAAGCGGCGGCTCCTGTCCTCACGGGCATGTCAAAGCTGGCTGTGAAATGACGACCAGCAAGTGAAATAATGGATAAAATACACCAGAAGGAGTATTGCACTGCAGGCACAGTTTTAAAAACAGAATACACTGGCTTCACAAAGTTATTTTCTTTCCCGTTAATTTTTTTAAAAGTACAACTCTAACTAGAGATAGAAATCGAGATGCAGTGTCTCAGGGTAGTGTACTACAGTTGTTAAAAAAAAAATAAGTTAAAAACAAGAGCACAGCAAAAGAAAAGCAGAGGTACTGGATTTATGTCATAAGCAGAGATACTGGATTTATGTCATCCGAAAGCTACATTAATTAGGAAAAAGAACAGTTTGAAACGGCCAGTTTGTACTCATTAAAAATGAATGAGGTGACAGCGTTACTTCAAACATTTCTTAGGGCATTTTCCAAAAGAACCCAGGGTCGCCCTGGGTGAAACTGTGCCTCCAAACGTTAACAAGTGCTCTGCTGGTTTAGAATACCGTGCTTACCAAGGAACCATAAATTTGGAAAGGGTAAATTCTCCACTCTAAACCTGCTTGTGTCATTTAAGAAAAGACAATTTTTCTAAATGCAGTATTGTATACAAAGCTTGGACCTCTTAAACTTGGACCAAGAAACCAAATTAAGACCTTCAAGCATGTGGTGTGTGTTTTTATATATATATAAAAAATCCCTCCCCTACAATGAAAACCAACCAAACAAACAGAAAACCCAAAAGTGTATACCTGCTTTCTGATTTCACAGCAAATCAGAAATTGCATAGGATATACTTTGTGCAAGGCAAAAAGCCTTTTAAGTATCTAGAATAGAACTCCTAATCTTGCTCACAGTTCTGGCATATCAGATATCATCAAATTTGTGTTTTAAGTAGTCTTTCATGACCTTGGCAATTGGTAGTTCATCAAGTAGCTTTAGGTTTTGAAGGCCTATACATTGTCGAATTTTAATTCGGCACAGGTCCTGCAAGTTTCTGGGCTGTCCTAAAAAGACAGAAAAAAGAAAATGTTACAAAGCCACAAAGCACAATATTTAAGGCACTTTTGAAAAGAACTGTTCATTTCCCTGGAAGTTCTCTCTATGGACTTGACATGCAAAGGACCGGAAAGATACCAACTCAAAGTGTCCTAGGACCTTCATGCGATGCCTTATTTGATCCTTTTCACAACCGTGGGATGGTGGATATTTTCAACTCCATTTTACCAATAAGAAAACTGAGTATCAGATGTAAACAAGTTGCTTAATATCAGACAACCAATTAAGGCTTTCAACTGAGACCAAAAACAGTTTTGATTCTAAGCCTCATATCCTTTCTGTTATAAATCAGGAAAATTCTGGTTCTCGTCCTGACTAGGTCTCTCTCACGCTGGGTGAGCCACTGTGAGCCAATCATTCCTCTGAGCCTTGGCTTCTCAATCTGAAAAGTGTGGGGACTGAAAGAGATGTCCCCTATTGTGAGCCTCCCTTTCAGCTCTGGGTCTAGGACACTGGAGCCCGGACACCCACCACGGTCTCTGTGGAGCTTTCCAAACAAGCTTTCCAGATCTGCTCACCTGTTTTCCGTGATTCTGAACACAGCAGAACCT
Organism: Homo sapiens; assembly: GCF_000001405.40. Taxonomy (NCBI): domain Eukaryota; kingdom Metazoa; phylum Chordata; class Mammalia; order Primates; family Hominidae; genus Homo; species Homo sapiens. The sequence continues at coordinate 100,647,719 of NC_000015.10, read as the reverse complement.
TGGTTGTAAGGCTGACAGTTGAGGAGTGCAGCAGAAGGGGGTGTGAAAAAGCGCCTCAAGGTATTCTGAATCTACATCGCTTCAAGCTTCCACACCCTGATCACTTGCCAATAAAAACCCGTTATATCTCAATTCAAAAGAAAAATCACAAAATCCTATTTCTTTCCCTTTGGAATATTTTGTTTTACAAAAACAATACAGATGGCTCCAAAAACAAGGAAGAATTCTTCAACTGTGCTTCAGTAGTGTTTGGAGTCAAGGAAGTTTTGCTTTCATATTAAACATGATAATAAAGCTAATATATATTGAATACTTACTCTGCGCCATGTATTGTTAAGAGCTCATGACATGTATTAACTCCTTTCATCCTTTTACGAGGGAAGTACTTTGATCATCATCCCCATTTTATAGAGTCTCAGAGAGATTAAGTAACATGCTTAAAGTCAAGTTGAATGCCATTTTTCAGTCATTCTCAAACTTTTTGTTTTCAAAACTCCTTTACACTTTAAAAAATTATTGCGAACCCCCAGAAACTTTTATGTGGGCTATCTCTATAGTAAATGCCATATTATAAGTTAAAACAGACATTTTAGAAATACTTTTAAATTCATTCTAATAAACCATTACATGTTAACATAAATAACACATCATTATGAAAAGTAACTATATTTTCCAAAACCAAAAAAAAATTTAACAAGAACGTCATTCTTTCACATTTTTGCAAAGCTTTTAATGTATGGTTTAATAGATGATAGCTGAATTTTCATATATGCTTCTGAATTCAATCTGTTGAGATAAGTCACATCAATCACACCACCTCGTCTCTGGAAAAAACTGACACTCATGATAAAAGGAATGAGAGAAAGGCAAATCATGTCTCAGTGTTATTATGAAAATCAGGAGGAGACCCATGGAGAGAAAACAGAGTCCGGGATTACACCGCAACTTCTCGCTTACCTGTGCAGTGTAATTTTGAGCTGTCTCTTTGTAGTCCTAAGAGACAGGAGCTCCCGTTCTCAGCCTACTAACCCATAACTGTGGGCAAGTCGTGTACACTCCCTGACATGGCTCAGCTGCAAACAAGCTTCTACACTGATCACAAGAAATAGGCCATCAATGATGTTGCCTTCTCAATCCCTGCTGTCTCTTAAAGTGTTGACCTTAGTAACATCATCAATTAATTACTAAAGGGCAGAAATGAGTTCCACAAATATGTGGAGTTTGATTTCCTTATTAAGGGTCAGTTTCTGTGAATGCCCTTGGTCAAACACATGGAACGGGAGAACACCTCCTTAAAAGAAGTTGTGGAAAGAGAATACGCGGAGAAGTACACCGCACCCCAACCAGAATGAAGTGTCCTTGATGAGTGGACCAGTTCAATTCAAGGGACAGAGGTATGGATCTTGACTGGTTCTTATGATGAGACTTCTCGAATCTGGTCCTTGGAAGGAAAGTCAACATTGACAATTGTGGGACACATGGATATTGTTAACAGATGTGGCCTGGGTGACAAAAGACAGTTTGTGTTACTATTGAGTGGCTCTATGGATCAGACTATTCTCTTATGGGAGTGGAATGTCCAGAGAAACAAAGTGAAAACCCTATGCTGCTGCCCAAGTGTAGATTCCACAGCTATTGATAGCTCAGGAACTAAATTTTGCAGTGGCTCCTGAGATAAGATGCTAAGGATCTGGTCTACTGTCCCTACAGAAGAAGATGAAATGGAGGAATCCACAAACTGACCAAGAAAGAAACAGAAAACAGAGCAGTTGGGACTAACAAGGACTCCCATAGTGACCTTCTCTGGCCACAAGGAAGCAATCTCCTCAGTGCTGTGGTCAGATGCTGAAGAAATCTGCAGCGTATCTTGGGACCATGAAATTAGCGTGTGGGATGTCGCGTTTGGCAATCTTAAGTCAACTTTACAGGAAATAAAGTGTTTAATTGTATTTCCTATTCTCCACTTTGTAAATGTTTAGCATCTGGAAGCACAGATAGGCATATCAGACTGTGGGATCCCCAAACTAAAGATGGTTCTTTCGTGTTGCCGTCCCTAACCTCACATACAGGTTGGGAGACATCAGTAAAACGGTCTCCTACCCATGAACCACAGCAGATTTCAGGATCCTTATATAACACCGTCAAGCTGTGGGATTCAAGAAGTTGTAAGGCTCCTCTCTATGATGTGGCTGCTCATGAAGAGAAAGTTCTGAGAGCAGACTAGACAGACACAGGGCTCCTTCCGAGTGGAGGAGCAGATAATAAACTGTATTCCTACAGATATTCCGGGGGGCATGAACTCGAATGATAATTTGATTATAGAGATTCTTTCTATAAATGAAAATTGGTAGAGAATCATGAAATTACATTGATGCAGATGCAGAAAGCAGCCTTTTGAAGTTTATATAAAGTTTTCACCCTTCATAACACCTAACATATCACTGTCTTTTCTTATTTTGTATTTATAATACAAAAGTTCGTGTTTATAAAACAGAAACTGTGGCTTGCATTCTCTATTTAAAAAAGAAAAAAAGGGAAGAAATCATTTTGACCTCACAGTTACCCTAAAAGGGTCTTGGGGACTCCAGGGCCCACTAGACCATACTTGGAAAACTATTCTTGTACTTTATCCCTCATATCCATTGTACTTGCTTACAGTGATCACCGTTATTCAAAAGGAAGTACTTCTTCATAAATGACAAAGGCTGACTTAGACCTCTGCTCTGTAAGGCCTGTATGAACATACGCTTTTCGAGAGGTTACTTGCTATGTGGTCTCTTAACAGAATGGCAGCAGAAGTGACAGCTTTCTTGGAAATGTCTGTAAACTAGGAGTATGTGTATCCACAGATGTCTGTACATGGATCTGTACAGGGATGTGACACACACACACTCATGTGCCTCTTGGGAAGATTATGTCTCCTCCACCTTTCAGATCTCTGCCAAAATAGCACTTCATCACAGGAGACTATGTCAGGATTCACCATCAGATACTCCCAGAGTTCCTCTCCTTTATAACATTTAATAAGGTTGTGAGTTCACATTTATTTGGTGATTACGTGTTAATTAATGCCCATCTTCCTCACTATATGACATGCTCCATGAGGGGAGGACCATGTCTGGCCCCATTTGCCAATGTAAACCCAACTGCTGACACGGTACTCGGCGAATATGAGTTGAATGAATGCTTAATAGGCTTGTCCTTAAAGTATAAAACAGTCAACGTGCTGCAAAACACACTCAGGTCAACAGCAAATCATTTCCAAGCCTGTTTTGAATTATTTTTCAACACTATTCATGGGCTACTTTAGGAAAAGAATAAATTATCATTGTCATTTTTCAGTAAATGCTTACAGTATTTGATCTGCAAATGCAAACTGGAATGTGAATTACATGTGAATCTTCTTTCTTTAAAGAATTTGATTTTCCTAATAGATGACGGGCTCTTTTTAAGTATTATTTACTTATTTATTGCAATGCAGTCTCACTGTATTGCCCAGGCTGGAGTGCAGTGGTGCAATCTCAATTCACTGCAACCTCCATCTCCCAAGTTCAAGCTATTCTCATGCCTCAGCCTCCCGAGTAGCTGGGATTATAGGCGTGTGCCACCACGCCCAGCTAACTTTTGTATTTTTAGTAGAGATGGGGTCTCACCATGTTGGTCAGGCTGGTCTCAAACTCCTGGCCTCAGGTGATCCAGCTGCCTCAGCCTCCCAAAGTGCTGGGATTAAGGGCATGAGCCGCCATGCCAGGCCCTTTTTAATATTAATAAAAAGAACCACCATAACATATTCAGGCAAAAAACAGAAGAGGAAAGAGTTGACGTATGTGTATACAGGCATACTTAAATGAAAACGTATCATCCAAAATAGTGGTAAAAACTAAATTACTAGAATTTGCTTAGCTAAGGTAAAAAAAAGAAGGGGCTGGCTGGGCGCGGTGCATCATGTCTGTAATCCCAGCACTTTGGGAGGCTGAGGCAGGCGGATCACGAGGTCAGGAGATTGAGACCATCCTGGCCAACATGGTGAAACCCCGTCTCTACTAAAAAAATATAAAAAAAATTAGCCAGGCGTGGTGGCGGGCACCTGTAATCCCAGCTACTCAGAAGGCTGAGGCAGGAGAATCACTTGAACCCAGGAGGCAGAGGTTGCAGTGAGCCAAGATTGCGCCACTGCACTCCAGCCTGGGAGACAGAATGAGCCAGCCTCTGCCTCAAAAAAAAAAAAAAAAAAAAAAAAAAGAAGAAGGGACTGAGACAAAAGGTTATGGAATGGGGGATCTGCTGATATGGATTTGTTTTGTGACAGACTGTTCTCTCCAAAGATGACCACATTACCTCCTATCTCTCATGCCTTTCCACAGTGAGGCTGGATACTCCTATCATTAAGAGATGAGGTCTATGTTCCCTCTCCTTGAAACTGGGTGGGCCTATGATAATGGTGATAATGTTGTTAAGTAACTTCCAAGGCTAAGTCATAAAAGGTGATGCAGCTTTTGCCAGACTCTTGGGACATTCACTACTGCAACACAGCCACCATTCCACCAAGACGCCCTAGCAACCTATACAAGGGAACTGAGGTCACTGACAGACAACCCTGGCTGAGCTCCCGGCCAACTGCCAGCACCAACTTGCCGGCCACCTGAGCCAGCCTTTTTTGTTGTTGTTGTTTTGTTTTGTTTTTTAGCCAGAGTCTCACTCTGTGGCCCAGCCTGGAGTGCAGTGGCACAATCTCAGCTCACTGCAACCTCCACCTCCAGGGTTCAAGCGATTCTCCTGCCTCAGCCTCCAGGCAGCTGGGACTACAGGCATGCATCACCACGCCTGGCTAATTTTTGTATTTTTAACAGAGACAGGGTTTCACCATATTGGTCAGGCTGGTCTCAAACTCCTGACATCAGGTGATCTGCCTGCCTCGGCCTCCCAAGGTGCTGGGATGGCAGGCATGAGCCACCGCGCCCGGCCGCAAGAGTGAGCCATTTTCAAAGCAGAGAGGCCCCAGTCAAATTGCTCCAGAAAATAACGTGTGGAGCAGGGAAGTAAAACAAATGTCTCTTGTTGTTTTAAGCCACTAAAGTTCTGCAGCATTAGATAACTGAGTGAGACTCTGGGACCTGAAAGTGGGGCTTTGCCCTTGGTACCAGGCAGTGGGAGGGCTTGGAGGTGAGTGTTACAAGGAAGCCAGAAGGGCTTTAAGAAGCCTGTTGGTTGGGGCTGTATGAAAAAGTTTTTTGACTGTTACTAGAAGCTGGAAGACGGGGAAGCCTTGTATGTATGTAATAGTGCAAAGTCTGTCAACACTGTCACATGTGGTAATGTGGTAAATAGGAAATGTCCTAATGACCTAATGATCTACTTAAGTAGATTCCTCAGGCAGAATACCGTTAAGTATCACTGGCTTTTCTTCACTGTCTATGATAAGATGCAAGAGGGCAAAAATGAGCCAACAACTTCAATTCAAGGGAAGCACTGACAGAAATGCTACCATCCTCACAAGTTATTTATCTCTGCATAAGCCCTTCCCAGGGAAAAATGCACATTCTGAGGCCTAAATTTGTTGAAATGCTCTAGTCAATATGTTGAAATGCTCTAGACTAATTTTTCTTTTCCTTTAAATGTGTGTTGTTGGGAGAATCTGACCTTTTAAAGGTTTCTTGACCATGTGTACCTCCTGTCTGCAGAATTTCCTTTAATGATGGAGGCATATCACAGTGGTTAAAAGCATCAACTCTGGAGCCAGGCTGCCTGGATTTGGCTCCTGGCCCCACCACCACTTGCAGTCTCTGTGATCTTGGGCTCCTTAGCTTCCTGCCTGTGTTCTCATAATAATCACACTCACCTCAAACGCTTTACAAGCATTAAACAAGTTAATTTTGGAAAAGTGCTTACAATAGTGCCAAGCACATACTAAGTACCAGGTAAATACATTTTTAAATATGTGTAAGGATGTTTGCTTCTGGTTACCAAAAAAGTAGAGGGCCCCTCTTTGGAAGCTGGAGTCTCCACCTTCCTGGTGTCAGGACAGTAAGAAAACTAGATGACAGTTTAACAGTAAAGAAGCAACTGGAAACCCATTAGTGGGAAACAGTCCTGAGCAAACTGGTAGAAATCACATTCTGGAAATCCCTGCCTGACTTGAATCAGGCAGAGATGTGAGGGCTTTTACCTGTATAAAAAGATGTGCAGAGATGAAGTGAGGGATATCACTACACTGTTTCTCCACGAGTGTACAGGTATGAACTTCTCTTGCCATGTACCAGTATTGCTGAGTGAAAAGTGAGCTAAATTTTAGGCATAATAAGGACTGCTTATGGTAAGTACTGTCATTTCTAAGACAGTCTAAGGAGCTATTTTTTTCAGAAATGGCATTTTAAGAGTAGAAGATTATGACTGAAAGAGAAGTACTTATTTTTTTGTCAACAGATCGCCTAAAAGTATTTACTGAGCATCTATTAATGCTGTATGTATTCAACAATACACTATCCCAGAGATTAAAGGGCCAAGGGAAGAGAAGGGCAGTGGCAGAAGAAGAGAAGGCAGAGAAAGAGAATAAAGAGAATGAAAGAAGAAAAATCAATACAAATGTGCACACCATTTACTAGGCATCTTAGAAAATTAATTCCTCCCCTGTTAGAAAACTACTTCCCTGTGCACGGGATCATAACAGGGAAAACTGGAAGACATCTCACAAAAGAGCATAATTTAAAGAATTACAAACCCTTTAGGGGATGCACAAAAAACTACCAGGTATTCATACTAATGAACTACAATGGAATTACATAATAGTTCAAAGGGTTATTAGTCTTTCCATTTTATAAAGAAGCCCATCATTAGTAATAATTGGGCTGGTATAAAATAGGAAATCATCTTTTGAAGGGTCTAGCGTAAATTACAAAACCAGGGCCAGCGGCATAATTTAGAAAATTAAATATCCTAAATCACCTCCCTGTGACATCGCCATTACCGTTTTTATGATAGGATCAACTTATTTGTTTAAAAATACCTGGATTCATAAAGGTAGAGAGGAAAAACATTTTTAAATACCCAAAGTGAGCAAAATGAAGGCAAAACAAAGTTCCAAAGTTGTTCTTTGGGTTGGAGAGGGGTAGAAATTGGAGGTGGAGGGAGGCACAAAGGAAGAAGTGAAAGATTTGCGTCCTCTGGATTGCTCTACACACCTGAACTTCCAGACTCTCTCCATCTTAGGTCAACATCTGGGATGGCCGCCCAATACCTCTGTTTTATTTCAGCTTCCCATTTTAAAATCCTACCATAGGCTGGGCATGGTGGCTCCCGCCTATAATCACAGCACTTTGAGAGGCTAAGGCGGGCAGATCACTTGAGGTCAGGAGTTCGAGACCAGCCTGACCATCATGGCGAAACCCCATCTCTACTAAAAATACAAAAATTAGCTGGGTATGGTGGCACGTGCCTGTAGTCCCAACTACTCAGGAGGCTGAGGCAGGAGAATTGCGTGAGCCTTGTAGGCAGAGGTTGCAGTGAGCTGAGATCACACCATTGCATTCCAGCATGGGTGACAAGTGAGACTCTGTCTCAAAAAAAACAAAAAAGAAAAGAAAAAAATCCTACCATAAACACATTTTATTCCTTTGCTCTTGCCTCTGAATTCCCTTCAGAGGGACCCTAGTATAAAATGTGCTAAACAAATCTTACTTTATAGGACAAAGGCAGTTTCCAGCTCTCCTTAAAATAACAATTACGGTATTCTCTTAGATAGAATCCCAATGTATACAACATCAGGCTTATGACATTTTTCTATTGGTAGCTTTTTTCCAAAGGTAAATGAGCTCTGAACTATATTTTCCATTTGCACTAAGTCAAATGACAAAAAATCTCTAGATGCCTATATTAAAAATAGAAAGTAATATAAATACTATAAAGGGCAGGATATTTTCTGTATCAAAGAACCTTAAAATGTGATGCAATTTGACCAAAAATTGTGTACTATTTATTTCTAAAAGTGATTCTTAATAACTGGGACTGAAAAACCTAGTAAGACTATGATATAATTATAAATCAATAATCAAAAATGCCCCTGGTTAAAATGTATTACATAAATTACTTCTCCAAAGAGTTGTACTACGCAACATTGCTTTGGATAAACCATCCTACAAAAATATCAAAGTAGCATGCAAAAGGAACACAGAGGGGAAGGCACTTGTTTTAGAGGCATTTTGTGCGAACAGCTGCTCATATACTTATTGCTATATGGGGTTTAACCTGAGAAAGCTCGAGCCCGCTTTCTTAAAATTAAAAAAAAAGGAGTCGTGATCTTTCTTACTCCTTATTTAAGTTATTTTAAAGTTTGAAACGCTGCCTTTAAAGTCTTACTTCTACAGCTAGAACACAGTACTTGACTACTGCTGAAATTTAAACAAAAATATTTCGGGTTACTGTGATATTTATAAAATAGTATCTTCAGATATCTGTGATTAATGTTCCAGAAAGCACCTAGTTTAAGTACCTGACAGACTGTCTTCTGCAAAACCATTTACACAACTCAATTCCCATCTACTTGATCTTTTTCTTTTAGAAATACATGTCAGTTAACTCCTTAAAACATACAAATCAAAATACAGCCCAGCCCTCCCTGTTACACACCACCAAAGCATACTGGTGGTTGCTTCCAGTCTTTGAACACTGTCTACTACAAACAGATCACTGCCTCAGCTCAGCCTCCTATGGAGAGTAAATACCAAACTAGCGTATTCTCTGACTTAAGAATCACCTAGACCAGAGCCCGCCACAGGAGTAAAAGATGCTCTGTTCTCACTCATAAGTGAGAGTTTAACAATGAGACCACATGGACACAGAGAGGGCAACATCATACACCAGGGCCTGTGGGAGAGTGGGGGACAAGGGGAGGGAGGGCATTAGGACAAACACCTAATGCATGCGGGCCTTAAAACCTAGGTGACGGGTTGATGGGCGCAGCAAACCACCATGGCACATGTATACCTATGTAACAAACCTGCACATTCAGCACATGTATCCCAGAACTTAAAATAATAATTAAAAAGATGCTCTGTCAAAGTAAGCCGTGAAAGTAAGTTGTTCACACTCGTCAACAAATAAATGATGTATTTATTCAAGGACTTCCTGGCCCCTTTGATATGTTACTGCGCACGGCGAACCTCTGAAACCTGGACCTAGGATCCAAGGTCCTATCTTCCAAACTGATGTGAATGATGAACCCGCTGGACTCCAGAGTATCCGGGAGAACCACAGTTTTTCTTTTTCTTTAAGACTAGTCAAGTGCAGTAGTGAGAAGGGAGGAAAGAGGAGAACGAGGGATCTGATCTGTAACTGACTGTGGACGCTACCTTTGGACTAGCCAGCCAGTTTTATAAACAAACTTCAGGAAATCACTGATCTCTGCAGAGCCTACGTAGTAAATATGATAGTAAACAGCAAGCAATAATGTAATAACATCTCGTATTATCCACAGATTTTAACTTTAAACAGAAATACATTAGAGATTCATCAAATTCTGAAACACTAGGCTAACAGGACACCCTTAAAAATCTGATTTTAGGGAATGTATATCACTAGGTCTCAGCTTTTTAGTTTTAGGACCCCCTTGCACTTTTAAAATTGGAGAAGCTCAAAGAATCTTTATGTCAGTTATACTTATCTATATTTACTATTTTAGAAATTGAGAAATTTTTAAACTATCCAATTCACTTAAAATAAGAAAAAATCCACAATCAATTGAAATAAATTTTTATGTAAAAAAAAAAAAAGAGCTGCTTTCCAAAACAAAAAGGATTTTTGCGAGAACAGCACCTCTTACAGTTTTCTGTAAATCCCTTTTAATGTCTGGCTTCACAGAAGGCAGCTGGAGTCAGAGATCTGCTTCTGCATTTCATCTGTTACAACATGCTGTCTTGACTGAAGCACCTGAAGAAAATCCAGCCTCACTCAGATACGCAGTTGGAAAAGGAAGGAATTTTTAAATAACTTTTTTCAAGTAACTTTGGATCTTCTCTGATACTCCATCAAAACTAGACAAGTGGGTGTTTCTTAATGGTTAGTTACAATATGAAATCTGGAACCAAACTGATGAACTTTCGTACTCTGTTACATTAAAATCCATTGGTTCACCTTGCACTTGAAATGGATCGTTTATCCATGTATGACTGTTGTCACATTACGCATTAGTCATTTGGAAAACAAGGTTCATTGGGTTATGTGGATCTTCCAAATGTTGACCTGTTCCATTACATGAGATCAAAAAATCACTTTTGTTAATATCTCCACTGATTGAAGAAGTCTCTAGATACTACGAATCTCACAGCAGTAAATACAAGTTTTCTAAAATCCTCATTTGCAAAGCTCAAATTTTATGACTGGCCCTAAGTCCTGTCAGTTGTTTTCCTTAAAGTGACACGTGAATTTTACTCATTTTCAAGAAAATGTCTGCCAAATACCCAGGACTAAACGGCTAGAGTTTAGCTTCTACTCTTTCCAGTAAAGATGGTGTCCCATGAAAAAGCTGCCGGCTCAGCTCAAACAAATGAAGTTGCTTTTCCTCAATCATCATCACTGCCCTTTGGTACGCAGTAAGAATGCTTGCCATTTCCATCCCACAGAACATTTAAAAAGCATTCGCAGGAACAGGATTTAATAAAATTAATTTTACCGCCTCATCACGGACATTCTTAAGTGGAATTGGAATGTCTTTTCCTGAGAGTGTCTGGCGGGGAACAACGACCAGTACCGGCTGGGGCCACTGTCTCGATTCACGCTAACATGCCAGCAGTTTCACCTGCCACTGCTTGTACACCATCAACACAAATGTCATCACAGTGAAAAAGGCAAATCACATCTTAGTATTGTTAGGAAATTCGTTTTGATTTCATAGGCACCTAAAACAATCTTGAGAAGCCCCGGCTAAAGTCCACACTGAAAAACGTCATTCTAACATAAATAAATAAATAAAAAACAATTTTTGTTTTGTTTTAAATCACAAGAAGCAGAAAATCATAGCCTTTAAGAGTGGTTAGTGGCAAGAATTTTTAAAACGGAGGGACTTGGGGACTATGTTCCAATTCCCCTGTTTTTCAGAGAAGGAAGCTGATCCCAGCGGGGTGTGGGGAGTGTTAAACATCTTGTCAAAGTTTATAAGGCAAGTCAGACACTAGATCAGAAGCCCATTAGCTGCTAGCTATCATCCCATTCTACTGATTCAACAGCGCCTCTGACACAGGCACAGTTGGGGGATCTTTGGGATGATGTACAGGAGACACCTGATCCCAGTGGGCAAAACATTAATCAGCTCAAAGGACAACGGACAGATATGTTTTTCCTATTTTAAGTAAAAATGATAAACTAAATAGACTTCCAGTTTTAGTTCCAACATGTAAAGAGCTTGGAAATCATCACTCCCATTCTTACAAGACAAAAAACCTGAACAAACTCAAAGTCAATGACTTTTCATGGATCCATCAGAAAACTGAAGATGTGGGGCAAACCTCCACCACACAATTTGGAGAGGAAACAAATTCAGAGCCATGGCTGAGATCTGTGTACCTGGAGCCGTAGTCACTGAAGCCATAAACTGGTAGGAAAACTGAAATGGTAATTTTGACGAACACTGAAATGGTAAATTTGACTGTGAATTGACTGGTCTGAGAGTGGCAGCCAGTATTAAGAAGCCCCCCACTCAGCTGTGAGTTTTACTCCCAGGAACCCCACCAAGTCCTCAAGGTAAAGAGCCAGTAAAGACACTCTCATGGCTCCAGCATGAGGAGGTGAGAGTAACCCTTGTGAAATGCACCCAGAACCTTCTCCATGACAAAGGCCCGAGCCCCGGGGGGAAAGACTTTCTCAGAACCTTGTCTCAGAGCCACGAGGAAAGCCCATTCCTGAGTCCAGTCCCCTCTGGCCTCCTGTCTCGCTTATGGGGCTGGAAAAGCTACACAAGAAGAAACGTGTGAAGACGCAGCCTAGGGACCCAGGCCCACTGAAAGACTGAGAGTGAATCAGAAGACTGCAGACCACTGGCCCTCCCCACACCTTACAACTGCACCAATGGGGCTTCACCGTGTAACAGAGGATGAAAGCCGAGAAAGCTGCAGGATGCACCCTCTCTCCAACGAGGCTGCTTAGGGAAGCCCAAAGCCAAGACACGGGACAGAAACAAGGGCACTGCAGGGACCGGAACCCTCTGGCACCTACAGCTGCAATAAACATGACTCACAGCCCAATTCACAGCCAGATTAACAAAAAGCCTCAGGTCAAAGGACTGTTTACCTCAGTTTCTGTTACCCACCATGTCTAGCTTCAGTAAAAAAATCACAAAACATACTAAGAGGCAAGAAAAAAACACAGTCTGGAGAGACAAAATAAGCATCAGAACAAGACTTAAATATGACACAGGTGTTGGAATTACCAGCCGGGGAATTTAAAACAACCATTAATTATTAAGATTAATGAAATTATTAGATGGTAATTGTAAAATCCTGTCTTAATGCCTTAATAAGCAGCAGCTCTGAGGAGGTGAAATTCTCAACACAGTACAGATGTGGGTGTCATTGGCAAAGGGAAACAGGAGTGACAAGGTGACCCCCCAACAGTGCTGTACCTTGTCTGCTGGGGCAAACCAACCTTTGACTCTGCTTTGCCTTTTGAACCTTTCCCTCCTACGTAAAGGGTAAAAAGCCTCACAGTGAAAGGAATTCCCAGGTAGAAAGCACAGTATGGCCTCTTTTCTGCAAATAATCTAGCCAATCAGACACCGCCTCCTTTCCAGGGGGCATTCTCCAGGAGGGAGCCATCCTGTTTACTGCTATCTTACCTTCCACTGGACTGTGTTACTGAAAGTTTCCCCCAATTTCCATACCATTTGCACAAGGAACTGCAGCTACTATTTCTTTCTTTCTTTCTTTCTTTTGAGATGGAGTCTCACTCTGTCACCCAGGCTGGAGTGCAGTGGCGTGATCTCGGCTCACTGTAACTGCAGCCTCCCGGGTTCAAGAGATTCTCCTGCCTCAGCCTCGTGAGTAGCGGGGACAATAGGTGCGTGCCACCACACCCAGCTAATTTTTGTGTTTTTAGTAGAGACGGGGTTTCACCATGTTGGACGGGCTGGTCTCTAACTCCCGGCCTCAAGTGATCCACCTGCTTTGGCCTCCCAAAGTGCTGGGATGACAGGTGTCAGCCACTGCACCTGGCCCTATCTCTTTTCTTTTCAATCCTTTCCTTTCACCTGCAGAAGTGGCTCGGTGAGAACAGTACTTACCTTGCCAGGTCTATAATTTGTGCTTAAGCATTCTGAGGTGGGGTTTTCCCCAAAAACATATATTTTCTCCTACTTCTCTTTGAACAAAATTGCAGTTGTGCCGATCATTAAAGCCTCACTTTTATATGTGTGTACACGTGAATACGTATATGATTAAACGTTCCTGCTAGTCACTGCCTGAGGTTCAGCTTTCTCATGGAATCTCTTTCTAAAAGATTTCATATTCTGAATAACTCCCTGGTCCATACATTGACTATGGGAGTTTACCCTGTGAGGAAGAAGATAAGAAAAAAAACTCAGTAACTCACTATCTGATTCTTCAGGATGGGTGGTATTATTTACTCCTCAAGCTTTACTGAGGAACAATCTTTTCACAAGGTTATAGTACTGTATCTGTTTAATAACATCTGCTTGTGTCACCCTTTTCCTGTTCATAACCACTAAATTTCTCTTTTGAATGGGGCAAACATTCCCACAACCTTCTGCTCTTCACCTGAGGCTGGAGAACTGTAACCAATGCCCACATGCCAGAGCCTCCAGGATCCTCTTAGTTCTGGAGTGGTGTGTGTGCAAACATTATGTACACATTATTCCACTTTGTGTGCACGAGCCTGAGAATGAGGGCCTCCTAAGTTTTGTGCCCTGGCCACTTCACTTGCCTCAACCTAGTCCTGGCCCAGGCACAAGGGGCTATTTACCTCCAAAATGTCCACTGCTGTCTGTCCTCACTACCATTTATTTCTCTTTTTTTTCTTCCTCCTTCCTTCCCCTCCTTCCTTCCTTCCTCCTTCCTTCCTTCCTCCTTCCTTCTTCCTTTCCTTCCTTTCTTCCTTTCTTTCCCTTTCCCCTTTCCTTTCCTCTCTTTCCTCTTTTTTTTCTTGAGAGAGTTTCACTCTTGTCACCCAGGCCGGAGTGCAGTAGCACAATCTTGGCTCACTGCAACCTCTGCCTCCTGGGTTCAAGCGATTCTCCTGCCTCAGCCTTCCAAGTAACTGGGATTACAGGCATGTGCCACCATGCCCGGCTAATTTTTGTATTTTTAGTAGAGATGGGGTTTCACCACGTTGGCCAGGCTGGCCTCAAACTCCTGACCTCAGGTGACCCACCCGCCTCAGCCTCCCAAAGTGCTAGGATTACAGGCATGAGCCACTGCGCCCAGCCGTCACTACCATTTCTACTTGACATCGGTCACACCTTCACTGTTCTCTCTTTAATTTATTCATTCCATTCTTTTTTTTTTTTTTTTGGCTACAAGTAAAAAACCAAAAACTGGCTTCTTATAAACACTGCCAACTAAGCAGGACGCAGCTTTCCTCCCACAGGTGGCGCTCATTATTCAGGCAGGTGCTATGGCTCCTCTTAGCTGTGTTTATCATTCCTGGGCACAGAGAAGTGGCTCCTCCATGGATGGGCCCTGCTGCGCTCCTGACGTCCTGGAAGGGGGAGGTTCTGAGGTCTGAATGCTGGACAGCGGGCTGGCTGTAGGGAACAGCAACAGCAGCTCTTCATGGCCTCTCCCCCTACTCAGCACTAACAAGTCACAAGCAGATGTTAGTTTATTACCAAGCCACGGGTGCGCTCTGTTTTTTTTTTTTTTTTGCACTATATAGATCAGAGTTTTTACGGCAATTTTTCCAAAAGGCCAGAGGAGTTTTTAAATTCTGGTATTATAATTTTTTTGGTCTCTTCCAATTTAAATAATCTGTTTCTAGGCAAAACAGTGTGATGAAGAGTAAAATGTCCCTGAATGAAGACCACCATGTGGCCCCTCTGCTGTCCTTATACCTCGGCAGTCTGCGATCTCCAATCATAAGCCAACAGCATGATGCCTGGGGCTGCGGTGCCCACAGCACGCGGGCTAGAAGAAGCTCTCAGCTTTGATTTAGTGCTCCCTGAACCAACCAACCTTCTTTCAAGCTGCTTTTCATGAGAAAGCTCAGTCCAGAGCATCAGCCACAGCTGCTCCTTCTAGCCCATATTGTTCACCAGGAAAAGAAAACCTATTTAGAGCCAAAGAACACACAGGTGAAGCAGAAACACCAAATTTGCTTTTGGCAGGAAACACCACTGGAGAGTCAAGAAATACTAAATTATGTTGAGGCACCTGAAGACAAAGGACAACTGGAGCCTTAACAGACGGAGGACCCTGCACTCAGGAAAGCAGCCTGTGCTTCCTCAGTCCCCACCCCTCGCTGTGCGCAGTCAGCCAGACTGCCAGGACTACTGAGGACCTCCTAGGCGCACAGCTCTGCTCCTCGTACAGTGGAGAACCTAAGCACAGACAGAGGCAGTCCCCACTGACATTTCTATCTGCTCAAATTTTAAAGTGCATGTGAGTCTTTAACTCAACATTCCTGCTGTCCAACAGCACTGCTAGGGGCAGCTCTGAGGGCTCAGGGACACACGGCAGCCGCCCACGTGCTTGTCCTGCCCAGCGGCTCCTCTCGGCCACGTGGCTGCGTGCCTCCATGTACAGACTCTGGACAGTTGTATACAGGGTTGAAACTGGGAGGCTTGAGTTGAATATGAATCTAAAGATTTGCTCTGTTGGTGGCAAGCCAGTCCTCGCTGTTAATCCCCCCTCACTTTATTAGTTACACACTTCACCTTGAAAAACAATTACAAAGAACAAGAACATTTTAAGTGTTAAGTGCATTATAAATATTAACTCATTTAATCCTCATAACAAGCCTGTATTATCTTAATTTGAAGGTGAGGACACTAAGGCACAGAGAGATTAGGCGACCTGCCCAAGGTCACAGCTAACATGGGATAGAGTTAAGGCTCAAACTCTTGCAGTCTAGCTCTAGTCTATGCCATTAACCACTGAACAAAGTATTTTAAAAAAGGGGGCTGAGGCATTTAAGTGAGTATATAACATGCCTTCCTAAGGGCGGCCACACTCATCATAACTAAGTCTCTAATGTAGAAGTTGAGAGAACAACAACAAGGCAAGCAGGACTGCAGCACTGCGGGTATCACGTCTCCCAACTGTGGCGACTTCTGTGTGTCTCAGAAGCTTTCTGCAATGGAACACCCACCAGTCAGCCCCAGATACCTCTCCCAAGGCAGGCAGATCTGTGTGGACCAACAAAGGAACCACCAGGCACTTGTGGCCATTTAAACTTAAATCGCAATTAAATAAAATTGAAATTTCAGTTCCTCAGTGGCAACGGTCACATTAATAGGTGCTCAGCAGCCACATGGGACCAGTGGCTACTATACTGGACAGCAAGGAGAGACCATTTCCAACATCACAGAAACTGGTACTGGCCAGCACTAAGTAGACTAAGCAGTGTGATTTTTTCTTACGCTTTAGTCTGAAAACATTAGTGATAATAATTGCATCTTTTCTTCCATGAATCTGCAAAATTCAAATTACATTTTGTTTCTTCATAAAGCAAATGTGTACTCCAAAGGCCCGCTCCAAGGGGTAGAGTGGGTTACTTACAAGCAGGTCAGGTAGAGCCCTTGCCCTCTAGTAGCTGGTACCCAGGATGTTAATATGTCCTCTTGTATAATAATGACCGAAGGCTCAAAACCAGTGAGGAAAAAGGAACTCATTAAAAAGTTCAGCAGACAGCAAAATCCATTTTGTTTACAGATTTTAGCTTCATGGTGGACATTAAGCATGAGACACACATTCAACTGGTCACGTGGAAGCTTGACAAGAGAGGATGGCTAAGTACACACAAGCTGATACCCCATCAGAGGAACAACTAGGACGCACGCGTTACTACACAAAGTGGGCCAGACACTTCCAGGCTTTAAAAAAAGCACCCACACAAAAACGTTCAAATACAATGGAAGCCATGTGGTCCAGGGACAGTGGTGCCAAACTTCCCACTGCAAATATTTTCTTACAACAATTTCTAGCATCCTTAACTTCCACGAGTGGTATCCCTAAATACACAGCACCACTGCTCCATTTCATGTGGGCTCTCATGAAGCAGAAAAGCCACAATTAAAACGTGAACAACTTAGCAATAAAGCACAAATTCTAGGATATTTTCACAGGTAAGGAATCTAAGATCCAAAATTCCCCCTCTAACTCCTCAACTTGCAGTCAATGGAAGCCAGGTAAGATTATCCTTATGACCAACAGGAATTGCCTTGTTCTAACACAGATCTTTGTTCATTTAAAAAAAATTCTCCTCTCTGTCCTTCTCTCCATTCCTTCCCTCACTCTTACTGTCTACCCCTATTACATTTAGAAACACAATTGAATTTTTATGAAATCTTGTGATACAGTCAAAGTTTTTTTTTTATTTCAGAAGAATGAGGCATCGCTTACCAAGCAGTGGTTATAGGAATGATTAATATCTAGTCATCTTAAGTTGCAAAAACACATTAAGCTCCTCAGAAGATGCAAATTTTTAAAAAATGCAATAAAGTAATAATTATATTACATACTTGTGACTTCTTGTAAGAAATCCAAACATGGTCGACTACTTCCAGAAATACTTATTGAAACAGCCAATGGGGTCTGTCCTTCATAGTTCCGTGTGTTCGTGTCTGCTCCGTAATTATATAACATCCGTGCACACAGCACATCATCCCTAAGGGCAGATAAGTGTAAAGGAGTCTGTCCGTCTTCTAAGCGACCCAAGTTTGTGTCTGCCCCTCTCTGAAGGAACATTCGGCAATAAGAGTGATTGCTTTTGATCACGGCGTATCGCAACAGGAAACCATTCTGAATGTCGATGTTGGCATTGTGGTCCAGGAGGATTTTCACACAGCTTGACCTCTCTCGGATAATGGCGAGCTGAAGCGGTGTGGTACCTTTATCACTGAGTGGGTCAACCTCAGCCTTGAACTCCAGGAGGAGCCGGACAAATGAGTCCCTGCCGTAGTGGGCAGCCACATGGAGGGGAGTCCAGCCGTCATTGCTTTTTGCATTAATGATGTCGCTCCTGTATTCAGATTCTAACATCAAGCGTGCAATGCGGGCCCGGCCATGCATGGCTGCATAGTGAAGAGCCGTGAAGCCTCCGATTAAGTCTTTAACTGTAGGATCAGCTGGAGTTAAAACCAAAATGAAAGTATTAGCAGACTCCAAGACAAAACAACAAACATTACCATGGCACAGCAAACTGTGGCCAATTCTCATATAAAATGTGAAGCAACCAAACACTGTAATGAATATCAAGTACGTTTTTCCTCAGTTTAATTCAAGTCTGGTTTTAATGGAAAATAAATTTTGTAGAATGTTATCACGTCTGGGTTAATGAAAGGAGAAAGACAAAGTGTTTAAAAAGATATACACAAAAAACACGGAGTACAGATCACCACATCCCCTGTCTTTGCTAATTTAACCAACTGCCTCTGGCTACTCAACTCCTTCATCTCTGCACTGTTTCATGTTTCTCTTCTGTTTTGAACTTTTTGTTTTATTTTCTCTTGTGCTTCTTCTCGGTCTTAAAGAGAAGCATGTGTAGCAACATCTGCTGCTCTAAATTACAGATACACTATGCTCTGGCACACCGTGTTGTTTTAGGGTATATTAAGTAATAAAAAAAAGTTTTTCTGTGGTCTGTAAAAATTCCAAAGCATCTCAGATATATGTCAAGTAATCTTGACAAATTGTTTTTTCACAAGATAGAAGTCTATTCTGAATTCTTAGTTTTACACGAACTTTGGAGTTTATAAGAATTAAGCAATGCATTATGTGAATAACCTCAGCATTGTAAAAATATTTTCTAAAACAGTTCCAAAAACCTCTCCTAATTGACTGATCTCTGGGGAAGGAAAAACAACTATAATAATTTATCTGCTATGTGACTCAAGTCACAGTCTTTTGTCACTGGCCTCAGATCTTTCATTAAGCCAAAGGTTGGTTCTTGATGGCGTTCACCCCATGGCATCCCTGGCTGGGGGCAGAAGACGGACGAGGACTGGTTATGCCGGGCACCTCCTAGAAGTCAGCAATTCCATGTAAAAGATCAATTGATCAGACCTAACTACCCAGGATGAAAATGCTCTCTTGTAAAAGTCACCTTAATTTTTGGCTTGTTAATAAAAGAAAAAAATCATTAATGTTTTACACACACACCTACACATACATACACACACACAGCCTCCACAGGTGAGTGAAAACTCACGTATTGTTTAATAAACGTTATTTAGGTCTAGAACATATTATGACAAATGGTTCTCTTAGAAAAATCTGAGGCAGAAAACTATATGTAAAATAACAATACTGTGGAAAGTATTTCAGTGAAGGAGTTGCTAACAAAACCTATACAAAATAAGATGTTTTTAGGTAAGCCATATCATGTAGATTTCTAAAAACATTTACTGTAAAGTGTCAGTACACAATGGTAGTATTAGTTGTATCTATTTAGGGGAAATAAGGGCATTATATCTACCTTGGTCTTAACTGAAAGAAAAATATACAGTATCTGTTTACCACAGGACTTAAATTTAAGTAGGGTAAGAACATTTTAACACAGCATTTTGCTGCCATCTGCTGGTAAGGCATGAGCATGACACTAATGTTTCCACCGGGCAGATACTGCTGAGCCCTTAAGTCACTCAAGCCGGTTCCAGGTGCATCGCTTACCAGAAGTTCAAAGTCAGGCGTGAAATCTACAAGATGCCCTCCCATTCAAATGAAACAAAACATCTTGCCAGAGGTCATTTCTAATCTATACCTGGCCAGTCAACTGCTGGCAGACATTCCCTCTTAATCTGCAAGTGAAATTTAAGAATACCTTCTTTTCACTTCTCCCACCCTTCAGCCACCATCCTTATTTGTATCCTATACTCGTTCTATTTGACAGTAAAATTAAAATTATGTTACAAAACACTGCACTTGCATCTTTGGTTTCCATTTCAGGTCTCTTTCAGGTTCTATGTACATTTTGAAGCTACACTGAGCTAAGGAAAAACAGAGATTAACACACACAACAATGACCTGCATAGTCTCTGTTAAAATCAAATGGGAGATTAGAAGCAATGAAAATGCAAACAAATGTAATTTAAAGATTATTAGCCCATGAAATAAGGTAAGAAAAATATCTCATTTGTAATAGCAACATAAACTACAAAACGCCTAGACAGAAATTCAGTAAGAAATGGACAAGACGTGAAAACATTAAGTGAACTCATGTCACTCTGTATCCACTCAAATGTCCTTTTATCAAAAAAAGAAAAGCCTTCCCTAAACATTTCATCTAAAACAGCAACCCCACTGAACTTATTACTTTGTCCCCTTAGCAAACATTTTCTCCCCAGGTGGAACTTATTTTAAATAAGCTGTAGCATAATCTCAACAAGTTCATTTAAATTTACGAGAAAAAAATTTAATGTATATAAACAGAAGCAAAGAAACATTACCTATGAATATGAGGGGATTTTTTTTTTTCTAACAGCTTTATTGAGGTAAAATGCATTCACTTTAAGGGTACAGATGATGAGCTTTGATAACTGTATACGAGTATATAACCCACCACCCTATTTAAAATATAGAACATTCCATCATCTCAAAAAGTTCCTTCATCTCTCTTTAGCCCTTCCCAGACTCTGGGTCCCAGGCAAACCACTGGTCAAAAAAGTTTTGTCATTTCTGGAAATTCATATTAATAGAATCATATGTAGACTTCTGTGTTTGACTTACTTCACTTTGCATGATGTTTCCGCCATACTTCCATGTTGTATCGACAGTTCACTCTTTTGTATTGCTGGATAGTACTGTATACTATATAGTTTTTTTAATCAATTGATGAGAAGATGGGCATTTCAGTTCTTACCAATTTGAGCCTATTTGAATAACACTATCATGAATTAATATATGAGAGAGAGACAGACAGAGAGAGAGAGAGACAGAGAGAGAAGGAGAGGGGGACAGAGTGTTTTCATCTCACTTGGGTTCAATACCCACGAGAGACTTGCTGGGTCGTATGTGAAATGCACATGAAACTTTCCTAAGTTCCTTTTTAAATGGCTACACCATCTTACATTCTCATCAGCAATGGATGAGTTCAGATTGTTCTACATCTTGGTATCATTAGTCATTTTAATTTCACTCATTCTAGAGAGGTAAAATCGTGGCTTATTGTGCTTTTAATTTCTATTTCCCTAATAACTAGTTATACTGAACGTATTCATATACTGTTTTGTGAATTGTCTGTTCACCTCCTTTATCCATTTTTATTGGTTGTCTCCTCATTAATGAGTTGTACAAATTCTGTGTATATTCTGGATACAAGCCTTTTGTCAGATGTGTCTTGTAAATATTTTCTCCTAGTTTGTTGCGTGCTTTTTCATTTTCTGTATTATGTTTTGAAGAGCAAAACTCTTAATTTTGATGAAGCCCATTATTTATTTTACAGTTTGTAGTTTTGTATCCTATTTTAAAAATCTTTGCTCAATGCATTGTCACAAAGATTTTTTTTCTTCTAGGAATTTTGCACTTTTAACTCTCACATTTAGATCAATAGCCCATAATTAATTTTTCTGTGTGGTATAACGTAAGTTCAAGGTTCAGTACTCCCCACAAAGATATCTACTTGTTCCAGCACAATTTGTTAAAAGGACTCTTAATGATTTACCCTAGTGTCACTGCTGAAAATCAATTTACCATAAAAGTGTCGCTCTATTTCTTAATTCTGTTTTGTTCCATTGACCTAAAAGTCTCTCCATACACCAATCCCACACTGTCTTGACTACTGTAGCTTATAGTAAGTTTTAATAGCAGGTAGCTTAAGTTCTCTAGCCTTCTTTAAAATTATTAATATTTGGGATAATAAATTTTAGAATCAGCTTGTCAAGTCCTCAAACAAGCCTGCTGGAATTCTGATTAGAACGCCACTGACTCTAAGGATGGCAATCTCTCCAAAATGATCCAAACAATATTGATTCTTCCAAACCATAAACATGGGATAGTTCTCTATATAGGTCTTAATTCTCTTCAGCAATGTTTTATAGCTTATATACGTCATGCATATCTTTTGTTAAATTTATTATTAAATATTTTAAACTTTGTTGCTATTATAATGAGCTAAAATTCCATTTTCCAAATGATGACTGCTGATAGAAATAAAATTGATTTTTATACACTGACTTGTGTATTCTATAACCTACCCAAAATCACTTTTAGTTCTAGAACACATTTGTAGTTTTCTTGCCAGGGTCTACATGCACAATTATGTTCTCTGCAAATACAGTTTGACTTCTTTCTTTCCAATTCATGACCCTTGATTACTGCTCTGCCCTCATTCCACTGGTTAGAACATACAGTAGGATGCTGAATAAAGTGGCAAAAGCACAGACCCTTCCCTTGGTTCCTGATCTTAAAAGGAAAGAATTCAGTAGTTCACCACCCGGGAAGCTGTAGCTTTTCATTGCTTTGGAAATCACCTTCTGCTTCTGGTTTCCCATCTTTCTCATGAAGGTATTTAAGACTGTTCCATTTTCTGAATCTACTGAAATGATTGTTAGGTATTTATGTTTTATTCTAATGTGACAAATTACTCAGCCTATTGATTTTCAGATGTTAAACAAATATTGTACTCCTGGAGTAAATACTACTTGGGCATAATATTTTTTTTTATACACCAATAGACTGGATTTGCCAATATTTCGTTAGGAATTTTGGTATCTATTGTCATGAAAAATATTGGCTTATAGTTTTCTTCCAAGGTCTTTGTTTGGTCTGTATCAGGGCTACACAAGCCTCATACAACAAGCTTGGAAGTGTTCCCTCCTCTGTCAAAAAATTTGTGTAGAATCCTTATTTACGTCCTTTAATATCTGAAATAATTCAATGAGAAGCCAGCTGGACCTAAAGTCTTCTCAGTGAAAAGTTTTAGTTATGAGCTAGACTTCTTAAATTGATATAAGGCTATTAATCTATTTTTTCCTTGGGTCAGTTTTAGCATCAGTTTTGTGCATCAGGAAATCTGTCCATTTTTCCTAATGGCACAAAGGTGCCCATTATACTCCTAATCTTTTTGATGTCTAGAGGATCTGTAGTGACATATCCCTTCCACTCTTTTTAAATTTTTTATTGGTATGTGATATTTTACATGTTTACTGGGTATATGTGAGTATCTATTACATGCACAGAATGTGTAACGATCAAGTCAGGGTATCTGCGTTATCCATCATCACCTTGAGCATTTATCACTTCTATGAGCTGAGAACATTTCAAGTCTTCTCTTGCAGCTACTCTGAGATACATAATACATTGTTGTTAACTATAGTCACCCTATTCTGCTATTGAACGTCAGAACTTCTTTCTTCTAACAAATGGAACCCATTAACCAACCTCTCTTTATCTCCTCCTACCACCAACATACCCTTCCCAGCCTCTGTTTTCTATCTTCTATTCTCTACTATCGAGAGGCCAACTTTTTTTAGCTTCCACATGAGTGAGAACATGATATTTGTCTTTCTGTGCTTGACTTATTTCACCTCACATGATGACCTCGTCATCTATGTGGCTGCAAATGATCTCATTTTTTATGGCCAAATTGTATTCTATTGTGTGTATATATACCACAATGGACACTTAGGTTGATTCCAAATCTTTGCTATTGTGAATAGTGCTGTAATAAACACACAAGTGCAGGTATTCCTTTGATATACTGATTTCTTTTCTTTTGGATACTCAGTAGTGGGACTGCTGGATTATATAGTATTTCTATTTTTAGTTTATTTGAGAAATGTCCAGTTTTCCACAGAGGTTGTACTAATTTACAGTCCCACCGATGCCGTATTAAGAGTTTTCTTTGACTGCTGGATTACATAGTATTTCTATTTTTAGTTTATTTGAGAAATGTCCAGTTTTCCACAGTGGTTATACTAATTGACAGTCCCACCAACACCGTATTAAGAGTTTTCTTTTCTCTGCCTCTTTGCTGGCATCTGTTATTTTTTGTCTTTTTAACAGTAGCCATTACAACTGGGATAAGATATCTCATTGTGGTTTTGATTTGCATTTCCCTGATGATTAATGATGTTGAGCAATTTTTCACATGCCTGCTGGACATCTGCATGTCTTCTTTCGAGAAATGTCTATTTGTGTCCTTTGCTCACTTTTGTTTTTTTGAGATGTAATTTCGCTCTTGTTGCCCAGGCTGCAGTGCAGTGGCATGATCTCGGCTACCTGCAACCTCTGCCTCCCAGGTTCAAGCGATTCTCCTGCCTCAGCCTCCCAAGTAGCTGGGATTACAGGCATCCACCACCACGTGGGCCCAGCTAATTTTTGTATTTTTAGTAGAGATGGGGTTTTACCATGTTGGCCAAGCTGGTCTTGAACTCCTGGCCTCAGGTGATCCACCCACCTCAGCCTCCCAAAGTGCTGGGATTACAGGTGTGAGCCACCACGCCTGACCTGCCCACTTTTTAATGGGATTATTTGTTGTTTTTACTGTTGAGTTCCTTGTATATTCTGGATATTACAATGTCCCTTGTCAGATGCCAGTTTGCAAATATTTTCTCCCATTCAACAGGCTGTCTCTTCATTCTATTAATTGTTTCTTTTGCTGTATAAAGGTTTTTCAGTTTCTAAAATATAGTCCCATTTGCCTATGTTTTAGTTGTCTGTGTTTCTGAGGTCTTAGCCATAAAATCTCTGCCTAAAGCAATGTCCTGAAGTGTTTTTCCTGTTTTCTTCCAGTAGATGTGACGTTCCAGGTCTTATGTTTATGTTTTTAATCCATCTTATGTTGTTTTGCATATGGTGAGAGACAGGGGTCTGGTTTTATTCTTCTGCACATGGATATCCAGTTTTCCCAGCCTGAAGAGGGTGTCCTTTCCTCAAAGTATGTTCTTGTTATCTTTGTCGAAAATCAGTTTACTAAAAATACGTAGATTTCTGGATTCTCTGTTCCATTGGTCTGTGTCTGTTTTTAGGTCAATACCATGCTGTTTTGGTTACTAGAGCCTTGTAGTATATTTTGAAGTCCGGTAGTGTGATGCCTCCAGCTTTGTCCCTTTTGCTCAGGATTGCTTCAGCTATTTGGGCTCTTTTTTGGTTCCATATGAATTTTAGGATTGTTTTTTCTAACTTTGAAAAACTGATGTTGGTGTTTTGATAGCAGTTGCATTGAATCTACCAATTGCCTTGGATAGAAGAGTCATTTTAACAATATTAATTCTTCCAATCCATGAGCATGGGATGTCTTTCCATTTGTTTGTGTCCTCTTCGATTTGTTTCATCAGTGCTTTGTAGTTTTCCTTGTAGAGATCTCTCATCTTCTTGGTTAAATTTATTCCTAGGTTGTTGGGTTTTTTTTCTTTTTTCTTTTTGTAGCTATTATAAATGAGATACCTTCATGATTTCTTTTTTTGCCTGTTTCATTACTGGTATATAGAAATGCTACTGATTTTTGTATGTTGATTTTGTATCCTACAACTGTACTGATTTATCCAATCTAAGAGTTTTTTGGGTAAAGTCTTTAGGTTTTTCTAAATATAAGATCATATCATCAGCAAAGAGGAACAATTTGACTTTCTCTTTTCCAATTTGAATGCCTTTTATTCCTTTCTCTTGCTTGACTGCTCTGGCTAGGATTTCCAATACTACAGAGAATCTCTCTTCCACTCTTGATATTGGTTATGTATCTTTTCTCCTGTTTTCTTTTTTTCACCATTCTAGACAAAGATTCATCAATTTTATTGATCTTTTCAAAGAATCCTTATTTGTTTTTTAGTTCCATCTATCTTCTCTATCATTTGCCCATTTTCAATTCCACTGATTTCAATTATTCTGTTTATTATTTCATTCTTGTTTTTACTTTGGGATTACTGGATTCTAGAAGTATACAGAAACTGTTTCAATATAGCTCCTTTCTTTGTGCAATTACTGTCATATATTTCATCTTTACATGTTATAAGCCCAACAATTTAATTTCACAATTATTGTCTTTTATTTTAAAAGATGAAATGATGATAAAAATACATTTACACTGTCTGTGGCAAAAGTACTCAAAGGTAAAAGAATAGCATTTCCTAATAACTACTGCCAATGATAGACTTTCAGCTTTTCTTCTACACATTTTTAAAAAATTATACATAGCTGTAACCATACTCTAATTACTGAATTGCTTCTCTATATTTGGGCATTGAGAATGCCTACGTTTGAAAAATTATATACAATGAAAGGTAGGCTTTTTTTAAAACTACATCATGACATTCGGAAAGGTGAAACTTTTGTATAGAAAGTATTTCCTGCTTTTAAGACTGATTCCTCTGGCCACGTTAAAAGAATTATATTTAATCTAATCATTAATTAAACTTAATTTAAATAAAGAGTTAACATAAATTCTATATTGGCAAGATAAACTACTGTTTTTAAGACTTCAATACATACTGCTAAACTGCTTTCCAAATGTACTCTCATAAATTCCCATCAGTGTGCCAGTGTCACATTTGGAATTATCATTTGCAAAATCTTTCATTTTTGAAATGCTAAAAATATTTTTCACCGTTCTTCTGTGCATTTCTTTGATTACCCCCCTATCTCCTACTTTTTTTCATGTGTTTCACCAAAAGGATTTTACCTACTTTATCGAGAGGTTTTCTCAGGTTCCTCTGGGGATTTGCTTTATAGACTTAACTTCTGGAGCTTTAGCCAACTGCCCGTGGGCCAATTTGCATAAACACTGAATCTGAAGATGAATAAATGCACTAAGACATTGTCTCTTCCAACGTTATTTTCTTGAAATGTCCAGCATGGTCTTGGAGTTTTTAGAAGACTCAAAATTGGAAAATGAAGATAATAATGAGTTTGTTACAATTTCCACCCTTATAATAGAGACTCTTCCATCACGATTCTAACAGTACACTAACCTGGTCTGAGAGGCTACCAGGGTTTGTACAGACGTGCTATTATATGCATCCCATAAAGACTACCAGGGTTTGTACAGACGTGCTATTATATGCATCCCATAAAGACTACCAGGGTTTGTACAGATGTGCTATTATATGCATCCCATTTGTGCTTAAAACCTCAAGTATTTTCGGACCACAGTAAAACCCTAAGTTTTCATCATTTTGACGCAGGATGCTTGAAGGTAAAGCAGCAAAGTACCACTTGTATGCACAGGCCAGTGTTCCACTGTCAGCCCTTCATATCCACGTGTTCCCTAGCACAGTGTCAACAAACCACAGATGAAAAATAACTTGATTAAAAAATTAGAAATAATACAACAATACATTTTTAAAAAACAATACAGTATTACAACTACTTACCCAGCATTCACAGTGTGTTAGGTATTATAAGTAATTGAAAAATGATTTTAAAGTACACAGGAAGATATGCGTAGGTTATATGCAAATACTATGCCATTTTCTACCACGGACTTGAGTATCTGTGGTTTTGTTATACTGAGGGGGTAGCTCTGGAACCAATCCCCTGTACATACCAAAGGACAACTGTGCTCTCCAATATGGCAGCCACTCATCACATGCAACCATTTAAAACATGGCTACTGTGTCCGAGGAACTGAACTTTTTAATTAACTTGGCTGAAATTTAAATAACCACACCTGCTATGGACAGCACAGGCTTAGATTAAACTAGAAAGAGAGCCACACTGTTACCCTTTTGGAATACAGGTAGTATCATTTACTCGACTCAGACTCGCTCATTTTCTCAACGGATTTCTCCAGAAGCAGCAGCAAGTGTGGCTTCACGTGGCCGCTCCCCACCAGGCTGCCTGTGGTCACATCGCTCTCCCCAAACTATGGTCACAAGCAACCTCTTACTCTGATTTTGGCTAGCTCTGTGTGATCACTGATCGGTGGTTTTACCAGGCGGGTATATGAATTTAACATTAGTAAAATCTGACCCATCAATATATTTGAGTAATTTCTAGGTGGGTGAGTGACTGGTATTAGACACCTATGTCCCATTTATTAAACTGCATCTGGCTAGCTTCCCTCCTGCTCCTTTACTAATCTTCATTTCAATTAACGGCAATTCTTTTCTTCCTGATCCTCAGGCCAAAAGCTCAGTTATTCTTGATTTACTTCACTCTCACCTCATATCCCAGCTACTCTTCTTGCCTTAGGGCTTACGCCCTTCTGATATGTTCACATACTATAACTAGCTAATTTACTAAAGCACGAATCTGTTCTCCCATTCCTCTGTCAAAGGTTTTGACACCTCACCAATGTCCCTACAATAAATTATTGGATATATTCCAATCTTACTGAACATTCTTCATCTCCTAAAACCAAAAGTGCTCCTTCTTTCCTTCAACCCGTCACACGCAGTGCCCCCTGAGTTGGAGTAATTCCACACCCCCATCCTTCCAGCCTCCATCCTTGCCTCACCTTTCCAGATTTCCACTCCAACCACGCTTTATCTAGGAAGTCTTCCTTGCACTCGTCCACCCACCCCAGCAGACAGTGAGGACCTTATTACACATGGCCCTTAAATTCACTCTTTTGGAACTGCCTTGTTTTCTTAGGGGCAATACAGAATTACAGGTAAGAAACGGTTTGAATCCCAGCTCCACTGCTTATGAAGTAATGACCTTGGGTGAATTACTTACTCTTCCGTAGCTTAGAATTTTTAATGTAAAAACTGATAATACTTATTATCCTAAAAGAGTTGTGAGGAATTTGGCATAGACTAAACCCTCAATAAATGTTGGCTATAACTCCATCCCCCAGCAAATGACGAAGTACCAGAAGGAGAGTCCCATATTTGCTCATTTCTGCATCTTGGGGCCCAACCCTGGGCCTGGCATCTATTAGGTGCTCAATAAATATTTGCTGAATACATAGTTTATAAAGGATCAGCTGGCCACCTTGTCTATCTATATGAATTCTTGTTCTTTCTTCCTCTCTGTCTCTCCACACACACACACACACACACACCACACACACAGCAGGGTGAGAAGGTGAGGGAGAGAAAAAGAGAGAGTGAAAAGTCAAGTCTTGTTTCTTATGAGTTAGTCCACTCACTGTTCCCTATTGGGATCTTTGACTTCATTTTGGTTTACTATCCACCACAAAATGAGCTACTAACAGGAGGAGCCAATCTGACTGGAGTTCACAAACTTTTAAAGAAATTACATTGTTTCGAGACTGGACGCGGTGGCTCATGCCTGTAATTCCAGCACTTTGGGAGGCTGAGGTGGGCAGATCACTTGGGATCAGGAGTTCGGGACCAGCCTAGCCAACATGGTGAAACCCCGTCTCTACTAAAAAAAAAAATTAGCTGGGTGTGGTGGCACACACCTGTAGTCCCAGCTACTCGGAAGGCTAAGACAGGAGAATCGCTTGAACCTGGGAGGCGGAGGTTGCAGTGAGATGAGATCACGCCACTGCACTCCAGCCTGTGTGACAGAGCAAGACTCCATCTCAAAATAAATAAATAAATAAAAAAGAAAAGAAACTATACTGTTTTGAAAGTAACAGGTACGGCTGAGGTGGGAGGACTGCTTGAGCCCAGGAGGTAGAGGCTGTGATGAGCTATGACTGTGCCACTGCACTGCAGCCTGGGTGACACAGGGAGACCCCGTGGGGGGTGGGGGGAGGCATGATGCATTCAAGCAACTTTATAATCCCACCATAACGCGGCCCATTTCCAGTATTTTTTGATAAAAGAAAAGATTGGTCTTGTCTCTGTAAAACTGAGGAACAATTACTTTAGATAACTGGTGTTAGTTTTCGCTTTCTTTCTTGACGGAAGCAAAACAGATATGGGTTCTACCCTCAAGAAGCTTTAGATGAATCAGAGATATAGACATAAAATAAAGAACTATAAAACAATTCATTACGCTTATGATAGCTGTAATAATAAAAAAGTACAGGGAACAATAATATCATATAACAGAGGGATAACATCACACAGGGAACAACAGTATCACATAGCAGGGATATATACAAGGATCCTAGGTAACCTGGTCTGGATATATACAAGGATCCCGGGTGACCCGGTCTGGCTGGTAAGAGGTTTCCCTGAGAAAACGATCAGTGAGAGCTGAGAGAGAAGCAGGCAGAGCAAGGTGATGGGGCAGGGGTGGGGAGAGAGCAGAAGCGTGACCCAAGAGGGTCCCAGGCCAAAACCTTTGCACTCAGTGACTCTGAAAGAATGCAGAGGGGCTGTGGCTCAAAGCTGCAGCTGGAAAGGTAAGAGGGGCCAGGCACTGCAGCACCATGTGGATCACACTATAAACTTTGAATATCATCCTAAGAGAAATGGGAAACCAATTATGGATTTTTAAAAGGAAATATTTTTATTTCCATTTTAACAGGTCACATTATTTGGAGACTGGTTGGGAGGGGGCAAGACTGGAGGCAGGGATGGAAGAGACCACTGTAGCAGTCCTGGTGAGGAATGTTTCCTGGCCCAAAAATGGGGTGGCATCTCCAGGGAAAGGAAGTGAAAAGCTCTGACAACTTTTTAGGAGGCAGAATCAATAAGACTTAGCAATCAGTCATATTAGAGGTAAGGAAAAGGTACCAAGGATGGTTTCTAGATTTCTGGCATGGCAATCAGAGGCTGTGGTGACACTTACTAGAATGAACACCGTGGTGAGAATGGACACAGCTTGTGCTGTGCTGGCGATGTCTATGAGCCATGAGAGTGCAGACATTAAACACATAGTTGGCTACACTGATCTAGAGGTCATAAGCCAGGACTACACTAAATACAGAGCATGCCTAAGCACCACAGGTGGCCATAAGCAAGTGGGCAGTAGGTGTTTGCTTCTACTAATTTTTCTAAGTTGGTTCATAATACACTGGGTGAAACACTTTCTGAATCTCTTATTCTACTAGGGAAAGGGTATCAGGTAAAAGGTGCTACATAAAAACAAATACAGGGCTTATCCAAAATATTTGTTGTTTTAAATAAAAACTCAGAAATGGAACCACACATATATGAAAACCTTATATCTGACCTAGTGCACAGTAATGAAGAAAGAAGGCATGATTTAGGCTGTCTTTATGGGAAAAAAGTGAAACTGTACCAGGCTACCTCATATACACCAAAGCCAATTCTGAACAGATTAAAAAGCTAAATACCATAAAACATTTTAGAAGAAAACAAAGGCAAATAATGACCCTGCAGTATACTTCCTAAACAAGACACCAAGGGCACAAACGATAAGGCTAAAGAAAACCATAATTCACCTACATTGAAATGTAGACTTCTGCCCGACAACAAAAACAAGAATGTGAAAAAACTACAGAAAGAGAGAAAACATTGCAAAATCTAACAAAGGAGAATATATAAACAATTCCAACAAATCAGTAAGACAAAAAGCCCAGTCTTGCAATGTTTGTTACTCATATGTCATTTTTTCCAAGAAAAAAAAAGAAAAAGAGAGGCAGGTATATCACACCAGGAAAGAGAAAAACCATCTGGTAAGTACATCACTAGCAAAGGCAGGTGAACAGGCACTATCCTGCCCGGTCAGTAAGGACATAAAATGATGACAATCTCTTCGGAGGACAACTTGCCAATATCCATAAAAAATGTTTTGACTTGGCAAATGCACTTCTAGGAGTTAGTCAAGAAATAAACTCTCACATAATGTAACACGATCATTCAAGGACATTCTCTGTAATGTTTCTAGTAGCAGAAAAATGAAAACTTACAATGTCCAACAATAAGAAGTGTAAATAAATTACATCCATACGATGGAATCTGAGACAGAGTCCTATGCAGATAAGGAACTATCACGAAATTAACTGTTATGTGAAAAAATCAAGAGGAGGAACAGAACATTTTAAAAAGGGAGCTGGCTACAAGGTAGAAAACGGAAAAATATTTCTGCCTACATGCATAGACTATCTCTGGATGGTACAAAAGAAACCGGTGAAAGAGATGGCCTCTAGAAGAAGAGTAAAGGACTGGGGCTAAAAGTTAGAGACTTGCCCTCACTGATCAGCTTTAAGTGGCTTTTTAACCATGTATGTATGCACTACCTTTTCAAAAAACAAAATCTCCTGCTGTGAAAATTCCAGCCATTCTCAAAAAATAAAAGAGAATAAACAAATGATAGTATATCCATACCTATCAATACTATATTCAGCAGCTGAAAAGAAGAGTGAATCAATATGTATTAATAGAACCAACAGAAGGTTTCTTTGGGGGTAATGACAATGTTTTAAAATTGACTTTGCTGATGAATATCCAACTCCATGAATATGCCGAAAGCCATTAACTGTACACTTTAAATGAGTGAATTCTGTGGCATGTGAATTACATCTCAATAAAGCTATTAAAATATATATAGATATACAGTCATATATACTACTTAACAACAGGGATACATTCTGAGGACTAGGTTGTTAGGTGATTTCGCTCTTGTGTGAACACCATAAAATGCACTCACACAAACCTAGACGGCACAGCGTACTACACACCCAGGTTATATATAGCTTACTGTTCTTAGGCCACAAGCCTGTACAGCATGTTACTGTACTGAATACTGGAGGCAACTGTAATACAATGGCATTTGTGTACCTAACCATAGAAAAGGTACAGTAAAACATGGTATTATAATTTTATGGGACCACCATTGTAAATGGGGTCCATGATTGAGCAAAATGTCCTTATGCTGCACGTAACTAGATACATACATATATACAGAGAGAAAGATTCAGAAACTATAGCCCAAGCTTGTCCAACCTGCAGCCCACGGTGGGCATGCAGCCCAGGACAGCTTTGAATACAGCCTAACACAAATTCATAAACTTTCTTAAAATATTATAAGACTTTTTTGCTTTTTTTTTTTTTTTTTTTGCTCATCAGCTGTTGTTAAGTGTTAGTGCATTTTATTCATGGCCCAAGACAATTCTTCTTCCAGTGTGGCCCAGGGAAGCCAAAAGACTGGATGCCCCTGCTACAGCCTCTAAGCCCCTCACTGGTTTTTTCTTTTTTTCCCCCCACCATTGGTTTTGATAAAGTTTTACTGGAACACAGCCACACCCATTAGTTTACATACTATCTGTGGCTGCTTCCAGGCTCCGACTGCAGAGCTGGGTAGTTACAAAGCCAGTACGGCACACAAAGCCTCTCATGTTTACTATCTGGCCTTTTACAGAACAAGTTTGCAGACTCCTGCTATTAAAAAGTCTTTAAGTCACACAGTTGTATAAAAAACAACAGTTGTAGAATTATACAGTCAGTATTATCATTGATGTTCAAAACCACACACAACATAATACGACAGAATTTTTCTTTCTTTCTTTCTTTCTTTTTTTTTTTTTTTTGAGCAGAGTTTCACAATTTCGCCCAGGCAGGAGTGCAGTGGCATGATCTCAGCTCACTGCAACCTCCACCCACTGGGTTCAAGTGATTCTCCTGCCTCAGTCTCCCAAGTAGCTGGGATCATAGGCACCTGGCCACTATGCCCAACTAATTTTTTTACTCTTAGTAGAGATGGGGTTTCGCCACGTTGGCCAAGCTGGTCTCAAACTCCTGACCTCAGGCGATCCACTCACCTCGGCCTCCCAAAGTGCTGGGATTACAGGCGTGAGCTACCACGCTTGGTCATATGACTGAATTTCTATGAGTCCATGTAATAGTGTCAGGAAATACTCCAGAAGGATAAGCACTAAACCAAACGTATACCCAGTTACATCCACACAGAGGCAGATGGACAAGGATTAGGGGTTAGTCAAAGGGGACTTTGGCTTTATTTGTATAATTTAACTGAAGATTTGCTTCATTTGAAAGAGACAATATTCATGTATTACTTGAATAACAGAACTTTTAGTAACTTTTTTTAAAGTAAGGCTGGCAGAAGTGAAAAGCAACAGGACTAGGTGGAATAAACATTGTGAGCCCTCATCTTGGTCTTAATGTTATGAAGCCCTGCATAGAATTTTAACCGTTCTGACTTTACACCCACCTTTTACTTTTTACAGATCTTTTTCCTGGCGTTCCACTTCTATTTCCCTTTCATCAACTTCAGAACTGAAGTTTTTGTGTTGTAAGGTGAAATGACATGGAAGACAAGCTACAAAGTAGGCACAGGCCAGAGAATTTCTGGGTTCTGACAATGGTCAACTATTTCAGGCACATAGTTCCCATTTCAGGGCCCCTGGGCCATGTGGCTACTCCTAGTCTCAGTGTTAGCATGCCTTGCAATCAGTCCATCCTGTTAGCCTTTGTATTCATATATTCACATTATTCACATGACCCTCATAAGAATTCTAGAACTTCCAACATTTTTCTGCACCTCAAAATGCAAGGAAGTTTGGCTAGTTTTGTAACAAAGTGCACCTTAGGAAGGAAACTAAATCACTTCTAATGAGCAATTAAAGCCCTAGAATGGCATGTATGTAATTTGAGTCCCCAACCAAGCTGCTTTCAACCATAATTTACAGAGATAATGTGGGTATACATGATCAAATATATAAAAAACCCATCTCTAGGAAAATAAAGTAGGCTGAAATTCAACTGGAGAAAGTAGTTTTGGACAATCATTGGTTTAAAAACCATGGGAATGAACAGTTTTTCAAAGCAAAAACATTAATATGTCAAATATAGTTTCCAATTGCACATATTTATACAAAATTAGATCTCAGATAACCAATCTTCTTATAGTATACCTACAAACTATGTACAGTTTCTGGAAAAAACAAGTGCTCTAAAATAACAAAGGAAAGCATCTGAAACAAAAAGATAAGGATAGGGTATCATTAGGCCATGATGTTTAAAGGACTGGTGCTCGGTCTATACGCTTAAGCAATAATCAACAGGGGAAACTTGTGCAATTCTCTAATTATGGGCATACCACAGCCACTTCTGCTTCTGAAACAAAAGCAGCTGGACAACCTGAAGAAAGGTAGCTTAGCTGAAATAACCTGGGCAAACCTGGCTGTACAGACACTACAGTTTCAGGGAAAAGAATCCATTCATAAAACTGATCTTTTAAACAATCTGGTTTTAAACAAAAAGGCACACTTATAGCAAATCTTCACAAAGGAGAGAGAATAATATGTTGAGTATTAACAGAAGAGAAGCATTAAAAATTACAAATAGACACATTTTAAACTAAACATCATTTATGTTTCTCCATGGGGAAAAAGATTTGCTTCTACAAAACTCACCTCCGTGTTCTAGAAAAACCCGAACACATCTTTCCTTTCCTCTTGCTGCAGAGAAATGAAGCAGAGTCCAGCCATTCGCATCTCGGCCATTCGGGGAATAGCCTTGTTCTAGCATCTTTCGCACTGTGTGGACATCCCCAGCAGCCACCGCGGCCTGAATCTGCAACTCTTCCTGGAGCTCAGGGTTCCTTCGACAATGATGGTGTAACATCCTAGCTGAGTCCACTTTTTACAAAGGATTCATTAGGTTACGGGGATCAGCCTTTAAGAAGAGAAGGTAGAAAAGGTAAAATTTAGAATAACTGGTTCCTGATACTGCATCTATTAAATATCACAGAACATTCCATTTGCTACATCAGTAAACCTTACTAATGACAGTGCATACTACTAGCTGGGTGTGGTGGTGCAAGCCTATAGTCCCAGCAACTCAGGAGGCTGAGGTGGGAGGATCACCTGAGCCCAGGGGATCAGTCCCAGCTACTTGGGAGGCTGAGGTGGGAGGACGACCTGAACCCAGGAGATCAAAGCGGCAGTGAGCCATGATAGCAACACTGCACTCCAGCCTGGACCACAGGGCAAGACCCCATCTCAAAAAAAAAAAAAAAAAAGTAGCAATATATTTTAAAACCTTAAGAATCTAAACAATCAGGCCAAGCACAGTGGCTCACGCCTACAGTCTTAGCACTTTGGGAGGCCAAGGCAGGCAGATCACTTGAGGCCAGGAGTTTGAGACCAGCCTGGCCAACATAGTGAAACCCTGTCTCTACCAAAAATACAAAAATTAGCCGGGTGTGGTGGCACATGTCTGTAATCCCAGCTATTTGGGTGGCTGAGGCACAAGAATTGCTTGAACCCGGGAGGTGGAGGTTTCATTGAGCTGAGATTGCGCCACTGCACTCCAGCCTGGGCAAGAGAGTGAAATTCTGTCTCAAAAAAAAAAAAAGAATCGAAACAATCTGGTGATTAACCACATGATCAAATTACTAAAAGGAAAAGTAGTACAGTGAATTCTCATACTCTCTAATAGGTCACAAAAAAGGACTGTACTAAAACCCAACATACAATGAAATATCTGGCCAGGCACAGTGGCTCACGTTTGTAATCCCAGCACTTTGGGAGGCCAAGGAAAAAGGGACCACTTGAGCCCAGGAGTTCAAGACCAACCTGGACAACACAGTGAGACCCTGTCTCTACAAAAAAATACAAAATTAAAAAATTAGCCAGGCATGGTAGTGTGCACCTGTAGTCCCAGCTACTCGGCAGGTAGAAGCAGGAGGATCACTTGAGCTTGGGAGGTTGAGGCTGCAGTGAGCTGTGATTGTGCCACTGCACTCCAGCCTGGGATACAGAGCAAGACCCTGTCTCAAAAATTAAAATAAGAAAGTAAAATGAGACCTCCTTCATGGAAACAGTAACAGTCCAAAGTGAAATGGTAAAAAGTTGCATCTTACATGTGTGTATACAAAAACATTTTTAGTGTGTTTTTAAGCTTTTAACTACATACAGAAAACTAACAAGCTTCCAGAAAGCCACTCCAGGTGTGCTAACTGGAAGGAATAGATTAGACTCATCTCTTAACTAGTAGTCCCTTTGTTTCTAAACATTTTTTAAACTGTGATGAAGCCCTTTAAAGACATTTCTGTTCTCATATGTAGGTTAGACATATCAGGATAATCTTGCTACCAACAATCGTTTATCTTGCAAAACTTACTATAGACTGTACAAAAGTAAACTTAGGCCTAGGTTAAGTCAAATCATTACAACTTAAGAATACAAATATCCTATGTTGTTTTATACATAGAAAATGGTGTCATTACCTACTCCTAAGTATCACAACTAAGTGCTCAAATTTAAAAATATCAAGCTACTTCTACAAATAGCTATTTCCTCAGAGAAATATGGGAATAAACAAGATTGCCTCTTTTTTTTTTTTGAGACGGAGTCTTGCTCTGTCACCCAGGTTGGAGTGCAGTGGCGCGATCTGAGCTCACTGCAACCTCCACCTCCCGGGTTCACACCTTTCTCCTGCCTCAGCCTCCCAAGTAGCTGGGACTACAGGCGCCTGCCACCACGCCCGGCTAATTTTTTTGTATTTTTAGTAGAGACGGGGTTTCACCGTGTTAGCCAGGATGGTCTCGATCTCCTGACCTCGTGATCCACCAGCCTCGGCCTCCCAAAGTGCTAGGATTACAGGCGTGAGCCACTGCGCCCGGCCACAAGATTGCCTCTTATTTCTTCTCTCAATTCCTTCACAAAAATTGTCCCTTCTTAGAAATTTTAAAATGAGAATCCTTTCAGAATAGGTTTTTGCTTATTCTGTTATGAGAGAAAATGCTGAAGACCGTCTGAAGGAATTAATGGAAACATACTATGCTCACAATCATCCTTAACAGCTTTTCTTTTTAATTAAGTGATTATGTTGGCACTTAAACGAGGCCTACCATGCAAGAAAAAGACTGAAACAATATCAAAACAAACCTGGGTTTTCTTTAGTGAGTGGTGTATTTAGTATACATTAACTGATTTAAGAGAGAAGTAAAAGTTAAGTGAGCTTTCCCCCGGAACAACACAGATGACCAATGACCCTGAGGCAACTTGCCTTATGGAAGAGTGTCCCTTCTCCTGATGTACGGATTGCCTAGTAACCATTGTGCACGTACAGCATCGTGGGGAGGGGCTTCAAAGTACGTCCAGGCTACAGAGCAAAAAAGCCTTCTTAACCTAGAAACAAATAAAAATAACAATCATAGGAAAATTCCTTAAAATAATAATCATAGCTGTCTGCATAGTCTACCTTTTGATGAATGTAAACTTCAGTGCTTTACAATAAATCTATAGAGCAGAGAAAGAACTCAGATCAACTCTTACAGAAAATAATCTTGTTACATATGTTCATCTCCAATAAATACTATTTAGTTTCAGGCTTTTCCCCCCAAAATGCAGCTATTTGAGAAAGAGCAAATAAAAAAAATAATAAATCACATATTTGGAATTTGGATGCAAGCATAGATTCTTCATTTTCCTCTATTGAGAATACAGTTTCAGACTTGCTTTATCTGAATTACTTTTTAACCGACACCATAAGTCACCTGCACTTTCTAAACAGGACTTAAATGAGAATACGTGTGCATGAAATATAATAGGTGGCCTGGGTTAAAATAAAATCTATGACAACTAAAAGGAGACTGTGTCTTTAAATGCATTTTCTTCATGTGCCCTAAAGGCATCAAGTCAATCACTTTGAAATTGTTATTCCTTTATGCATACACCGAACTAGATAAAACATTAACAACAGCCTTGCCAGGTTCCCCATGTGAATTCTGAATAAACTCTCTCCACAACTAAAAGAAAAGGGATCTTTCTTCGTGTCAATTAAATTCCAGCTCTGTTAATTCCAACAAAGTTAAGGACACAAAGTGACTTCCACATAAAACTCTAGGAATTACATATTGGGAGAACTACTACCTCATCCCCTGACGGTGGGTGAGCATCACTTAAACCTTCAGACAAGAAAAGGTCGGGCCACTTAGCAACCTGGCCCGCAGCAGTTGTATGTCCTGCTGGCTGCACACCAGAATTTTCAACCAATCCAAATTGGTATAGTCCACTTCTCTCTTTTCCTCTATTCTCATCTACTTTTCCTTGACAAACCTCTTCAAGGAAGGTAAAGAGTTTGCCAACTTGCCCTTGGAAATAAAATTTGTTTTAAAATTCTATTATTATTTCTAAATAAATGAGGCCGACGAGATCAGAACAACTCCTACAAAGCAAGCTGTGAAACATGCAAAGCGATCCTTATACAAATGGCCGATTCTAAGACTGGAACATCACACGGTGCCAGAAAGCAAGGAGGTGCTCAAAGAAAGACACCACGGTGGGGGAGGTCAAAGGGACACAGGAGCCAACTGAAAGATCCCTCAATAGCCAAAGAGGGAATAACTGCAGCAATACTTAAAACAGTACCAGATGACAAAGTACAAAGTGGATATCAAGAGTTCACATTGATACAAATAACTGATTCGATAAATAAAGGGGGAGAAACACATCTGTTGTTCAGAATTCCAAATAATTTGTATAGGTAGTCTCTCCTCAAGGTGGTGACAAACATGTTAATATAAGATGTTAGTAGGAGAAACTGAGTATCGAGCATGTAGGAACTCTGCACAGCCTCAGTAATTGTTCTGTAAATCCAAAGCTTTCCTACAATAAAGTTTATTTTAAAATGCAAATCAGTGTCCCCAGTGATGAGCCTCACACATTGCCACAAATGAATATGCCACCACTTTTCACGAGCTACATCTACATTTCAAGAGTGAACATCACTGGACATCTCACTTCCAAGTGTGTCCTCAGCACCCCTTACTTCCCATAAGAAGTAAACATGACCCAACATAGCTTCAAGCCTGAAGAATCCTTGTGGTTGTTGCTGGCTTCCAACTATCCACCGCCACTTCCATGGAGGCAGCTGGAAGTGTCAGGGAAGACGGCATGAGAGCTGAGCAGAATAGGAAATGGTGTTAATTTATTAACAATATCAAGAAAAGGCCTGGTGGTAAAAGATGAAGTGGCCAAACTATTTCTCCCAACAAGAAAGATTCACAGGTGGTAGCAACTTGTGCTAATTCCATATGAGCTCCTTCAGTCAAACAAACAAATGTCTACAGAATGCTTGACACTTAACGTGGCACAGTGATAGGGTTTGGCCACAGGTAGCACCTCCAGGTGGTATTCCAATAGAGTTCTGCATACTTAAAATGAATTTTTTAAAATCCCAGACATTTTAAGATTATTTTTCTCTTTTCTGAAAATACCAAGTGCTATAAACAATAACCACAGGTTTAAACCAAAAAAGTACTCCCTGCATGTACTAGTGCATCAACGTTTACCAGAAAAAAACATACACACACGTCATGCACACATGATCCCTGTCAGCTACACTGCTTTGAATTACGACAGAAAATAATTTATTACAAAAGACCCCCAAATAGTCAAAAGCATCAACAAGTAATTTCCTCCTGGTGTTACTTTATGAGAGCTGCGCCTGACAGAGTCGAGTCACGTGTATAAATGAAGAAAAGACTATGGAGCTGAAAAGCAAACACAATATCTAGTGGTAAATATGTCTATTAAAAAACAACAGAGGAAGTCCAGAGATGAGAATGGAAGAAAGCCTATTTTCCCTCAGGGAGTTTATTAAAAAACTGATAGCTCATGGAAGTCACCTATAAAAAGAAAAGGAATATAGCAAAGGAAGTAATTTTCTTTTTTTTTTTTTTGAGACGGAGGCTCGCTCTATTGCCAGGCTGGAGTGCAGTGGTGCGATCTCGGCTCACTGCAACCTCTGCCTTCAGGGTTCAAGCGATTCTCCTGCCTCAGCCTCCTAAGTAGCTGGGACTACAGGAGCGTGCCACCACACCCGGCTAATTCATGTATTTTTAGTAGAGACGAGGTTTCACCATGTTAGTCAGGATGATCTCGATCTCTTGACCTTGTGATCCGCCCGCCTCGGCCTCCCAAAGTGCTAGGATTACAGGTGTGAGCCACCGCGCCCGGCCAGGAGGTAATTTTGTAAGTTATGTATGTTTAGTTATGTTTTTGTGGACTCAGGAGCTACTGATACTCTGAGGGTATGATCTTCAGAAATTTTATTCTAGCTTTCACAGTCACAAGGAAAAAAAAAGCAAACAAACAAGGAAGACTTTCTTTTCCACTTGGGGTCAAAAGAAAAGAATCTAGGCTTCCAAGCTTTAATACTATTGACCATATTAAAAACTACTAATTTAGAAATTCAAGTACATTACCATCTAATTTCCATATAGATGCCAAGTGAAGTTCATTTAGTTAAACCCAAAACTTCTTGCTTCACATAGTTAAGTCTATATGATAGAACAGCGTGAAGAATAAAATAAACATAAAACAAAATATGCTTAAGACCTGTCCGAAGTTACAAAACCTTCACCAAATTTGACCATATTTCCCAAATCTCCTTTGGCATAAATGATTAGACATTAATGACTTTTTGCATATTATTATCATTAAAAGTCCACACATTTCTGATTAAGTGATGCAAACTGAACTGTGCTTTCTGATGTCACATAAACTTAGCAACAAGATAATGGCTTATTACTCAAAGAAAGAAATAAGCATTTCTTTGCAAAGTAAACAAAAATACATGCTGGTAAGAAAATAAATGCAATCAGCAACTCCGACGACATTGGGTCTGAGAAAAAAAAAACAATCCTTCAATGGTTCACATTCACAAGATCTAAGAGGGAAGATGGATGGAAAAACACTACACGGCCGTACCAAAACGGAGAACATGGCTGAGATGCCTGTTCACAAGCTCTACTGATATGATCAGGAGCCTGGAACCCAAAATAAGGTATAAGTGTTATTTTAGTGTCACTCAACAAAGTATAGCATAGTGGTTATGATCCAAAACAAATAAAGGTATTAGTATTTCCTCCAAATTACTGGGCCTCCATATAACATAAGGATTTATTACCATGCACAACTTATCCATGACCCACATAAATTCCAGCAGAGAAACCAATAATTTTCATGAAGTGTGGATGAAGCAACAGAAGAAATTTTGGACTTATCCAGACCCAACTCAAAGCTTAAATCACAAGTATTATAATGATGAGGTCCTGTCAATATTATCTTATTAACCTAGGTCTGCCAACACCATCTTTGTAGCCTCATGTGTCAATTCCTAGAAAGTTTGCAAGAAAGGAGACAATCATCCTACGTAGGGAGGGCATTCAGGGGATTATGATGTGGAAGGCTGAAAGTCAGGTAACAGATATGCCCATATAAATCATATCTGGCTTTAGACTTTTTAGGGATGGTGTGTATCTCTATGTCACCAAAGTTAAACGTGAACAAATTAAAGAGATACTGTATGTGTCATAGTATTAACTAATTGTAAATGACATCACTTTATGTGTAAAGAATGTAAGTACTGGCCACAGTATACTAAAGATGCATCATTGCATATCTTCAATTAAAATCAATTATTCTCCCTACGTGATTATAAATCTATATTTGGTGACGAAATAAATTGGATTTTTTTTAAGCCACATGATTGGCAATAGAATTAATACAAAGCTAACTGCCAGGTTAAAAAATGTAAGCTACCTAACTAGCCATGTTGGTAAATAAATACCCAAATTAAATATTCTAAATGCCTGGTATAATCTAGACCAAATACTCTCAGTCATTCTGATATTAGAAACATGACAGATGTTGACAATTTACACATATTCCCTAATCTTAGAAAAACTATTAAAAAATGAGATGATCCATGAAATACGATTTAAGCAATGAGAATGAACTGGCTGAGAGCCAGAGTAAAGACTTATCCTCTCTTACCTTATGTGCTGGACTAGCCACAGACTCCTTCCCTTTACCATCTCAGGTGAAACTACTCTTTAGAAATGAAAGCGTCCTAGAGTTACATGTAAAGCTGAAAAAATATTTAACTGAGAGGCTTGAATACAAAACACAGTACTTCATTTTGATCTTTAGAACATACTTCAAATATTTTAGCATTTTTTAAAAGTTCTGAAGTAATCATTAGGCCATCTCCCTGACAACTTCCATACTTACATAATAAAAATTAGCCTTTAAAGATTTCCGGGTAGCTTTTACTGAAATGATGTAGTCTAGTACTCCTGATTCCCTACATATACATACAAAAGCTGCCCTAAGTTTTCAACAGGGAACAGTCATTGGTAGATACTGATTCTAAATCCTATTCCCTAGAATCTCTTCTTTTGGCATGCAGTTCCATGTCTCAAGAATATGCATACCTCAGATCCCCTTAAAAGCTATGTCTTTATCTCTTTAGCTATGTCTTAAGAATTAACAGAATCAGTAAAGATACTAATTTCTTTTTGTGGAGGGCAGAAAGTCCAGTGGAACATAGGAAATCAAAAATATTAACTTCTGCTATTTTAAGCACTTCCTTGTAACAAAAATTCCCTAAACAATTTGGGATATTAAAATAACTCAGATTAACAAGTCACTTTATACTTTTGCTACTGGATGTTAAAAAAGTCATCCATTTGGCTAATTTTGGAATTAAACCTTGTATAATTTCCATGCTTATATCCCCCCTTTAGGAATTACACTAATGTCCTAAGTTTACTTTCAGAGCATTTTCAGAAGCAGCAACAAAATATGGCAGCAGAAATGTGATCACATGAATTAGATGCTTAAATTTCAATCCAGCAAACTCTACGTAAAAGTTTTAAAATGAGAAATCTTTTTTATAGAGTGCTAAAATTAAGACCCAGATATGTAAACACACCAAAAGGTTCCTTTGTTTTTAAATTCCTGAGTCAAACGATTAATAAGATATTGTGCAAATTTTTAAAAGTTCTCCTAGAAAATCTGAGGTGTAAGAAACATTGTATCTTTATAAGTTTCAAAGCCCATCCACATTTGTCACACACAAACACACAGAAAGCCCAAAGAGTTAATTATGCCTAAGTGCTTCAGGGTAATAATGTTGTCTTCATACCATTCACACTCTTAAGGTACACAGGTTGGCTTTCTAGTAGGAAATAAAATCAAACTATTTTCTGAAACTCATAAATCTCAGGCCAATAATTTACCTTTCTCTACCAAATCGTTGTCAGTTAGATAACTCAAAAGATTTTTCTGATGCAGGTAGAAGAAA
This sequence comes from Homo sapiens, assembly GCF_000001405.40. Classification (NCBI taxonomy): domain Eukaryota; kingdom Metazoa; phylum Chordata; class Mammalia; order Primates; family Hominidae; genus Homo; species Homo sapiens. The sequence continues at coordinate 100,603,741 of NC_000015.10, read as the reverse complement.
GGTGATAGGAAAGAGTAAGGGGGAAAACAGTAAATTGTGGTTTAATTAAAAAGGAAAGTCATTCAGAATTAACAAGCAATTAACAAGGAATTGAGGAATTCCTATGAGAGTAAGGAAGGGAGGGTAGCTACAAAAAGGTCTCAAAGCCTCAGAGCAGAGTAAATGGCACAGTGTACCAAAAGATAATGAAAAACACAGAAACACACTGTACAGAAAGAAAGTGGGAAAATACTGTCCTGGGTAGAGAAGTTATAAAATGTTAAGTATCAGGCACGGGTAATGTTTTTGTTTTTCCTGGGAAACTGGGGGTGGGGGTGGGGGGGGTAGGAAAGGTTGCATTCCCAGGCAACCACCCTGAAAATAAACCACTGCTTAATGAGGTAGGGGCCAGGAATAAACAACGGGGGAGGGGAGGGCTGGCTCATTACCTTTACAGACGATGCTGGTCAGAGGCACTGTGCCTTCTGCTTCTCTGATAGGTGGGCAGACCTCTTCCTGCTTTCGCGTCTTCTTCAGCCAGCTCAAACCTAGAAAAACAGAAACCAGTGAGTGGTGTAGTGTCTCAGAGGTGGGGAGGGGGGAGCTCAGGAAAGGGGCTGGAGAGTGGCAAGGGCAGGCAAGAAAAAGCAGAGATTTTCCTCCCTCCTACCCTCCCAGCCAGCACTCTTCCCCTCGGGGGAAGTAAAGGACTTTACCTGTCTCCTCAGCTGCTGCTTCTCTTCCTCCTTTCAGCCTCCTCTACACTCACCAACTTCTCCATTGAAGAAATACCCCAGGCAGGGCCGGACCCTGGTGTTCCTGATCCTCCTCGGTGCCTCACGGCCCCAGCCCGGCGAACATCCGAACAGCCGAGAAGGCAGGAGGTGGCGATCCCGGCCGCCGGGCAGCCTTGGGGCAGAGGTGCAGGGAGGCAGGGAGGAAGTCCTGGCTCGGGTGGGGGGGCAGTCCCGGTCCAGGGCTCGGAGCAGGGGGCTGCCGCGCTCCGGGCCGGAGGCTTCCAGCTACGGAGGGACCCAGGAGGTCTCGGGACGGCGAGGTCCCAGGTCATACGGGGCCCGAAGTGCCAGCCGTGGGGTCTCCGGACAGGGGGCTTTCGGGATGCACTTTGCACTGGGCCACCCCCGCCCCCTCCCTTCAGCACTTTGGGGTCACTGGGATGGGACCAAGCCTTCAACAACCAATCAGCGCCCGCAGTGGAGCCTGAGCCTGGAGCCGTAAACCAGGTCCGGGATGGGTGGGGGTGGAGGGAGTAGGGACGACTTGGTTGGTTGGTTGCTTCCTTCTCTCCTCCTTACCCCCGGCAGCCCCCACCCTCTGCCTGCCGTAAAGTTGCCTTTGCATTCGCGACAGTTAAGGGAGGCGTGCCGAACGGGGCAGAGATTCGTCTCCGATTGGTCTCACTCACTTCCCCTTACAGCTTCCCCGTGGTGGCTTCCGAGGCTCCGCCCCTGGCGGAGGGACTCAAAGCCGTTGCTAAGAGACACTATTCGCCGAAGGCGGTCTCTGCGCATGCGGGAGGAGGTGCCAGCTTGTACTTTCTGTGAACTACGGTGGCCCAGAGCGGGCATTTGTGTTCCCTCAAATGGCGGTGTGAAGAGAGTTCGCCTGAGCCAGATCCCAGGCAGGTAACCGGGACCGGCCGCCGTGCTGGCAGCAGGGGAGGCACGAGTGCGGCCAAATGAGAGCCTGGTTCAGGGCTTAAGGTTGGGAGGGCGGCAGGCTCCAGGAAGCGAGTAGAGGGGTGCCTTGTTTCTCCGCCCCTGTTCAGCGCTTGTCAGACGCAAGTGCCCGGTCTTGGCGCGGCTGTCGGTCCTTGAGACCCCGTTAGCTTCCAGGCTGGCAATGCCTCGCCTGAAGTGGGAGAACGGACTCTCTTTGGGATAGCGATGACGATCCAAGGACCTTCCTGAAAGGATAGCAACGTTGGCGGGTTCCTGTGAATGAATGGAGAGGGGTCGTGGGGAAAACGCGAGATAGACTGATCAAGACACGTTTGTTAAGCACTTTATTCATTAGCAAGTGTTTACTGGCCACTGTTCTAGTCCCTGGGGAGACAACAGTGAACAAGATAGTGATTTCGGGGAAACAAACACAAAATTATCAGATAGGGATGGGTTATATGAGGAAAATCAAGCAGAATGGTGGAATCGATTTTGACCAGGACGTGATGGGCTGTATTAGATAGGTAGTGCTATGGTGTGAATATCTGTCCCCTTCAAAACTCATGTTGAAATTTAATCCCCAATGTGGCAGTACTGAGAGGTAGAGTCTTTAAGAGGTGGTTGGACCGTGAGGGTTCTGTCTTCACGAGTGGATTGATCTATTCATGGATTAATGGGTTATCACGGAGGTAGAACTGGTGGCTTTTTAAGGAGAGACTTGACAACTCGTGAGCCTGCTCAGCCCCCTGGCCACGTGATACTTTGCGGTGCTGTCTCGTGGTCCGTCAGTCTTAGACTTCCCAGCCTCCAAAACTAGACAATAAATTACTTTTCTTTATAAATTACCGAGTTTTAGGAATTATTTTATAAGCAACAGGAAACGGACTAAGACAGATAGGAAAGGTCTCTGAGGAAGTGACATTTGAGCAGGGATCTGAATGACAAAGAGCCAGCCATGCCAAGATCTAGGGAGAGAATTTTGCCAGCAGAGAGAATTAGAAATGCAAAGCCTCTGATGCTAGAATATGCTTTGCTGTTTACAGGAACTGCCAGAAAGAAGGCTAGGGTAGCTGAAGCAGAGTGGTAGGAAAATGACTGGTAATGAGACTGGGGAGTGGGGCATAGAGATGAGAAGACGCCGAGAGTCAGATCTTGAAGGGCCTTGGTAAGCCTTGTTTAGGAGTTTGGACTGTATCCTAAGGAAAGTGGATTGGTTTTTCAGAAGGAAGTGGGTGTAGGGTGGGCCTGGATACAACCACTTTGGAAGGGATCGGTTGCAGTTGTCCAGAGTAGAAGTGCAGTAGTGGCAGTGAAGATAGATTCAGCTTTTTAATTTTTGTCCCATTATACTTCCCAGCAATCATATTTCATAATTTCAACTTTCTAAATTTCCATTTCTTCTTGAAATTAGTAGCTGAATTATAATTAGAAACAACTTATTCAGGACTATTAAATGCTATCAATTTTTAGTAGCTTTCGGTCTTTCGATTCTACCATGATTTCTCCCTGTTTTTTTTTTTTTTTTTTTTGCTTAACAGCAGGACTCCAATGTAAACAAATAAAATAAAAGCGGTATTTTATTAGTATTGTTAAATGAAATGTATAGGAAGCCATTGTTTTAGATTAAACCCCTGCACTAGGCCCAACAGACCAGGCCAAATCAGAATGGAGTTGCTGGTGCTAGGTGTCACATAATCAAACAACTTAGAAATGGGCCAGTTGTCAAAAAATCCAGAAGATACACAGCAAGGAGTCAAGGAGGCCTGATTTACCTGAGCCAGCATGATAAAGAAGTCTCTCCTCCATTTGGTCTCTGTGAGGAAAGTTTAACTTTGAAATGACCAATCTGTCTTTTATTCTCTTTTTGCTTCTTCAACCGTTTTCAGCCCACCTCTGCTCAGCTAATCAGAACACCGTTTCTAAATTTTTAGTTGAGATGCTGCCAGATTCATAAATTGCTAATAAAAGCCATTTACATCTTTAAATTTGTTCAAATTTTGTTTGTTTTTGTTTTTGAGATGGAGTCTCCCTCTGTCGCCCAGGCTGGAGTACAGTGGTGCGAGCTTGGCTCACTGCAACCTCCGCCTCCCAGGTTCAAGCAGTTCTCCTGTCCCAGCCTCCTGAGTACCTGGGACTACAGACACACTCCACCACACCCAGCTAATTTTTGTATTTTTAGTGGAGATGGGGTTTTACCACGTTGGCCAGGCTGGTCTCGAACCTCTGACCTCAGGTGATCCACCCGCCTCGGCCTCCCAGAGTGCTGGGATTACAGGTGTGAGCCACTGCACCCAGCCTCAAATTTTGCTTTTTAACAGTTCAAATATAATGTACAAGTTCAGTTTTATAACATTTACTAATTATAGAGTCAAGAAGTTTTGAACTCCCAAAAAGAAGGAAAAAGAGGGAGAGAGAAATGAATAAATATGTAAATTGTTGTGGAGAACATATTCATTCTTATAGCAGACTCGGCACCCATGCAATTCATATGGTGTATTTGCTAAATGATAGTTAAGTAGAGAGATGGGGGCCTAAGAACTTGTTGGTGAAGAGCCTAGAAACAGAGTTGTCTCCTAATTCCTAGTTCTTTGTATTTCTGGCCATTTGTTTTTCATTAAAAATCCTGCCTTTGAGTTAAACAACCATTTTCAAATGATTGAAGTACATGATTATATCATAGCCAAGTAACATCATATTGTCAAAGTTTCACAGAATGTGCTACTAGGTAATTTTAAATTGCTTTATTGAATTGGTGCTATCAGATTTGCTAATTTTTATAACTTTTCAATGATGTAAAAGCAGTTTAGATTGCGGAATATTTATAACAAGTTAATATTGATTAGGTTTTAACAGATACACTTCATTTCCCATTAACTTAGTTAATAATATAAAACTCACAAAAATGGGAACATCTTACAACATATAAGTGAAATAATTTGGGATAAGTATTCATGAAGCTTGATTCATGAAACCCTGACTCAATCAGAATTGAGTTTATTTCTTGAGTAGAAAGAGACTTTGTCATTGGAAAAATGCCCCAGCACCACTGCAGCAATTCTGATTTAGCTGGTCTCTAGGGAGTCCAAGGCTCATGGGTTTTTCCTAATGTTCCAGTGATGTCAGTGTCAAGGTCAGATTCCAAGGTCAAGGACCACTGCCCAGGAGGCTGTGTCCTGGCCCATAAAGCACTTGGTGGTGGAGAGAATGAGCAGGTTATGCTCTAGTTGGCAGCAGGCAGTGTTCTGGGCCAGCAGGTTGTGTCTGGGGATCTTGGTGTAATAAAGAGGGCCACCATAAAGACAGATGCAGCACAGTTTGGAGCCCATCATTTGCCTTGTTAGCCCAACTTAGTTCAGCTGTACCTGGCAGAAAAGGCGATGGGGCTGGGTAGAGAAATTGTATTTCAGACCTTGGTCATCACAGCAAAAAGAACGCCGAAAGAAAGGAAGCTAACTGGAGGCTTTTGAGTTCCTTATAGTTCTTGCCCTGGTAATTTAAGGGATTTTGGTCTTCTATGGTATTCTACCACAGCCATTTTAAGATGGTGCTTCAGTGTGTGTTGCTTCTGTCAAGTACGTTGTCAGATGTGTCATACGGTAAAGACTGAATGAGCTCAGAACTTAATCCCTGCTATGGATACTACTGTTTATAATTCTTTGATACTACATTTTTATTATAATTTAAAATTCACAACTTAAAATATTACATGGTGTTTTTAAAGTTTTTTGAGATCAAAACGGTACTAAAATATACTTTGGGACTGATTTTAGGATTGTTACATATACACTACTAAATTAATCTTCAGCCAGGAATGTATTCCACAAATATAAGTACCTACTGTGTATCAAATGCTGTGCTAGGAGCTAGGGAAGAACCAAGCAGACAACTCTAAATCATAAAAATCATTGCACAAATCGTTAAAGTATAATTGTGACACATTCTGTAAGACAGGGCACCAGAGCTGGAAGACAGTATCACCGGAGGACCTACCCCTGCCAAAGAAAGTCATATTTAAGCCTAAAACAAAAGGGAAAGTGGGTGGAAGGAGAAGCATTGTATCAAGGCCCAGAGGCTGGAAGGAACCTTTCAAGGTTAATAAATAAAGACATATTGACATCTTCCTACTTGAGTTATACAGGTGTTTTCACATATAAGCCATTTAATTTTTGCAAATCTTTGAGTATGCTACTTGGCTGAGGTAGGTAGATAATCTCGTTTTATCAATTGAAAAATCAGATCTTGTCTGTGTACAGAATTTAGGAGTTCAGTAAAATCTAGACAGTATCACATCTATAGACAGTTCCTCAACGCTACCCTGCCACTGGTGGCGGGTTTGTGGGGGCAGATGGAAAAGGGACAAGGCATAGACTGGAAAAGGGGAAGACTAAGGAAAACCTTTCAGTGAAATATTTCATTCTGAAGTACCACTTAAAACATACAGTTATAATTTAGCAACTAAGTATAGAAAAGTATTCATATTGATACACTGGATAATTTCCATTTATTTTAAAAATGCTTAGCATTAGCATATAAAAACCTAAGGAGCTGAGATTCCTCATCAATAAATCAAGTAGATTGTGCAGTGGTTCTCAAAATGTAGTCCCTGGTTCAATTCTTGGGCCCTCCCAGACCCACTAAATCAGAATCTCCAAAGTGGGCCCAGCCATTTGTGTTCTAATAAGCCTTCCAGGTAATTCTGATGCTACGGTTTGAGAATTATCTCTAAATTATCTCTTGAGATTTTTTCTAGTATGAACACGTTATGATTCTAATGTCCAGCATTAATTTGTGCTATGTTTAAAAAAAAAAAAAAAGATTTGCCTTTGGAGTGGTCACATAATAGAGCTACTTGAGAAAGATACTGTTGCCAGTAGGCCAGGTCAGGTTCTTCGCTTCTCTGCACAAAAGAATTTGAAAGGGAGACCACAGTGAAAATGTAGAAGGTTTGTTGCAGAGTGAAAGCAAGTGCACACTCAAAAGAGGAGCCTGGATGTGCTCAAAAGAGGCGTGTAATGTGGTCAGGGCTCGCTACGCAGACAGGCATGATGAAGGCACAAATATTCTATGATGAAAGGAGAGGGTTTCCAGGAAATGGGTGGGCAGTTCCCAGAATCAGGGCGCCACCCTTTTCTTGACTAAATGTGGTTAATCTGGAACTGCCATAGCTTCAGGTACGTGGCAGGGAGTGGGCGGTTTCCCCAGGGAAGTTTTATGGTAATGGGGCATAATGCAGCCAAGAGTATGCATTCAGTCAAGTTTTTGGCCATCTTGGATTTAACCAATTGCAGCAGGCTTCCTCTGTTACATTCTTATCTGTGCCTGGTCCCCAGGTAGCCCTTTCCCATTGGCACAGCTGCCGGCATTCACCTATGCAAGCTTTTACTTGTGTATCTATGCTTGCAGCTTGATTTTTCAGGCCGCTTTTTGTTAGAAAAGAAATGATTTGGGGGCTGCTTTTTATTAAAAGGGAAACCTTGCCGAGGACTCTCTTACCCTCACTATCTGTCTAAATAATTTCTAGCTCCTGTATCATCAGGCTGTTACCAGTATATCACTTTGACAGAAAAATGCATTTAAGCATTAAGTCTTTTATCTATAACTTGATTGCCAGGCTTTTCCTTCATGCCAAAAAAATCTGGCCTGTTTCAGAGTCCTAAGACAAGAGTTTAATAGGAAGACAATTTACAAACACGTGACAGAGTTTGTATTCTCACTATCTCAGAAGTAACCTGGAAACTTGTTAGAAATACAAATTACTGGGCCCCACCCCAGAACTATCTTATGGGAAGCTCCTAGGATAGGGCCCTGCAGTCTGCTTTCATAAACCTGTCTAGTGCATGACACAGTTTGAGTACTATTGTTTTGAGGAAAAGGAAGGATGGTGTAGCACTCCAAGGCCAGTAACCGCCAGCACCCCCTTTAGCCCTGAAGGTAAAGAGAGCTGGCAGTTCCTGGAGCTTGAAAGTCCAGCCTGCCTTCCGCCCCTCCCACTCCAAATCTCCTGGAGTCTGTTGGGGCACAGAGGAGAGTGAAGAATGGAACTAAAGGGAAGATACTGGCACATGGCATGCTGTCGGAAGATATCTGCCCCACTTCTTTTAATAGGGGAGGGAGGTGCTCTTGTCTAACCAGACCCATTTTATTTTTTCTGTGAAAAGTGCAGTTTCGATTGGTGGAGGGAACCAGAATCCTGGAAGACAGCCTGGGTTTGGAGGCCTCAACTTCCGCGACAGTTGTCACTGCATCTTCATTAATGGAGCAAAATAGATTAAGTAGCCTCTTGGGCTGTGGTCAGATTTGAACCAACTGTTGTTGAATTAGGGGAAGGCCTACTATTGACTTTCCCAGTCTATTAGTCTATGTAGTAGCCACATCATATAAAGAAACTAGTAATTTTTTTTACTTCTAATATTGACCATGAAAATAGATTATTTTTGTATTCTGAATTCAAACATAGACATATCTTTTTAAAGATAACCACAAATTGTTTTCCAAAGAGGATGTGCCGTTTTTCATTCTCACCAGCAGTGTAGGAGAGATCTAGTTTCTCAGCATCCTCCCCAGCATTTGGAGTCATTTTTAGCTCTTCTAGTAGTGGTAGTTCACTGTAGTGTTAATTCATATTTCTGTAATGGCTAATATGGTTAAGCATCTTTCTGTGGGATTATTTGCCATCTTTATATCCTCTTTGGTGAAATGTCTGTGCATGTCTGATCCATTTTGTAATTGAATTTTTTTTTTTAATGTTGAGTTTTGGGAGTTCTTTATATATTCTAGGTACTAGTCATGTGCTTTGCAGATATTTTTCTTTAAGTCTGTAGCTTGTCTTCTCATCTTCTTAGGGTTTTTTTGCAGAGCAAGTTTTAAATTTTGCTGAGTTCCGGTTTATCAGTTTTTACATTTGTGGATCATGCTTTTATGGTCAAGTCTGAGAACCCTTTGACTAGCCTCAGATGCCTAAGATTTTTCCTACATTTTTTTTCTAAAAGTTTAAAGTTTACAGCCATGACCCATTTAGGGTTGACTTTTGTAAAAGGTTGGAGTTATTTTAGAGAAAGTAAAATCAAGGTCATAGTAACCCTTATTCACAGTGCCTTTAATGTGGATGAACTGTTGATGCCCGAGGAGGAACAGTGGATTGTTGATTTTTCATGAGGAGCTTGCCGGGTTTGGTATAGCCACTAAAAGTATAGTCAGCCCTCCATATCCACGGATTCCATTCCAGTAGGTTCTGCTCCCCTGGATTCAACCAACCCCAGATCAAAAATATTTAGGGAATTGGGGAAAAATTTTGGCTACAGGATGGGGTGCTGGCTGCCAGGGGGAACCAGCCCTATGCTCAGAGTTGGCACTGAACATGTATGGATTTTTTCTTCTTGTCATTATTTTCTAAACCATACAGTGTAACAAATATTTACATAGCATTTACAATGTACCGTGTCAAATATTTTAAGTAATCTTGAGATCATTTAAAATACCTAGGAGGATGTGTGTAGATTATATGCAAATACCACACCATTTTATATATGGGACTTGGGCATCTGTAGATTTTGGTATCCTTAGAGAGTCCTGGAACAAATCTCCCACGGATCCTGAGGGATAACTGCCCTTTGTTTTGTTCAGAAACTCACAATTCCAGAAAACCGTGTCACTGACAGCAGCACTGCCAACAACATTTGATCCCACAAGATTCGTGATCATTAACCAAAATCAAAGACCCCTGAAGGTCTGATTACCATGCTGGCCTGTTGATTCTGGGGCTTAAATGGAACTATAGTCGGCCCTCTGGATCCACGGGTTCCACATCCACAGATTCAACCAACCTCAGATAAAAAAATATTCAGAAAAAATAAAAAATAACAATACAATAATAAAAATAATACAAATCAAAACAATACAGTGTAACAACTATTTACACATCACTTACATTGTGTTAGGTATTATAAGTAATCTAGAGATGATTTAAAGTATATGGCAGGATGTGCACAGTTTATATGCAAATATTATGCCATTTTTTGCCAGGGAGTTGAGCATCCATGGATTTTGGTATCCTTGGTGGGTTTTGGAACCAATCCCCCACAGATACCGAGGGGTGACTATACAATTTTAAAAACTCAGTCAAATCGCTATCCTGATTAACATTTCAACCTGTAGTTGCTGAGTATCTTTTGAAAAAATTAATCTTAGTTTATATTGGGAAATTGCATAGTAATTGACCTTGATTTTAGATCTCGCGTAGCATGTGAAAATGTTTCTGAGCACTATTGTTTTACAGTGTGAACAGTTAAGCTGTAGGAGTTACTATTTAATTTGAAGTCCAATGTTGAACTCTTGTCCTGGGCTTTTGGAGCACCAATGGAAGTTTGAAGAGTGCTTTGGTGGAGTGGTGAAGGACACAGGCTCTGATATTAGATTTTCTGGCTTCACATCCTGACTCTGTCCCTGAAGCTCTGTGACATAACATCTCTCTTAGTTTTCTTATCTGTAAAATGGGTATGATAATTAAGCACCCCCCCCCCCCATAAAGTTGTAAAACTCACTTAGAGCAGTATCTGGTACATAGTAGGTACTCAATAAAGTTTAACGATTCGTATTCCTAACACAGCAATTTTATGTGAAGATGGGTGGGAAGTATGTTATTTTATATTAATAAACACATGGTTTTATTAGGCATATAATGCAAAATTCAAATAGTTTACAGAACTTAAAAAATAAACAGAGGCTTCAGATAGATTTTATACTTAATATGGGTAACCCTTAGGCCACTTGGTGTGGGATTTCAGCTCCTCTGCCAAGAGAAAACACTAAGAGAATCACTGCTCCTTCACTTACCTAGTAAGACTGCCCCAATTGTTTGTTTCCAGGCTAGAGAAATCGTTCATTTATCATATAGATGGCCTCAGAGCCTGTCAGCATCCTGTGCACCCTCCGTCAGACACTTGGGTTTGTTGGTGTCTCTTAAAAGCTTGTTGTCTGAAGAGTACACATTCCCCCAGGCCAGCATGATAATGCAGAATGAGATGTGCAAACCTCAGAGCATCCACTTCAGAAAAAATTGTGGTCAGTTAAATCCCCTAGTTTGTTTTCTTAAGGATTTGTCCTTTCCTTTAATACCACAATTGCTTTAAAAAACACATACAAACTACAGTTTTCAATTCCAATGGGCTACCCACGGACATTTATTTTAAAGACAGTGTAATTAAGAGGAGTTTATACTTGATCACAATAAAACAGCCTAGCACCTATTGTCGTCATTCATTCATTAGCTGCCTGGCCCCTTGGCATTTGTGACCTGTATTACTAAGATGAATATTTTTTGATTTCCATCTAAGATTACAGGCCCATCTCCTTTAAGCCTATTACTTCCTATGGGACTAGAACAATAAGTTGATCTTTTGTTAAAGTATATATATGGCCTTTTGTCCTGGGTTCCTGAAGCAGCTCAAGACAGCTTCAGAGCACTAAAGGTAAAAGGCAGTGTTTTGTTATTTATAATAAACACTTTTCACACACCCCAGGTTATGTTAATGAGGTGATTTTTTTGGACCACCTAGATGGCTACAGGATGGAGTGCTCACTGCAGGGAGGGAATCAGCCCTATGCTCAGAGTTGGAACTTTCAGCCCTACCCCCAGTCTCAGGAAGGGGAGAGGGACTCAAGGTTGAGTCTATCACCAAGGGCCAGTGATTTAATCAACCATGCCTAAGTAAAGAAGCCTCCGTAAAAATCCAAAAGTGTTATCAGTTGATGGGTGTCCAGGTTCTTGGCGTCTTGAACAAAGAAAGCACAAACGAAGCAAGGGAAGACACACAAAACATACAAACAAAGCAAAGAAAGAATGAAGCAACAAAAGCAGAGATTTATTGAAAATGAAAGTACACCCCACAGGGTGGGAGTGGGCCAAGCATAGGGGCTCAAGAGCCCCGTTACAGAATTTTCTGAGGTTTACATACCCTCTAGAGGTTTCCATTGATTACTTGGTGTATGCCCTATGTAAATGAAGAGGGTGAAGTAAAGTCACTTACTTAGTGTACACCCTATGTAAATGGAGAGGATGTTTCATAGATGAAGTGTTTCCATTTGATTTAGTTCTAGGAAGTCAGCGTGAATTAGCCTATGTCCCTGCCTCCAGACCCTATTCTGTCTCATTTCCCCCCAGAAAGATGTGATCCCCATAAATCTTTATGGAAGCAGAGGGACCAATGGTCTATCTTCTGTAACTGCTTCATGCTGGCTTGGGGCACAGTCCCTACCTATTGGGAATCATGGAACTCTCGCCCCTCTCTGTCTAGTGGAGGCAGGGTAGCTCCTTGATGGCCAGGGGTAGTGGCTGGAACCTTTGTTGCATGATCATCTGAAGCTTGATGGTTTCTAGGCGAGAGGAAATGAATTTGGTTAAAAGATTTAATGGGAACTTCAGGGAGTGGATACCTATGCTGCCAGGAATGTTTTCTAGAGATTTGCGGAAAAAAAACAAAACCTAGTCTGTTCTAGGATCTATGTGTTTCCTTAACGTCTTAATGCAAGCAACTCCATTTTGGTTTGGTTTGGTTTGGTCTGTTGGGGCCTAGTGCATGAGTTCAGTCCAAAACAATGGCCTTCCATAATTTTATTTTAAAAAATTCTCCCTTTTTGGTCACGTTCTCACTTAGGTGAGAGTGTGACCAAAACTTAGGGCCTTAGCACAACTCTCAGTTACCTTCATTTTGGGTTTCTGGTGTCAGTGCATGATTCATAGGTTATGGTGTCCTCATGTTCACACATTTCTTTCAGCTCTTGTCATTCCAGTTGAAGAGAGACCATTTGACATTCTAGAGATGGCTGCGTGCAACCATTTAAAACCTTTGAGAGAATACAGCACACAAGGGAAACTATTATTATTTTTTTTCCTATTTTATTTTTTGAGACAGAGTTTTGCTCTTTTCGCCCAGGCTGGAGTGCAATGGCATGATCTTGGCTCACTGCAACCTCTGCCTCCCGGGTTCAAGTGATTCTCCCACCTCAGCCTCCTGAGCAGCTGGGATTACAGGCATGTGCCACCATGCCTGGCTAATTTTGTATTTTTAGTAGAGACAGGGTTTATCATGTTGGCCAGGCTGGTCTCAAACTCCTGTCCTCAGGTGATCTGCCCGCCTCGGCCTCCCAAAGTGCTGGGATTAAAGGTATGAGCTACCATGCCTGGCCGAGACTATTGTTATGACTATTGGGAGGATAATACCAAGAGTTTGGAGTATGCTTCTTCCCTTAGGTTCCCATAAACCAAACCACCTAAAATCAAATAGATCAAAGAATGAGCTAGATAAAGAGCCTACTCATTTAACCAAGCAATCTCTTTGTTAATCCCCTACGATGAATCTCTATACTTTTCATTTGATGTATTTCTCCATAGGCCACAAGTGCCAGCAGCTGCACAGATACTTCTCTGTTCAGCCAATTCTATCATAACTTTAACAAGAGAATTTTAAGTCTGTTACATAACTGTAGCCTTTAGAGAAGAATCTGTTATACAGCCTATCATGAGGGAAACATTTCTAATCATTGCTTCTTTTGCAATGGAAAAGGGCCATGGAAAAAGGACCTAACAAATGATGCCCTTCTAGAAGATTGAAGGCCTCCTAGCAATGTTCTCTTTAACTTGGGATATGGGTTAAGAGGAGTGAACCAATGTTCTGTTTCTGACTGATGATGAGGCAATGTGTGTACCATTAAAATTTCTCACCTGCATTGGACCTTCATCTTTTATCTGTCAAAGTATAAGGTTATTCATATACGAGGCTGGCTGCAAAATCCTTCACAAATAAAAGTGTACCCCATAAGTGCATACAACAGACCCCCTTTTCATTTCTATTGTTCTTGGACGCATAAACAAAAAATATTCAAAGATAAGACTCTCATAATAGTAGAAGTCTTGATCTGTGATCTTGGGAAAAGCTGTTCACATCAAGGATGCCATGTTCTTCTGGGGAGCGACTTCCTTGGTTAGCTTTACCTTAAGGGTTCCTATGGGTGTACAGTTCCAAGAGTGTGGAGGGACCCTCCTCAGTTGTGAGATTATGAACCCAAAGTTCAGGGTTCCAAAGTTTTGCTGCAATGTGGATGGCAAGGACAATCTTTCTCCAATGTTCTCAGAAGATCTAATCTTTAGGCTCTAGATTTGTGAAGGGGTTGATTGTCCTCAGCAAACCATAAAAAGCTTTCTGTACCTAGTGAAAATACACTGTGGCGTAATGACTTAGTTTTATAACATGAGCCCTCTTGCATGGGAGAGCTTTTATATAACCAGAAAACATGCATTGAAAATAATAATTGAATAAAATCCCTTAAATGGCCCATCAGGTGACCAAATGTACCTGAAGCTTTGATTATTTTCCCAGGAATATGGGCCCAAACATTGGCTATAAAGTATTTCAGTAATTTATAAGCCACCACACCAATATATTCAATTTGGATCATTTTATCTTTTCTATGATGAGTCATGGAATGCAGAACTTTCAATAATAAAAGCTTTAAGGACTCAGAAAGGACAAGGTGACCAACCTGGTCCTCCATGAGTCCATGCTTAATTAATATTAGACTTATATCCTCTTGAATACCAGTTGTTTCTCCACATTAGGTGCATAGCACTGGTAACTGATGGGTTATCATAGGTAAATTGACTTAGATCGTGGAGTTCATTCAAAATATGTATCTAAAACAATTTCAGTATCAGCTGATTTAACATGAAAATCTGACAAAAAGTATTTTCTTGGTACTTAATTCTTGTTCTACTTGGGTTAGCAGCTTTATACAAGGAAATTTGGTTATTTCTGTGGTTTAACCCTTTAAATTAGGCAAAAATGTACATTCCCATGCTTTCTTATAGTCTTTTACCAACAACACCTTTCACTTTTCTTACACACCTTGCATGTAAAACTGTTTCTTCAGTAGTCTCAGTTACATGTTACAATGTTAACTCTTAGCAACTTTTACTTTTGGTGAAAACCTTGATAAGTTTGGGGTTTTAATTAAGTACTAGATGTGGAGAAGCCTAGAACCCAGAAAGAAATGCAGATAAAGTCTGACTTTTTCTAGCATCTAACTCCATGTGTCCCGGGCCCTACCTAGCTGTAAAACAGGCAAATTGTACAGTTAAGAGTCACAGTGGCATTTACAAAGCATTTAGGAGGCCTAATCACCTTTAAATTGTACAACATTTCTTGCATAAATTCTTTTTCATAAATTATTTCATGACTTACACAGACCATCTATCACATGCTTGGACTTTCTGACTTGTCCTAAACACCCCTCTTTTAAACAAGCAGTTATTTTACTTTAGGACAAGAATTTATCATACAAGATCCTTTCTTATATAAAACCTTGTTTGCATAGCTAGAGGGCATGGCTAATTTCACATGTCCCCAAGACTTATCTAGAATCTAATGCTCCAGAATAAATTAAGCAATTTTTAAAAGTCAAAGAAGCAGTTTGTGACCTTAAAGCATTTAGTCAACATAATATCTGACCTGCATAATTTAGACCAAATGTTTACATTTGTGAAGATATTTTTATTTTACCAATAATCTTTAAAAACTGTCTTTATTTCTCAGATTACTTAAGTCACATGAACTAAATGAAAGGCATTACACTTTTTACTTTTCTGACAAAATATTTGATTTAAGCTCTTATTATTAACCAGTTAATTAAAACTCTTTTATATTATACACACAACACATATAAATACACAGAAGATAAAGGATTCATTCCCTGAGCCAGGAATTGAACCCTAAACCCAGGCCACCATTGTGAAAAGAGAAAGTACAGCCACATAGTTACAAGGTCAAGCTCCCAAGGACATGACTGACCAATTGGCTGGGCCATCTTGAATAGTGGGCTTTTGGGGCCCTACACACGCTTTTTATCCTAGGGTACCCCTCTTTATGACAGAAAAATACAGGAAGACACACAGAGCACACCAGATTCACTACAGCTTAAGACCAGCCTCAGAATTCCTTTTGTATTAATTAAAACTTTATAGAGGAGATAAACAGTGACATTTACCTTTCATTTAACCATTTGGCACAAATTGAGAGAGGCCAGTGTCTGACTACTAAGAAATTCTTGCCCTTTTGCCGGCATGCCAGATTTCTGGGCTCTTTCTCCCTGACCAGCCCTGGTGACCCTAGTCAACTGTAATGCAAACAAACACATTCCCATGAATTAAGAATATTCACAAATAGCTTCAAATTTTGGAGAAATTAGGCAGAGTGAGAATTACTACTCAAATTCTATTTACAAAAGTATAATCAAGACACTTAAAGTATCAGGAAGCCTAAACTCCAAAGAAGTTAGTTTAAGATTAAAAAGCTGGTGTGCTCCATTAATTCCTGCAGGCCCAACAAAGGTAGCCTAGGAATTCTGGATAAATGGGACAAATGATGACTTTCTAAAAACACATAGGAAACAGAATATCCACAGAACCAAATAAAAGCCTTCCACTTAGGAACTTAAAAAAATCATGGTTTTATATATATGCATACACGAGCAAAGCCCAGAGGAGAATAAACAGCAAATGAATGAAAACTGGAAGCACAAACAAACAGAAAACCAACCCTAAATTTTCCCACTGAGTCTATCCTGGAGGCTACAGTGTTACCCAGGGCCCCAAAAAACCCACATAATGAATATTTTATTACTATTACACAATTCAGTTTCCTTAAGTTCACCAATATCATTATACATCCTGTGCAATCAAGAAATTCACTCTAGGCACATGACCTATATAAGTACTTCAGTGCCGGCACTATCCATGCAAAACAGTAGACATAGTGTGAAGCAATGCAAGCATGTATGTGAAATTTGGCTCCACACTAAATCCGGCTTCAGGCTTAACTATATTAAAGAATTGCCAAACTGCTAATGTTTTTTTTTTTTTTTTTTTTTTTTTAAGACAGAGTCTCCCTCTATTGCCAGGCTGGAGTACAGTGGTGTGATCTTGGCTCACTGCAACCTCTGCCTCCTGGGCTCAAGCGATTCTGCTGCCTCAGCCTCCCAAGTGGCTGGGAGTACAGGCGCAGGCCACCATGCCCAGCTAATTTTTGTATTTTTAGTAGAGACAGGGTTTTACCATTTTGGCCAGGATGGTCTCGATCTCCTGACCTCGTGATCTGCCCGCCTTGGCTCCCAAGTTGCTGGGATTACAGGCATGAGCCACCGCACCCGGCCACATTTCTTTACAATACTTACTTTATTTTAATCAAGACTAAGAGCTTTAACTGAAAACATTAATTAGCCAAATGTCTCCAATTCTCTGTCAGGTTTTAAATAATATTTTATTATATAAATTTTTTCCACATGTTTATCCGCTACTTACTGGTTTCTTACTATGGTATTTCATAAATAACCTTTTCAAATCTGTATCTGAACTAACTTTTAGATAACTTCTGAATTAGACAAAATTATTATTTTTCTCACTAGTAATATAAACTTTTTGGCACATTTTGTTTACAGAATTATGTGTTAACTAGAATTCTTAGTAACCTAAAACTTGTGTGAAACCCCAAAAAGCAAGAAATCCTGAACCATAAGATGTGGGCATTTATAAATAAGAACAGTTCCACAATTTAGAAACATACTTCCCCATATCACAATCCTTTCTTTATTGGAAATGACCCAGATATTAAATGAGCATCAAAAATAGCTCAAAGCATTTAATTTACACAAAAAGTTTACTTAAAACACTTATCCCATTCACTGTGCTCTGTTCTTTCAGTTTTAACAAGGGAGGCATGAGACATCAATCAAGATATGTAAAATGAACATTGGTTCAGTCCAGAAAGGTGGGACAACTCTTAAGCTGGGAGGGGGCTTCCAGGTCACAGGTAGGTGAGAGACAAACAGTTGCATTCTCTTGAGTTTCTGATTAGCCTTTCTAAAGGAGGCAGTCAGATATGCATTTATCTTAATGAGCAGAAGGATGACTTTGAATAAAATGGGACACAGATTTGCCCTAAGCAGTTCCCAGCTTGAATTTTCCCTTGAGCTTAGTGATTTTGGGGGCCCAAGATATTTTCCTTTCACAGATTTCTCTGATTTGTCAAAAAAACAAGGCATGCAAACCAAGATCATTTTGTTTTGGCTGGGTTTATAGTTTAATAATCTTCTATGCCAAACACTGACATCCCAAAATATCTAGCAAAGACAAACATAAAACCAGACAAAAAATGTATGCTGACGGTTCTGAAGGCACTTCTGTTTTTATTTTACCAATAAGTTTAAAGCCAGCTTATTTAGTAAAGTTATACTTAAGTCATGTGAACTTAAAAATTGCTTAGACTTAGTTAATGTATGAGCACTCTTATAAGTCAGTTCAGTAAACACAACATATAACAATAAGTGTACATACAAATAAACACGTCTAGACATGTACATGTACACATACACGAACGAAGATCCAATAGCTTGGAACCCTAGCCATGAGATAGCAATACAAGCTCGCCAGTTTTACTTTGTTTGCCGCAATAGATAATCCAGTGAAGGCTGTGAACCAAAATTTCGAGTAAAACATTTTCCACGGCAGTTTGATTTTTAAAGGCCAAACCTCCCCAGACTCCAAAGGACACTGGGTCCAAACAGTTCCAAACGAGAGCATCACATGTTAACCAGGCCCCCTGCTCAGAACAGCAGCACAAAAGCCTGGATGCATGCAACACCATCCCACTTTCCCATTCAACAGCAAACTCCAGATTCCAAACAATATTGGGGCCAAACAGCATTGCAACTGCGAGAGAAGGTTCTAAGAAGAGTTTAGGACTAGACCTCAGAACCTCTGCCAAGGGCATCCCCTTTGTAGAGACTGAGGTCCAGAGGATCCCCCTGGGGTGTTCCCCTTTGGAGTCCAATCTTAGAGTGTCAGACGTCTCTGACCTTAGGTGGTCACTGGTGCTGTTTTGCATACTTTTCTTCCAGAGGCGATGGCTTACTGTGAGCTTTCCTTTGGTACCTGGGTGTAATCCCCAACTTTTAACATCCATATAATTTGATAATGCCATGCTTTCCCGTGCTTCTCATTCCACTAGAGTGACAGCCATGAACTGTAATGACAGGATTTGGAGCCTGGGTGGGCTTCTTTTGTCCTTAGCCAGTCGAGTAGGGGAAAGGAAGAATTTATGCTTATGTTTTCCTGATTTCTGTGAGCTGCTGTAACATATTAATCAAACCCAAAGGGGAAGTCGGGGCAACTCCAATTTAGAGCCAGTTGATCAGAAGCACAGGTGGAACATCCTGGGGCTTGCAGTTGGCATTTGAATTGTGGCTCAGTCTTCAGTCTGTGTGATCTGATGGTATCCCCAGGTAGATAATGTAGAATTGAATTGGAGGACGCCCAGGTCATGGTCTATGCAGAGTTGCTTTGCTTGCTTGCTGGCTGGTGGGGAGAAATCCTCACATATCTATGGTCAGAAGCATGTTGTAAGAGGATAGTGGAAGAAACAGTTTATTTCTTCCTCTCATAACCCCAATACTTTTTTTTTTTCCTCTGTCTCTAAAGGCTGATTTTGAATCTGTATTTCTTAAAGTTTAAAACCTTTCAGTCTAATTTCTCACAATCACTCTTACCAAAGAACCTGGGTCCCACCATGAGAGAAAACAGCCCATCTACTCCCTGGAATATTTATTTACTGGCATTCACTTTGGTTGGTGTGCTAAAATGATTGAGCCATATGAAATTGCCCTTTTTATGGGTTGAAACTAGGTCAGATAGCAATTTCATTTTCATTTTGGTAAAATTTAAGGACTTAGTGACCCATAGGAATATTATTGGAAGTATTTTTATTGCTATAGCATTTAAATAAAAGTAATTCCATTTGTTGCTGAAATTTTTACTAAAAGAGTTGAGCATGTGATAGTAATTAAAACAAAATATTCTGTTTTATAGTGACAGTAGTTAGAAAAGAAATGTTATAACTAAAATATAAAGTAAGTGCAATGGAATTAGACTTTGAGATGGAACATGAAGACTAATTTCTGATGTGTGACAGACAATATATCAGGCAATTAAGGAGATTTTGTTCAGGCAGTTGCAATAGGGATAATAAATAAAAATAATTCCATTTGTTGCTGAAATTTTTACTGAAAGAGTTGAACATGTGATAGTAATTAAAACAAAATATTCTGTCTTATAGTGTCAGTAGTTTGAAAAGAAATGTTATTATAACTAAAATATAAAGTAAGTGCAATGGAATTAGACTTTGAGGTGGAACATGAAGACTAATTTCTGATGTGTGACAGACAATATATCAGGCAATTAAGGAGATTATTTTGTTCAGGCAGTTGCAATAGGGAGAGTGTTCATAATGGGAAACCTCTTGAAGAGGAAGGAGAAAAGGTAGGGATTAATAAAACAAGGGAGTCACTGAGGAAGGGTAGAAGTAGGTCCTATTTGGGAATTGTAGACAGTAGGTTGGTCCTTTCTGGTTAACCCTTTCTTGGAATAAAAAAGGGTATGGTGCTTTTCCATTCTGGCCTTCTGAGAGCACGCAGGGCTGAGATAAAGTATAACACTGTCAGATAGAACAACATTACCAACATTTGTATTAATCAATCATATGGGATGCATACCACAGGTTGAAAGTGTGATTCAGAGAAAACTTATCAAAAGTTTCATTCATAACTTTAAAATCTATAGGTTTCTTAATATTTATTTCTCCATGAAAGGACTAAAACAGGGCAGCTTTGTGTTGTGGAGTAATCAACAATTGAAACTCAGGCTAAATCAGGGGAAGAAGCCAGCCATTAAAGACCAAGACTAGGCTAGTGGGCCATATTGTAGACGGAAGACCCAGTATAAGACCAAGACTAGGCTAGTGGGCCATAGTGTAGATGGAAGACCCAGTGTAAGACCAAGACTAGGCTAGTGGGCCATGTTGTAGATGGAAGACCCAGTGTAAGACCAAGACTAGGCTAGTGGGCCATGTTGTAGATGGAAGACCCAGTATAAGACCAAGACTAGGCTAGTAGGCCATAGTGTAGACGGAAGACCCAGTGTAAGACCAAGACTAGGCTGGTGGGCCGTAGTGTAGACAGAAGACCCAGTGTAAGAGCAAGACTAGGCTAGTGGGCCGTAGTGTAGATGGAAGACCCAGTGTAAGACCAAGACTAGGCTAGTGGGCCATAGTGTAGATGGAAGACCCAGTATAAGACCAAGACTAGGCTAGTGGGCCGTAGTGTAGATGGAAGACCCAGTGTAAGACCAAGACTAGGCTAGTGGGCCATGTTAAGACCAAGACTAGGCTAGTGGGCCGTAGTGTAGATGGAAGACCCAGTGTAAGACCAAGACTAGGCTAGTGGGCCATGTTGTAGATGGAAGACCCAGTATAAGACCAAGACTAGGCTAGTGGGCCATAGTGTAGATGGAAGACCCAGTATAAGACCAAGACTAGGCTAGTGGGCCATAGTGTAGATGGAAGACCCAGTGTAAGACCAAGACTAGGCTAGTGGGCCATGTTGTAGATGGAAGACCCAGTATAAGACCAAGACTAGGCTAGTGGGCCATAGTGTAGACGGAAGACCCAGTGTAAGACCAAGACTAGGCTGGTGGGCCATAGTGTAGACAGAAGACCCAATGTAAGACCAAGACTAGGCTAGTGGCCATAGTGTAGATGGAAGACCCAGTATAAGACCAAGACTAGGCTAGTGGGCCATAGTGTAGATGGAAGACCCAGTGTAAGACCAAGACTAGGCTAGTGGGCCATGTTGTAGATGGAAGAACCAGTATAAGACCAAGACTAGGCTAGTGGGCCATAGTGTAGACGGAAGACCCAGTGTAAGACCAAGACTTGGCTGGTGGGCCATAGTGTAGACAGAAGACCCAGTGTAAGACCAAGACTAGGCTAGTGGCCATAGTGTAGACGGAAGACCCAGTGTAAGACCAAGACTAGGCTGGTGGGCCGTAGTGTAGACAGAAGACCCAGTGTAAGACCAAGACTAGGCTAGTGGCCATATTGTAGATGGAAGACCCAGTGTAAGTGGTAGACTTCCGAAGTCTTTTGGAAGTTGAAGATGGGAAGTGTGTCTATAAACGGGTCAGGGCAGAGAAGTCTGTAATTTTGTTAAAGGGTAAATTTCAAGAGTGTGAAATCACAACCCATATAAAATGACCAAGTATCAAAGATTTTATTTACCTTATTACTAAGGGAACCAGGCACAACCTGTTTAAAGGAGCAGTAAGAAAACCATGAACTATGTAGGGTGAAGGAATGTTAAAATGAGTTTACAGGTGGAAGCAAAACTGATTTTTCCCACTGGGGAGAGGGTTGCCTCTTTATCAGACAGTTCTTCACAGATCTGTGGACAAGAATTATTTGAGGTGTGAAATATTTCAAAGGCAATGAAAGGAGCAAAACCCCCCTCCTTCCCAGGGTCAGATTGTTCCCAGAGGCTCCAGCATTCCATTGTCATGATATTCAGTAATCTCTTTTGCCTATGCCAAAGTCCTAAGTTTTTCCTTGCCATACTCCCTCTATAGTAACTACTTGCTGCTTCTGATGTTGATCCATTTTAAGTTGGAATTTCATTGGCAATAGCCATAATCTAGTTTGACCATATAGCAGTCTAACTTTAAATTTTTATCTATAAATTGGAGGTGAAGGTTAATGAATTTGAATTAGCTCAGTGGTTCTCAACTGGAGTGATTTTGTCCCCCAGGGGACATTTGACAATGTCTGCAGACATTTTTTGGTTGTCAAAATCTGGCAGGTCAGGTGGGAAGTGCTTTGGGCATGTAGAAGGTAGAGGTCAGGAATGCTGCCAAACATCTTATAATACACAAAACAGCTCCCCACTACAAAGTTATCTGGCTCCAAATATTAATAGTGCCAAAGTTAAGAAACCCTGATAGCCATTGAAAACTGTTAGAGGAAAGCTCAAGTTTCTGCTGCGTTAAAATTAAACCTAATTTTATGCTCTCAAATCTGTGTGGAAAGCATACATTTCATTGTTACGGTCTTGAAATAATGTTCCTGTTACAATTTTCCATTTTAGAAATTAAGCAGTCAGCATCCCCTTTAACTTGAGAGACTTAGTGATTAAGTGGAAACAGTTGCTTTCTCTTGTAATAAGCATATAGCAGTTAGAATTTTTAAATTATTTTTCCTATTTTAGGTTTCACTGAAGAAACTTCTTAGAGATTCATTGCACTTCTGAGATTTAATGTTTACAACTTGGAGTTGTCGACCTTCTTATAAGATACATTTTGGAAGTCAAAATGAAAGTTTTCTGTGAAGTTTTAGAAGAGTTATACAAGAAGGTACTTCTTGGAGCCACACTTGAAAATGACAGCCATGATTACATCTTTTATCTCAACCCAGCAGTTTCAGATCAAGATTGTTCTACAGCCACCTCCTTAGAATGGGCAAACACCTGTGGTATCCAGGGCAGGCATCAGCCCATCTCTGTTGGTGTGGCTCCCATTGCTGTAGCACCTGTGTGTTTGAAGACCAACTCTCAGATGAGCGGTTCCAGAGAAGTAATGCTCCTTCAGTTAACAGTGATCAAAGTGATGACAACCCGGATATTGTCTGTCAAAACCGAGTTCCATGCAAAGGAGCAGTACAGAGATGTAATTAAAATTCTCTTAGAATCAGCCAAAGTCGATTCTAAATTAGTAAGCCATTTGTTTTTCTAAAGATGTAGATATTTAAAATAATTTTAAGAACATTCAGCAATAGTGGTTAATTATATTTGTTTTCCTGTAGATCTGCATGTTCCAAAATTCAGATAAATTGTTATCTCACATGGCTGCACAGTGCCTTGCATTGCTTCTATATTTCCAATTGAGAGAAAAGGTAAGATAAGTAATCAAAGTATGTTATTATTTCTCTTTCTTAATTTTTTTTAAATTTAAATGTTTTGTGGAGACAAGGTCTCACTGTGTTGCCCAATCTGATCTCAAACTTCTGGGCTCAAGCAATCCTCCTGCCTCAGCCTCCCAAAGTGCTGGGATTAAAGACGAGAGCCGTGGCACCTAACCTGTTTCTCTTATAGTTTCTTTAAAATTGCTCTTTGACATTTGATTTTTACCCTTCAGATATTTGTATTAATAAGACATTTGCTCACATAATAACATATGTAAAGCCATAAAAATTTAAGAATAGAATATGATGATTTGTGTCAAGGATTAGAGTCTTAAATGTGTTGTCAATCATAATCAGATTCTTAACCTGAGAGGTGAATTTCACATCAGACTCCATAACTTTCTGCAGATTCTCGAACTAGTAGGTGGACCCCTTCCCCCTAAAAAGATTTAGGAACCACCAGTTGAGAACAAGCCTATTTTCACAGGTTTAATGTAAATTCTAACAACAGTCCTCAGCATAATATAAAACAGTATAAATAAATTCAGAGTTGAGTTTTTCTCTTATCTCTGAATTAGTTAATAAACAAATGAAATATCTACTGACTTTTCAACTATAATCTCTTGCTTCTTTCAATAACTTTTCTGAATATAAAAAGTGATATTACAGTAGAAAATTTGGAAAATAGACAAAGTATAAAGAGCAAATTAAAATGAAAAATTCACTACTTAGAGATAACACTGCTAACATTTTCATCTTTCATTTTTATTTTCTTTTTTTTTTCTTTACTGTCATAATTTTTATTCAGCATTACTGTGGAAGTTCTGGCTAGTGCAGTAATTAAAAAAAAAATAAGTTAAAGGTATAAAGATAAAATGTTGAAGTAAAGGGGCCACAGTCTTTGCTTTCTTGAAACTTAGAATCCAGTAGTAATCTGAATTGTTATAGTCTACCTAAGAGGAGATTTTGAAGTGAACATCAATTATGTAAAGTATCTTTTTACCAAGACATGGTTTTTTTGTGGTTATCACTGGCTCATTTTTATTTTTAGTTTTTTATTTTTTTATATATATATTTTTATTATACTTTAAGTTCTAGGGTACATGTGCACAACGTGCAGGTTTGTTACATATGTATACATGTGCCATGTTGGTGTGCTGCACCCATTAACTCGTCATTTACATTAGGTGTATCTCCTAATGCTATCCCTTCCCCCTCCCCCTACCCCACAACAGGCCCTGGTGTGTGATGTTCCCCTTCCTGTGTTCAAGTGTTGTCATTGTTCAGTTCCCACCTATGAGTGAGAATATGCGGTGTTTGGTTTTTTGTTCTTGTGATAGCTTGCTGAGAATGATGGTTTCCAGCTTCATCCATGTCCCTACAAAGGACATGAACTCATCATTTTTTATGGCTGCATAGTATTCCATGGTGTATATGTGCCACATTTTCTTAATCCAGTCTATCATTGTTGGACATTTGGGTTGGTTCCAAGTCTTTGCTATTGTGAGTAGTGCCACAATAAACATATGTGTGCATGTGTCTTTATAGCAGCATGATTTATATTCCTTTGGGTATATACCCAGTAATGGGATGGCTGGGTCAAATGGTATTTCTAGCTCTAGATCCCTGAGGAATCGCCACACTGTCTTCCACGCTGGTTGAACTAGTTTACAGTCCCACCAACAGTGTAAAAGTGTTCCTATTTTTCCCCATCCTCTCCAGCACCTGTTGTTTCCTGACTTTTTAATGATCGCCATTCTAACTGGTGTGAGATGGTATCTCACTGTGGTTTTGATTTGCATTTCTCTGATGGCCAGTGATGATGAGCATTTTTTCATGTGTCTGTTGGCTGCATAAATGTCTTCTTTTGAGAAGTGTCTGTTCATATCCTTTGCCCACTTTTTGATGAGGTTGTTTGTTTTTTTCTTGTAAATTTGTTTGAGTTATTTGTAGATTCTGGATATTAGCCCTTTGTCAGATGAGTAGATTGCAAAAATTTTCTCCCATTTTGTAGGTTGTCTGTTCACTCTGATGGTAGTTTCTTTTGCTGTGCAGAAGCTCTTTAGTTTAATTAGATCCCATTTCTCTATTTTGGCTTTTGTTGCCATTGCTTTTGGTGTTTTAGACATGAAGTCCTTGCCCATGCCTATGTCCTGAATGGTATTGCCTAGGTTTTCTTCTAGGGTTTTTATGGTTTTAAGTCTAACATATAAGTCTTTAATCCATCTTGAATTAATTTTTGTATAAGGTATAAGGAAGAGATCCAGTTTCAGCTTTCTACATATGGCTAGCCAGTTTTCCCAGCACCATTTGTTAAATAGGGAATCCTTTCCCCATTTCTTGTTTTTGTCAGGGTTGTCAAAGATCAGATGGTTGTAGATGTGTGGCATTATTTCTGAGGGCTCTGTTCTGTTCCATTGGTCTGTATCTCTGTTTTGGTACGAGTACCATGTTGTTTTGGTTACTGTAGCCTTGTAGTATAGTTGGAAGTCAGGTAGCGTGATGCCTCCAGCTTTGTTCTTTTGGCTTAGGATTGACTTGGCAATGCAGGCTCTTTTTTGGTTCCATATGAACTTTAAAGTAGTTTTTTCCAATTCTGTGAAGAAAGCCATTGGTAGCTTGATGGGGATGGCATTGAATCTATAAACTACCTTGGGCAGTATGGCCATTTTCACAATATTGATTCTTCCTATCCATGAGCATGGAATGTTCTTCCATTTGTTTGTGTCCTCTTTTACTTCGTTGAGCAGTGGTTTGTAGTTCTCCTTGAAGAGGTCCTTCACATCCCTTGTAAGTTGGATTCCTAGGTATTTTATTCTCTTTGAAGCAATTGTGAATGGGAGTTCACTCATGATTTGGCTGTTTGTCTGTTATTGGTGTATAAGAATGCTTGTGATTTTTGCACATTGATTTTGTATCCTGAGACTTTGCTGAAGGTGCTTATCAGCTTAAGGAGATTTTGGGCTGAGACGATGGGGTTTTCTAGATATACAATCATGTCATCTGCAAACAGGGACAATTTGACTTCCTCTTTTCCTAGTTGAATACCCTTTGTTTCTTTCTCCTGCCTAATTGCCCTGGCCAGAATTTCCAACACTCTGTTGAATAGGAGTGGTGAAAGAGGGCATCCCTGTCTTGTGCCAGTTTTCAAAGGGAATGCTTCCAGTTTTTGCCCATTCAGTATGATATTGGCTGTGGGTTTGTCATAAATAGCTCTTATTATTTTTAGATACGTCCCATCAGTACCTAATTTATTGAGAGTTTTTTAGCATGAAGGGTTGTTGAATTTTGTCAAAGGCCTTTTCTGCATCTATTGAGATAATCATGTGGTTTTTGTCTTTGGTTCTGTTTATATGATGGATTACATTTACTGATTTGCATATGTTGAACCAGCCTTGCGTCCCAGGGATGAAGCCCACTTGATCATGGTGGATAAGCTTTTTGATGTGCTGCCGGATTTGGTTTTGCCAGTATTTTACTGAGGATTTTCTCATCGATGTTCATCAGGGATATTGGTCTAAAATTCTCTTTTTTTGTTGTGTCTCTGCCAGGCTTTGGTATCAGGATGATGCTGTCCTCATAAAATGAGTTAGGGAGGATTCCCTCTTTTTCTGTTGATTGGAATAGTTTCAGAAGGAATGGTACCAGCTCTTCCTTGTACGTCTGGTAGAATTCGGCTGTGAATCCATCTGGTCCTGGGCTTTTTTTGGTTGGTAAGCTATTATTATTGCCTCAATTTAAGAGCCTATTATTGGTCTATTAAGAGATTCAGCTTCTTCCTGGTTTAGTCTTGGGAGGGTGTATGTGTCCAGGAATTTATCCATTTCTTCTAGATTTTCTACTTTATTTGCATAGAGGTATTTATAGTATTCTCTGATGGTAGTTTGTATTTCTATGGAATCAGTGGTGATACTCCCTTTATCATTTTTTATTGCGTCTATTTGATTCTTCTCTCTTTTCTTCTTTATTAGTCTTGCTAACGGTTTATCAATTTTGTTGGTCTTTTCAAAAAACCAGCTCCTGGATTCATTGATTTTTTGAAGGGTTTTTTGTGTCTCTATCTCCTTCAGTTCTGCTCTGATCTTAGTTATTTCTTGCCTTCTGCTAGCTTTTGAATGTGTTTGCTCTTGCTTCTCTAGTTCTTTTAATTGTGATGTTAGGGTGTCAATTTTAGATCTTTCCTGCTTTCTCTTGTGGGCATTTAGTGCTGTAAATTTCCCTCTACGTACTGCTTTAAATGTGTCCCAGAGATTCTGGTATGTTGTGTCTTTGTTCTTGTTGGTTTCAAAGAACATCTTTATTTCTGCCTTCATTTCATTATGTACCCAGTAGTCATTCAGGAGCAGGTTGTTCAGTTTCCATGTAGTTGAATGGTTTTGAGTGAGTTTCTTAATCCTGAGTTCTAGTTTGATTGCACTGTGGTCTGAGAGACAGTTTGTTGTGATTTCTGTTCTTTTACATTTGCTGAGGAGTGCTTTACTTCCAACTATGTGGTCAATTTTGGAATAGGTGTGGTGTGGTGCTGAGAAGAATGTATATTCTGTTGATTTGGGTTGGAGAGTTCTGTAGATGTCTATTAGGTCTGCTTGGTGCAGAGCTGAATTCAATTCCTGGATATCCTTGTTAACTTTCTGTCTCGTTGTTCTGTCTAATGTTGACAGTGGGGTGTTAAAGTCTCCCATTATTATTGTGTGGGAGTCTAAGTCTCTTTGTAGGTCTCTAAGGAGTTGCTTTATGAATCTGGGTGCTCTTGTATTGGGTGCATATATATTTAGGATAGTTAGCTCTTCTTGTTGAATTGATCCCTGTACCATTATGTAATGGTCTTCTTTGTCTCTTTTGATGTTTGTTGGTTTAAAGTCTGTTTTATCAGAGACTAGGATTGCAACCCCTGCCTTTTTTTGTTTTCCATTTGCTTGGTAGATCTTCCTCCATCCCTTTATTTTATTTCTGTGGCATATTCGATTTTTTTACTTAAATAATATTAGGATACTTCTGTTCCTTCTCGGTGTGCCACATATTATCATACTTCTTTTGGCCAAATGTATAAACAATGTTGTATACAGTTGTATTATGTAAAGAAAATATTGTATTTTAACTGCTTGCTTTATTTTCTCACTTGTAGATAACCTTAAGTAATTCCTGGATTGCTTTTTGCCAGAAAAATCTTTCTGAATACTCTGAGAGTAATAAAGCAATATACTGCCTCTGGACTCTTACAGCAATAATAAAAGAAATCTTTAAAGATTCATGTTCACAGAAAACAGGTATGGATTACATGGCCCCATAAACAATCATCATCTTGCTCCTGGGAGCGTTGCATTTATAATGAGAAACAAAACTTAATTTGGAACATCTGATCTGTCTTAAAGTAATGAAAAAGTCAGTCTCTTCCAATATATTTTGATTGAGGATAACCTGTTTTAAAAGAAAAAAAAGTATAAGGAAAAAAGTAAAGCTTTTCATGAGCACAAATCCCTTGCATTGTTTGATGTTACTGATATTCGTAAAATGAATATTTTTTGTTTTGTTTTGTTTTATTTTTTTGAGACAAGTCTTGCTTTGTTGCCCAGGCTGGAGTGCAATGGCATGATCTTGGCTCACTGCAACCCCTGCCTTGCGAGTTCAAGTGATTCTTCTGCCTCAGCCTCCCGAGTAGCTGGGATTACAGGCGCTCACCACCACACCCAGCTAATTTCTGTATTTTTAGTAGACACAGGGTTTTACCATGTTGGCCAGGCTGGTCTCAAACTCCTGACCTCAAGTGATCCACCCGCATCGGCCTCCCGAAGTGCTGGGATTACAGTTGTGAGCCACCACACCCAGCCATAAAATGAATTTTAACCGTGGTTCTTACCCATTAATCTGTGTAACCTCATTTGTTAATGTTAGAGGTAAACATTCCAAATCTGTTTTTTCATCTTAAAAAGTGATATTTATAAAAAGTGAATTGTAAAATTGTTTGAAGAAGACTGTTTTTCCTGTTTATAATTCCTATTTTTATAATTGCAGAAATTCTAAAGCAGTTCCTGACTCATTTCGACACCATTTTTGAAGTGTTTTACAATTCCTTATTCTCTCAGCATTTTGAAAACTGCCGGGATACTTCTAAAATAGTAAACATCCTGATGTGTTTCCTGGATTTGCTTGAGCTTCTCATCGCCTCCAGAATCCACCTGAAGTTACATTTCACTTGCCAGAGGATTTTATTTTTGAAACCATCTTGCATGCTAGAAGTTATTACCTGGCCTATTCAGGCTTTTGTTAAAAGGAAGGTCATCATATTCCTCAAAAAGTGCCTTCTCTGTAAAGTGGGTGAAGACCTCTGTCGTGGATCTGTGCCTGCCTTAATGCCGCCAGACCATCATGTAGCGGTGGACATGCTGGCTTTAGCTAATGCTGTTTTGCAAGCTGTGAATTCGGGGTTGTTGAAGACACTGTCTGTTTATGAAAAACATTCCTTTTTTGGAGGTGATGAAGTTCAACCTGAATGTGAACTTATCACTAGTCCAGATCATGTGATCCTTAGAGCAGCAAGCTTAGTTATAATGAAATCCTTAGAAATCAAGTTTCAAAATTATTCTTCAGCAAGTGAAGTGAAAGGTAATTCTCCAAACTCCTTTTGTATGCAGTGTGTAATTATTTACTTAAGTACAGTAATTCATAATTATCAAATCTCAGGACTAGTTTAAATTCCAGTAATTTAAGCTGTATGTTATCCTATTTGTAACTTATTACATTTTCAAAAAAAAAAAAAAGAACTGGATTTACCTTTAAGAAACATGTCAGCTTTTTGTGCCTACAATGAATTTGTAAAGCATAAGGAATGATTTAGGTTTAAAAAAGTTGCTGTTGAGTCATCTCAAAGTAAGTGATGGAAATCAATTCATATTCAAGTATTTACAGCATTTTATTTATATTAATCCTTTTTTTTTTTTTAATCTAAACTGCAGGTGCGTGACCATGGCCCACTGCAGCCCTGACCCCCCTTCGGCCCATGCTATTCCTCCTGTCCCAACCTGGGAGGTCCTAGCCTGGGAGATCAAGGCTACAGTGAGCCGCGACCCATCGCACACCTGCACTCCAGTCCTGGTGCAACAGATGGAGATCCTTTCAGGGAGAGAGAGAGAGAGAGAGGAGAAGACAGAGAGATTAAAGAAAAATATGTTCACTCCCACTTATGTGTTTATTGTTATTATTGTTTGTTGTTATTTCTTTGTTATTGTTGTGTTTACTGTTTATTTATTTTGAGGCAGGGTCTTGCTCTGTCTCCCAGGCTCACTGCAGCCTCAACGTTTTGAGCTGAAGTGATCCTCTCGTCTCTGTTTCCCCACCCCATTTGTATTAATCCTTCATACAATTAGTGTTTCCACTAATGTAGATTATTGAAAATTAGATATTGAATTAAAGCTAATATATGAGAAGTTATATTGACAAAGAAATTGTTACATATATAATTTCCAGAATAGTAACTCAGGAGTTCAAAGTCTTCCATTTTACTTGAGAAAAATGAATAGTAAATGTCTCTAAACAGGCAGCATACAGATTCAGTGAAAAGTTTGAATTGTGAGCAATGACATCACTGAATTGCTTTGGATATAATTTAGCTTTTAATAACTACACATTAGTTATAATTCTGTGCAGTTTTAATTTATAACACTAGATGGCACCTGTTATATAATTCAGTTTTAAATTGTAGTTCAAACTACCTAAAACGTTTTTTATTTTTGTGCTTAATAGTAGTACTTCTATGCTTTAAACAAACAAAAAATATGTTTTTCTGTTATTTTGAAGACAAAATTATTTTTGCTTGGTTGCATTCTTGGACAGACAGCTCTGGCATCCGATGAAGTGATCTTAGTTGTCTGCTCATTTATTTATCTGCTTTTAGCAAGAAATCACATAACTTTTATTTCTAAGAGACAGTTGTTAGGCAGTTGTTGCAAATAGATGATGTAGCTGTACATTTTAAATGTATGCTCTGGAATGAGTCACTTTTTTTCCCTGAGCCTCAGTGTCCTCATTTGCCAAATAAAGATGCTTCCTAACTGATTCCTGATGACTTTTTGAAAGTGAATTAGGATAATTGCATCTTAAGGTACTTTAGACACTATGAATTTATATATAGGCAAGATATTCATTCATTCATAAACTATTGCCTACACTTTGAAATTTTCATTTTTTGAAGTTGACTTACAGAGGTTCATGTCTGAGTTACTGACCTTCTTAAAGCCTCATCTTCAGCCCTCTCTGCAATTACACAATCCGTGCAAATGGCTGTCTCGGGTTTTCATAGAACAAGACGATGACATGCTGGAGGCTGCCAAGGCATCACTGGGCATCTACTTAACACTGACCAGGTTAGTGTATTTTAAAGTAATTATTGAACGGCCTACAAGTCAGGAAAGCAGAAAACATTTCTGAGAATGTGCTGGGCGTGTTGCTTACTTTCATCATTTGGGGGAAAACATCCTGTTGCAGTTCCTTTCTTTAACCCTGACTTACATGAAAAGGAGATTGCATTTGTATCGCTAGGAAAACCTGGCTGGCTGGGCAGTTCTCAGGTAGTATAACTAGATTGGTATCTGAAAACATGGCTTCTGATTTGGTCTCCAGTAAGTCAGTACACTTCTCTGAATCTTAATTGTTGTTCATTTAAGACCTCTTTTCACCCCTAAGACTTACTTTTTTGTATTAAGCTTCAGTAAGATGATCTTTGCCTTTGTAAAGGTGAATACAAACTTAGAAATAATCAAAGAAGCTGTTCTGAATTTTCGTTTCAGTCGAATTTGGGCTGATACCTTCTTGAGGCAAATGTCTGAAATTGGTTAAGTTATGTTACTGATGATTTATACTGATTGTCTCTGCTTTATTAAAATAGCTGTACTTGGGTTAATATCTTCTTGTGGCAAATATCTATAATTGGTTATGAAGCTAATAACCGATGACCTTTTCCACTGTTTCTGCTTCTGCTTTATTAAAACCCTCACATATTTGCTTTATTTCCATTTCTTTCTTGGCCTGGGAGAAAGGGATTTCTTGCTAATGATCTGTGGTGCAGCGTTGTGCCGCCAGTACTTACTTGTATTATGACACTGCTGGCAATGGCTGCTCTTAGACTCTTGAGTGTTTGGGGCCAATTTTCAAAAGGTCCTAATCAAGAACACAAAATTCCTGCATGTGATTTGAATTAGGTTCAAAATGGTCAAATACAAGTTCAGTCTGAAAATGCACACGCCTGTAAGAGTGTATCTTAATTGTACTCAAAGTTAGCTCCTTACTCCTCAGGAAGTGGAAACCCCTGAATGAAACTGACTTTGTGTGTGAATTTCTCACTTTCTGAATCCAGTTCAGTGTGTCCAGAGAGGCATGTGCTTACAACATAGATAGTTTTTTTCAGATGTAGTTGTATTTGTTAAGATTTTTTTGGTTGTAAATGATAGAAACCAACTCTAATTTGAGCAAAAGCCAGCATTTATTGGCTCATAACTGGGAATTCTAAAGGGTCAAGTTGGAGTCAGGTATAACTATATGTACAGGGACTATAATCAATCATGTCATCAATCACTTCTCAATTTTTCTCTGTCTCACAGTTTTGAATTCATTCTCAAGGCATGGCCACCGGCAGTTCAAGGCGTACCTCAGCCTTACAGTTATAATCTTCCATAGCTCCAGCAAAAGTCCCAGGGGAGACCTGATTAACCCACTTGGGTCACAGAGCCTTGTCAGAACCAGTCATTGTGGCCAGGAGCATGGAGTGCTCTGATTGGTCAATCTGGGTCACATGCCCACCCTTGTTGAGGGTAAGGAAGGAGGTTTAGGAATTATCTTACCACATGGAATTGGTTACCTATAAGAATGAGGAGTTCTGATGTCGAGAGAAAGAACAACAGGTAACTTTTATTGGGCAGACAAAAACTAGAACTGCCAAAGTCAGTGGATTTTGCTTTACTGAGTCAGATTTCTTTAGAGCTTATGGGGAAGGGAATGGGTTTTGAAATTTTTTCTTTTAAGAAGTGATGCATAGATTTAAAAGTAATCTAATAGGTTAATTTATGGTATGTGAATTATATCTGGTAAAACTGTTTATTTTTGTAAGGTCATTAATCTGCATTCTCCATTATCTTCATTTTCAGAGGATGTGAAGCCACTGAAAGCTTGACTCAGGGAAAAGAAATGTGGGACCATCACACACATGAAAATGGCTATAATCCTCACTGTATTTTCTTGTTCTTCTTGAAAAATATAGGATTTGATTCCACAGTTCTTCTTGACTTTTTGATTTCATCAGAAACCTGTTTTCTTGAATATTTTGTTAGATATTTAAAATTACTGCAAAAGGACTGGGATAATTTTTTCACCATTTGCAATAACTTTGATGCAACTGAATCTAAATATGACATAAGTATTTGTGGCTGTGTCCCCTCACTTGTCCAAGACCAAAGCTCCAACCAAACAATACCCCATCGTTTGACTGCTCCTCATAGTCACAGAGATGTGTGTGCTCGGCACTCCTGGGCTTCCGATGCTCCCTCTGAACCACTGAAAGCTGTGATGTCCAAGGGGGCTCACACCATGTGTGCTTCTAGTCTGTCTTCCCCCCGGGCCTCTCAAAGTCTGGTAGATTACGACAGCTCTGACGATTCTGACGTGGAATCCACAGAGCAGTGTTTAGCTAACAGTAAACAGACATCTTTACACCAGCAAGCAACTAAGGAGATTCAGGATGCAGCTGGGACAAGCAGGGATAAAAAAGAATTTAGCCTTGAGCCTCCATCAAGGCCTCTGGTTCTGAAAGAATTTGATACTGCCTTCTCCTTTGATTGTGAAGTAGCCCCAAATGATGTCGTCTCTGAAGTGGGAATATTTTACAGAATAGTAAAATGCTTCCAGGAACTACAAGATGCCATCTGCCGTTTGCAAAAGAAAAATCTTTTCCCATATAATCCAACTGCACTTTTGAAGTTGTTAAAATACATAGAGGTGATAAGTAATAAAACTATGAACACTTTGTAAAACATTGACATTTTATTTTCCAGGTATTGTTTTTCCTTAATATAAATTATGTCTCAATGAGGTAATAGTATAAAATCATCACCATAAAAGGGTTTTCTTTTTTTTTTTTTTTTTTGAGACAGAATCTCATTCTGTCGCTCAGGCCGGAGTGCAGTGGCGTGACTCGACTCACTGCAACCTCCACCTCCTGGGTTCAAGCAATTCTCCTGCCTCAGTCTCCCGAGTAGCTGGAATTACAGGTGCCCGCCACCACGCCCAGCTAATTTTTGTATTTTTAGTAGAGACGGGGGTTTCACCATGTTGCCAGGCTGGTCTCAAACTCCTGACCTCAAGTGATCCGCCTGTCCGCCCTCCCGAAGTGCTGGGATTACAGGCATGAGCCACTGTGCCCGGCTGGGTTTTCTAGACAAGTTCTTACTTTTTGCCTTATTGGAAGCAACCTAGTGACTGAAAAAGAGACATCAAGTGACAAGTCACTCATTATAGCTATATACCACTGGAGATTTATGGCAGTTCTAAGTGACACAAAATCGGGGGTGGTGATTGCGTTCCTCAGCTAGGGCTGCCGTAACAACTTGCCACGTGTGCCGCAGCTTCAGACACCTGGAATTATCCTCATAGTTTTGGAGGCCAGAATCCAAACTCAGGCTTCAGCAGGGCAATGCCCTCAGGGTCTGGAGAAGAATCCCACCCTGCCCCTTTCTGGCTTCTGGTGGCAGCCAGCCAGCCATGGTGTCCCTTGTCTTGTAGTGGCGTCACTCCAGTTCCTGCCTCACATGGCATTTTCCTGTGTCTGTGTCCAGTTTCCCTCCTACAAGGACATCGGTCATTGGACTAGGACCTACCCTCATCCAGTATGATCTCAACTTGATGACAGCTGCAAAGACCCTAATCCCAGATATGGCCACTTTCATGTGTCCTTGATGGACTTGAATCCAGGAGAGTCACTAACCAAATACAGTTACTATTTCCTTCTGGGGTATTTACACAGAAAGCGATATATTACAAATGTAAAATCTTAGCCGTTTCTTTGAGAAGTGATTATACCTGGCCTACTGTATGAACATGATTCTTTCTAAAAAAAAATTTAATCACTAATTTTCCTATTTAAAATTGTGACATGAATAATTATGTTCCATATTCTTGAGGGGAAGCCGTAAATTCCATTGTAATATGTTTGTGTAATAGGAGCAATAGCTATATTGTGCTGCGAAGTCTGGCATTAAGGCAGTCTAAAATATTGCCTGTACATTTTTTTTTAATGATCTCTTTGCAGAGAAACAGAACAAAGACTAAACCTACCGCACATTAAAATATATATTAAGGCTATGGTATTCGAAACAGTTTAGTACTTAATTCAGGTAGACATGGAAAAATCAGTGGAGCTAAATAGAAGGTTGCCGATTAAAATAACAGCGAAGTACCAGTGTTAGCCAAATAGCAATGCAAAGGTCAAAAGGTTTGCGTTTTAACATGCTGTCGGTGAGGCTATGCGTTAAGGCAGTTTCTACCGTAATTGAAAAAGCACGTCAAAGAATGTGTATTCAAGGATGCCACATAGTTTGTAAAAAATGTTAAGGTTTTAGAGTTTTACTAGAAATACCTGGTAAAGTAAGTCAGAATTTGTATAGTCAGTGGAATGGTAGATGCGTTCTATGCACGTTTGTGGATGTGAAACATCTCCAGTAAAAAACAAGTAAATACATGGGGCTTGCAATTATTTAGGGAAAGAAGCAGGGCGGGAGTAATACACATTCATATATATGCTTTTGTGCATGTATAAAATATGTATGTAAGACTACATAAGAAAGTCATAATAGTGGTTGCCTTGGGAGACAGGTCTGATGTGGAAGACAAAGTCTCATCTTTTTGTACTATTTTTAGTGGGATACATGCAGCACTGCATTAGGATGTTTCAATAACAGACCACATAGTACAGTGGTCCCATAAGACTATCAAGCCGTTATTTTTACTGTGACTGTCCTATGTTTAGGCATGTTTAGATACACGCATACTTACTATTGTGTTACAGTTGCCTACAGTATTCAGTACAGTAACATGCTGTGTACAGGTTTGTAGCCTAGGAGCAATGGGCTATACCATATAGCCTAGGTGTGTAGTAGGCTATGCCATCTAGGTTTGTTGAGTATACTCTGTGACATACATGACATGACAACAAAATTGCCTTACAGCTCATTTCTCAGAACATGTCCCTGTCATGTGACACATGGCTGTTTTTTGATGGAAATAACTGGGAAAAAAAAATCGACTCTTGTTCCTAAGGGTACATAAATGTTGAATGCATTATAACTCATGCTTATGCAGATGTGGTTTTGACTTGTGTTTCTCTATAAGGTTAGCAAGGAACTGTCAGCCCCTCATTACATGTAAAATGAGGGAAAAGCAATCTTACAGATATGCGAAGTTGGTGTTTCAGAATCTCTACATTTATAACTAACTCGAGTGTAAGTCAATTCATCACACACTCACTAAGCCCTGCTCTTGCTAAAGGTGACCCTTGGCTGGTGTGATCACTATCCTTGGCCTTTCTGAGCATCTAAGCGCTATTCCCAGAGTTACTTCTTAAAGGAACACAAAACTATTGATGCATGTCTGCACAGTGAATTCCCAGAGTACAACACAAGAGGAGTCTGTAACCTCACCCCTTCCAGTAAAAGAATATGGAAATACAAGTGAGCACATGGTGCTGTGCACCTGACTTATTTTAAAGCAGAAGAGATACAGAAAAGTGCACTATAAGTATACAGCTTGTTGAATTTTCAGAAACAGCACACCTGTGGAGCCAGTCCCCAGATCAAGAAATAGCATGAGGCACCCAGAAGTCCCTCTTGAATCCTCTCCCTGTCACTGTCCACCCCTGAAGGTAACTGTGTCATGAACTGAGACAACAGAGACAATCTTTGCCTGGTTTTCTCTTTCTTTTATAAATGGAGTCATAGATTATGTATTCTTTTGTTCAACATCATTTGGGAGTGTGTCCTGATTTATTTTTAAAATGTCAAGTACCTGGCCAGGCATGGTGGCTCACGCCTGTAATCCCAGCACTTTGGGAGGCTGAGGCGGGTGGATCACCTGAGGTCAGGAGTTCGAGACCAGCCTGGCCAACATAGTGAAACCCCGTCTCTACTAAAAATACAAAAAACCAGCCAGGTATGGTGGCACACACCCATAATCCCAGCTACATGGGAGGCTGAGGCAGGAGAATCGCTTGAACCCCAGAGGCAGAGGCTGCAGTGAGCTGAGATCGCTCCATTGCACTCCAGCTTGGGCAACAAGAGCAAAACTCCATCTCAAAAAAAAGTTAAGTACCCACATTTCAGCTATTATTAGTAACAAAATACTTTGACTCCTCATAATTCTCTGACACGCCTGATATGCTAGAACAGTGAGATTAGCAAACACTGGTCAAACAATAAATTGTATGGTAAACAGGTTATGCAGGGCCTTGTGCAACTGGCCCCAACCTGCTTCTCCAGGCTGTCTGTGGTTTTCTCCCCATCCACTGTTCCTTGCACAACTCTTGGCTCTTACATATTCATTCATCAAGCCCCATCTTCAGTGTTAGATTGTGAAGCCTTCCCCCATCCGTTCTTCACCATTCAATTCTGCATGCTCTATTCTCTGTGCTTTGCTCTTTCCTGTGTTGTATCATTTGTCACATTATATTTGAACCATAAGTCGACAGTCTTTCCATTTGCTAAGCTCTTTTTACATCGTTACATCATAGGCACAGCACAAATGTTGAATAAATGAGAAGTGATCCTTCTCCAGGAACTTGATAATCTACTGGAGGAGACAGATGTGCAGAGAATTATAATCATTATCCTTACCTTGCACTTCCTACTTGCTAGCCACTGTTAAGTGCTCTTCTAATCCTTGTAACAATGTTAGAAAGTAGGTCCTATTATCATTATTATTATTATTATTATTATTATTATTCTTGTTTTGCAGACATGGAGATTAAGTAGCTTGCCCAAGATCACCCAGCCAGTAAAGTGGCAGAGCTGAAGTAATGGATTCAGGTAGTTGGGTTCCAACCTCTTCTCAGACTCCCTACATAATTTATTCCTGCCTTCAAGATAGAAGATGAGGGATGTACACTATTAAAACTAAAATTGTTGCAGATTTGGATATGTGTGGTAGGTGGTATAAGTCACACTATAAACTTATACTGGAGTCAGGTCATCCAAGACCTAGGGTGATGTGCTATGGAGTATTGACTTTTCTATACACAGTGGACAGCTGATGAGGTTTTTGAGTAAATGACTGGTTTTGTATTTGAAGAAAGTGACTTTAGTGGCAATATAGTGGCTAGAGTTTATTGCCACAATAGAGTGGAAGAGTTTATTGCAGAAATCCCACTGAAGGCAAGGGCAATGGGAATGGGATCCAGGCCTGGCTGAATGCTCACATCAGCTTTTCTGCCCTCAGACACCCACTAACAACAAGAAAGAGGCCAAATCACAAGCAACAAGACACATGCGGACAAAATGGAAAAGGAGAAAACAATTTTGGAAGCTCAAAGGTAGGTAGGTTGAAAACTCGTAACCGCCCAGTGGGTTCATCTTTCCCACTCCCTAAACGAAGCCGATTTATCAAGACAGGAATTTCAATAAAGAAAGAGTAATTCACACAGAGCCGGCTGTAGGGGAGACTGGAGTTTTATTATAACTCAAATCGGTCTTTCCGAGCATTCAGGGATCAGAGTTTTTAAGGATAATTTGGTGGGAAGGGGATGTGAGTCAAGAGTGCTGATTGGTTGGGAAAGAGAAGAGATCAGGGAATTAAAGCTGTCTTCTTGTGCTGAGTCAGTTCCTGGGTGGGGGCCACAAGAACCAAGATCAGATGAGCCAGTTTATGGATCTGGGTGGTGCCAGCTGATCCATCAAGTGCAGGGTCTACAAAATAGTTCCTGACTTAGGAGCAGTTTAGGGAGGGTCAGAATCTTGCAGCCTCCAGCTGCATGACTCCTAAACCATAATTTCTAATCTTGTGACTAATTTGTTAATCCTACAAAGGCAGTCTCGTCCCCAGGCAAGAAGGGGATTTGCCTCTTATCTTTGTTTTAAACTATAAATTCCTCTCAAAATTAGTTCAGCCTATGCCCAGGGATGAACAAGGACAGCTTGGAGGTAAGAAGCAAGATGGAGTTGGTTAAGTCCGATCTCTTCCACTGTCCCAGTTACAATTTTGCAGTGGCGGGTTCAAACTAACTTAGTCGACCCAGGAACATTACATTCCTATCTGGAATGGGGAAAACTGAAAAACCTGACTTATGAGCTGGATTCTTCTGAAGGCTCAGGAGCTTGTAGTCTTGAGTACCATGCTGTACCATGGGGTGGTGGGTGGAAAAGCAATTCAGGAAACAATTACTTCTAGATCCTCTGCCCCATTCCATGTAGTTAGCCATTGCTCCCTCCACCACCTAGCAGATTAGAGGTTAATTCCGGGAGAGTGTGAAACAACAGGTCTTTGGACTGGGGAACACCAGACATAGCTGGAGATAGGAATAACATACTGAAAACAGGATTAATTAAACATTTACATACTAAATATAACCACCATCCTCCCTGGCCTTCTCCCCAACCCTATTGCCAAAACACTTCTAACTCTAAGTAGGAGGCTAGAAGAGACTTTTCTGGGGAATTTAACAAACCCAAGAAAAAAGATCTAAAGACACTGATACTGGGGTTCCCCAAATGAATTACCCAGCCAAATCACCCTACTATGAAGCCCATAGTGGCAAATATCACCATGTACATAGAGCTAACTGGCATTTAAGTGGCTCACTCTTACATATAATGTGAGTGAATAGCCAAGGATCATCAGGAATTAGGGGAAAGCCTCTAACCCAAAAGGCAGAGATCAAAACAAACACGAAACAGATTAAACAAAGAGGAAGTTAATTTATCAATACCCTCAAAGAAATTATAAAGGATACTACATAAAAAATATTCAGCGAGGGGCTGGGCATGGTGGCTTACACCTGTAATTCCAGCACTTTGGGAGGCCAAGGCAAGAGAATCACTTGAGCCCAGGAGTTTAAGACCAGCCTGGGCGACATCATGAGACTCTGTCTCTCCAAAAAAAAAACCTAAATAGTTGAGTATAGTAGTCCCAGCTACTTGAGAGGCTTGGCAGAAGGATGGTTTGAACCCAGGAGTTTGAGGTTACAGTGAACTACAATCGTATAATCGCACCACTGCACTCCAGCCTGGGTGACAGAGCAGAGCAAGACCCTGTCTCAAAAAAGAAAAAAATATTCAGTGGGGAAAAAAATACCTCTTATAAATTAATAATGTGATAGCAAAAATGAAAAAGTAGAAATGTAGTAAAAATAAGTTGAGGAAATCTAGATTTTACAGCAATAGGACAAAGAAATTAGAAAATAGGAGAGAGAGAGATGATATAATGTGAGAACTGGTCACCAAGGTCCAATAATTGAATAATAGAAGTATCAGAAAGAGAAAAAAGGACTGGAAAAGAGAAAGTATAAAAGAAATTCAAGGAAAGTTTTTAGAACTGAAAGACTTAGTCTTTAAATAATGTGTGCAAGTATAACTGGAAAAAAGAATTTAAAAAGGAGGAACAGGATCAACCTGAAATAAAGAGCCATCGTTTCACTGGCATGCTGAGATGCTGCTCTGTTTACTGAAATAAGAAAGTAGGAAGCCTTAGGAGGAAGAAAAGTTCAGTTCTCACCTGAGTGACTTCTGACACTGTTATCAGCACAGCGTGGCATCCAGCAGAGAGTTAGAAATGCTCTGTTGGAAATTAGAAGGACAGAGCCAAATATGAGTCATTTGTGTACAAGTATTATGAAAATCGTAGAAGAAAGTGTGATTGCGCTGAGAGTGGAGAGAGAAAAGGTGAGGGTGGGTCGGG
This sequence comes from Homo sapiens, assembly GCF_000001405.40. Taxonomy (NCBI): domain Eukaryota; kingdom Metazoa; phylum Chordata; class Mammalia; order Primates; family Hominidae; genus Homo; species Homo sapiens. The sequence continues at coordinate 100,562,331 of NC_000015.10, read as the reverse complement.
GGAGTACTGGATAGAATAAGGAAAGTGAGGGAAATTTGAGGCAGGAGAACAGAAAATTCTATGAGGAAACTAAGAAAGGTTTTATAGAGCTTTGAGAAGGAAAATTTATGTGGGGTTTAGTATCTCTGAGAGCAACAGTGGGATGAGATCCGAGAAACCACCAGATGGTTTGACCCTTAGGAAGTAGCTGATGATGTTTAAGAGAGAAATTTTAGGTGGACTCAAGTGTGCACAGGAGGGGAAGAGGTAGAAACCAAGGATGGTGGTTTTCAATTTATTTGTATTCTCTGCACACAAATAATACTGGCATTTTGGGTTGCACCTTTGAAATGACAGGCTGAAAACAATACCATTCAAGTCAGAAATAGTTTTAACACAATCACCAAAGGCAATGTTCCAGAAATCCAAAATATCTCCCTGGGCACCAGCTGGACTTGCTGCTGTACCTCCTACCTCTTCCTTAACACAACCCACTAGGGCTGCACTTGGCAGACATGGACTGCCCAGATGTTTGGACACTTGACCTAAATATTAAACTTTAATTGGTCTTGATTGTCACTTATGACAGTATAAAAATTGTCTTGCTTTATCAAAATGCACATTCAAAAATTATGGTTGACAAAATGCCTTTTCTAACAGTAGGATCATAGATCAGACTAGCAAACCATTTCTGAGTTTTTCTGGTTATTTTAAAGAGGGTAGAACTGAACTCACATCAAAGCCTTTACAGTAAACACCATGTATCCCCTCTTAATTGCAAAGCTGGCCTATATATTTTTTTAAGATAAAGGAAAAGCAAACAGTGATCCCTTTCTAAGTTTGCAGTTCACAATGAACCTTACCAAGTAGTTGGAATGAACTGTAGTCCAGTTACTTACTGCATTGGGTACAATACATGCTTGTGTACACCCTGGATTGCTTGTGTTTTTCCTTTTCAGGATTTTTGCTTTGTTTTCAAAGTACACTTCTCTGATATTTATTTTAAATTTACTTCACATACTGTTTTTTTGCAATGGAATCTCACTATGTTGCCCAGACTAGTCTCAAACTCCTGGGCTCAAAGGATCCTCCTGCCTCAGCCTCCCAAGTAGCTGAGATTACAGGCACACACCACTGTCCCAGCAGTTCTCTGATATTTAGAAGCATTGAGATATGGAATGTGATCTGCCTGTGATTTTCTTTCCAGTGAGAATGGCTCAGGTGTTTGCTGTTTGGTAGAGCCTACCCAATCATTGAAGGCAGTAGAGTTGAAGCATGGTTTTACCTGAAAAATGTGCAATGGCACTATCCTGGCTCACCACAACCTCCACCTCCTGGGTTCAAGCAATTCTCCTGCCTCTGCCTACCAAGCAGCTGGTATTACAGGCATGCACCACCACACCCAGCTAATTTTGTATTTTTAGTAGAGACAGGGTTTCTTAGTGTTGGTCAGGCTGGTCTCTAACTCCTGACCTCAGGTGATCTGCCCACCTAGGCCTCCCAAAGTGCTGGGATTACAGGCATGAGCCACTGTGCCTGGCCATCTGAAAAGCACTTTCTATGCTTATATTGGCAGCACATATACTAAAATTGGAATGATACAGAGAAGATTAGCATGGCCCCTGCTCAAGGATGACATGTAAATTTATGAAGCATTTCATATTTTGTAACTTTAAAAAAAAAAAAAGGCACTTTCTAGGGGTGGCAATCAGAATGTCTGTGTGTTTTTTAAGTGCCTCAAGCCTCCTGTCAGACTCATTTCTCCCTTTGAGGCCTGTGAAGTAAGCACCCCAGAAGCACACTTATAATTGCTGATGACATCTTTTTAAGCTATTCAATAAATTATGAGGAAGTGCAGGTTTCCCCACAGCTAAACTTCTTTTATTTGCTAAGGACCATATATTGTCCATCTCCAAATCAACAGATATTTGTTTTTCTGCAAAACACAAAAGACTACTTGTGTAAAACAGAATTGGATTTTTAACTGTCAGTTTTCCTGAAAATTATCTTTTAATTTTTTTTCTGATTGTGCTATTTTTCTCCACAATAAAGAGAAAGGGTTCCCCTGACTCACTGGACTATTGACAAGTACATCATTTTTGTATCGCATAGCATTTTTTTTTTTTTTGAGATGGCATCTCATTCTGTTGCCCAGACTGGAGTGCAGTGGTGCAATCTTGGCTCACTGCAATCTCCACCTCCTGGGTTCAAGTAATTCTCCTGCCTCAGCCTCCCAAGTAGCTAGGATTACAAGCGTGCACCACCATGTCCGGGTATTTTTTTTTTTTGTATTTTTAGTAGAAATGGGGTTTCACTGTGTTGGCCAGGCTGGTCTCAAACCCCTGACCTCAATTGATCCACCCCCCTTGGCCTCCCAAAGTGCTGGCATTACAGGCGTGAGCCACCACGCGTGGCTCACATAGCATTCTTTGCTTGAATATAGCATATGCCCTCTTGATTGTGTGTCATTTTTAATATGTACAATAAACAATTTGACGATTACATGGAAGGGAAAATGGGTGACGAAAATAAAATTAATTGGCAACAGCCTTTCCACCATACAAGTGAGTTTTATTACAAATTGGTAATAGAATCAGGGTAACATTTGGGGGTGATCACAAATAGCTGAGTCTTGGAAAGGGCTGTATGGACAGAAGGCATGTCAGCGCAGCTTCACCTGGGGATTTGGAAACAGGGCTCAACAGCTCTCTACACTTCCTGGATTGGTAAGAACAGAGAAGAAGCCACCAGGATTTCATCAGAGGCTTTTTTTTTAAACAGCATAGTAAGAAGTAAATAAATAGTACTGCTTATTTTGTTACTCAATAGTCTGCTGTGGAGGATGGCCAAGGCCTGCCTCTAGTGAAGATGTGTCATTCCAGTTGTTATAGGCCAATGGTGACATACCCAATGTGGGAGGCTGGATTCACAAACACAGCAGCATGCCATTTGGAATAGTGATATGTAGAACAGACGATGCTGGGATGCTTAGGCAGTCCAAATTGTCCACCTTCACTGTGCTACTTGAGTTGTGAATCAGCTGGTAAAAAACAAACAAAAACACCGTAGAGCACGCTGGCGGCTACCAAGCTGGAGGAGGCGGCGGGCGCGAGACTGGGAATGCGCAGGGCCCCCTCCCTGCCCCCACAGCCTGGGCCACGGGCCCCATCTTCCCCGCTGCTGCGCGGCACTCAGTGCCCACCCCCCGACGAGGCCGGCAGCTGCTCCCACCCGGGGGCGTTGTCAGCTGCGCCGGGCCGCGCGCTGGGAGGCGAGGGCACGCATGGGGAGCCTCCGTTGATGCCACCACCACGCCGCCCTCCGAGGCTGCGTCCCGGGAAGCCCGGCTACCCGAGCGCTCCGGCCTGGCCCGGTGCCCCGGACCTGAGTGTGTCCGCATGGAGGAGCCCCGACTGGCCCAGGCGGCCGTGGCGGAGAGCGACCCCCGAGAGGTGTGGGAGGAGACCCCCGGCTGGGCACCCGCATTCTGCCCCAGCCCCAAGGCCTGGTCGCCGGAGCCGCCTGCCCACCGCCTGCAGGACTTCGACACACTGGCCACCGTGGGCACTGGGACGTTCGGGCGGGTGCACCCGGTGAAGGAGAAGACCGCCAAGCATTTCTTCGCCCTCAAGTTGATGAGCATTCCTGATGTCATCCGCCTGGCAGGAGCAGCACGTGCACATTGAGAGGTGTGTCCGGAAGGAATCATCCGCCCGTCCCTCATCTGCGTCCGGAAGGAATCCCTTCCTCATCTGCGTCCGGAAGGAAGTCATCCGCCCGTCGCTCATCTGCGTCCGGAAGGAAGTCATCCGCCCGTCCCTCATCTGCGTCCGGAAGGAAGTCATCCGCCCGTCCCTCATCTGCGTCCGGAAGGAAGTCATCCGCCCGTCGCTCATCTGCGTCCGGAAGGAAGTCATCCGCCCGTCCCTCATCTGCGTCCGGAAGGAAGTCATCCGCCCGTCCCTCATCTGCGTCCCGAAGGAATCATCCGCCCGTCCCTCATCTGCGTCCGGAAGGAAGTCATCCGCCCGTCCCTCATCTGTGTCCGGAAGGAAGTCATCAGCCCGTCCCTCATCTGCGTCCGGAAGGAAGTCATCCGCCCGTCCCTCATCTGCGTCCGGAAGGAAGTCATCCGCCCGTCCCTCATCTGCGTCTGGAAGGAAGTCATCTGCTCGTTCCTCATCTGCGTCCGGAAGGAAGTCATCTGCTCGTTCCTCATCTGCGTCCGGAAGGAAGTCATCCGCCCATCCCTCATCTGCGTCTGGAAGGAAGTCATCCACCCGTCGCTCATCTGCGTCCGGAAGGAAGTCATCCGCCCGTCCCTCATCTGCGTCCGGAAGGAATCATCCGCCCGTCCCTCATCTGCGTCTGGAAGGAAGTCATCCGCCCGTCCCTCATCTGCGTCCTGAAGGAAGTCATCCGCCCTTTCCTCATCTGCGTCTGGAAGGAAGTCATCCGCCCGTTCCTCATCTGCGTCCTGAAGGAATCATCCACCCGTTCCTCATCGGCGTCCCGAAGGAAGTCATCCGCCCGTCCCTCATCTGCGTCCGGAAGGAATCATCCGCCCGTCCCTCATCTGCGTCTGGAAGGAAGTCATCCGCCCGTCCCTCATCTGCGTCTGGAAGGAAGTCATCCGCCCGTCCCTCATCTGCGTCCTGAAGGAATCATCCGCCCGTCCCTCATCTGCGTCTGGAAGGAAGTCATCCGCCCGTCCCTCATCTGCGTCTGGAAGGAAGTCATCCGCCCGTCCCTCATCTGCGTCTGGAAGGAAGTCATCCACCCGTCCCTCATCTGCGTCCTGAAGGAATCATCCACCCGTTCCTCATCGGCGTCCCGAAGGAAGTCATCCGCCCGTTCCTCATCTGCGTCCTGAAGGAATCATCCACCCGTTCCTCATCGGCGTCCCGAAGGAAGTCATCCACCCGTTCCTCATCTGCGTCTGGAAGGAAGTCATCCACCCGTCCCTCATCTGCGTCCTGAAGGAATCATCCGCCCGTCCCTCATCTGCGTCTGGAAGGAAGTCATCCGCCCGTCCCTCATCTGCGTCTGGAAGGAAGTCATCCGCCCGTCCCTCATCTGCGTCCTGAAGGAATCATCCGCCCGTCCCTCATCTGCGTCTGGAAGGAAGTCATCCGCCCGTCCCTCATCTGCGTCTGGAAGGAAGTCATCCGCCCGTCCCTCATCTGCGTCTGGAAGGAAGTCATCCACCCGTCCCTCATCTGCGTCCTGAAGGAATCATCCACCCGTTCCTCATCGGCGTCCCGAAGGAAGTCATCCGCCCGTTCCTCATCTGCGTCCTGAAGGAATCATCCACCCGTTCCTCATCGGCGTCCCGAAGGAAGTCATTCGCCCGTTCCTCATCTGCGTCCTGAAGGAATCATCCACCCGTTCCTCATCGGCGTCCCGAAGGAAGTCATCCGCCCGTTCCTCATCTGCGTCTGGAAGGAAGTCATCCACCCGTCCCTCATCTGCGTCCTGAAGGAATCATCCGCCCGTCCCTCATCTGCGTCTGGAAGGAAGTCATCCACCCGTCCCTCATCTGCGTCTGGAAGGAAGTCATCCGCCCGTCCCTCATCTGCGTCCGGAAGGAAGTCATCCACCCGTCCCTCATCTGCGTCCGGAAGGAGGTCATCCGCCCGTTCCTCATCTGCGTCTGGAAGGAATCATCCACCCGTCCCTCATCTGCGTCCGAAGGAAGTCATCCGCCCGTCCCTCATCTGCGTCCGGAAGGAGGTCATCCGCCCGTTCCTCATCTGCGTCCTGAAGGAGGTCATCCGCCCGTTCCTCATCTGCGTCTGGAAGGAAATCATCCGCCCGTTCCTCATCTGCGTCCGAAGGAAGTCATCCACCCGTCCCTCATCTGCGTCCGGAAGGAAGTCATCCGCCCGTCCCTCATCTGCGTCCTGAAGGAAGTCATCCGCCCGTTCCTCATCTGCGTCTGGAAGGAAGTCATCCGCCCGTCCCTCATCTGCGTCCTGAAGGAATCATCCACCCGTCCCTCATCTGCGTCCGGAAGGAATCATCCACCCCTCCCTCATCTGCGTCCGGAAGGAGGTCATCCGCCCGTTCCTCATCTGCGTCCAGAAGGAATCATCCACCCGTCCCTCATCTGCGTCCAGAAGGAAGTCATCCACCCGTCCCTCATCTGCGTCCGGAAGGAAGTCATCCACCCGTCCCTCATCTGCGTCCTGAAGGAAGTCATCCGCCCGTTCCTCATCTGCGTCTGGAAGGAAGTCATCCGCCCGTCCCTCATCTGCGTCCGGAAGGAATCATCCGCCCGTCCCTCATCTGCGTCTGGAACGAAGTCATCCGCCCGTCCCTCATCTGCGTCCTGAAGGAATCATCCACCCCTCCCTCATCTGCGTCTGGAAGGAAGTCATCCGCCCGTCCCTCATCTGCGTCCTGAAGGAATCATCCACCCGTTCCTCATCGGCGTCCCGAAGGAAGTCATCCGCCCGTCCCTCATCTGCGTCTGGAAGGAAGTCATCCGCCCGTCCCTCATCGGCATCCTGAAGGAATCATCCACCCGTTCCTCATCGGCGTCCCGAAGGAAGTCATCCGCCCGTCCCTCATCTGCGTCTGGAAGGAAGTCATCCGCCCGTCCCTCATCTGCGTCCGGAAGGAAGTCATCCGCCCGTCCCTCATCTGCGTCCTGAAGGAAGTCATCCGCCCGTCCCTCATCTGCGTCTGGAAGGAATCATCCACCCGTCCCTCATCTGCGTCTGGAAGGAAGTCATCCACCCGTCCCTCATCTGCGTCCTGAAGGAATCATCCACCCGTCCCTCATCTGCGTCTGGAAGGAAGTCATCCGCCCGTCCCTCATCTGCGTCTGGAAGGAAGTCATCCGCCCGTCCCTCATCTGCGTCCGGAAGGAGGTCATCCGCCCGTCCCTCATCTGCGTCCTGAAGGAATCATCCACCCGTTCCTCATCGGCGTCCCGAAGGAAGTCATCCGCCCGTCCCTCATCTGCGTCTGGAAGGAAGTCATCCGCCCGTCCCTCATCTGCGTCCTGAAGGAATCATCCGCCCGTCCCTCATCTGCGTCCGGAAGGAGGTCATCCGCCCGTTCCTCATCTGCGTCTGGAAGGAATCATCCACCCGTCCCTCATCTGCGTCCGGAAGGAAGTCATCTGCCCGTCCCTCATCTGCGTCTGGAAGGAATCATCCACCCGTCCCTCATCTGCGTCCTGAAGGAATCATCCACCCGTCCCTCATCTGCGTCCGGAAGGAGGTCATCCGCCCGTTCCTCATCTGCGTCCGGAAGGAATCATCCACCCGTCCCTCATCTGCGTCCTGAAGGAATCATCCACCCATCCCTCATCTGCGTCTGGAAGGAAGTCATCCGCCCGTCCCTCATCTGCGTCCTGAAGGAAGTCATCCGCCCGTTCCTCATCTGCGTCTGGAAGGAAGTCATCCGCCCGTCCCTCATCTGCGTCCTGAAGGAATCATCCACCCGTTCCTCATCTGCGTCCTGAAGGAAGTCATCCACCCGTCCCTCATCTGCGTCTGGAAGGAATCATCCACCCGTCCCTCATCTGCGTCCTGAAGGAATCATCCACCCGTCCCTCATCTGCGTCTGGAAGGAAGTCATCCGCCCGTCCCTCATCTGCGTCCTGAAGGAATCATCCACCCGTCCCTCATCTGCGTCCTGAAGGAATCATCCACCCGTTCCTCATCGGCGTCCCGAAGGAAGTCATCCGCCCGTCCCTCATCTGCGTCTGGAAGGAATCATCCGCCCGTTCCTCATCTGCGTCCGGAAGGAATCATCCGCCCGTCCCTCATCTGCGTCCCGAAGGAAGTCATCCGCCCGTCCCTCATCTGCGTCCCGAAGGAAGTCATCCGCCCGTCCCTCATCTGCGTCCGGAAGGAAGTCATCCGCCCGTCCCTCATCTGCGTCCGGAAGGAAGTCATCCACCCGTCCCTCATCTGCGTCCGGAAGGAAGTCATCCACCCGTCCCTCATCTGCGTCCGGAAGGAAGTCATCCGCCCGTCCCTCATCTGCGTCCGGAAGGAATCATCCACCCGTCCCTCATCTGCGTCCTGAAGGAATCATCCACCCGTTTCTCATCAGGCTGTGCTGGACGGGGCATGACTAGCGCTTCCTCTGCAGGCTCATGGAGTATGTTCCGGGCTGTGAGCTCTTCAGCTACCTGCGCAACCGGGGGCTCTTCTACTCTGCAGAGATCATCTGTGCCATCCTGCACTCTAAGGAGATCATCTACAGGGACTTGAAGCCGGAGAACATCCTGCTGGATAGGGACGGACACATCAAGCTCACGGACTTTGGGTTCGCCAAGAAGCTGGTAGACAGGACTTGGACCCTCTGCGGAATACCCGAGTACCTGGCCCCCGAAGTCATTCAGAGCGAGGGTCACGGAAGGGCTGTGGACTGGTGGGCCCTCAGCATCCTGATATTCGAGATGCTCTCGGGATTTCCTCCATTTGTGTGTGTGTGTGTGTGTGTGTGTGTGTGTGTGTGTGTGTGTGACAACATGTTTGGCATTTATCAGAAAATTCTTGCAGACAAGATAGATTTCCCCAGACATTTGGATTTCCATGTGAAAGATCTCATTAAGAAACTGCTCGTGGTTGACAGAACAAGGTGGTTAGGAAATATGAAGAACGGGGCGAATGATGTGAAACGCCATCGGTGGTTCCGCTCTGTGGACTGGGAAGCTGTTCCTCAGAGAAAACTGAAGCCTCCCATCGTGCCCAAGATAGCCCGCGAAGGCGACACCTCCAACTTCGGAACTTACCCCGAGAATGACTGGGACACAGCCGCGACCGTGCCGCAGAAGGGTTTAGAAATCTTCAAGAATTTCTGAGGACAGGAGCTCACATCTGGAAGAAGCAGGAAGGCTGGAATCTGCCTGCAACAAAGAGCTGCTCCTGAGCAGACCAGTAGCAATGTCTTCTTCACGTGATAAGGACATTTCCACTTTTCTGTCTTTGTGCCTGTATGTATAGAAACAGATCAGAGCACAGTTGAAATTAATGTAACTGGCATTATTTAAGCAACTGGAATTCCACACTGTAGGAAGGTTTTGAAAATTGTTTGCTTGTAGATTTTATCTTATCCTTTAGTGTTGTGTTCCTACTGTGATGTCTTGGTTTTTCTCATAGACTTAAGTTTATAAGTTTGAACTGGACTTGTTCAATTATAACCACAAATTGTGTGTGTGTGTGTGTGTGTGTGCATGCGCGCGCCTGTGTGTATATATAGAAGTCATTATGGCAGATCCACAGAAATTGTGCAATGATGTAAATGTTCATACTTCACAGAGCCTATAATTTTTATTTTTCAATTTGTTTTTTCAAAAATCTCTTCTCTTGGGGACAACATCTGAAGGGTCTGTTGCATGGATTTAAAAAAATCATCTCACATGCATTTTTTAGTTTGGGTGAAGAAAACATCATGGGGAGGTCCATCTTCAGTATCTTTAGTGCTTCCTACCTGGTAACTTGAGACTTTAAAAGAAGAAACAAAGAGAAGAAGATATGGGAGTGAATTTATTCCAAGAATCTACAATGACATTGAAGTTGTTGGAGGAATATACTGTATTTAAAAAACCTGTGTCACATTCAAAAATTTCATCTAAGCTGGGCGCAGTGGCTTGTTCCTGTAGTCCCAGCACTTCAGGAGGCTGAGGTGGGTGGATTGCTTGAGCCCAGGAGTTGGAGACCAGTCTGGGAAACATGGTGAGATGTCATCTCTCTACAAAATACAAAAAAATTAGCCGGGCATGGTGGCGCTTGCCTATAGTCTCAGCTACTCGGGAGGCTGAAATGAGAGGATCACTTGAGCCCGGGGAGGTCCAGGCCGCAGTGATCCGAGATCACACCACTGCACTCCAGCCTGGGTGACAGAGTGAGACCCTGTCTAAATTAAAAAAAAAAAAAAGGCAATGGCTTTGTGCTTTTGAAGGTGGAATGAAAGGTGGAATGAAGACACATCCACCTTAAGGCTTTAAAAGACCATGAAGCTGGGTGCAGTGGCTCACTCCTGTAATCCTAGGATTTGGGGAAGCCAAGGCAGGAGGATTGCTTGAGCCTAGGAGTTTGAGACCAGCCTGGGCAGCATAGCAAGACCCCATCTCTATAAAAGGAAAAAAATGTTAAAACACAGTGAAACTGCAGAAACAGAACATAGCCACCCTTTTTCATTAATGACCTTTTCTTCACGTGGTGGTCAACTCAGCAGGTGAGAATAATTAGTAGGTTCAGTAGAATAAAGTCTTTACAATTAATAACTTAGTGGAAAATGATGTTCAGATGATGAAATGTGGAAATGTTTTAGACAGCTGTATTTTCAGCCTGTGTGTCTCAGTCACCATCCTGTTGGGATTAACAGTTGAGGGCCATCATTTTCTAAACATTTCACATGCAGTTTCCCATAATTTTTACCGTGAATGTGAAAAGGTGAAACTGGTGCTGACTTCAGCGGCAGGTATACTAAAATTAGAATGACACAGAGGAGATTAGCATGGCCCCCTGTGCAAGGAAGATCCAGATTCATGCCGCATTCCATATTTTTTTTTAAAAAAGGTTACACTGTGCACCGAGATGTGCAGCTAGAAGGAAGAGCATGAAGTCTCGTGTTTGCTGACTATAAAAATAAATCATAGTAATAATATTGTTGAAAATTCTGCTTTAAAAATTATTAATAAAACCATAAATGAAACACTATTCTTGAGCACACTTTAAAAAGTACATAGACCCATAAGTCCATGTACTAAAAAATGCCTATTTTTAGGTTGCCTGTTTTGTAATCCAGGATTTCATACTGAGATGAAAATTAGCATCAGGAAAAGCCTGAAATGCCTTGCCTTAATTGTGAACAGATACTGGGGAACCTGCCCCGATATTCACGTAGGTTCTTTTCTGTTTTCCTTAAGCATCGGCCAGCTTGAGAAATAAAGGGACAGAGTACAAAAGAGAGAAATTTTAAAGCTGAGCGTCCGGGGGAGACATCACATGTCGGTAGGTTCCGTGATGCCCCACAAGCCACAAAAACCAGCAAGTTTTTATTAGGGATTTTCAAAAGGGGAGGGAGTGTGCGAATAGGTGTGGGTCACAGACATCAAGTACTTCAGAAGGTAATAGAATATCACAAGGCAAGTGGAGGCAGGGTGAGATCACAGGACCACAGGACCGAGGCGAAATTAAAATTGCTAATGAAGTTTCGGGCACCATTGTCATTGATAACATCTTATCAGGAGACAGGGTTTTTGAGATCAACCGGTCTGACCAAAATTTATTAGGCGGGAATTTCCTCTTCCTAATAAGCCTGGGAGCGCTATGGGAGACTGAGGTCTATTTCACCCCTGCAGTCTTGACCATAAGAGATGACCACGCCCAGGGGGGCCAGTTCAGAGACCCACCCCCAGGCGCACATTCTCTTTCTCAGGGATGTTCCTTGCTGAGAAAAATAATTCAGCGATATTTCTCCCATTTGCTTTTGAAAGAAGAGAAATATGGCTCTGTTCCGCCTGGCTCACCGGCAGTCAGAGTTTAAGGCTATCTCTCTTATTCCCTGAACAATTGCTGTTATCCTGTTCTTTTTTCAAGGTACCCAGATTTCATACTGCTCAAACACACATGCTGTACAATTTGTGCAGTTAATGCAATTATTACAGGGTCCTGAGGTGACATACATCTTCGTCAGCTGACAGGATTAAGAGATTAAAGACAGGCATAGGAAATCACAAGAGTATTGATTGGGGAAGTGATAAGTGTCCATGAAATCTTTACAATTTATGTTTAGAGATTGCAGTAAAGACAGGCATAAGAAATTACAAAAGTATTAATTTGGGGAACTAATAAACGTCCATGAAATCTTCACAATCCACGTTCTTCTGCCATGGCTTCAGCCGGTCCCTCCGTTTGGGGTCCCTGACTTCCCGCAACAAACAGATATGCATGAAAATGAAATATGCAAAGCACATTGATGACCTTGTTCTTTACGGACATTGTAATCAGCCTCTAGCCATACAGAACAAATGAGAAATTAGAAGCACTTCCAAGAACGTGTGATGGTGTGAAACCCACTTTTGACCATCATGCACATTTCAACATTTGAAGTGAGACAGGCTACCTGGTAACTGCCCCATGGCGGGGTCATAGTTTAAATGGCCCAATGTCCTGTAGAGGTTAATTTAATCAAAATGAGCTATAAACATAGAACAATCACTATGTATAATTTTAAAATAGTTTACCTGGCCCGTCATGGTGGCTCACGCCTGTGATCCCAGCACTTTGGGAGGCCGAGGTGGGCAGATCACCCACGGTTGGGAGTTCGAGACCAGCCTGGCCCGCATGGCGAAACCCCCATCTCTACTAAAACTACAAAAATTAGGCATGCTGGTGGGTGCCTGTGGCCCCAGCTGCTCAGGAGGCTGAGGCAGGAGAATCGCTTGGATTCGGGAGGCGGAGGCTGCAATGAGCCAGGATTGTGCCTCTGCACTCTAGCCTGGGTGACAGGGCAAGACTCCATCTCAAAAAATAAAAATAAAAATAGTTTATCTGGGTGGGCATTCCAAAATTTCCGCATAGATGATCACGTGAAACAATCACTGTGCTAAATGTGGAGGAAAATTCATCACGATAATCACAAAATTTGTATCAGAAAAAAATTACAAATGTACTTTGTTTCATGTAATTTTATGAGTTGGAAGTATTTTCTTAAATTGGAACACTATAAGATAATATCTTTAGGAAATGGATATGCCACAATAGGAAGTATAGTGGGGCAAGTCTTGTTTTTCTCAAGGGAAAAGCCACCAGCCTGCTTTCATAGGCATTGATAAAACCAGGAAGAAAATAAAGTCACAACCAAATAGTATACACTGTCTCTACTGAATTCTTCTAATTCCTTCCCAACAGAAGTCTAAATCCTGCTTAGCCTAAACATATCTATAGCCAGCGATGGGCAAATTATATTTGCTGTCAGCATGATAGAATAAGAATCAGAAACCCCCCAGCAGTGGGGTAAGATCGTGCACTTCATCCCCTCAAAATGCTGTCAACCCCATTCCCTCTCCATGCCCTCAAACAACTGCACAGTCACTTGTTAGTGAATTTCTCGTTCAGCGTTTTGTTTTTTTCTCTCCATACTTAAAGACCAAATCATTTGTTTGCTCTGAAGAAAAAGAAAAAACAAAACAAAACAAAAAACCACCCACCAAATCATTTGAAATCACTACCCGTTAAAAAAAATCACCAGTGGAACTAAACAGTTGAGTGGTTTGGGATGTGTTCGCCATTTCTGTGTTTGACCTACATGGCCTCTAGTTCTTTGGACCACTGTAACTGTGAAACCATGGCTTAATACTGTTAAAGACCCCAAGGCTCAACTCTGTAGCCAGGGTGTACCTCAGGCTGCACAAATATCACACCAGAATGTCACAATCATTCATTGCTCCAGCTACTGAGTGAACAGGGTGCAAGACAGCACTGGCTTGGGTTGTATTTTTGCAGCCAGTTAACTTTGCATCAGGTCTACACAGTCCTTGCAGCCTTTGATTTCTCCAGTTGTAGAGATTTGAAATGGGGTGCCCGGGTTCCTCTCGTTTTTCCTTCAACCTACCTAGCATGCATTTTACACACATTGGAGGAGTCTTATGCACTGTTTTTCTCTGTTGCTGATGGAGGCAAGAAGGCCTTCTAATTAGTCTAACTTAAACGGACGGGATTCACCTAACAAAAGCAAGAAGAAAAGCACAAGAACAGGTGTCTTAATGCATTTGGATAATTTATTTGGGGTGTGTGCGTGTGTGTGTGTGTCTTGGTGGAGGTGGGGGCCGTGTTCTCACCAAGCCTTTTCATAATCAAGTTTGCTTTGCAAACTTTATGGCCTTACACCCAGCAGAACAGTCCTTGCTAATAAAAGGAGGATGCCCTGTCACAGTTCTCTGTAAATTATCATGTGTTGGGAAGTTCTGTTGATGCTTAGTTTGATCTTCCATGGTGGACACATCTGTTCTGTATGTACAAGGCATTACATGTGTGTTTTAGCGGATGGGAATTGAAGCCTTTCCACAGTCCTTGTGCTCTGAGATGGCTGTTGAGCTCTGCTCAGCTGTCGTAGCTGAATTCTTTTTTTGTGCTGAACACTGGGCAGCCTCACCATGTTGTCAATGTGCTTCTGGGGCCCCTGTGACTGCTGCCAGATGCCATGCACACAAGCAGAGTGCCTTTGCAGGTTTGTGCACCCCTTGGCGAGCTGGAACTGGGAGCCCTGTGGGGTGATCTCGCCTTCTCATGGGGGGTCGGGGAGGGGAGTGCCTATTTTTAATCTTGTCTGTTTGTTGCACCATGGAAATCACTGTGATTTGTATATATGCCCTAGGAAATTTTTACTGCAGTCTAATTTATGTAATAATGTTGATTCCAGGTTTGTTTAATAAAGCTTTGTATCTTTTAAGAAAAAAAAAACTGTAGCATGTAGAGGAAAGTGCACTGGGATAATCCAAGGCCAGGCTTTGAGGTTCCACCGCTACATTATGTGACTCTTAGTCTAAACCTTTTGGTGTAATTTCTTTGGTCTGATTATTTATAAGTAGCAGATAATAAATGAATTTTATACTACAAACACAAGTGACAAGCTTTTGCCTCTTCTTCCTTTTTATTAAAGTAAAACATACATAGGTGTAACCTCTTAAATAATTTTTCTTGTCATAAATTACATATTTGTCATTTTATTGTAGTGTTTCCTTTGTTTTCTTTTGGGTTGCATATGGATTGTTAGTGATTTGTATTTCTCTCTTATAGTTATTTGGAAAATATATCTGCTTTAAATCATTGCCTTTCTTTTTTTTGAAACCAAGTCTCACTCTGTCACCCAGGCTGGAGTGCAGTAGCACAATCTCAGCTCACTGCAGCCTCCACCTCCTGGGTTCAAACAATTCAGTCTCAGCCACCTGAGTAGCTGGGATTACAGACGTGCACCACCACACCCAGCTAACTTTTGTATCTTTAGTAGAGACAGGGTTTCACCATGTTGTCCAGGCTGGTCTCCAACTCCTGACCTCAAGAGATCTGCCCGCCTCAGCCTCCCAAAGTGCTGGGATTATAGGTGTGAGCCACCATGCCCAGCCAAATCATTGCCTTTCTATGCTTTTATTTTTTAGTTTTTTGGAGACAGGGTCTACCTCTGTCATCCAGGCTGGAGTGCAGTGACACAATCATGGTGGCCCACTGCAGCCTTGAAACTCCTGCGTACAAGTGATCCTCCCCTATCAGCCCCCCGAGTAGCTGAGACTATAGGTGTGTGCCACCATGCCCAGCCTTTTACATTTGTTTGTAGAGATAGGGTCTCACTATGTTGCCCAGCTTGGTTTCAAACTCAGCCTCAAGTGATCCTCCCACATCAGCCTCCCAAAGCACTAGGATTACAGGCATGAGCCTCTGCACCCAGGCACTTTTCTCCTCTTTTCAAAAAATATGCTTGAAAATTCCTTTTTTTAGTCATCAAAGCCAAGACTGAAGTAAATTATGCATGTAATGGGCTTCCTGCCCCCTCCAGCTTTCTGGCCATTGTTAATTTCACTTGAATTTATAAACCAAATTGCTATTCCCAATGATTTTTTACACTATACATCTTCTCCTTAAATTTTATTCTTGACTTTTACACTACATCTTGTTATCACCATTATATTTATTATTTAGTCTTTACTCTATTTCATGATGTGTCTAATGAAAAAATCTTAATTTGTGTTCCTTTCTTTGGTAATGTTTCCAGGAAAAATGGCTGGGTTATGTAAGCATCCCAACAATTTCCTAAGAAGAAAGATATATTTTCTGAGACTTTGTATATCAGAGTATGTCTTTTGGTTGCCATTCTTTTGGTTAATGGCAATATGATGTCTTTTATAAACCCATCCCACATTTTTTTTTTTTTTGAGACGGAGTTGCTCTTGTTACCCAGGCTGGAGTGCAATGGCAGAATCTTGGCTCACTGCAAACTCTGCCTCCCAAATCTCAGCCTCCCAGGTAGCTGGGATTGTAGGCATGCACCACCATACCCAGCTAATTTTGTATTTTTAGTAGAGATGGGGTTTCACCATGTTAGTCAGGCTGGTCTTGAACCCCTGACCTCAGGTGATCCACCTGCCTCGGCCTCCCAAAGTGCTGGGATTATAGGCATGAGCCACCACGCCTGGTCCTCTTTACTTCTTCATACCCGATTTGATCTTCTTCCGTGTCAATTCAATTCATTACATCCAAAACAGGTTTTACTCATGAGGGAATTAGTGTGTCAAAAGGCTATTAAAAAGCACTAACAAGGCTGGGTGTGGAGGCTCACATCTGTAATCCTAGCACTTTGGGAGGCCAAGGTGGGCAGATTGCTTGAGCCCAGGAGTTGGAGATCAGCCTGGGCAACATGGTGAAACCCCATCTCTACAAAAAAATACAAAAATTAGTCGGGTATAGTGGTTCACGCCTGTCGTTAGTTACTCAGGAGGCTGGGGCGAGAGGATCACCTGAGCTCAGCAAGTTAAGGCTGCGGTAAGCTGTGATTGTGCCACTGCACTCTAGCCTGGGTGAGAGTGAGACTCTGTCTCCAAAAAAACAACAACAACAAAAAAAGAGGTTGGGCGCAGTGGCTCACTTCTGTAATCCCAGCACTTTGTGAGGCCAAGGCAGGTGGATCACCAGGTCAAGATATTGAGACCATCTTGGCCAACATGGTGAAATCCTGTCTCTACTAAAAATACAAAAATTAGCTGGGCGTGGTGCCGCGTGGCTATAGTCCCAGCTATTCGGGAGGCTGGGGGGGAGAATCGCTTGAACCCAGGAGGCAGAGGTTGCAGTGAGCCACAGCACCCCAGCCTGGTGACAGTGTGAGACGCCATCTTAAAAAAAATAATAATAAATAAAATAAAATAAAATAGAAAAAAAAAGCACTAAAAAGCCTGAAGTCACACATCCCAAAGTTAGTGAATGAGTGGAGTTTAAACCCAGGGCTGTATGGCTATCATGCCTGTTTTCCCCTACTCTGCTACACTGTCTCCTCTGTAAATGTTTTGTTTTGTCTTTTGGAGACAGGGTCTCACTCTGTCACCCATGCTGAAGTGCAGTGGTGCCAGCACAGCTCACTGCATGTAAATGGTTTTCCTAGATTTGTATTTTAATCAAATATTCAGAGAAACAATGCTCCCTGTTCTCTCTCGCTGGGGATGGTTTCATTGCCTTATCTTATCTATTTTCTATTTTTCCGTGTCTGTTAATTCAGCCTCATAATGGGAAATGGCTGCAGACCTGGGCTTGCTGGCTGAGATAATCCATGGGTGCTTATGGACTTACTCCAGAAGGGCTTCCCCTTCCTATCAACAGCCTGTAGACCCTTCGTGTTTTCACCTTCTGAAGAGGTTGTGTAAGGCGCTGGGTTCGGAATCACGGAAGGCCCAGGTGCAAACCTCAGCAGTCCCGGGTACCAGCTGTGCAGCGCAGGTGAGCCGCTTAGCCCCTCTCACCCAGTCACGAGTGATGGTGTCTCGCGAGGCCGGTGTAGGACGAGTGTGGTCCAGGCGCAGTACCTGAAAAGGGCGCCCAGGGAGGGAGCCGGCGGTCGTTGGGCGCTCTCTCGGCCCGCACCCGGGCATCCCTCGACCCGGGCTGGAGGGGCAGTGTCCCGGGATGCACCGCTGCGGGGACCCCCCGCCCGGCCTCGCGGACCCGCCTCGGCCCAGGACGGAGGAGGAGGCAGGTGCGGGGCCCGGGGCGGGTGCGGGGACGGCAGGTGGAGGGAAGAGGGCATCGGGCCCTGCTCACCGCGGTGTGTGGGGCTGCCCGACCGCGCCCCCCGCAGGTGCCGCCCAGACCCCGGCCGAGGGTCCTCGTCCCCGCGCAGGCCCAGGTCGAGGCCGAGAGAGGGCCCGTGTCCCCGCGCAGACCTAGGCCGAGAGAGGGCCCGTGACCCCGCGCAGGTCAAGGCCGAGAGAGGGCCCGTGTCCCCGCGGAGGTCAAGGCCGAGAGAGGGCCCGTGTCCCCGCGCAGGTCAAGGCCCAGAGTCCCCGTGCTCGCACAGATGGTGTCCTGGGGCCCAGTCGCGCTCCCCGCTCGCGGCAGCCCCCGTGTACTGGGCCTTGCAAAGTCCGTTAGGAGCGCTCCAGGGCGACAGTGCCCAGCGGTTAACAAGTTTGTAATTACTTTCGTGGGTTTCTACGTTGCAAATTGAGAAGAGGGTTGCTGGGTTGGGCCCCCCTCCTCTGGACGCTAACCCCACCCAGGTAAACAGGGATCTGGCCCAGGTTCCTGCTGGGTGCCGAGGTGGGGGATTCAGTGGGGAGCACTGAAATGTGCTGGAGGCCTGGACGTGATTCCACTGCCACCACCCCCTTTCCCCCGGCTACAAAGCCTCCTGCGGTGTGCTTTGTTTTTCCCAGGTAGCAGTTATTAGCCCTGTATCATGACTAAACGAACACTAAAGATACCCTTTTACTTATTCTCAAATTCAAAACATGTATCAGGGGTCCAGAATTATACATGCTAGGACCTCAAAGGTAAGAAAGGCACCCACCCACAGCCACGTGCGGTGGCACACGCCTGTAATCCCAGCACTTTGAGAGGCCAAGGTGGGCGAATCACCAGAGGTCAAGAGTTTGAAACTAGCCTGGCCAACATGGTGAAACCCCGTCTCTACTCAAAATACAAAAATAAGCCGAGCGTGGTGGTGGGCACCTGTGATCCCAGCTACTGGGGAGGCTGAGGCAGGAGAATCGCTTGAACCCAGGAGGCAGAGGTGACAGTGAGCCGAGATCGCGCCATTGCACTCCAGCCTGGGCAACAAGAGCAAAACTTCTAATAAAAAAAAAAAAAAGAAAGAAAGGAAGGAGGGAGAGGAAGGGAGGGAAGGAAGGAAGGAAGGAAGCCTTCTCTTGTGGTCATAGTTCAGAGGACTGAATCACTCTGATATTTGAGCTTACCCTCAATTTCAAAACTCTCATTAGAAAATGTTTTTAAATCACCTGAAATGAGAACAAAATCTAAGTAGTATGTGGAGTGTAGAGATGGTAAAGCAGTCCAGTTAGGTTGGTTTGGGCAGCGTAAGTGTGCATCGTCATGCATTAACCAACAGAGAACCAGTGCCAGGGTCCACACCAACAGTTTTCAAAATAAACAGTCTCAATTAGACCTGAATATGACAGGTGTGGTGGCTCATGCATGTAATCCTAGCACTTTGGGAGGCTGAGGCAGGTGGATCACCTGAAGTCAGGAGTTCGAGACCAGCCTAGCCAACATAGTGAAACCCTGCCTGTACTAAAAATACAAACTAGCCAGGTGTGGTGGTGGGCACCTATAATCCCAGCTACTCAGGAGGCTGAGGCAGGAGAATCACTTTAGCCCAGGAGGTGGAGGTTGCAGTGAGCTGAGATCCTACTACTGCACTCCGGCCTGGGTGACAGAGCAAGACTCCATCTCAAAAACAAACAAACAAAAAAATTTGACCTGAATAGGCAACAGAGTTTATCACAAACAGATAGCATAGATAAGTATTATTTTATGAAAATGTGGTTTCAGTTATATACATGTGTATATATATATATGTATATGTTCATACATATACATATATATTTGTAGGGGTATTTGTATTAGATCATGATATAACATGTATTTATTGTGAATTACATTCTTAAAATTGTTACTGAGTTTGAACCAAGACAAATTCGTTACATATACAGAAAGTGCCCTATGGTAGTAATAATTATTGCATACTAATTATTTCCACAATTGGAACTATAGAAGAGTTCAGTGGTATTTTATGCACTAATTAGCTCCATGTTTTATATTTACTTTACATAGTATTAGCATGGCATGCATTTGAGTGTCTGATTTATCACACTAAGAATAGATCATTCCTGACTTGTAAGGAATGCAATGGCAGAATTGCTCCAATATGTGAGAACGGTCACTGTGGCGGTTGCCGATTATGGAAGCCATGAGCCATTATTGTTACCATGAAAATACGCATGATTTATACATTACTTCTACTGTTGCCATGCGTGACCAAATAAGGATCTTTTGCTTTACATTGTTTCTGCTGGAACAAAGTAAAGAAGTTCAACAGTCCAAGAGTTTTCTTTTCTAGTCCAGTTATTATGTTACTTTTTCAGAAAGCTTAGGATCTTGATAATAGTTCATTCCTGAGGCTGAAGGGGTTTCATTATTAACAAGTCAGATAATTTTCATTTCAGTTTTGATAAAAGATTTTTTTTTAATTTTGAGCAAAGGTTGAAGCACTTAATGCTTATTGTAATAATTAGTTTTATATTTTCTATTTTGATTGATTCATTGGTTGATTTTGATTTTAAGGATTTAAATAGCTGAAAGTATGGACCATATTTCTAGGAAATAATTTCCTGGTGTACCATTTATCCTCTAATGGTTACTCCAGACATTTAATTGTAAATGACTAGTATCCCATTTTGTAAATAGGCCTTGCCGAGAGTTTAACAGGATCAAGCAAATTATTTTTATTTTTACCATACTTACTGTTGTCATAACTGCTTTGATGAGAGCTCCACAAATGAATGAATGAACGTTATAATTTATTTATCTAAATATTGTGACATGTTACTACTTTTTAGTAAATTTAATTTTTATTCCATTTTTTAATAAGAGACTAATTTTTGGCAAGTTTATTTCAGGGAAGCTATGAGTCATCTGTCTGAACAAAGATAAGTGAATAGAAATCATCCTGTCTTACTGAACACGTTCAAACAGCACCCAACAAAGAAACAGGCTAGCTCACATCTAAATTTCTAATTCAAAACTGGTCCAGTACAACAGAGGTTAAAAAAACAAAGATTCCAGTTTCTTTCCAGTTTCCTTTTCCTTATTAAGGTCTTAGTAAAAGCCAGTGAGGAACACTTTTTTTTTTTAAGATGGAGTCTCGCTCTGTCACCCAGGCTGGAGTGCAGTGGCACGATCTTGGCTCACTGCAACCTCCGCTTCCTGGGTTCAAGGAATTCTCTTGTCTCAGCCTCAGGAGTAGCTGGGATTACAGGCATGCGCCATCACGCCCGGCTAATTTTTGTATCTTTAGTAGAGACAGGGTTTCGCCATGTTGGTCAGGCTGGTCTCAAACTCCCAACCTCAGGTGATCCACCCGCCTGAGGGACACTGCTTAACCAACTTAGTAAGTTATGGTTTTCTTCATATCTCTTAAGTGCCTTCCAAGATACTGGACCCCAGCATTTGCTGCTTGCCACGTAGCTCAGCTGATCTGTTGATAGACCCCCACAGAGGGACAGTGAATGTCTGCTGGCATTCAGGGATGCCCTAGCTTTTTCTAACCAAAGCTACAGACTCTCAGTAGCTGGAAAGCAGGGACGGTATCTGCCTTGTTCACTGCGATTTCTCTATTTTTAGACTCATAGAAAGTGCATAGTAAATCATTGTTGAATACATGAAAACACCAAAGAAAGAAGGAAGAACAGCAGGAGAAAGTATACGTAGCTTGAAACAAAGGGGGAGAGACATAATCTGCTCAGAGTTTGATATCATCCTCAGATAAGAGTGTGTTATCCACTCTTAACTAATACATTTGAGGGTCTCTTGTCAACCCAACAGTGTTTCTGGGGTGAGATCTGGGCTCATAGGATGAAGAGCTTACTGGAGTCAGAACACATACCTGTACGCGCACATAGGTACACGTGTGCCACACGCAACTCTGATCAAGTTGTATTGCAGAAGCAGTTTGTGCTATACTGTTAAAGAATAAGGCTGCATATAAAATGGGGCTAATGGTGTAATTTGGATAATTAGCATAAAGAGTTTAGGAAGAGAAAGGTTAATTTTTTTTTATTTGAGAGAGAGTCTTGCTCTGTCACCCAGGCTGGAGTGCAATGGCACGATTTCAGCTCACTGCAACCTCTGCCTCCTAGGTTCAAGCAATTCTCCTTCCTCAGCCTCCCAAGTACCTGGGATTACGGGCGCCTGTCACCACGCCCGGCTAATTTTTTGTGTTTTCAGTAGAGACAGGGTTTTGCCATGTTGGCCAGGCTGGTCTCGAACTCCTGACCTCAGGTGATTCACCCACCTCGGCTTCCCAAAGTGCTGGGATTACAGGTATGAGCCACTGCGCCTGGACAAGAAAGGTTAATCTGAGAAGCAGTTTCCCAGAGGAAAGGGATGGGACTTGGATAACAAGGGATCACAGATGGGGCCTGAGCCAAGGTCAGAGTGATCATAGCCAGTGGGCTCAACCAAAGGGGACAATAGTATTGGGTTTGGTGGACAGTAAGGTGGGGCACATGGGGTAGGGATTGAACTTCAGAGGGTGGTTTAGGAAATAGATAATCCTAGAAGTTTAGATTTAATGTAATCAGCATAAAGAAGTCATATTTCTGGAGCAAGAAAGTAATTTGATGGGGGCTGTGTTTTGAGATTACTTGGTAATAGCAAGCAGGAGGACAGCTCCCCCTCAGGACCAGAAAGGGAAGGGAAACAGCCTCCTAGGACTGCAATCTCAGCACCACTTTCAGTCTCACTGATGGCCAGCTCTCCTGGGATGCTTTGATGTCACAGAAGCAACTGATAAGGGGAAATGCATTCAGTTTTGATCTTCCCCTTGAGAGGGTCTGAAATGATCAAAGAGTGACCAAGCCTACCTGATATGGTTAATCTTTGTGTCCCCACCCAAATCTCATCTTAAATTATAATCCCCATAATCCACATGTGTCGAGGGAAAGACCAGGTAGAAGTAACTGAATCATGCTCTTCTTTCCCCCATGCTCTTCTCATGATAGTGAGCAAGTTCTCCTGAGATCTGATGGTTTTATAAGGGGTTCTTCTCCACTTCACTCAGCACTTTTCTTCCCTGCTGCCTTGTGAAGAAAGTGCCTTGCTTCCTCTTCACCTTCCACCATGATTGTAACTTTCCTGAGGCCTTCCCAGCCATGCCAAACTGTGAGTCAGTTAAACCACTTTCCTTTATGAATTACCCAGTCTTGAGCAGTTCTTTATAACAGTATGAAAATGGACTAATACAGTACATTAGTACTGCAGAGAGTGGGGTGCTGCTATAAAGGTACCCAAAAATGTGGAAGCAACTTTGGAACTAGGTAGCAGGCAGGGGTTGGAACACTTTGGAGGGCTCAGAAGACAGGAGGATGTGAGAAAGTTTGGAACATTTCAGAGACTTGTTGAATGGCTTTAATAAAAATGCTAATAGTGATGTGGACAATAAAGTCCAGGCTGAGATGGTCTCAGATGGAGATAAGGAACTTCTTGGGAACTGGAATAAAGTTGACTCTTGCTATGCTTTGGCAAAGAGGCTGGTGGCATTTTTCCCCTGCCCTAGAGATCTGTGGAACTTTGAACTTGAGAGAGATGATTTAGGGTATCTAGTGGAAGAAATTTCTCAAAAGTAAAGTGTTCAAGAGGTGACTTGGGTGCTCTTAAAGGCATTCAGTTTTACGCATTCACAAAGAGATGGTTTGGAATTGGAACTTATGTTTAAAAGAATTGCAGAGCATACAGGCTCAGAAAATTTGCAGCTTGATGATTCAATGGAAAAGAAAAAACTATTTTCTGAGGCGATATTCAAGCTGGCTGCAGAAATTTGCATAAGTAACAAGGAACCAAACGTTCATCACCAAGACAATGGGGAAAATGTCTCCAGGGCATGTCAGGGGTCTTAACAGCAGCTCCTCCAATTATAAGCCCAGAGGCCTAGGAGGAAAAAATGGTTTTGTGGGCTCGGCCCAGGGCCTGGCTGCTTCGTGCAGTCTCAGGACTTGGTGCCCTGCATGCCAGCCATGGTTAAAAGGGACCAACATAGAGCCCAGGCCATTGCTTCAGAGGGTGCAAGCCCAAAGTCTTGTAAGTTTACATGTGGTGTTGGGGCTGCAGGTGCACAGAAGTCAAGAATCAAGGTTTGGGAACCTCTGCCTAGATTTCAGAGGATGTATAGAAATGCCTGGATGTCTAGGCAGAAATTTGCTGCAGGAGTAGAGCCCTCATGGAGTACCTCTGCTAGGGCAGTGCAGAAGAGAAATGTGGGGTCAGAGTCCCCACACAGAATTCCCACTGGGGCATTGCCTAGTGGAGCTGTGAGAAGAGGGCTACCATCCTCCAGACCCCATAATGGTAGATCCATTGGCAGCTTGCACTGTGCTCCTGGAAAAGCCACAAACACTCAATGCCAGCCTGTGAAAACAGCTGGGAGCAGGGCTGTACCCTGCAAAGCCACAGGGACAGAGCTGGCCAAAATGACAGGAAACCACCTCTTGCATCAGTGTGACCTGGATGTGAGACATGGAGTCAAAGGAGGTTATTTTGGAACTTTAAGATTTAACTGCCCTGCTGAATGTCCAACTTGCATAGGGCCTGTAGTCCCTTTGTTTTGGCCAATTTCACCCATTTTGAATGGGTGTGTTTACCCAATGCCTGTACCACCATTGTATCTAGGAAGTAACTAACTTGCTTTTGATTTTACAGGCTCATAGATGGAAGGGACTTGCCTTGTCTCAGATGAAACTTTGGACTTGGACTTTTGGGTTAATGCTGGAATGAATTAAGACTTTGGGGAACTACTGAGAAGACATGATTGGTTTTGAAATGTGAAAGGGACATGAGATTTGGGAGGGGCCATGGGCAGATGATATGGTTTGGTTGTCCCACCCAAATCTCATCTTGAATTGTAATTTCCATAATCCTCACATGTCCATGGAGAGACCAGATGGAAGTAATTGAATCATGAGGGCAGTTTCCCCCATGTTGTTCATGTGATAGTGAAGGAGTTCTGGTGAGATCTGATGGTTTCATAAGGCGCTCTTCCCCACTTCGCTTGGCACTTCTCCTTTCTGCTGCCTTGCTTCCTCTTCACCTTTTGCCATGGCTGTAAGTCCCCTGAGGCCTCCCCAGTCATGCTGAACTGTGAGTCAGTTAAACCTCTTTGCTTTATAAATTACCCAGTCTCAAGCAGTTCTTTATAGCAGTATGAAAATGGACTAATACACTGCCAAACAGCCACAATGCTACACATGCTCACTTCAATCTCAAGCTTGGTCTACATTTCTCTAATGCCCTCTGGAACAACCAAATCTTTTGTTAATGAGAAGGCAGACAGTGTGAGTGTCTTTTTCTTGGGAATGGGTCATAGTTGGCTGACATTACAAACCTTAGCCTAGCTTGTGTTTTTCACAGGGCACCCCCTTGTGCTTTTTTAAAAATCCCACTAGAGAATTCACAGGCTGAAGAGAGAGTACCCCTTCTTGAGTGTCCTAGGTTTCCCAAGTAGTTCTCCCAGTTCTGTGTTAGCAAGTGGCAGGGTAGGATATGGGATAGGTGGTAGAATAGGAGGAAGAGGGAAAAGCTAGGTCATAATCTCCTTAAGATCAGGGACATTGCCTTCATCTTTGTATTTCAAGCACCTTGTGCAATACATGTGTCAGATGAATGATGGCTAGGTGAATAAGAAGCATTTTGTTTCCTCATTGTCCTGTTCAGATATGACATGTTATCAACAGCCCAGATATTATTCAGACACTCATCACCCTTTTACCTCCTTATTCCTCCTATCTGTTTAGTGGTGGTGCAACTCATATAAATATATTCAAAGCACATGGAACATTGACTGAGGTGCCCAGCCCAGTGTTCAGTAAAGGAATTGTGGATATTGAAGCTACTAAGTTCTATCTTCCAGACTAAGACAGTCACGGGATTGGTTATTTGGGGAGGTGGAAACTTTATCTGCCGACTTCTGTCCATTTCCTAATTTCATATTATGTAGTCTTAGCTCCTCATTTAAAATCCACAACTTAGGCCAGTCATGCTGGCTCATGCCTGTCATCTCAGCACTTTGGGAGGCCAAGGTGAGCAGTTCATTCGAGCTTAGGAATTCGAGACCAGCCTGGGCAACATGGTGAAACCTTGTCTCTACAAAAAATGCAAAAACTAGCCAGGCATGGTGGCATGTGCCTGTCGTCCCAGCTACTTGGGAGGCTAAAGTAGGAGGATCCCTTGAGCCCAGGAGGTTGAGGTTGCAGTGAGCCATGATCACACTGATGCACTCCAGCCTGAGCAACAGAGCAAAACCCTGTCTCAAAAACAAGCATAAAAAACAAAATGCACAACTTATTACTTCATGGACGTGGGATATGAAATAGTAAATCTTGAGAGTCAATCTTCTCTGTGGTCTTAATTCATGCTTAACATATGAGCATAGGAATATCCCCACTTCCCATGCACATATGAGCACAGGGATATCCCCACTTCCCGTGCACATATGAGCACAGGGATATCCCCACTTCCCGTGCACATATGAGCACAGGGATATCCCCACTTCCCGTGCACATATGAGCACAGGGATGTCCCCACTTCCCGTGCACATATGAGCACAGGGATGTCCCCACTTCCCGTGCACATATGAGCACAGGGATGTCCCCACTTCCCGTGCACATATGAGCACAGGGATGTCCCCACTTCCCGTGCACATATGAGCACAGGGATGTCCCCACTTCCCGTGCACATATGAGCACAGGGATGTCCCCACTTCCCGTGCACATATGAGCATAGGGATGTCCCCACTTCCCGTGCACATATGAGCATAGGGATGTCCCCACTTCCCGTGCACATATGAACATAGGGATGTCCCCACTTCCCGTGCACATATGAGCATAGGGATATCCCCACTTCACATGCACATATGGATACTTCTAATTCGTGCTTACATATGAGCATAGGGATATCCCCACTTCCCGTGCACATATGGATACTTCTAATCGTGCTTACATATGAGCATAGGCATATCCCCACTTCCCGTGCACATATGGATACTTCTAATCGTGCTTACATATGAGCATAGGCATATCCCCACTTCCCGTGCACATATGGATACTTCTTTCTGCACTTGTGTGAACACTTTTGCTCATCTGTGTGAGTGTGTGCTTGTGTCTGTTTTGGCAGTCATGCTATATTTTTATTCTTGACATCCTTAGCTCCTTCAAAAGATGTGATGTGCCTGGCACATGGTATGAACCCAGTAAATACTGGCTGAATGAGTTAATGACTGAACACTATGTTCAGAGAACAGTAATGCCTGCAACTTGGAAACTTTACACAATCCTTGTACTCAAAATTTAAGTGGAGAAACTAAGTCTATATGCATAAAATAAAGTCTGTTACAAAGTAACATAAGAATAAAATAAAATTAATTAAATATACTATGGATGCCAAAATCTGAGATAGGTCTCAGTTAATTTAGAAAGTCTATTTTGTCAAAGTTGAGGACACACTTGCATGACACAGCCTCAGGAGGTCCTGAAGACATGTGCCCAAGGTGGTAGGGGCACAGCTTGGTTTTATACAATTTAGGGAGACATGAGACATCAACACATGTAAGATGTACATTGGTTCAGTCTGGAAAGGTGGAACAACTTGAGGTGTAGGTGGGACAATTTGAAGTGGGGAGGGGACTTCCAAGTCATAGGTCGATAAGAGACAAATTTCAGAGTTGTAAAAACATTGAATGAGTTAGTATATTGAAAAGCACTTAGAACAATACCTGGCTCAGAGCAAGCACAGAGTGAATGTTAGCTGTGATTATGATTATAATTATGATGACTATAATTATTATTAGTATTGTGAAAGGAAAATAAATCTTGGGGCCCCAAAATCACTAAGCTAAAGGGAAAAAGAAACTGGAAATTGCTTAGGGTTTGCCCTAAGCAATTTGAGTTGCATTCTTTTGAGTTTCTGATTAGCCTCTCCAAATGAGGCCATCAGATGTGCATTTATCGCAGTGAGCAGAGGAGTGACTTTGAATAGAATGGGAGGCAGGTTTGCCCTAAGCGATTTCCAGTTTCTTTTCCCTTTAGCTTAGTGATTTTTGGGGCCCCAAGATTTATTTTCCTTTGACAATACTAATAATCATTATAGTCATCATAAGCATAATCACAGCTAACATTCACACTGTGCTTGCTCTGAGCCAGGTATTGTTCTAAGTGCTTTTCAATATATTAACTCATTCAATGTTTTTACAACTCTGTAAGTATCACTATTATTTTCCTCATTTTGCAGTTGAGAAACCTGAGGACTGAGAGGTTAAGTGACTTGTCTGGAGTCACACAGCTAAAAAGAATAAGGTCACATAGTGAGCACAAAATGGTATTGAGGGTTAGCAATGAACATTTTCTGGAGGAGGCAAGTTGAGTCCTGTCCTGTCCCATCACTGACAGCCACACCTGTAACCAGGGGCTGTATTCACAAATGGCCATTACCCATCTGGCCAGCCCTCAGAGGGAGTGGTGAGCTGAGAGAGACAGTCGTGTTGAGAGCCTGCTCACATGGTGACATGGTCTGGCCTGCATACAGCACTGCAGCCTTCCCAGAGTACATGCTAATTAATTCTAAGACTCCTTTGCATGAAGTTCTCAGTATTGACTAAACTCTTCAAGGGAAAAATCTCCCTATTTCCCAGCAAACTCAGAGTAGAGCTGACCTCCTTCATGACACAGCATACTGACTTCAAGTTTTGAAAGAACCCAGTGGGCTGGTCATGGTGGCTCACGCCTGTAATCTCAGCACTTTGGGAGGCCGAGGCAGGTGAATCACGAGGTCAGGAGATCGAGACCATCCTGGCTAACAGGGTGAAACCCTGTCTCTACTAAAAACACAAAAAAATTAGCTGGGGGTGGTAACACGTGCCTGTAATCCCAGCTACTTGGGGGGCTGAGGCAGGAGAATCGCTTCAACCCGGGAGGTGGAGGTTGCAGTGAGCTGAGATTGCGCCACTGCACTGCAGCCTGGGTGACAGAGCGAGACTCAAAAAAAAAAAAAAAAAAAGAGAGAGAGGGAAGGAAGGAAGGAAAGAAGGAACGAAAGAGAAAGAAAGAAAAGAAAAGAAAGGAGAAAAGAAAAGAAAAGAACCCAATGAATTGGTCCTCAAAAAGTAACTACCTACTGTGGTAGAGAGGAAGAGACACAATGGCAAATATATAGATACATAAATGTACTCTGTCAGCATCAAGTGTCAACTCTGTGCCAGGAACTGTTCTAACCCCTGGGGATTTAGCACTGAACACGGCAGACGAAAATTCCGTCCTCCTGAAGCTTACGTGGGGGAGAGGCAGATAAGAGATACAGTAAGTTAGAAGGTGACAGGTGACGTGGAGGAAAATGAAGCAGGAGAGGGGCTGGAGTTTGTAGGGAGGGAGGCCCCCAGGTGAGTCTGGATGCAGGAAAGCAGTTGTCCTCCCGACTAATTTGACAGCAGAGGGTCTTCTCCTCAGTTTTCTCACTTTCTCACCAAGTGGCCTCTCAGGTTATCCGGCAAAGAGACTTTCAACCCTGGGCCAGGATGAGTGTGGAAGCGGAGTGGAGCGGGGAAGGGAAGATGAAGTTCAGGTCCTCTCATCCTATAATCCATGTGGGGATCTAGAGGCATCATTGTGGCAGGGAGGAGAGATGACTTTATGACAATAAGACATAGGCTTCACATTTGAGCGGGGTAGGTATTGATCCAGGGATATGAAGATGGCTAAGTCATGTCCCTTGAGAATTCCCAGTGTAGTGGGGAACCACTTGTGAAGACATTTGCTTGTTTCATTTTATCCAACAGGAGCTTTTCCACACACTTCTTTAAAGAATGCAGTTTGGTCTTACTCTGTCGCCCAGTCTGGAGTGTATTGGGCCGATTACAGCTCACTGCAACCTTGACTTCCCAGGCTCAGGTGATCCTCCCACCTCAGCCTTCCAAGTAGCTGGGATCACAGCTACCATACCCAGCTATTTTTTTTTTTTCTTGTAGAGACAGGATTTTGCCATCTTGCCCAGTCTGGTCTTGAACTCTTGGACGCAAGCAATCCTCCTGTGTTGGCCTCCCAAAGTGCTGGGATTACAGGCATGAGCCATCGCACCTGGCAGTTTGGTAGCATTTTGACTTAAATTTCTGTCTGTGGACAAATAGCATTTGAAACGTCTATGAAAATGATAAGATAAAACATGAGAAGAAAACAGTTTGTTGATAGTAAAATCTCAAAAATTTTGCCGGTTAGGTTAAGAACAATAGGGCAAAAACTGTATATGTTAAGTTTCTTGGAAGGGATTCCTTCCTTTGAGGGAAAAGCCTGTTGATTCTTACGTTTTCTTCTCTACGAAATTAGGTTAAGGATCGGCTGAAAGCATAAAATGCAGCTTAGAAGTTGCCCGCTTCCCCTTCTTCCCCATCTACACCCATGCAACTGTGGGACCTCTGCCCTTGGCTAGGAGAGCTTTTGGCACTGTGTCTTGCTGCTGGCGCCCAGACTCAATTTTCCTGCATCCGGCTTACTGTGTTTTCCTCTTCTAGTTCCTAAGTGGCTCTCCAGAACCTTGACTGGGTTTGTCTCTGGTCTACACTTCTCCTATCCCTCTCCTTCCCAATTTACTAGGTGAAAGGCACCCGGTACCCGCTTTGTAATGCACCCCTACTGCTCCCGACAACACCTCTCCACTGTCATGCTTAATTGTCTACATTTCATTTGTCAGAGGTCCGACGTTCACTTTTTAAAATGCAATGAATCATTAACATGCTAATAAGTGATTTAATATCTATTAATGAGGATTCGCAATATAAAACTGATTTAATGTCTCAACTCACTGCTTCCGTTTTCTCATAAAAGGAAACAGCTAAGTACTACCTAGGAGAAATGATACCCACGTGCATGCATCTTGCTCTTTCCTTTAATGCTTCCTGGGGTTCTATCTTTTCTCTTAGCAATGCACTGATACATTTATGGTGAGGCACAAGTAAGAAAGAGAAGAAAAAAGGAATCACCTTAGGAATCCTTGAGATAACCATATTTGCTTTGTTTTCAACTCCACACACAGCCTATTTCCTGCCCTGGGTTATTTTCCTCAGAGGAGCTGTGGAGATGACTAGACTTACACATAGGTCCACAGCTCCCACAAAGTCTTCACCAGCAAACCCTCCGAGTTCCTCACTCCCACAGCTCCCACAAAGTCTTCACCAGCAAACCCTCCGAGTTCCTCACTCTCATTCCTCTAGCACAAGTTGTGCAATAGCCTCATTTTTACATCTTGCCCCTGAAGAAGGGGGAAGAATTACACCTTGACAGTGACTCAAAAAAGACAGCAGATGCTGACGGGGTTCTTTTGATTAACAGGAGTTATAGAACTATGTCTAAATAGTTCCGATTTGATTTGAACATTATATTTTATCAGCAAATAACATGTGTTTCATTGTAGAAGTAACTAAAACAAAGCATGAAAACATGTGGTTCTACAATATTGGTTTTTTTGTTTTTTGTTTTTTGTTTTTTTGAGACAGGAGTCTCACTCTGTCACCCAGGCTGGAGTGCAGTGGAGTGATCTTGGCTCATTGTAACCTCTGTCTCCTGGGTTCAAGGAATTCTCCTGCCGCAGCCTCCCGAGTAGCTGGGATTACAGGCGCCCACCACCATGCCCAGCTCATTTTTTGTATTTTTAATAGAGATAGGGTTTCACCATGTTGGCCAGGCTGGTCTCAAACTCCTGACCTCAAGGGATCCTCCCACCTCGGCCTCCCAAAGTGCTGGGATTACAGGTGTGAGCCACTGTTCCCAGCCTGGTTCCCCAATATTCTTTTGGCTTGTTTAATTCTGAGTAAGAGAGTCCAAAATAGGGTTCAGGACATTCTTTTCCCGAGATATCCCCGGAGTGAAAATGAGTGTTGGATGATCACTATTTTGGGTACTAATTGTTTGACCAGTATTGAACAGCTGAGCTCCAGGGGTAGAAAGAGATCTAAGGCTTGTCCAGTGAGGATTCCCAAAGTAGTGGGGAAGCAGATACAAAAATCAGTTAAGTTGTGATAGAGTAGTAGGTGTTGCAATAAAGGTATACCCACAGAACAGAGAGGGCCGAGGCTAGGGAAGCTTGAGCAGGATTCAGACTTTCATTAGGCACAGAGGCGAGAGAGCAGCTCATGGCAAGGGCCCAGAAGCTGCCCACTGTTGTGTCTGGAATCTAGTGGGAAAGGGCAAAAGGAAGTCCTGGAGCAGCAGGTTGCGAGCAGGCCATTGTGCCAAGGAGTCTGGTCTTGATCCTATAGGTAGAAGGTGGCTGGTAGAGTTTAATCAGCAGAAGAAAAAGAAATGAGAATGGGAATGTGAGTTAGGTGACAATTGGATGAAGATGGAAGCCTCATGTCAGGAAACCAATTCTGCAGTGGTCTCCTGGCAGAAGGTGAGGCAGACCTGAACTGAGCCTACCTCGGTTAGTGGCCAAGTCTGCTTTAAATTCATCCCTTCTGCCAGATGGTTTTAAAAATGCATGAGCCCATTACTGAAAAACAGAACGTCTTCGAAGAGAAAGGCAGACCGGGAAGCCCTGAGTGAGAAGTACCCAGTGAAAGGAAGGGCGTTTATCAATCCTCTCTCTTTGAACTAAATTCATTAGTGAAATCTGAGAAACTTTGGAGCTTTAATGAATTTGAAACTGGTGTTTCCCTTTATCTGCATCTAGTCCATTTTTAATTTGCGGTCATCTATTAGCTGATGAAAAAAGAAAAATGTCTTTCAGCAGTTGAAGACAGCTAATGAGAATCAGGCTCTCAGTGTGGGCGGTACTGCTGATGTTTGGTTTGTGAGAGATACAGGAATCAACTTGTTGAAGCTCTCTACTTGTCAGAGCACCTTTAAATAATCCAAGCCCAGAGTTGTTTCATCTTCAGGCAAGAGAAAGTGAAAATGGCTTCAAAGGTACAATATCTCAAATAAACACTATAAAATGCATCCACACTTGCCTTTGAAATTGTAGTGGTTCAAGCACACAGAGACAAGCAACAATGTTTATTTCCTGATACTAATGAGCTTGTCTGTCTTTGTCTATGATGATTGTTCTTAGAGACAAACAAATAAAAATGCGAATTATATCTGACTGTTCTAAGAAGAAAAGATTGCCAGACTATTGTATTTTTTGGCAGTTATATGCTTCAAAAAACTGATCGTTTTCTCAATTCCTAGGAAGCGGGCAGAGAAATCACATTCCTGTGGACCAATGCTCCTTAGTGGATGAGTTTTGTGGCATGGTGGTGATTTAGTTAGTAAGAAGCCCTGCCTGTTTTCTGGAGAGTACTATACTTGTCGAACCAGCTCCTAGGACAGTACAGGGTTGTGACTGGTGTTTTGGGGTTCTCTCTGCGCATAAGCCCTTTCCTTTTAATACAAACAGCAAGATCATCCTGTTCAGCAGTTGACAGATGACTGTGTGCACCAAAAGGCAACAACGATGAGGCAACTGATGCATTTGTAACTCAATGTCTCACTGAATTCCAGCTTTCTTTTCTCAAGGTGGTGAAACAGGAAGCAACATCCCATCAGGAAGAACCTGAGGGTGCCATCCAGTAGCTTCGCCTCACGTCACTGACTGCCCTCAGTCAGAAATCTTGACTCGCAACTTTGGAGGGTGGGTCTCTGAAGGAATTTCAGGTCTTACACAGAGATGAGTTGTGCTGCTCTCTGAGGAGAACGAAGCTGGTTGGAACGTTGGAAGCTGCTCTCTGACTACACTTCACAAGCAAGGGGCACCTTTTGTGGACTGACATTTCAGAAAGGTAGGCGCCATCCCATGGATGTGGTTAGTATTTGAGGACTTTCAAAACCAAGGTGGCCGTGATTCCGCGTGTGAGCTTGTGTGTGTATGTGTGCCTGGGTGCGTAACAGAGAGGGAGAGGAGATGGAGATTGGGGGAGAGGCGGACAAATGAAGAAATGTTCATTTTTGGTCTGATGTTTGGGAGAAATACAGAAAAGACAGACTTGGGGCCCTTTGCTTTGTAGAGTTTTGCTTGGAAGTGTTTAGTAGTAGAGGGTAAATTTCGAGTCCAAACTTCCACTCCTGACCTGCATTGCTCTCGGGCGAGTTTAAACTGATTCATTGAGGGTTAGGAAGAAAGGTCTGGGCAGTGAAATCACACACGGCTGAATGCTCAGCATAGCTTGGTTTATCAGGAAAGCCCTGAATCCAGGTGGAATGAAAGGGGTCAGCACAGATCTTTGCCAGGTGGCAAAGGCCATTTCAGACCATCCCAGAGTGCCTTAAGCTGAGAACAAGGTGGGACTTGCTCACCCCACAGTGGCAGGCCTTCCTAAGCTGCTTCTGTCTTGAGAGATGTAGTGCTCAATGTCATGCCAGGAGAAATTAGCTGTTCGGTTCTAAGGCTGCCAGTCTCATGCAGAAAAGTGAAACAAAATCAAACTACTTTTTCTGATCCAAGCAAATGTTTAGCAAGAATGTTCTGTTAAGCATTTTTATTTTTTTGAAACCTTTACACAAAACAAGGGAAATAAAGCTTTAGGGCTGACCAGATAATGAATTTTAATTTATTCATTAACCCACAATGTTCAAGTGCCTTCTCTACCTTAAGTGAGTGTTTGACTTTAAACTTCACATTTTCATTGCCTTCCCCCCTACAAGCCTTTTGTTTTTCTTAAAAGGGGTTTCCATTTATAATTTCTTCAGTAGAATTTCTGGATAAAAAGTTCTTTAAAGAGAAAATATGTATATGTTCAAAAAGGTAATAATTATGTGGCCCTCTCATTCACAATATTTCTGCCTTTTTCTAAAATATCAATCAAATTGATTTACATAAGTTTGAAGATCATTCTGGGCTAATAATAATCTACATTTACTAAGTCCTTGCTGTGTGTACGTGCATTTTCCCCTTTAGGGCTCATGATACGCCACTTTCAGACGAGGAATTGAGGCTTAGTGAGATTTACAGTGGTACAGTAGGGATGTGAGAAAGCCACAGCTTTATTGCATTTCTGCACACTAAGATATATGATTTCAGCTCATTCTATATTCCCATTCTATTCCATTAACCCCCTACAGGGTCCTTGTGTGGAGGGATTCCTGAAGCTATGATAATATTCAAATACTCGAATTTGGTGTCTTATAACAAAAGGCCAAAATCAATCAATCAATCTATCACCTGCTTCTGCTGTTGGAGGAAGGCTTGGTGTGGTGGACAGAACATTGACTAGAAAGACAGATCAAAATTCAAATTCCTGCATCCTGCTTACTAACTATGACCCTGGCAAGTCACTGAAATTCCTTTTTTATTTTTTTGAGATGGAGTCTTGCTCTGTCACTGAGGCTGCAGTGCAGTGGCATGATCTTGGCTCTCTGAAACCTCTGCCTCCTGGGTTCAAGCGATTCTCGTGCCTCAGCCTCCCAAGTAGCTGGGAGTATAGGCATGTGACACCACACCTAGCTAATTTTTTTGTAGTTTTAGTAGAGATGGGGGTTTCGCCATGTTGGTCAGTCTAGTCTCGATCTCCTGGCCTCAAGTGATCTGCCCACCTCAGCCTCCCAATGTACTAGGATTCCAGGCATAACCCACCACACCTGGCCTCAGTGCAATTCTTCAAATCTCAGTTTCCTTATTTATAAAATAATTATTATAACATCCATCAAACGAGGTTGTTTATTATAAGACATAAAAAGGCAGGGTATGTCAAATGCCTTCCATAGGACCTGACAGAGGGTAGGCCCTTGGTAAACAGTATTCATTTCCCCATTTTGCAGTGATTTCTTCATGCTCTTGACATGTTGGATCCTGTTCTAGGATTGGGGGTATCACCAGTGAACAAAGCAGACAAGTCCCTGCCCTCAGGGAGTTGCCTTTCCACTGGTACTTGTTCCTTATATCCTAGTGTACTTTCTTGGG
The DNA here is from genome assembly GCF_000001405.40 of Homo sapiens. Classification (NCBI taxonomy): domain Eukaryota; kingdom Metazoa; phylum Chordata; class Mammalia; order Primates; family Hominidae; genus Homo; species Homo sapiens. The sequence continues at coordinate 100,526,695 of NC_000015.10, read as the reverse complement.
AAATCACTTTGTGATTATCTTTCTTTGTGGAGCTGATCCAGCTTTCAAACAGCCTCTTAAAGTAATGAATGTCCTATGCCAAAAGTCCCCCAAAGCATAGTAAAATCAAGCAAAAAGCAAGAACATCAGATACTTCTTTTTCAAAAGTCAGTTTGTTGTGGTAGGCCAGGAAAGTTGTTTTTACACACACACACACACACACACACACACACACACAGTTTATGTAGGTTTTCCCTGGCCTCCACACCACAGCAGAAGCACTGCCAGGAGCTGGCAGAGTGCTCATGGGAGGAGGGTGCTGGGCTGGCTCCAAGGGAGCTCCCTCCGCTCACAGAGCACGGAGTGTATCGTGGCAACTGTTCATTTATCTTGGGCCCCAAGCCATCCACACAAGAAGCTTGGACTTTCCAAGCCCTCCCCAACACGAATTTATGGGATGCGATGCAAAGATTGACCTGCAGGTGTACACCTTTATAAGGATGGATTTGGGACAAAAACGATTGACTTATGTTTTGGCAAAAAGCCTGCAGTCAAGTTCATCAAGTAGGCCAGCTGGCATCAAGAATGGTGTTTTGGCAATCTATCTCTATGTTTGAATCCAGAGAAACTGCAGATCATAGCAGAGAGATAGCAGAGGGGAACACAGAGAAGCTCTCTCTGGAATCAGATGCAGGTAGATTCTTCTTTCTCCTGGAAACACCTCAACACACAATACAACGATCTAATTGATCTTATACAGCCCGAGTTTATGGTTTTATTTACTGGATGGACCCAGGATGATTGAAAAAATCCTTGTGCCAACACTAGACAGACCAGACAGTTGGCAGTATGAAAGAAGGCATTCTAAAGTAGTGGGACTTACTTTCCTAAGTCCTGTGCAACAATCAAGCCCATCATTTTACAGCCATGCTGTATGTGCTGCCTTAAGATTTGTCCTTGTAGCTGGAATTTACAATGATGAAAACATAAATGAAGCTAAAAGTCTAATTAAAATAAATAAATTAGGGCTTATGTATAAAAACCCCAATTGGCAAGTGAACGGAGAGATTAAGAATCTTTGACCTTGTAACAAAACTGTAACAGCCACAATTCTCCACAGGGCTTTCTGTTGATGGTGGACAGATGTTCAATTGTAAATGGGCTTCAGTTAGATCACTTCCAAAGGTTGTTATTATCATAATTTCAAGGCTGAGAATTTCCATTAATAAATAGAAAATAGCTCTGATAAGAAGGAGATTTGGCTTGGATGTCCATGAAACAAATTTTACCTTTCCCAAATATGAGAATTTAAAATTTCTTCATCTGTGAGTATCTTCCTGCTACTTAAATATAAAATTAAAGGGTTCTGGTTATTTATTTTTTTGGCCTACCTGCCCACTGGAAAATCTGTGGAGATGATTTGTGCTGGTGGTGGATTATATGTTTCAATCTAATGGAAAGTTTCCTCTTTATTGTTTTCTGAGTTAAATATTTAGGAAATACCAGGAAACTAAGATATTTAACCAAAATTCCCAAATCTGTCTGCTCAGGATTGGTAAACACACACTCACATTCATACACATGTGTGTATGTGCATAATATGAAAACACAACCAAAAGATGCATACATTTCTCATTAATGGAAAAAGTGTAAAATTCACAGGTAAGGCATATATTTAGGTTATTTGGAGAGGTAAAATATTACATTAAGGAGCTTGAAACCACTTTTACTTACTATATTCAGGTTCTAAGATGAAGTACTTAGTGAAGAAAAATCATATGTGATAATCCATTTAATTCTCTGCTGGGATAAGGTCTATTTGTTTTATTTTGATTTCTTTGCCAGACATATTTTACTGGATAGTCAATAAATACTTGTTGATTAGATTGACCCTGACACAGGCTGAACAATAAACTAATCATTTCAAAATTTAAGCAAAAAATTCTGAAAACATTTTCTTCAATAATGAAGATTACTTGACATCATTTAATAACTAACTTGGCTTCAATTTCTTCCCCTCAAAGTTTGTTTTCTTGTTTGACATATGATTAAAAACTTTAAAAACATACAACATGCTGATGCTGAACAAATGTCAAATTCTGCAGATTAGCAATTTTCATTTGTAATGTTCACATCAGAGGATCATTACTATATTCCACTTTGGGTCAAAGTTACAGGGTTTCATAATGAGCTATTCCTATCCCATTAGCTGTAACTTGCTTTACCTGGCTTGATTCCAACAGAGATCCGCCTTATGTGGAATTCTGGACTATAACTAATTGTGTAAGAGTAAAACTTCAGAGCTTTTCTAGATGATGACTATAAAATCGTATGCAACTTGAATTTTCCTAAGTGGTTGTTGTGTAGATTACACTATTGCAGTGATTTTCAAACGTTTTTAACCATTACTGTTAGTAAGAAATACTTTTCAGATCTCAACTTAGGACATATATACACACACAATTCTGAAATAATAGTTTCATAAAACAATACTTATAGGTATTGTTTTCTATTTCATTTCATTACACTCTACAACATTTCTGGTCATAACCGACTAATTAATTTTGTGACCTACTGGTAGTGGTTCTCAATACTGTCTGAAAATTAAAATCAACTAGGGAACAATAGACCAATGGAATGGACTAAGATGCTAGAAAAAAAACCTCCACAAATTTGGACCTTTGATTTATGACAACATTGGTACTACAGGAAAGGACAGACATTTGAATGTCCATGTACAAATAAATGAGTCTTGATTCTCATCTTAAAATTCATACAGCTCTAAGTATTAATCTAGATGTGACAGGTAAAACAATATAACTTCTAGATCTTCACTGTCCAATATGGCAGCTGCTAGCCACATGTGGCTATTGAGTACCTGAAATACTAGAAAATTTAAAATTACATATGTTACTCCCAGTTTTCTTCCTACTGAACAGCATTGTTCTAGATGACAAAACAGAATATATGTATGACCTTGGGTAGACAGTGATTTCTTTTTTTTTTTTTTTTTTTTGAGATGGAGTCTTGCTCTGTTGCCCATGCTGGAGTGCAGTGGTGCAATCTCCGCTCACTGCAAGCTCCGCCTCCTAGGTTCCTGCCATTCTCCTGCCTCAGCCTCCCAAGGAGCTGGGACTACAGGCGCCCACCACCATGCCTGGCTAATTTTTTGTATTTTTAGTAGAGACAGGGTTTCACCGTGTTAGCCAGGATGGTCGCAATCTCCTGACCTTGTGATCTGCTTGCCTCAGCCTCCCAAAGTGCTGGGATTACAGGTGTGAGCCACTACACTTGGCGATTTCTTAAACAAGATACAATAAGTACTAACATGATGAAAAAGATCTGTAAATTGGTTATGTTAAAAATAAGGACTTCTGTTTCTCAAAGCATACCACTAAAAGAGTAAAAGACAAACTGCAGGAGAGGAGACATTTGCCATGCAAATAACATGTAAGGAGTCATGCATATAACATGACTTGTTATGCATGTAACAAACAAGGAGTCCTATCCAAAACAGAAACAAGGCAATTTTGAAAGATAGACCGCCACAACAGAAAAATGGGCAAGAGGTTTGAACAGGTACTTCACAGAAAAACATATTCAGACAGCCAAGAGACTTGAAACATACTCAACCTTGTTAGCTTTCTGGGGAATGCAGATTAAAACTGCAATGAAGTACCACTACACACCCACCAGAAAGGTGAAAATTTAAAAGACAGACAATAGAAATTTTGGCAAGGATATTAAACCACTGGAACTCTCATACGTCACTGGGAGGAGTGTAAATAGTCACAACAGCTTTGAAAAACTGTTCAGCAATATCTGTTAAACTGAATATACATATGCCTTATGACCTGGCGTTTCCACTCCCAGGTATATGTTCTACAGAAATGCATTCACGTATTTACCTAAAGCATGTTCAAGAATGTTCAAGAATGTTCATAAATGGCACCTTGAAGTGTTGTAATCCCAAACTCAAAACAACCCATATTTCCATCGACAACAGAATGGGAACACAGATCGTGATATAGTGATATAGTCATGGGATGGAATATTAAAAGTCAACGAAAATGAGTTTGCTACTGTTACATGCAACAACATAGATGCATCTCAGTTCTAAAAGTTGAGTGAAAGAATCCAGATGCCAGGAATGTGCTCAAAACAATCGTATTTACATAAAGTTCAAGAACAGGCAACACGGATCCATGGTGGTGACAGGGAGAGGCATGAGGAAGAGTCTGGGGTGCTGGTCATATTCTTTTGTGCTTTGTTTCTTTACCATCTGTATGTTATACTTCAATAATTATATTACAGTAACAATACAGCAGTGACAATACTGATACCAGGACTGCACCTTCAGAGATCTTGGTTTAGTTGATCTGGTTAGGTAGAAAGCATGGTCAAAAAATCTCTCCCAAGGAATTCACATGTAGAACCAGGGTTGGGAACCAGTGCACTAATGGTTTACAACTGGTCCTTTGAAAACCCATGTGCTATGACAAACTGTAATTGTTACACCAGGCTGTGCTAGGCCCTTATTATCTCTGTTCAAGTTACACTGACTTGACGACATAATTCATATTGAGAAATGTTAGCAACATAAGGAGTCACAAAGTTAACTGACCTAGAAAGCCGGTCAGGTGCCTGAAAACAGTTGGCCAGGTTGGTAAGCGTGTGTTCCATTTAAGGGCTCCAGTGATTCTTGCCAGTCTTCTGAGTTTCTGAGTGAAGCTGCAAATCTGGATTTCTATGTGCAAATTCTTGAATTTTCAGTGTTGGCTCAAATTGTTTTAAAGCCCCATGCACCAGTCCAAACTGATTGGTAGACCCAAATTTGCCAGCACCAAGCTCTCCCGTTGGTTTGAAACTCTGACTTAAGTTTTAGACCTATTATAGAAGGACGCTTATGGGCACAGTTGTGTAATATATTAATTATGTTTCTCTTTTTCTGCTTCTTTAGGGATGTTGTGAAACAAAAGCTGACATTTATATATATATACATATATACAGTATTTGAGTTCCTCAGTAGAAAGCTATCATATATACTCAGGTAATTATCTTTATTTTATTTTATTTTACCTCTACTGTGTTTTCTTAACTATAATCTTGGGAAATTAACATCTGTGACTCAGAAGTTGATATCTGGCATTGTTTTGCATATTCTGGGGACAAGTGGAGTTTGGGCAAAGCCAGTACCATGCTATTCTTTATGAAATACTATAGATTTGTATTCTTTCCTTTTGAAAGCGGAGATGCAGGAGAAAGCTTCATGTGACAGCAGCAGGTAGCAAAGAGCCATCAGGGGGTGGCATTTGCTGTCTGTGCTCTGGTCTTCCACCCCCATAACACCTGCTGTTCTGATGGGAAGGAAGGAAGAGCTGGCTGTGCTGGGCAGGTCTCTAGCTTCCAGCGTCTTACCTGTAAGGAGAAACTTTCAAAACCACATTCCTTCAAAATCATAAAATATGACCCCAAATGATAAAAAATCATCATTTGTACGAGGAAGAGTCATTCATGAAGCATGTTCGCAAATATTGACTTGATGAAAGGCAAAGTCAGGTAACGTAGAGGGGAGGAGTTGCACTTTTACCGTTAATGCCTAAATTTGAGTCTGGCTCTGTATCACCTTGAGCAGTCACTTTATCTCTCTAAACTTCATTGTTCACCTGCAAATTGGAAGCATGCATAATTATTATTGTTGTAAGGATTCAATGAGTGTGGGTGCAACATTGTAAGCTGTGGTATGTACAGTTGTTCGTTATAATTTTAATCATCTTATTTACTTTTTGTAACGGTCTGTGAAAAGCTGGTATTATTATTCCCGGTTTTGACCTGCAAGAACCGGATATTCATGCTGCTGGATGCCTGATCCCAGGTCTATGCTCTCCCGGCACCAGCTGTGCTTGCTGACACAGAGCTTCCCCTCCTCCCCACCCTGCCCACTCCTAGTGGGACAGTGGAGGGCTCAGGCAGAAGGGGCTCCCATCCAAGGCAACACTCTGCCTTGGGCCTGTCATTTTCTACACCTTACCAAAAGTTTTGCTAAACAGCAAAGGCAGTTTATCACACATGTATTTTCCCAGCCTGCTTTTTAGTGAAGGTGACAGTGGTGAAGAGGTAGCCTACTGGGAGGAAGAGAAGGAGGAAGCATTATAAGCCACAGAGTGAAGAAATACTTCCTGCTCACAAAGAAAGTGCTCGCTGTGAGAAGGAGCAGTTCAGCGGGGCCTTCAGGAGTCACATGAAGACTTCTGTCTTGGTCATGCTACCAGCCCCTCTGGTGGCTACACAGCCCGAACAGATCTTTGGCTTCCAGAATTCACAGGAATTCTGGAGGTTCAGACCTATCCCAAGGCCCTGTGGACAGGCCTACCCCTAACATTTGCAGGACACAGGGCAAGAATACAAATGGAGGCACCAGCCCTCAGCTGGGCCCTGTCTTTCCTCCCAGCCTCACTTATGTCCTGCTCTGCTAGGAGCCTGATGTGCATGTGTGTGGCCACTGCATGCTACGTCCCCTGCCTTCCCCTCCCCAAGTCTTCTTTGGGCCTTCTCCAGGCCTAGCATTATGCTGTGCTGTCACTTTTAAGAGGACAGACCTAGAAAGGGGCCCATGCAGGTCCTGGAAGTGGGCTCAGAGCTGCTCAGGCAGGGAATTCTAGGATCCTTGATCACCTAGCAAGTCTGGAAAGGGGGCATGGATGTGGGTGTACATGTCTCCTTGAACCTATGGACTCCTCACCCAAGGGAGAAGTGAGGCCAGAGGAGGGCCAAAGGGGGCTCTTTTAAATTAAAGCCAGATGTAAGGGTGGGGCTGCTCCTGAGGATCAAGCACAGGGTCCTGGTACACAGTTGGCACTTAATCATACCTTTGACTGTTGTGTGACAGAGGGACAAAGGCTGAGCAATTTCAGAATTGCTGTGGAATATCTAAGTATTGCTCTTCTTCCACCTCCATGCTCCATAAACATCGACCTAGCAGCATGGCAAAGGTTGGAGTGGCTGGGATTTCATAAGATGGCAGATGAGTAACATTCCCAACCTTGTGTACTAGCAGGAAGAGCAATTTACTGAGAAACAGCTTCACTGGGCAGGGAAGAGAAACAATCCAAGGCTTTCCCTCTCCCCAAACAAGAGGACATCACTGGGGCTCAGATGGGTGGCGTCTCTTGGTATATTTTTAGAATCCATGTAGGTTTAGTGTCTTTCGTATGTATATTCCAGGGAGTAGCTGGTATATTTGAAGCTGAATATCATATGACCCTTCCGTTCACTTTTTTTTCAGAACATTTCTTTCCTTTAGAGCAACCTAAAGACATCTATATTTAAATTTCATGAACATGAATAACATCGAGGAACTCTGAATCCCCTCACACAGCACCCAGAGCTGCTGCTGGAAGGTGGGGATGGGAGTGAAGGGGGTCAGAGTGGTCACTTCAACTCCAAGTCCACCTCAATCACTGTCTCATCTCCAGGGTTCTCCTCCACAAAATGTGGACGTGTGATTCACAGTAGCACTTTGGCCAAGTATATTTTTTGGCGGATTTTTTTTTTTTTTGAGATGGAGTCTCTCTCTGTCGCCCAGGCTGGAGTACAGTGACGCGATCTCAGCTCACTGCAACCTCCGCCTTCCGGGTTCAAGCGATTCTCCTGCCTCAGCATCCTGAGTAGCTGGGATCACAGATGCGCACCACCACGCCCAGCTAATTTTGTATTTTTAGTAGAGACGGTTTCACCATGTTGGTCAGGCTGGTCTCGTACTCCTGACCTGGTGATCTGCCTGCCTTGGCCTCCCAAAGTGCTGGGATTACAGGCATGAGCCACCACACCCAGCCAGGTGGAATTTTTTAAAATAAAATATCCAATAAGTCTTACAGAAAGCATTTTAAAAAGAAGGCTTAGGAACACATTGACCCCAAATGAAGATCAATAGAGCAGAATCAGAAGATCACATTGCCACATGTTTGATCCCCCAGGGAAAAGGAGCTGATAATGTGCCTGGTGTGGTGTCGAGCTAGGAAATCCTGTGTATGTTAGCACAGTATCGTCTCACATTCACACCAGCTGATTTTCACTAATAGGCAGAGAGATGACGTGAAAATTGTGTAAATGCATATTGACAGAAATTTAAGGATACTCCTTTGAAAGAATGTGTATTTGAAAAGTCTGGAAATTTTTATTTTTAAATAATATGTTACATTTTCAAACAATATGCCCAAGACTTTTTCTGCCAGACATCTTTGCAAGTGAAGTATCTGTAAATTCAGTCATAGATTTAATCATTAATCAAAAAAATTGAATAAATGAAATTTATTCTCTAATGTTCCAGGCACCGCAGATATCCTGTATGAGCCATGCTCTCTCTCTCTCTGTCCTTCTCTCTCTCTGTGTCCCTGTCTCTCTCTCTCACTCTCTGTGTGTGTCTCTCTCTGTCTCTTTCTCTTTGTCCCTCTCTCTGTCTCAGTCATTCTGTGTTTGTCTTTGTCTATCTCTCTGTCTCTGTCACCCCCTATCTATTTAAAATCGGGGTGTTTTACATTTTTTTCTTTAAGAGGATTCTTGCATTAGACAGGGCTAGACAGAAAAGACTAGCCTTTTTCCAGTATGAGGTCTTACGATTTATTTTCTCTTGGTGAGTAGTTAGCAAGGGCTGGTGATCACTGACAGAGGGAGCAGCTGCCCTGGCCAGAGAGATGAATGACCCATCCCCATTTGCTCAAGGTAGAAAACAGTAACTATTCCAACAGGTGCCTAATCCCCCAGCCCAATGCCATTGGCCCTTGGCCAGAGATATTGCTCTAACTTTTCTTGTGATTTCGGAGTCTGAGAAGAAAGCAGTTGAGACTATATTTGGGGATGTTTTTCTGCACTCCTGCACCATTTCCCTGCCTCTCCTGTAAACGCTCACACCCACTGCACCCCACCCTCCTCCAAGAACTAGGATCTTTGTCATCTTGTTCTTTTCCAAGGGGTGCTTTATCTTGCGGGGGCTGTAGGCTGTACAACAGGAAACCCTGCCTGCAAACATTACATAAGAAACACATTTTAAAATATTAAAATTTGGAGCTTGCTTCATCAGTGTACCTTAGTAACCCCAAATCCTTTCCTAAAAGTGACCCAGCTTCCTCTTTATCTGTGGGCAACAGAGAGATGTTCCAAATTCCTTCTTGATCAAGGTCCTACTCTTTTTCATAAAATGATTCCTTTGGTGGCACTGCCCAAGCAAGTTTCATGAGGTAAGAAATCCTGCTGTCACTGAGGAAATCACCCCGCAAAAGACACTATCCCTCAGAAAAGCCACTCCCCCACCAACACTTGGTCAGAGTGACCTAAACCCTGATCAGGGTATTGTAGGAAATGAGGGACTGCTGGCTGGCCATCGTACCACTTGGAGGCACAGTGCCATCAATGAGGAAATGTAAATAGTGACTGCAGTGTCAATGCCAACAGTATATAGGGCACTTGCCATGTGCCAGGCATTACATTAGGTAACTGAGACACATGATGTACTTTATTTAATCCTGATCTAGAACTTACAAAATAAACATAAAATGTTGTGTCTATTTTTACAGACTGACTTGTCCTAGATCCGTTAGCTATTCAGTGACAGGACTGACCTTCAAACTGGGCTTCCTGACTCCAGAGCCACAGTTCTAAGCTTTCAGGCTCTGTGAGGAATTCAGGGCTTAGAAAACATCGCTTACCCTAAGCCATGTAGTTGGAAAGTGGTGAAAGTGGCATTCAGATTCCCAAACTCCTTTTATTAGCAGGTCGCTAGGTCCTGGGTTCTCACATGTCTTGTCCTGGAAATCCTACTCTTGTTTGCTGAGGTTGGGAGGGAGATCTGGGCATTCTCCCAGGTGAGGCCCATCTTTGGAAAGCTTGGAACCACCTGACATTGCAACACAGCCTCTCCAGGACCTGTCCCTGGGTATTTTACTTAGCACAGTTGGTACCCATTATGTGGGCTTTCCTTACTGAAAGACAGCTGTGAAACCAGTTATCTATATCCAGTAGTGAGAGAGATGAGAACACAATGGGGGAGGAGGCTATGAAGCCACAGGAGGTTCTCCCATTTCTCTCTCTGGGGAATCTTTTAACTTAGTATTTAATTTTATTGTTTAAACCAGCCTGACATCTGATTCTTTCCTGTACCCAGTAGGTGACGATAATAAGATGAGGTTACTGTATAACGCTTACCCAGCACATTACAGTGTTCAAGTATGTCTGTATACCTAATCTCCCTTAGTCCCACGACAGGTCTTTGTGGTAGGTGGAATTAACCCCATTTAACAGGCCAGTAAACAAAGATTCAGAGATATTGAGTTGCCTGAGATCACTCAGCTATTAAGTGACAGGACTGGCCCTTAAACTGGGTTTCCTGACTGCAGAGCCACTGTTCTCTCGAAAGTTTTTAGGCAAGACTTACAGCTGCTTGTGGTATATGAAGTGCTGCATTCACTCATTTTGGTTTGTTATTTTTATTGTGTCCATCAATTGCCAGCTTGCAATCTGTATAATGGCCTTACCCACCCCTTTCTAACCGGATGAGTTGATGGGAAGCCAGTGCAGCACCCTTGAGTGGCACACAGGAGGTCTTTGCAGACACTAAGGCAATCCTTTAGTCTCTCAAATGGGAAAACTGAGACAGAACCAGGTGACTAACCTTAGGCCCTTTGTGACTTACTGGCAGCAGGTTCCCAACTCCTTTGCTCTGCCCTGGACCAGTCACTTGTGCCCGACACTAATAACAGGGTAATTTGTGAGAAATGATGTGTGACTCACCAGGCGAGGGAGGAGAGTTCGCGAAGATGGCCAGTGAAGAGGAGCAAGATGTTTATCAGCAATTGGAAAGGAAATGCTGACAGATGCTCCTTGGATTAACATTTCTCAGTTTTGCAACACCATTGCCTACTTACCCAGCCACCAGCTTACATTTTACATTCCTAAAGTGAACAACCAAAAGGTGGGGAGGGGAGTTCTGCCTTTGAAAACAGAACTATCAATCTCATAGTGTTCCTCCCCATCACCTTGGACCCCTTTTTTTGAACCCTAAGATTTACATTCTTCTAAGACCTATCTGTTCTGTGACTTTGCTTTACACCCCTCTGACTTCAGTCATACCTGTTTTTCTGCAAATTTCTATCCACATTACTATTCTAAGTCAACTTCCTGCCTCACTTACCTCCCTGGGTCCTGAGTGGGCCTTTGGCAATCTCTGTCAAGGTAATGATCAGGCCAAGATAAGCCCAAGCGGATTAAGGTGAAGGGGCCTTGGGAGAATTCCATTTTGGTGAGCACTGCCTCCTGGAAAGCCATGTGCTATTGTGTCTTTATTACCTCCACACTGTAAAGTCATTTTACAGGTAGATTTCAAGAGCCTGTCTTCCTACTGACTAAGGGAGTACACTTTGTATTTTCTCTGAAATTGTTAAAATCCAAAAGATTCCAATAGTTAGCTGTTTGTGTGAGTAAAATGGCTGTGATAAGTTTTTATGTAGGTAACAAACTTGCCTTACTTCAAATCAGTTTAATCCACATATTATCTGTGTCAAGCCATTAGCTTTTGTATATGAAACATTTACTATAAAAATTAGCCTCTTAAAAATATTAATGTGAAACAAATTACCATTTAGACAGGGGAAGCTAGGTGTGTATTGGAAAAACACTGGCTTTCCTGGGTTTACTCAGATACAGCAATTTTATTTCCCTGGGACTCAGTTTCTTCATATCTATAGCGCTGGGCTAGATGTTGCATGATTTTTAGAATAAAATTTGCTTTCACTGATTTGAATAATCAAATAAGAAAAGAGTGATAAGTTTTCCTAATGTTGAATCAGTGATAACAATATTTTAAAAGTTTAAGCCACCCAGAACTTATCATGTTAGTATATCAATTATTTTTTATGTTTCTTTCTAGTTTTTTTATACCCACACACATACATGTGATATGTATAAAATAGTATCATATAATGAGATCATATTTATCATATAATCATAGTATGATGTAACTTTGAATTTGGATTTTACTTTTTAATATGTCATTAGGATTTCTCATGTTGATAAATTTTATAATTTCTAACATTAGCTGGATATTATTATCTGGAGTTAATATTTCAAATGTGCTTAAACATTCTGGTCTTTAAAAAACTAATATTACTAACATTGAAGTGTTATTTATTAACTGTAGCTTTCAAAAATTGTGTCCAGTTTTATGTTTTATGTATATTCCCAGGTACACTTGAACATTTTAGTGACTCCTAAAATTTATTATCTAGTTTCCAAAAGGATAGTATCATTTGTGTTGCCATCAGTAACAGATGCATGTAGTAGTTTTACTATATCGTAGTTAGCACTGAATATTATTTTTAAATAACTTCTTCTAACTTAATAAGTGTCAATTAAAGAATTTTAGGACCTGGAAGTTTATTTAGTTCCCTTCCTTAGAAGGGCAATTTCATGGTATTTAATAGTTTGACTCCAATTTATCATTTAACAGACATGAAATAAAGCGATTTACAAGCATTTACCCACTTACTCATTCTAACAACCCTGCAGGGAGGTACAATGATCAACTCCATCTTGTAGATGGGGAAACTGAGGTCATGCTAGTTGTCCATGGGCACATGGCTAGTTAAGTGTCAAAACTAGGCTTTAGACCTGAGGAGCCTGGCTCCAAAGTCCATGTGCTTGACCGCTGTGGTATATGTATTGAGCACTTACTATTTGTACACTTACTGTATGCCAGGTTATGGAACCTTGGGGGATCTGGGGCTCTGGAAAGACTAGATGAGGATCTTATAGATGCTTAAATGGAGACTTGAGGTGAAGGGGTGAGCAGAGCATTCTAGGCAGAAGGAATGGCCTATGCACATGCCACAAGGCTAAAAAAAGAACTTTGACAGTAATTCCAGCACTTTGGAAAGCTGAGGTGGAAGGATTGCTTGAGCCCAGGAGTTTGAGACCAGCCTGGGCAATATAGTAAGACCTCATCACTACTAAAAATGAAAAACTAGCTGGGTGTGGTAGTGCATGCCTGTGGTCCCAGCTACTTAGGAGGCTGAGGTGGGAGGATTGCTTGAACCCAGAAAGTCAAGGCTTCAGTGAGCCATGATCATGCCACTAAACTCCAGCCTGGGTGACAGAGCAAGATCTTATCTCAAAAAAAAAAAAAAAGAAAAGAAAACAAGAACTTTGCCTTTTGCTTTCAAAGATTAGAAAGCAGACCCCTCACAGTTGCAGTATCACAGACTGAGGGGAAGAGGGGCACAGAAGAACTGGAAAAGTAGGCAGGGGTCCAACCGCCCCGGGCCCTCCTGCAAGCATCTCAGTTACAGGAGAGTGCAGGGAGAGGGAAGACAGGGAGCTGCCTCCAGACAGAGGTGGACTCATTTTGGAGAAAAAGCCTCTGACACAACCTTCCCCAAGTGGAGTTTCTTCTGCATACAACAGGAGACAGCAGTAGCCGCCTGGAGCATTTCTAAGAATTAATTCATTGGGTCAAGATTTAGGTTAGGAAGGGGCTGATAGATGGCAACCTAGATCACAGTATATTGTGGAGTTTTATTACAGAGCCAAGAGAAACACATCTTGAAGGGAAGACCATGAGGGGAGAGCTCTGGCTCGAAAGGGAACTTGACCCTTTCAGATGCCAAATGTCTAATTGGCATTTTTGAGGTTTATTAGTTTTGCTAGGAAAATATCCCAATTATGTTTAGTAACAGTGAGAAAGTATTGCCCTAGTGGAAAGTGACAGCTGGCTCATGGAGACATTAAATTTTGGAATCAGTGGGAGCAAAAGGGCAGAATCACATCTTCCTGAAACCTCAAGTCATCACCTAATTTATAAGCACAATAAAGTAAAGCAAACTCTACCAACAGTGTTAGGAGGGAAAATGAGGGGGCTCTCCCTTCTCATTTGGACTTCCGAGGCCTTTTTTGACTTGCTCAGAATACCCTCAGCCTTTGATATCTAGTATTAGAGTAAAGCACATAAAGATGGTTGGACTTTTCCATCAAGGCACACTGCATCCAGTCAGGATTAGAGTAATGGGAGATTGGCTAGTAACAACTCTGACGAATATAGGACTAGCAGGTATAAGAAGCAGTCACACCTCTGGGATATTGAGCACCCAAGGAAGAGGCTCCCCACAGGCTGACATGCAGACCCTCTTGAAAGGAGTCTTTATGGTACCAGCGGAACTTGCTGGAAACCAGCCCTCTGGAACTTGCCATAAATCTGCCCTGTAGGGTTCTGGGAGAGCTGCTCATTAGCAGGTATCTCCCTGGAGGCACGCTGCCACAACACCCCCAAGGGAGGTGCTGAAATCTGCTGGCAGCTGGGGGTTGCTGGAGCCCTTCACTGTGTGCCCCAGATCTCAAAAGCAAAACCCTTTCCTCCCACCATGTTGCTACATGACCCTCTTCTGACAAAGCTTCCTGACCAGCTGGCAAAGGGAAAATATGTAAAGGGATTGGATCCATTTTCCCCAAGCAGGCAAAAAGGATGAATTTGGAGTTGAGAGGCATTAACTTGACAACTGGCCCAAGCTTCAAGAAAGAAGCCCTGTAAGAAGAGCAAAGACTCATGATGCTCCTCTCCAGGGCATGTAACAGAGCATTAATGGAAACCCAGGCTCCCAGTGGACTTACGATGCTCCTCTCTAGGGCATGTAACAGAGCATTAATGGAAACCCAGGCTCCCAATGGACTTACGATGCTCCTCTCCAGGGCATGTAACAGAACATTAATGGAAGCCCAGGCTCCCAGTGGACTTACGATGCTCCTCTCTAGGGCATGTAACAGAACATTAATGGAAGCCCAGGCTCCCAATGGACTTATGATGCTCCTCTCTAGGGCATGTAACAGAACATTAATGGAAGCCCAGGCTCCCAGTGGACTTATGATGCTCCTCTCCAGGGCATGTAACAGAACATTAATGGAAACCAGGCTCCCAGTGGACTTACGATGCTCCTCTCCAGGGCATGTAACAGAACATTAATGGAAATCAGGCTCCCAGTGGACTTACGATGCTCCTCTCCAGGGCATGTAACAGAACATTAATGGAAACCCAGGCTCCCAATGGACTTACGATGCTCCTCTCTAGGGCATGTAACAGAGCATTAATGGAAGCCCAGGCTCCCAATGGACTTACGATGCTCCTCTCCAGGGCATGTAACAGACTGTTAATGGAAACCCAGGCTCCCAATGGACTTATGATGCTCCTCTCTAGGGCATGTAACAGACTGTTAATGGAAACCCAGGCTCCCAATGGACTTATGATGGAAAAAGTCCCTGGATTATTTTTTTAAATTGAGTTATAGAAGTTCTTTATATATTCTAGATAAAAGTTCTTTGTGTTGCAGATATTTTCTCCCAGTCTGTAGTGTGGCTTTTTTATTCTCTTAATGTTTCTTTTTTTGTTCTTTGAGATGGAGTCTTGCTCTGTCACGCAGCCTGGAGTGCATTGGTGTAATCTTGGCTCACTACAACCTCCGCCTCCAGGGTTCAAGAAATTCTCCTGCCTCAGCCTCCCAAGTAGCTGGGATTACAGGCACCTTCCACCACGCCCGGGTAATTTTTGTATTTTTAGTGGAGATGCAGTTTCACCATGTTGGTCAGCCTGGTCCTCAAACTCCTGACCTCAGATGATCCACTCAACTCAGCCTCCCAAAGTGCTGGGATTAGAGGCGTGAGTTACCGTGCCCGACCTTAATGGTATCTTTTGATGAGCAGAAGTCTCCATGTTTTACAGTCTACCTGGAAATAATACAAACCATAGCTCTTGTTTACTTATCTTTTCCATTATTTTCTCTGTATTATTAGAGTCACAGTCTCACCTGTTGTAACAAATAGAACTCAAAATTCAATGACTAAGATAGAAATTCATTTCTCTTGCATGTAACAGTACAGACATGAATGGCCCAGGGCTAATGAGTTAATTGGCTTTAAAAATCGCTCCTGTCCTGTCAGCCACATCTCCAGCTATCAGGAAGGCAGAGAGAAACCAGGACATGCAGCTTGGTCTTTAGGGAGATTATGCAAATCAATTCCACCCCTATGTCATTGACCCAGGCATAGTCACACATGCCACATCTGGGGAGGCTGGAGAATGCTGCCTCATGGAGCGGGCAGCCACATACCAGGTGTAACTGGGGTGGAGGCTGGGGGTGTGTAACTAAAAAGAATAAATGGATACTTGGGAGCATCCTGATATCACTTAATGACATCTTTGAAGTGATACCATATTTTTGTCACAAATATTCTGAATTTTTCTTTTTTTTTGAAACTCTATTATGAATTTCTTCCAGGCTTTAAATTAATATAATTGTTAAATTTTGTATAGGAGAATTCCTTAAAATTATTTTTTGTCTTGTAGTAAGTTAATTGCTCCTCTTCATTACAGTATAGGATATTTTTCTTTTTTTTCTCTCTCTTCAGTTTTTTTACAGTTATAGCCTAAGGCATTCATAGTTTTGTTAATGCACTAACTTAGAAACAGTAAATATCCTTCAAGGTTAAGTTGTTCTATCATTTGCATTGTCTTCTTCATGTGAAATGGTACAATTTTAAATGCATTTAGAATTGGAATTTACCATGGGCTTGGTCTTAACACTGTGCACAGGAGGTGCGTAGCTGCTAATGTTTTCCTTTGTGTTTTATCTTAAAGACATACTATTTTTTTTTTTTTGGCTGGGTTTGTAGAGCTGGTTCCAAAGAAAGCACAAACAGACTAATGTAGATAAACATGTTTACCCGACCCTTTAACCAAATTTTAAGAATTGTTTGACAACTAATAAAAATGAAGTTGTTTTTAGATAATTAAATCAGATTTTATTATTGGCTGAAGCATCACTCTTTGAGTGTTCAAAAATGCATTCTAGCCCCAGTAAGCTTTACATCCATTCATTCAATAAATATTCATTTGGTGTCTACTGTGTGGCCAGCTCTGAGTAGGCAATAGCGAGCAAGACAGAGAAGGTCCTTTTGTTACAGAGCTGACTTTCCCTTCACCAGAGAATGCCGGTCACCTATAACCTAGCTGGTCACCTGACCTTCAAAAGCTCTTGCCAACTCATATCCTCCAACCATAATAATGTTCAGAGATCGCGAATGTGAACTCAAGCGCATCCTTGCACTTTGTCAGTCAGAAAAATACCTTTACTTCAGTTTGACTTGTTTGCCCACCTTGCCATTTCTTGTTCCTGCTGTCTGTCTGAGAGAAACCTTCTGTTCTGTAGAGATAGTTTCTTGTTGCTCTCCTCTATCTGAGAGATATGTTCTGTAGCAATATCTTCTAAACTGGTATGGAATTTACAGTATGAATTGGATGAATAATTACCAGATGTTGTCCAAAGCCTCAGCTTGGATTGGAGTTCTTACATCAGCAAAAGTTAGACTGTCATATTTTTTAATACTTTACAAAAATGTTGCTTCAAATAGTGATAAACTTGTGGCCCAACTGGTTTTATTCCTTCCATCCTAAGTTCGAATGGAATGGCGTCCATCTGAGGAAGTAGCTCAACAGGCTTCATTTACACATTGGGTTCTATACCCACGAGGTTAGAAAAGAATGACCGTGAACCCCCTACATTAGCTACATTGTCTTCTTGGAAACTTTTGGCAGCTGAAGTCAAAAATAGGGCTTAAGAATTCCATAGTATTAGCAAAAAACACAGCTGGGGCTGAGATGCCTCATCCGTTACTATTGCTTCCCCCAAAGTACAAAGAAATAAACGCAGGCATTTTTCTTGCAAATATTTCATATTTTAAAAAATAGCCTCAGATTTTTTTATGTAAATAAAATCACAATTTCTTCTGATATTTTTACATGAGTAAAAATTGCAGAACTTAGAGAATGCACACAGGATGAGAAAAAGGGGCCTTGAGTAGCTGAAGAGAGAAAAAGGAACTGAGAATGACCCGGGGGTAAATAAGTACATTTGCTTCCAAGAGAATTCCAAGCAGAGATACTGAGGAGCTGTTAACAGAGTTTATTTTTAAATTGCCAGAAATTGCTAGAATTGGGTCAAATGACTAAAGATGGGACATGAACTAAGAACTTAATGTGGGCATCAGTGGGCTCCTGAGACTGACCGAAAAGTGAGTGAGTCAAAATCAAGGTCCTTAAAGGACAGAATCATTGCTGTGAAGGCTCAAGAATTTTTCACAGCAGTGACATGTGGGGTTTTAAAAACACAGGTATCTCTCCATCTCGATGTTTTGTAACTGTCCTTTCCATCTGAGTATTGTTGAAGTATTGCGATGCTTACACAGTTAACCCAGCACAAAAGTATTGTTCTACTGACAGTATAGGTGATATGTTTTTTTTCATCTACCAAGCATCTTTTTAAGGCTATTCAGGGAAGCCAGCAGCCTCCTTTACACGGAAAAAAACCACCTTAAGCAGTAACTAAGAGTGTCATTATCACATTTCCAACAGGAAGAACAGGGGCAAAAATGGGAGAGAAAGAAGAAAAAGAGACAAATGAGCAAATGAGTGCCCACTGTCAGCAAGATGAGGTCAGAGGCTAAACGGGGAGAAACTGACAAATGCTGCAGGCTGTGTACTTCTCAGTTATAAATCCTAAAAACAGGTACCTCTGCTACACTTACGGTTCAGACAACCAAATTGGAGTCATCAGTTTCTCTAAAGGAGGGTGTGGAAGATGCTGGATGTATAAGTTGGGGTTCTTGGTTGTAGGCAATAGAATCTACCTCTTTCTTAGTACCTTAAATAAAATACTTCATTGGAGGCAACTCACATCATTGAAGGAAGGCTGATGGACTAGACTTGGATGACAGTGGAAACCAAGGCAATCAGGAAAGCCAAGAAGCTGAGAGACCGCGACTATCTTTTCCTCAGCAGCAGTCACGGCCGCCGCTGCCTCGGCAGGATGCCATCTGCTGCTGCTGCTGGATAGCATTGTCTGCTCCAGATTCAATCCCAACAAAAGCATCTGAATGACCAGATCTAAGGTCAGGCCAATGCCAGCAGATGGAGAATGGCCCCCTTTGGCATTCACAATGGGAAAGGCATCGTACCAACTTCACACCTGGTGGCAATTTTCACTGACTACTATGTGGGCTGGATGCTGAGCTGGTGGCATGTCCAAAATGACATGTCCAGTACACTAGGATCAGGTAAATGTGACTCTGAAAGATCCCAGAGGTTCTGGCTGTGGATTATCACAGGCTGTGGCCTGAGAGCAGCCATGGTGAGGCCATGAGAATGTCACTTGTTTGTTGCTAACAGTCTGAAGTAGCAGAGAGGATTAGAGAAGAGTGACTGTCACAGTCTTCACTTCCTTTGTGTGTTTAGCCTCTGATCTCATCTTGAGAAAAGATGAGGCTGGCTGGAGGGGTAGCCTGGACCATTAAAGCCCATGCCTAGAGCTGAAATATTGGCTTATGGAGTCTATGACCACCCTTATCTTCAAGGGGCCATCATCTGGGAGAGACACTTCTTCAGGAGAGTTCAATTTTGCTTTTTAAAGCATACTGTTTTTTTCTTCCATAAAGTCATAAAATTTAAAGTCATGCTGAACTCTGAACCTGGTTATAGTCTTTATTTCTTTTATTTATTTTTCGGGGTTCGTGGATGCAAGCTTGACTCAGGAGAATTTGGGAGGTAAAACTTAAGCACCATAAATGAAGAACAGGCAGCTGCAGCATGAAATTCAGGATAAGCCATAGATTAAAAGGTGTAAAGGTTAAAAGTTGATGAAGCTGAGAAGGAGGCTTCTTAACTTTTTTATTTTTTTGGAGGTATAATTTACATACCATGCAATTCACCCATTTAACGTGTGCAAAATGCAATATTTTTTAGTATATTTACAGAATTGTGCAACCAACACCACATTCAAATGTTAAACATTTTCACCACCTTAAAAAGAAACCCTGTACCCATCAGAAGCCATTTCTCATTTTCCCTCGTCTGTCCCCACTTCTGCTTTACCTCACTGAGGAGCTACTAACCTAATTTATATCTCTGGACATTTCACGTAAATGGAATCATACAATATGTGGCCTTCTGTGTCTGGCCACTTAGCATCATCTTTTCAAGAGTCATCCATACTGAGCATGAATCTTTTCTATTTTCTTCAGTACATGCCTAGGAGTAGAATTACAAAGTCTTATGGGAACTGTGTATTTAACCATTTGAGAAACCAACAGCCTGTTTTCCATGGCAGTGGCACCTTGTCACATTCCCATCAACAATGTCTGGTGTGTGTGTGTGTGGGGCGGCGGGGGGGTCCCGATTTCTTCACACCCCGTCAGCACTTGTGATCTGTTGGATGGCAGCTATGGGTGTGAAGGGCCTCTCTGGGTATGGGTGTGACTTCCATTTCTCTCATGGCTGAGGCAGAGCATCTTTTCATGTGCTTATTGGCCATTTCTATATTGTCTTTGATAAAATGTCTATTCAGATCCTTTGCTCATTTTTAAACTGGATTATTCGTCATTTTTTTTCATTGAGTTGTCAGTGTCCTTTACATATTCTAACCACAAGTCCCTTCTCAGATATATGACCTTCAAGTATTTTTTTCCATTCTGTGGGTCATCATTGATGGTATCCATTTGTCTATTCTTTCTTTTGTTGTTTGTGCTTTTTGGTTGTTGATTGTTTGTTTGTTTGTTTGTTTTGAAACAGGGTCTCTCAGACCCGATGGCTCACAAAGACACCCCATAGGCTCACAGAGGAGCTGGCTACCAAATTCTGTCACTCAGGCTGGAGTGCAGTGGCCCCATTTTGGCTCACTGAAACCTCTGCCTCTGGGCTCAAGCAATCCTCCCACCTCAGTATCCTGAGTAACTGAGATTACAGGCGCATGCCACCATGCCCCATGCCTAGCTAATTCTTGTATTTTTTGTAGAGATGGGATCTCACTATGTTGTCCAAGCTGGTCTTGAATTCCTGGGCTCAGGCGATCCGCCCACCCCAGCATCCCAGGGTCCTGGATGTATAGGTGTGAGCCATCACACCCAGCCTGCTTGTGCTTTTGATATATAACAAGGCTTTGCCTAACTCGAGGTCACAAAGATTTACTCCTATATTTTCTTCTAAGAGTTTTACAATTTTAGCCATTATATTTAGATCTGTGCTTTGTTTTCATTTTTGAGTATGATGTGAAGAATGGGTTCTTAATACTTCTGAAGCTGCAATAATTGATGTTTGGTGGCAGTACATGAAGAAAGAGTGAAGAATGTAGATTTATTGTCTTTCTCAGTTTGGACTACATTTTCCAAGAGGTCATCCTCAACTCTTGAGTTCTTTCCATCTTCCCTAAAATTTTTGGCTGTTGAGTATTAAAGTTTCTATGGCTTTCAACAGATCTTAATCCATTGCTTACATGTAATGCACAAGGAATTGTTTAGAGTGGTAACCCCTACATAACCATGATAAACTATTTGATTCGTTATATTTCACATGATACAAAATAATCTGTACTGCCTTGAGTTGTGTTTTACAGGTGAGCAAGCTATTTTGTATAACAGTGATTATAATAATATTGGGGGGGAAACCTAACTCAGTGTCATTGCTATGTGTTCCCTGAGTCCTTATCTATTAAATTTGGAACCAATAAAGTAAGGAACATGCTGAGGCAAACTTCTAGGAAAAAAATATCTTTGCCCTTGCAGGAGTATCTAGTTGTGATGCAGTTGAGGAACACAGACCTGGCACAAGCTTTGTCCATTACAGAGAGCCTCTGTGGCCTCGACTGGTTTCTCAAGTCTGTAGGAAGTTTGAACTTTTGCTGGAGTTTGACTCAAAGGCTTGTGTATGCTCTTGTTCTGAGATGTTCTGGGCAAGTACTTCAAAATAGATTTCTCTAAATTCCCCTTTTGGTCAGTTATGTCAGATGGTTCAGGCAACCAAGCTTGAGTCCTCACTTATTTTACCAAACTAACCATGAAAGTTGATCAATTCTTCCTTCCTAACAGCTCTGTCAACAGCTCTTACTGCACCTTTGTACCCAGATCAAGTCTGCAGTCCGTGGTCACCCCTTCACCCCTGTCCTTTCTGTGTCCCCGAAGCCTAATCAAGAGGAAGTATCACTAAGTCTTTGTTGATTATCTTTGTTCCACCATATTTACACAACTTCGCAATGGTATAAATAGGATTCACTCCTCCCTCTCAGGGTAGAAATTCTAATAAAAGAATAGTCCATTGAGGCTGGGCGCAGTGCTTATGCCTGTCATCCCAGCACTTTGGGAGGCTGAGGCGGGCGGATCACCTGAGGTTGGGAGTTCAAGACCAGACTGACCAACATGGAGAAACCCTGTCTCTACTAAAAATACGAAATTAGCTGGCCATGGTGGCATATGTCTGTAATCCCAGCTACTTGGGAGGCTGAGGCAGGAGAATTGCTTGAACCCAGAAGGCAGAGGTTTCAGTGAGCCGAGATCACGCCATTGCACTCCAGCCTGGGCAACAGGAGCGAAACTCCATCTCAAAAAAAAAAAAAAAAAAAAAGAATAGTCCAAGGAAAAGGCAGCCTTTCTCCAGGGGCACAGCCTTGCAGGTGTGGAGGCGACTGGGTTAGCACTTCTCCGAATGGTGGGTAAGAAGTGAGATGAGGTACGGAATTATCTCACCAGGGTTCAATTCTTGGTTTTGGTGTGGATCTTTCTGAAGGACATTGGGGTCCACACTGTGGAATTCTTTCTCATCTGAAGTCAGAAATCTGTCACTTCAGTATTCCCCTCTTGTATCCTACCCTCTGATCTAGTCTTCCCATTACCCTCGGGCCTCACTCCCAACACACATGTCTTTGACCTTCACTCCCTTGAGTTTTCTTTCTTCCCCATCAATCTCACTTCTCTCTGGGGCTCACTTTATCCTCTACCCGATTTGCATCCCACAGATGGCGTTATTCCCTCTGGTCCCCACTGCTCTGGCCAAACCTTCTCTCTGCTGACTGCATCTATTGCTGTGAGCTGATTGTCCTCTAGTTTCTCCATCTCCTGAGGCATGCTTCACACCACTGCCAGAAGAGCTGCCAGGCATGTGCCCGGGTGAAGCAAAGTGGGGAGGGGGCTTGAAATCCAGTCCTCATTCCACTGATCATTTTGGGCTTGGTAGAGCTGTGTCTGCCTAGAGAGAATACCTTCCTCTAATCAGCACAAAGACACC
The DNA here is from genome assembly GCF_000001405.40 of Homo sapiens. Lineage (NCBI taxonomy): Eukaryota > Metazoa > Chordata > Mammalia > Primates > Hominidae > Homo > Homo sapiens. The sequence goes on along the minus strand of NC_000015.10, from coordinate 100,503,579 downwards.
CTATGGGCTCACAGAGGAGCTGGCTACCAAATTGACCTTTCTAAAATAGCTGACCATCTCATTCCTCTTCATAATACCCTTCAGTGGGTCCTATCAGCTAAATGCCAAACTCCTTAGCATGGAATGCAAGCAAACGCTCTAAGGCCTAGCCTGCTTGTCCCACCAGCATTTTAATGAGGGTGATCATATGATTTATTGTCCAAAGTATTCCTTTCAGAATACTTCTGAAAGGAAGGAAGAGCTGTTACTGATTATGCCAGGGCAATCCACTGCAGTGCCTGGGCACTTATTTGTAACCTACCATTCCACACCTTGGATTCATTCACTGTGGTAGTACCAACCCACTGGTAGTTTTCTATGTGCGCCTTGTTATTTCCCGATTAAGAGGTTTTGACAGAGTGATTTTGACAACCTTGTTGTGAATCTGAGGACATTTTGATTCCTTTTTCTGATTAAACATTAAAAGATGAAATTCATGCATCCTCAAGTCAAAATCCCAAGTCCAAAATGATCACAGCCTAAACAATGATATTAAAACATCTAATTTACATTATTCTATGCTCTGGTTACTTGATTGTAGTCTGAATACTTTGTCTGCTTAGAACTTGTATTCCTTCTTCCCCATTTTCCTGCCTTTCCTGGCTTATGTCCACTTATTGTTCAAGATATCTCAAGGACTTTTTCTTCCAGTTACCTTTCCCTGATATTTCCTGGTTGGGCTCAGTGCCCATCATCTTGTTCCCACAGCAACCTGTATACGTTTTTTAGCATACCTAAAAAAAAAAATGTGTTGAAGTCATGAGTTCAGGCCTGCCTTGCTTACGAGACTATTATGTCCTCAAGGCAGGAAGCCTGTCTTATTAATTGTTTTATCCTCAGTGCTCAGCACGGCTCTTCACAAATAACAGAATCTTAATAAATATTCCTTTACATAGACTAATTTGATCTCCTTGTAATATGAAGTGAAACGTGCCTGCCCCTTATTTCCTGGGGAATTTTTTAGGGTACTAGTGATGATTTGTACCTACCTGGAGCCTTCAGGACATTGACTTTTGGCATGTTAAAGTTGTAAAGCCTATTGTTATTTTTTTATACCATAGAATCATACACAAAGAAAATACACGTGCATAATATTCACATATGTTTTGCCAAAAGTGTGAATAGTGATGTGTTAAACTTGAGTTTTTCCATAAACAAAATTGTCCTGAGGGTATGGAAGAGTAATTCCTGTTTAATGCAATGAAGGATCATATAATCCATTAAATAATAGTATTCCATTCTTGCCTTATTTTCTTTCTTTCTTTCTTTCTTTTTTTTTTTTTTTTTTTCTTTTTTTGAGGTGGAGTCTTGCTCTGTCGCCAGGCTGGAGTACAGTGGCGTGATCTTGGCTCACTGCAAACTCCGCCTCCTGGGATCAAGCTATTCTCCTGCCACAGCCTCCCAAGTTGCTGGGACTACAGGTGTGCACCACCACACCTGACCAATTTTTGTATTTTTAGTAGAGATGGGATTTCACCATGTTGGCCAGGATGGACTTGATCTCTTGACCTCATGATCCGCCCGCCTTGGTCTCCCAAAGTGCTGATATTGCAGGTGTGAGCCACTGCGCTAGGCCTCTTGCCTTATTTTCTAAGCTCTCTGGATCTGGCATTTTGAGCCAAGGTGATCAATGTTATCCTAAAGTTACGTGTTTGTTTTACAAGCCTAATGTCTGTTTCCATTTCTCTAGAATGTTTTGGACGTTTAAAGAATGGTTCTGGTTGGAAAGATTCTGGCTTCCTCCAACAATAAAGTGGTCAGATCTTGAGGATCACGATGGACTCGTCTTTGTAAAACCTTCTCATTTATACGTGACAATTCCATATGCTTTTCTCTTGCTGATTATCAGACGTGTATTTGAAAAGTAAGTAGTACTTGTGTCTTTCCTTCCCATTCCCCCTCTTTGCTCTAACACTAGAATAATACAGTCTTAGGCTTAGTGAGATCCTTAAAGAATCTGTTGTTCAGAGGTTGCCACTAATGGGCCACAGATTCTGGGGATGAGTTAATGTAATCAGATGCGCTCCAAATGTTATTTAAAGGCTGAACAACAAAAAATTAGAAACATGGATCCCACTGAGTGCTTTAGTTTTATAACGAAGAAAATCAAGATCAAGAGAGGTTGCGGACCACAGAGCTTATTGGTATCAATGACAATACGGGAACCCAGTTCATCTACTCTTCCACGGTGTCTGACAATGCATGTGCATTCCCAGAAAGGCTGTGCTAGAAGAGTCTATGACTCAGGAAGCATTAGCATCCTCAAGTGCCTATAAAATAACAAAAATGGCTCATTAAAGTCTAAACCAAATATTGCTATATAGTATAGCTTATTTTAAAGGTTTATTTAAAGGTTTAATAGCTGCCCTTCGTTCTAAAGTGCAAGGAAATCAAAGAGAAAAACTATCAGTTTGCTTTCTCAGAAAAAGTAAACTTATTTTTTTCTTGATTTAATTTAAATGGATATTATTTCCAGCCTTTTTATTAAAATTGTACTAGTGTTATGATAACAGTAGATAAATGTTCATCTATAATCTCTGTTGTTGACTCTATTTCAAAAAGCTGTTATTAGCACATTAATTTATTTGGAGCAAAGAGAATATTCAAATGTCAAGAGTTGGAAAAACTTGAGACAAAATCTGATAGAGATCATTTTGTCCAAGACTAACTGTAATGCAGATCATATGTTTATAAACATTTGCAGGGTCCTTATCTTGAGAGCTAGTTTGACCAACTCTGTTTCATGAACTCTTGAAAAAGTTTTTGTACAAACAACAACTTCACTGGGGCCAACAGCGTGCTATTCCTATTGGGAGGAAAAGAAAGCCCCTGGAAACCACTAAACCCTGGCTGAGAGCATTTGAAAATGTACTTCTTTTCTGACAGTTAATTCTACTTTTTACTCACGTATTTGGATATGTCAAGAATGCATAAATAAAGTAGAAGAATTACTATCCTGAAATACTAGGTGTTTTTGCATTGTATCCGGTGATCTTTGAATTTGGCATCCAGGTCCATTACTTATTTCCATTGCAGATTTCCTACTTTTTGGTGGACAGCTCCATTTTTCACAGTTTGGCCAGGACTGTGAGCCAGAAACATCTTTAGGTTGCCAAAGAAGCACAGCTGTGGAGGACCAGCTTGTTACGTCCCTGTCTTGGCCTCTCCAACAACAATCAGGAAGGAATCCAACCCTCTCTTAATTCCTAGGACCATTGTTGCTTCTTCTCAAGGGATTAAGTATAGTCTATATTCTCTATTCTATCTCCTTATAACTTCAGCTCCCAATAACTCACTCTCAGCCTTTTCCATTGTGACGCTGCAGAAAACTATGTGTTGCTTCACTAATGCCATATCTCTTTTAATGCCATAGAAGGAAGGAAAATTTAACAGGGAGAGAGGTCATACTTTTTGAAGTATAAGTTTATGTTTTTTTCCAGGGCTTCTATATCATTAGTGGGAGATTGAACCACTTATATCATAAATAAAATATCACTTATACCTTATATTTGAATAGGAGTTTATAGTTTAAGAGCTACATAAAATCACAAATGGTGTGGTCTCAGTCTGCAGGTGTGGAAATGAGAGGTAAATGACCTGGCCAAGGTCACACAGTTAACATGTAAGGGGATGGATCTGGGACTCGAACCCATGAGCTCAGGTTTAGGGTTGTTGGTTTTTTATTTTCTGACTGTTTCAGTAATTCTTAGACTTTCACAGCGAAAGACTCCTGATGGCAGAAGAGAGTACACAAATGTCTCTTGGGAATACAGAAAGCAAGCTTAAAGAGATAACAGCAAACATAAAAATGTCTGAACTATTTTAAAAATTCATGTAAATATAACCCTATGTTTCAGCATATCCTGATATATTTAACACAACAAAGCTTCCTTCTTTTGTTCTAGACTGCATTTATGTACATCTTCTCATTCTATGAAGTGACCAAGAGTTGTGATTTGGCTGGTTCATTATTGTCCTTTAGTACTAGCCAAGAACTATTTAAGATCAGAAATTAATGTTTCTTCCTAGAAAATCAAGAAGAGAGAGACAGACAGATGAGAAACAAAGAAGCAGATAATTTGAAAGTAACTGACATTTACTTTGTATTTAAGATTTTCTTTCCTTGAAAGTTATAGTTTGTGTCTTATGTTTTGTTTTTTGTTTTTGTGTGTGTGTGTGGCTAATGTTTTGATTTTTATTTTGTCCAGACTACTAGTTTCTAATTAGTTTATCTTCTGTGCATTCTTTTATGTGTCTGAAGTGTGATTTAAAAGAAACCTAACCTGCTCAAATGTCAACACTCATGGAATAAACACATTGTCTCAGAGTAAATCATGGTCCCAGAAGAGTCCAAGGCAGGGGTGCAGGTGGTAAAATCAGAAGGACACATTTTTATTATTGTTGTTACTTAATTATACACGAGTAGATTCTCCACCCCAGCAACATAAGGTCATGATGGGGCAGTATGTCCATCGTTCTTTAAAGAAGGGTAGGGTAGCTGGAGTAACCTATCTGTAGCGACTTACATAAATTGAAGAAGTATTGTTACTAACTGTCCCAAATGGAAATAGTCTTAAAATATGCACATTAGACTTTTTCATCTGAGATCTACTTTGCTCGCAATATTTTGTTCACACATAAAAACAAAAAACACAACAAAGCAAAACCTCTGGAAAGCTCTGCTCACAGAGCCTCTGAATCCTTAGGAACTGGGAATCAATCTTATGCCAATAGGCTAGTGTATCTATTTAGGAGAAGTATTTAAATGTAACATGCCTAATATCTGCCTAGGGATACATTCCTTTTATTCCATTAAAATATTAAAAATAAAGGGAGATATGGGATGTCTAGGCTTTTGGTTCCCAGGTAACTGATGGGGTGCTAGACAAAGGGGGGGCCGTCTGGGTGTCTGAATGGGTTTGTCTGAAGGCTCAGTTCTGCAATAGTAGCAAACCTAAGGGACTCATTCCCTGGTAATTAACCTAACTTTGAACCATTTACATGGGAGCAGATGTTCATTCTTTTTTCTTCCTCTCAGACTTTTTTTTTCTATTCCATATCAATAAAATGAAAATTTAGGCAAGCTAGCTGGCAAGCTAATCTCTAAGTTTCTTTCTAGGGCTAAGACTTACAATTTCCCTTATCTCTTCAGTTCAATTTATCAACTATTTATTGTGCTTCTTTCTTCTCTCCTTCTTCAAAATAGATTTTTAATTAAGTGACTTTATATTCATCTACACTTTATTAGGTGATTGATTTCCTAGATTTATTTGAAAGGGAAGGATAGCACTCAATTAGACAACTACATTTATATCTATACTCTGTTCTGTTAACAATGTTATTTTTTGGCCGGGCGCGGTGGCTCATGCCTGTAATTCCAGCACTTTGGGAGGCTGAGGCAGGCAGATCACGAGATCAGGCGATCGAGACCATCCTGGCCAACATAGTGAAACCCCGTCTGTACTAAAAATACAAAAAAATTAACTGGGTGTGTTGGCACATGCCTGTAGTCCCAGCTCTTCGTGAGGCTGAGGCAGGAGAATCGCTTGAACCCAGGAGGCAGAAGTTGCAGTGAGCCGAGATCACGCCACTGCACTCCAGCCTGGCGACAGAGTGAGACTCCATCTCAAAAAAAAAAAAAAAAGTGTGTGTGTGTGTGTGTGTGTGTGTGTGTGTGTGTGTGTGTGTAAGAGATAGGTATCCAGTAAAACAAAAATCATTAAGTCTGTCCTTGAAGTTAACAAAGAGGACTGTAGTTCTCTTTCTTGTTTAAATTAATGATTTTAACAGGTATTTATTCCTCATATCAGCAAGGATGCTATGAATGTGTATATTTATCTATGTGTATACTTACCCATATGCTATTTCTCACATGACCCTCTAGAGAAGAATGTTATGCTTCATTTGGCTTTGAGATTAGTTTTGTTTCCTTACTGTATAAATCTTTGGTTTAATTCTATTTTGCTTTCCCCTCCTAATTTCTTCATTTCTAGCACTTGAGGAGATAGCACTGAGCAGATATATTGAAAACACTACCCTATGAAACTATTTCCAGTTTGTGTTGTTCTAATAGAGAAAAAAAATGGATGTTTTCTCCACTAAAATTTTCCAGCTACTAGGTTGGATAAATGAACTAATTCAATTATTTATCCAAAACCCTGTCATATATATATGTATTTTTCTCTCTATATATATATATACATACACACACACACACACACACACACACACACATACATATATGCTCTCTCTCTCTGTGTGTGTCTCTCTGTCTCTCTCTCTATATATATGTCTATATAAGAGCAATCTTGAGTGATGGATGACTTTTTCATTAATTCCTTTTTTTCCCCATGCACTACTCCCATTCCCCTCTCTGTCGTGTTCTGTGTATTTGGTGATCCTTTATTTGTATGACCCAGTAAAACATGTGCTTCATGTACAGGTATCACTTGTTGACACAAATGGTATTGCACTAAGACCTTTTCTTTCTTCTTTTTTAAAATTTAGCACTATGTTTTATGATCTCTCCACATTGCTCTGTGTACATCTGGGGCATAACTCACTTATTTTTATATGTCTCTGAAATTTAGGGGCCATTTTCAAGAGAACTTAATTCATCTGGAAGTTGGACTGACATACATTTAATCAGATTATCTTAGGAGAGTTTTTATTCAACTTCCATCGATATAAAAATGAATTTAAGAACTAAATGATCATTCATAACTAAAATTGTCAGCATTTAATTCAACACAAAAATTCTTCTTAAGTAAGTCCTAGAATTGACTGGACTGGCAGAAGATAGTACCTTTGTCAGAACTGAAGGAAGAATAAGGAAATCTCATTATTTTAAAAATATCTGCTTTATTGAGGTTTGATTTACATACAATAAAGTTCATCCAAAATTTGATGCATTTTGACAAATGTATACAGTCTTGCAAGCATCACCACGATTATGATACAGATTTCTGTCAGCTAAAAAATTCTCTTGTAATGCTTTCAGTTAATACCCTCGCTACCCACTAGCCACCAGCAATCACTAATCTATTTTCTGTCACTATAATTTTGTATTTTCTAATATTTCCTTTAAGTGAAATCATATAGATTATGGTCTTTTGTGTTCGACTTCTTTCATTAAGCTTAATGCTTTTAAGATTTTTTTCATGTTATGTATATCAGTGGTTCCTTTCTATTGCTGAATAGTCTTTCAACATACATATATACTATAACTTGTTTATCCTTTAGTTGATGGGAAGAAATTTGTGTTGCATACAGTTTTAGGCTGTTATGAATGAAGTTACTATGAACAATTTGAGTACAAGAATTTGTGCAGATATATGCTTTTATTTCTCTTGGCAAAGAGCTAAAACATTTGCTCTTCAAGGCACTGTTAGTGTATATCCCTACAATAGAATATTGTTCTGCAATGAAGAGGAATGCACTACAAATACATGCCGTGACATGAGTGAGCCTCAGAAACATTCAGCTCTGTGAAAGAAGCCAGACACAAGTGACCACATATTGTATAATTTCATGTATATTAAATATTCAAAAAGGCAAACTAGAAAAACAGAAAATAGATGAGTGGTTGCCTGGGGCAGGTGCAAGAAGAAACAGAGATTAACAATAGACATGAATGATGGAAATGTTCTAAGGCTGATTCATAGTAATGGTTGTACAACTTAGTAAATGTACTAAGAAGTCATTTTATATATTAAAAATTGTATACTTGAAAATATTGAATTATATGATATGCAAAATACCTTACTAGTTATCTTTTTAGGAAACATTACTGTAAATAAAATAAAAAGGCAAGCCACAGACTGGGAGAAATTATATGTAAAACATATATCTGATAAAGGACTTAAATTCAGAATATATAAATAACTCAGAACTCAATAATAAAAAGAAATAACTTGGTTTTAAAAATAGGCAAAAGATTTGAGCAAATACTTCATCAAATAAGATATACAAATAGAAAACAAGCACATGGAAAGATGCTCAACATTATTAGTCATTAGGAAAATATAAATTAAAACCACAATGCACTGGATTAGCAAAAATGTCAGAGTAAGAACCTCTGAAAATTCTTTCTTCCATAAAAGCAACCAGAAAACTAGCAAAAATTGTCACAGTCAGTTTTTTTCAGAATTGAGAATCAGCCAAAGGCTTACAGGGATGTAGGAGTTGTTATTTAAGAAAAACAGCAGATTCTTGGAAGGAATAGCAAGCTGTGTGACATTTTTAACTTGCCCTGTTCCCATCTTGCCCTCTCCATCTCTGGATAGCCTTGAAGAACCAATGGCCCACAATTACAGTGGAAACTAGCAACCTGGCTGCCACTGAAAGGAGCAGAACAGAGTAGAAGCTCCTTCAAAGCTCATTATCAGGGGACTGTCACTATCTGACCTGTCTGATGGTTCTCTGGAAGGCACTACTCACAATGCTGTCTTTATCTGACCTGACTCAGCGCTCACCCAGTGAAAAAGCCTTTTCCCTGAGGGTGTTTGTCTAAAACAATTAGAGGCACTTGATTAACTTCATAACTGTCTAAGACAGTGGATAACAATTAGGGCAAACAATAAAATGACCAAAAAGCTTTAAAGGAAAACCTAGAACATGAGATGTGCATTGAAGGCTTTGAAAAACTCCAACATGTTCTTGGAAATCTAGAAGACCTGTGTAAGGGTTAATGCATGTTCATGGCTATCTGCATGCTCAGGAAAGACCTGGGAAGGCCATAAGCTCTCACCTCTGAATGACCTTTAGGCTCTGTGCAAACATTAAGTGAAGGCTAAGGCAGAGTTGCTTACTGCCTAGCTAAATGTTGAAGGTGTGCTCCAACATATGCACAGAGCTCCTCAGGAAAGACTGAGAGACTTACTGGTTCTAAGCATTTAAGGAAATCTCTGTCTAATCATTAGCTGACCACTAAGCTAACCTAATAAAGCCTTCAGTGCTCACACATCACAAAGAAGACTTTACAGATTAATTCAAAAAAGGTGACTAAGCCTCACGTCTGTAATCCCAGCACTTTGGGAGGCCAAGGCGGGTGGATCATGAGGTCAGGAGATCGAGACCATCCTGGCTAACATGGTGAAACCCCATCTCTACTAAAAATAAAAAAAATTAGCTGGGCGTGGTGGTAGGCACCTGTAGTCCCAGCTACTCAGGAGGCTGAGGCAGGAGAATGGCATGAACCTGGGAGGTGGAGCTTGCAGTGAGCTGAGATCATGCCACTGCACTCCAGCCTGGGCGACAGTGCAAGACTCCATCTCAAAACAAATATATATATATATATATATATATATATATATATATATATATATATATGAAAAGAAAAAAGGTGACTAAGCAAACAAATGGACAATGACAAATAGCAAAAACAACAAACTTTGGGGAGGAGAAATAATCTGATTTTTATAGTTGCCACCTTATAGTATTTAACATGTCCAATTTTCAACAAAAACTTATGAGACATGGAAAGAAACAAAAAATTATGCACTATACACAGGAAATATAGCAATTATTGCAAGTGTTTCTGAGAAAGCCTAGATAGTGGACTTATTAGAGGCTTTAAGTCAACTATTTTAAATATGTTCAAAGAACTGGAGAAAAACATGCTTAAGATCTAAAGGAAAGCATGAAAACAGTGTCTCACCAAATCAAGAACATCAATAAAGTAATTGAAACTATAAATTATAACAAAGAACCAAATAGAAGTTCTAGGGTTGAAAACTACAATGACTGAAATCAAAATTTCATGAGAGAGGCTCAATAGCATATTTGAGCAGGCATAAGAAAGAGTCAGCAGTGTGAGGAACAGCAAAATAAAAGAGAATGAAGAAAAATAGTCTTAGAGACTTGAATACCAACATACACATAATGGGAATTCCAGAAGGAGAGAAGAGAATAAATAGGACCCCAAAAATGTGAAGAAATAAATGGCCGAAAATTTCCCTGAATTCTGAATCTGCATATCCAAAAAGCTAAACAAACTCCCAGTATGATACATTTAAAGAGAACTACATCTACATATGTCATAATCAACTTGTCAAAAGCCAAAAAGAAAGAATCTTGAAGGCAGCAAGAGTGGAACAACTCATCACATACAAGGAATTCTCATTATGATTAGGAATCGATTTCTCATCAGCATCTATGTAGGCCAAAGGCGGCGGAATGACACATAAAAAGTGCTGAAAGAAAAACACTGTGAACCAAACAAAACTCTCCTTCAAAATGAAAGAGAAATTAAGACATTCTCAAATAAACAAAAACCAAGAGAATTCATTACTAGTGGGCCTAGCATACAAAAAGTTTGAAAGGAAGTCCTTCAGACTGAAATGAGAGTACACAAGATAGTAACTCAAATCCACATGAAGAAATAGCACCAGTAAAAGTAACTACATAAGAAAATAAAATGATAGTATAAGCATATTTTTTGTTTTTAACACTTTCTCCTATCTGATTTAAAAGGCAATTGTATAAAACAATAATCTAAATCTGTGTTGATCAGAACACAATTTATAAAGATGTAATTTGTGAGACAAGAGCACAAAGAAGGGGACGGGGAATGGAGTTTTTTAACCCTATTGAAATTAATTTGATATTAATCTGAAGTAAGATGTTATAAATTAATATGTCAATTATAATCCCCAAGTGAATCACTAAGCAAATAACTTTTAAAATAGTAAAAAACCAAAAAGACAAGAAAATTAAAATGGTCCATCAGAAAATATCTATTTAACACAAAATAAGGTAGTGATGGACAAATAAACAAAAGGGCATAAGATGTATAGAAAACAAATAGCAAAATGGCAGACATAAATCCTATTTTATCAGGAATTACTTTAAATGTAAATGGATTAAATAATTAAAGGCATAGATAAAATAGTTAGGAAAACACGATCCAACTATATGTTGTCCACAAAAGACACCTGTTTGTTTAAAGACACAAATAGGTTGAATGTAAAAGGATGGAAAAAGATATACCATGCAAACAGTAACTAAAAGAGGACTGGAGTAGCTGTACTAATATCAGACAAAATGTAATTTAATAGATTTCAGAATTGTTACTGCAGACAAAGGACATTTTATAATAATAAAAGGGTAAATCTGTCCAGATGATATAACAATTGTAAACATATACACACTTAGCAACAGAGTTCCAAAATACGTGGAGTAAAAACTGACAGAATTAAAGGGCAATCAGGCAAGTCAACAATAATAGTTGTAAACTTCAATACTCACTTTCAATAATTGATAGAACAGCTAGGCAGAAGATTATCAACAGGGAAATAGAAGACTTGAACAATATTGTAAACCAGCTAGTCGTAACAAACATCTATAGAACACTCTACTCAACAACACCAGAATACACATTCTTCTCACATGCACAAAAAACATTCTCCAGCATGATTACATATTAGGCTACAAAACAAGTCTCAATAAATGTGAAAGGATTTAGATAGAAAGTATGTTTTCCAACCACAATGAAATAAAATTAGAAATCAATAACAGCCAGGCACAGTGGCTCATGTCTGTAATCCCAACACTTCGGGTGGCTGAGACAGGAGGATCACTTAAGACTAGGAGTTGGAGACCAGCCTGGGCAACATAGCAAAACCCTCATCTCTTAAAAAAAAAAAAAGAAATCAATAACAGAAAGAAATCAAGAAATTAACAAATACATGTAAATTAGATAACATATTTCTAAATAACCAACCAGTCAGGGAAGAAATCACAAGGTAAATTTGCAAATACTTGAGATGAATGAAAAAGAAAATGCCATACTAAAACTTAATAGAATACAGCAATAGCAGTGTTTGAAGGGAAACTTACAGCTGCAAACACCTATATTTAAAATGAAGAAAGACCTCAAATCAATAATGTAAAGTTCCACCTTAACGGACTAGAAAAATAAAATCAATCTAAATTTAAAGCAAGTAGAAGATAGGAAATAATAAAGATTATAGTGGAAAATCAACAAAAACCACTACACACCCAGTAGAATTGCCAAGGCTGACAGTACCATGTGTTGGCAGGGATATGGGCTAACTGGAACTCTGACAAATTATTGGTGGGAATGCAATATAGTACAGTCACTTTGGAAAACAACTTGCCAGTTTTTTATAAAGTTAAATGTATAATTGCCCTACCACCCGTCAATCCTATTATTACGTATTTGCCCTAGAGTTGTGCCATTTTTTCGTATGTTAGAACTTGAAATGGGAATGTAGTAATTTCTTTAAGATAATAACACCAAATAAAACATTTTCTAACAAAATTCCTATTTATTTTAATCCCCGGGAGTCTTTAAAATTCTAAGTAGAACAGCTTATTCTAATTCCTAAATCTTATCTATAAATATGTTTGGATTAACATAAAATGCATTTTAGAATTGTGCAAGTGTTTTTTTTTTAATCATTGCTTTTTTGTATGGACTGAAACTTTTCTGTTTTGAGAGACAGATTTTGGCTGTACGTAGCCCCAGTGTCAACATAAACAAATGACTGATTTCATTAGAAACCTGAAGTTACAGCTTTAATTTTCTGGTGTCATCGTGGATTTATTCTTAGATTTTGAACTTTTTTTCTTTTCATATTTTTGTAGATTTGTTGCTTCACCTCTAGCAAAATCATTTGGCATTAAAGAGACAGTTCGAAAGGTTACACCAAATACTGTCTTAGAGAATTTTTTCAAACATTCCACAAGGCAACCATTGCAAGTAAGTACAAATTCTTTGCTTTTCGACTTAAAAATCTTCTTTCTTAATGGTTCAATTATCTATAGCTTACCTTGTGTGTGCAAGAAATCTATTCTAGTTGACCAGCAAATGATCTGGATTCACTTGGATTTATTGTTTCTTTGTTCTGTTGACAGGTTTAGAACATCCCAAGTGTGATACATATGATAATATAAAATAACAAATATTAACAGTTGAACTATTGTATTTAACTATAGTGTAGAGCACTAATGATCAGTGCCATAATTTGGGAATAAAGGTCAACATTTAATTTTTAATGGTCAAATATATACAAAGTATACAGATGAAGAAATATAATTGTTAGGGCAGAGAAGCCCATATCTGACAATTTTGATGATTGTGGCATCATCAAAATACATTACACACATTATGAAAATGTTCATTGGGGTCGCTTTCATGAGTAGGACTGTTATTTTATTCAAAGCCTCAACATACTCAGAAATATGCTGTGCCCCGACTATTCTCCAGAGACAATTTCTAAGAGTCACAGTTCTCTTCACAATATAAAGTTTCCTTCATTTATGTTGTAGTGCACTGCATGCTTAAATACATTCAGAAAAAGAAAAAAGAAAAAGTTTTTAATCTAATAGTTAAAAAAATAATGTCTAAGTAAGTCTAGTGTTCACTCCAGTTTTGTTATATTTCCACAGTTAAAATGACAGATGAAACAAAACTTCTCCAAAAGTGATACAACCTCTATGATGAATACAAACAGCTATCCCCAGTAATTTTAAAAATCAAGTACATATGCTAACACAGTTCTAGGATAAATAGATTTCTGAGGGTCCTGAACTTTATTTCCTGAATTAAGTTGCCTCTACTATGACAATTGCTCTAATTTGTTCCTCGTGGTTTCTCTGCACATGAAAGCACATTGAGGTTTGACCACCTCGCGTGAGATATGGTGTCCAGAATTGCTCATAGCAAGTGAGAGCTGGCTCTAACTTGTTCTGCCCTCAGCTCCTGTATTTGACTGCTTTTGTAACCTAGGAATAGTCTGACAAGCCATCTTTATATGTTTTTTATTCCCATGTGCTTTAAATGACTGCCATCATTCATCTAAATCCTTTTGTTACCACTGGTGATAATAATACCTAAGCATCCCTTTATATGTTTCAAATGGGAAATTATTTAGCTGTGTTTAAAAAAAGATAGGGCTCTTTCTGGGTCCTTTATTATCCTTCTTTGTTTGGGAACAACTAACTTTAGTAATACTTTGTATAAAATGGGAAGAACAGTGCTATAATACCAATTCGTTGCTATCCTTGCTATTGCTAAGAGCTTCTAGTCAGCTTTTCAGAATATTTAAAATTATCTAGAAAATTTGGTCCTTACCAAGCTTCTCTGCTATGGAGAAAAAATGGCCAAAGGAAAACTAAGGATAGCTGAAAAGGTTTATAGGGTGGTAGTCTTTCTTTTTCATGATTAAGATGAGGAAACTTAAGGCCCAGCCAAAGGAAAATGAGTGGTCGTTCGGCTAATGAGTGGCTGAATCAAAAGCTAGAACCTGGCCCATACTTCCAGTCCAGTGACCTTTCCACCATGCTACAGTGAGTTCTTTATCTGTAAATGGAATGTTAAAAATATATTTTAAAGACTGGTGCTGTGTTTATAGTAATTATTCTAACTCAACTGACATTACAGTATGGTTTAATAAAGACAGAATTTTGACATTTGCATCCAGTAAGAAGGAAAAAAAAAGTGGCTGGGCGCAGTGGCTTACGCCTGTAATCCCAGCACTTTGGGAGCCCAAGGTGGGTGGATCACGAGGTCTGGAGATCGAGACCATCCTGGCCAACATGGTGAAACCCTGTCTCTACTAAAAATACAAAAATTAGCTGGGCGTGGTGGCGAGTGCCTGTAATCCCAGCTACTTGGGAGGCTGAGGCAGGAGGACAGCTTGAACCAGGGAGTTGGAGGTTGCAGTGAGCCAAGATTGCGCCACCACAGTCCAGCCTGGTGACAGAGTGAGACTCCATCTAAAAAAAAAAAAAACAGTTATATATCACCCCCGAAGTGTTAGCTTCATCTATTGAACCAAAAAGGTGAAGGAATATAAGATTCCTAAATTATATTGCTCTGAGATTAAAAAACTGAGGCAGTATTCGTATAGTATATCAAGATAACAATAATTTGGCCAGCAAAATGTCCATAGCCTAAAAGCACTAGGACTTAGGAAGATAGAATGTAATACAGGAGGACAGAGTTCATGACTTAATAGCAATTGCAGATACAGAAACAAACTCGTCTCACCATACCTACCACATTAACCTGGCCAGTGTCATGCAGATAGCACTTTGCTTAATTATGGCTGAGGTAATAAGACAAGTTGCTGGGTGGATGAAAAACAGTTTTGTACTGATTCAAGATTAGGGTATTACCACTAAAAAAAAGTATTCAAAACCTAAACAGTAGAATATTGCATTGGTAATATTTGTAGATAACACCTGACTTGATTGAAACAATGGAGTACACAGACCCAAGGATGCTTCTTCAGCAGCTATAGGCTGCACCAGGAAAACAAAACACTTCCATGCATATGACATCTACTGTGGGCTGGTTAGCACAGAAGGGCATAACATGGTATTGATGAGGCCTAAAATACTATACACATGAGCCTCAGTGAGAGTTTTGGTCTGTGATATTGCACAGTTCTCTTATGATTGTATCTATGCAGGTGTGTGTCTGATAACGTGTGTATGTGTGCGTATCAAGAACAACTTCCAGATGTTTGGGGTAAGACCAACAACTCTGACCAACAGATCAATTATAGTGCTATAGGTAACGTGTAGTAACAGTGGAACTTATTATCTAGCCCTTTCCTTAGCAAAATAAAAAATAATTATATATATATGAACTGATGCAGAGCAAGTAAGTTCTGGAAGAGATCTGAAGAAAACGTGGCACTGTGAGACTGAACTCAAGCCAGTTACTACATTCAATAAAGGTATTCCAGTGTGCTAGCTTGAGTCATTCATAGATTCAAACATTTTTAGAGCAAAAACCTCTTCTAGTGCTATTTATTGTACAGGGAAGACATGTGAGAGCCAAAGAGGTAGGGTGACTCCTCTACTGGCACAGAGGGTTCCCTTTTCAGTCCAGAGGCCAGGTCTCTTGGCCCCATTCAGCACTCCTCCTTTAGGCCATTCGACCTCTCCTTGAGGCTGTGTCTGAGAGAGACCTTTCCTGCATGTTCCAACCCACTTCTGAATGTTCACAGCAATAGGTAGTGTAGAGGCTAAAAATACAAATTGTGAGGACAGACCATGTAAGGTTAGAGCCTGGCTCTGTCACCGACTTTCTGTGTGGAGATGGACAGATTAAACTTCCCATGCCTCAGTTTCCTCTTCTGTGAATTGAGCATAATTATATTGCTTATCTCATAGGGCTCTTGTGAGGATCAAATTGAGTTAATACATATAAAGTGCTTAGAATAGTGCTTGGCACATAGTAGATGCTCAGTAAAGGTCAGCTATTATTATTTGTACCATTAACTTTGTGCCTGTCATGCACTGACTTCCAAAGGAGCGTGTTTAAGCATGTCTTCCTCACTCAAGGGAATTGTCACTTTGTTTCTTAATCATGCTTGTTTTTGTTCCCATGACATCTTGCACTATTTTCTGGTCATTACAGATGGTCAATAAATGCTTCATGTTTCACACATTAATTCAAGAAAACACTTTTAGACACTTTTGTTTGCAAGGAGTTTTCTCTCTTAATAATATCATAGTGCATGAGGCCAGTATTGACAAGACTGACTTCCAACTAGATTCTTCTGTACTCCAAAATAGAAAAAAAAAGCTTCGACTCATAAACAGTTACTGTCTTCTATATATGTTTATTAATAATTCATTGGGCAATTATTTGCAGAAGTCATGGGAGAATAAAATTGAGTTGTTCTAAGGTCTGAGAATATTCCAGAATAAAGACAAGGACTTTAGTTTGTTTTGCTCACTACTGAATCTCCCACACCTAGATGGTGCCTGGCACCAGTGCTTAGAGACTCTTTAAATCCTTTCAAATGAATGAATGGCAAAACACTTGAAATAGTAAAGCTAGGCCCAGAGCCCCTTCGGTCTGAGCACACAGAGTGTAGTGCAGCAGCATGCCAGAATATGTCCTGCTGTGCACCAGCCAACAGAATTTGAATTGTATTCTCCATGTTGGGGGTCTGTTCGTGTTTGCAAATTATGTTAAAAGTAAAGGAATACTTTTTTCTTAAATGATTTGTAGTCCATGGTTTCCTTTCTGTGTTTGGTCATCAAAATCTCTAGCACTGACACGGCACTCAGTAGTTTCATTAGCACATTCTAATCCCTTGGTCCTCAAATCATCCCTCGGAGGTGGGTAGCAAACATTCTCTTAATATCCCATTTTCCATGGGGGTCAAAGTGCGGTGCTTACGCCTACATAGCTAGGAGGTAGCAGAACTGGATCTTCTGTTTTCAGCTTCCTGCCCTTCCTACCATATCCGATTGCTTTGACACTGCAGTGTTCTTTCCTTCCTGCAAGGGAACATGTAAGATAATCTAGCAGAAGCTATCCGGCTGGTCACAGACTTTTGGGTATTCAGCCATCTGGCCCACAGGCAGGCTTTATTTGGCCCTCACAATACTCATCCACAATTGGTTTAAATTTACTTTGAGGGATTGGTCAACATTTTTAAAAACCTAGTGATTTCTCATCAAAATCCTGGGTCTGCACGTTTTCTCTGGAAGCGTCCGCCAGATCTTGGTCATGCCTGGCCTTTTGGGACATGATGTGTGCTTCTCTGCCTGCTGTATCCATACGGCTCCCACTTCTTTCCTCAGCACTGAAGCTGAAGGTCAGTTTTATGCCATTTTATTTTTCACAAAATAGAATTAAGAGGAAATGGAAATGTTTCTTTTATTTATTTATGTATTTATTTATTTAGAGATGGAGTCCTTCTCTGTCGCCCAGGCTGGAGTACAGTGTCACAATCTTGGTTCACTGCAACCTCTGCCCCCAAGATTCCAGCAAGTCTCCTGCCTCAGCCTCCTGAGTAGCTGGGATCACAGGAGCCCACCACCACGCCCAGCTAATTTTTGTATTTTTAGTAGAGATGGGGTTTCACCATATTGGCCAGGCAGATCTCGAACTCCTGACCGCCTTCTCGGCCTCCCAAAGTGCTGGGATTACAGGCGTGAACCACCACACCCAGCCAGAAATATTTCTTATTCTTACTTGGGAAATAAGAAATCAAGAGGGCTGGCATTTTTTATGAGCATATTTCTTTGTAGACGTGGAGAAGGTTACCATAGGTTTAAAGTACAAAACTTGCCTATGTTAAAATCCCACTGTGAAACAGACCTGGTCCATTTGGTCATTTATGTTTCTTGTCTGGCTTGGGGAGACCTTCGAATTGGTAACATTTGAGCAGATCTATCATTCATATTGTTTCCAATTTTAAATCATAGCCTACAACTTCTACTTCCCAAAAGAGAAGCAATCATCATCATCATATTTTGCAATTGTTATTTTTGTTATTGAAATTATTTTGGATTAGTTTGAAATAGGCTCTCTATATAATTAAATGTAAAAGTGGATGGCTAACACTGGTTGGAGTTTTTCCTGCATTATCTTCTGGAGCTGTGAGAAAGATCATGTGAAATAACAAAATGCACTAGCCTAAGTTCTCGTCCACACTTTGCTTCTAATTTTAGGTTTTGGACAAGTCACTGAACTTCTTGGGGCTTCAGTTCCCCATAGGAAAAATGAGGAGATTGGATTTTATTGGATTTGATTTAAACTATGCTACTCTACCTGGCGCCTGGGAAGTCCTAAGCACATTTTAGCTGAACAAGTGAGCTCACACATGCAACTTGAATGCCGGGTTGCTGCCAGCGTATGGAGAATTGATCTTTCTCAGTAACTTAGAGAGCTGGGATAGTAACATTTTGTTTTTTGGTATGTGTGCATATATGTGATTCCATAAGCAAAAGAGGTAAATTCCCTGGCTCCAGGTCTCATGACAGAATTTCTCTCATCCCCAGTACCGAAGCTCTTGTAACTCAATCTCCGTCTCTTGTCTGCCTGCCAGTCTGACTCTGTTCTTTATCACTCATTTATGCGTTTCATCCCTTTTCAGACTGATATTTATGGACTGGCAAAGAAGTGTAACTTGACGGAGCGCCAGGTGGAAAGATGGTTTAGGAGTCGGCGGAATCAAGAGAGGCCTTCCAGGCTGAAGAAATTCCAGGAAGCTTGGTAAGGAGGATGGGCCAAGCTTTAGGAATGCTGCCGTCCTATCTGGAGCTGAGTGGTCCTTGCAGAGAGAATACTGCCGGAGCAGCAGAGGGAGGGTTCAGACCCAGCTCTGTCACCCACTGATGTGGTGTTTTAGGCTCCTCACATATTTGCCTTCTCTGCTTCCTCCACTCCTTTATAAATCAAGTAAGCTCTGAACTCTATTTATCGGGCCTCCCGAACCAGAATAGATTCAGACAGACTCCCACACTATGAACTCTCTAAGATGAACAGGAGATGTTATGTACTCAGCCTGAAACCCAGAAAAAATCATAAAAATGTCTTAACTGGTGTTTCTCTTTTCTTAGGGTCAGGGTTGGCCCTAAGTCACCAGACTTTATCACCTGTATCCAACCATCACAACTGTAAGAGCAGAGAATGTCTGCAAGGACGTGTGTTCCCTCTCAGAACACTGAGAAGGCCTCTCTGTGTGGCGTGGCTCATGACCCCAGCCCTCCTGTAGGGTGCACAGCCCATCCTCTTGGTTTCCCAGGATTTTTAGTAGAGGTGGTCAGGAGATCAAGACCATGGTGAGACCCCATCTCTACTAAAAATACAAAAAATTAGCTGGGCGTGGTGGCGGGCGCCTGTAGTCCCAGCTACTCGGGAGGCTGAGGCAGGAGAATGGCGTGAACCTGGGAGGCGGAGCTTGCAGTGAGCCGAGATCCCGCCACTGCACTCCAGCCTGGGTGACAGAGCAAGACTCTGTCTCAAAAAAAAAAATAATAATAATAATTATTATTATTATTGATCCTTCTGCCAATGATGTGAGACAGTCAGGGAAGTTGGGGCTATCCTGTTTCAATGAGAAACTGCACATCCATCTAGTTTAAGGGTCTCTTAGGTGTTTGAATGGCTGTTGCATTCAGATCTTCTGACTCCTATTCCGATACTATTTCTTGTTGTATCATACTGCCCCTGGCACCTAATGCTTACCTCCCAGCAAGCAGAGGATCCTTAAATTGAGTAATATTTGGGCATCTGGCCATGTCAGTAAGCCTACTAAAATTCTTCCAGAGTTCAGGCTGGAGAAGGGAATTTTGAGTTACCCTTATCAATCAGTCAGGCAATGCAGAGGTACAGGTTAGTATCTTTTCTGTGCATAGCACTGTCCTAGATTTTGTGGCGTTCTAGATTTTAAGAAGGGGGTAACATGTGAGTCGTGGTTACCGGCCTTAAACAGTGAATTAGGGAGGCCAGATTATCACACACGAAACCACAACATCTATTGTCGCGCCACCCCAGTGGCACATGGGAGTGTACACCAGCAGATACAACATCATGTTTAGATGTGTCGTGGGAATTTAGAGGTGATGGCATCAGCATGGCTGAAGTAGTTAAAGAAAGGCTTTCTAGAGAAGGGAAGACATAGGTTGGACCTTGAAGAATGGGTCAGGTTGCCAAAAGAAAAGAAAGCAGGTTTGAGGCAGTATTTTCAAGTAAAGCAAAGACACAAAGCAGGAAATTATGCAATATATTCAGGACACAGTAAGTGGGCCCATGAATAAAATTTAAGCCTTATCTTATTCTTTAGCAATGTCACATGTTTATTCTAAGTTAAAAGTTATTATGGACTAGATAAACAGACTAAACCTAGTGCCATGTTGAATTGTACAGGGACTCTGCTTTTTAAAAATCAGCTGTGGGATGTGCTACAGAAATCACAGCATGAGTTACCTAACCTCAAGCCTTTTGAAAATCTCCGGGCGCTTATTTCTTAACCCCAGCTCCTAAAATTACTTTCCAACAGGCAAAAATTCCTTTGTAACATCCAGAGGGATGAGCCCCCAGGCACGTTGGGTTCAGTGTGTTTGTTCCTTGGTGACTTTCTCTCATGGTGACCCTTGTGCTCTATTCCACAGCATTCAGGATTTTAATACATAATGGGCCCTTTTTTTTAAAAAAAAAAAATCAAATTCCACATTAGCTGACCACTTTTTCATTTTAAAATACAGATTTCCACCTAGCAATAAGAAGGAACACCAAGTCCTTAGGTATCCAGGTAGGAGAACTCCTCAGTGTTGGAGAAAGGGCTCTCCCCGGCTGGGTGGATGCGGCCTTACCCTCATCTGATCCATGCAGTCCACGGCCCACTCTATGCAGCGTCCCCACCACAGGCCTCCCATCTGGCCCCAGCAGTGTCTCTCACCACTCTGCCCATTCCTCCCTGGCTGCACCCTGCAGTCCCTCCTTTCACTATCACCATTGTTACCCAACCAATTCGTTTCTGAATGGCTTTTCAGTGGGTTTTCTCTCCCCCCACGTTTATGTTTATCTCATTCTTTCCTGGAAAAAAATAAAAGAAGTTTTACTCTTAGGTGAAACTAGTGAAATGACATTGACAAGGATATTATCATTCATCTTTTCAGTGAAGTGCAGCAATTCTCCAACTTTTTGGTGTCAAGACCCCTTGGTCTCTGAAAAACTCTTGGAAATGCCAAAGAGCATTTGTGTGTGTTATACCTATTGGTATTTACTGTATTCGAAGTGAAAACTGAGATATTTATAAAACAGGAGACTACACAAGCGCACGTTTCATCAGTGCAATTTCATTCAGAGCAATACTGTGATCACATGTCACATGACCTCGCTTGTGAGAGAATGACAGGAAAAAAAGCAAATAATGTGTTAGTAATATTCTGAAAATATTCTGACCTCAGGGTTCTCTGGCACACACTTTGAGAATCCCTGGTTTAGGGCTTCTCTGAGTAGGATTTGTCCAGAAACATGTGAGACTTGGCTGTACTCTTGGATCTGAGTATTACTCCTCAAACTTCCGTAAGTTTTATGATCTTTCTTAGCTTCAATTTCCTTTAGGATATTGGCTGTTAGCAACAGTCTGTAAGAAGGGACTAATTACAGCATCGGCTTCATAATCTTGTGAAAAGAAAAATGTGACATAGCGCATGTGTGCGCAGCACCGTGCCCGATGGAGCTGAGAAATCAATAGATGCTTGGGAAATAAACACCGGGGGAGCACCCACACTTTTGGCTTCATTTGTGGGTTGGCTGGCCTTATCATCTCCTATATTTTGTGGGTTTTGTTTGGACAAGATAATCCAGGGAGCCAAGGAAATGCTCTTAGCAAATCAAATGAGTGCAGTAAAGTTTCAACTTTCATTTTGTAAAATGTCTTTTGGATATTTTTATGGTTCAACTTTTTGACTATTGAACCCTACTTTTTTCTCCTATCAAAACAAGCCATGAAGAAAGACTGTCGTCTAGCTTAGGGGAAATGATAATGTTCAGGAAACACTCCTCGATGCAGAGTCCAAAGAGCTGCACTTCAAGGTGCAGCTTTCCTCCTTCTTAGCTACATGAGCTGGGGAGATGGCTTCATTTTTCTGATTCTGATTCTACATTTACAAAATGGGTATTTATCTACATTCCTATGTCCTATCTTACAGGTGTGTCAAGGAAAGCACTGTAAGGCCTTACACAAAGATAAGAAAACATCTTATTTTAATATTATTATTTCTCCAGCAATCATTAGATAAAATAGACATAACTTTAAAAAACTTTTTATTTGGAACGTTGCAAGCATATATTAAAGTAGAAAGACTGCATAATGAATTAAGTGTTATTACCCATCACCAGCTTTAGTTGATCAACTCAAGGCCAATCCTATGTCCTCTCTATCCCCACTACACCTCTCGCCTACCACAGATAGGTTTGGAAGCAAATATCAGACACTGTTATTTCATTTGTAAGTATTTTAGCATGTATCTCGAAAAGATAAGAACTCTTTATTTTCAGCATAATTGCAATATCAGTATCTTATGATTTTTTATTTAATAAAAGATTTTTACTTAATAATAGAAAATATTCAGTGTTTAGATTTCCCTGATTGTCTCATAATTTTCTTTACAATTTCTTGATTTGAATCAGGATCTAAATAAGATCCATTTGTTACAATTTTTTGATGTGTCTTTCCAGTCTCTTAGTCTACAGGTTTTTCTCCATACATGAGGAAAATCTTCTCTTTCAAAACCTACTTTTAGGAGAAAAGAGTAAAGTCTGGCCACATAAAAACCTTTTAACTGGGAATTAAATGGGGATAAGAGAAATAATTAAACTTATTAGGTTCCTTCCTGATAATGCTAATATCAATCCACTGTTTATTGTGTGCCTGGAACTGGGCTAGCCATTATAACCAGAATAATGGCTGCCATTTATTGTTGCTTACTTTATGCTAGACCTGTTATCACAGATTTTCAGTTCTTTTCACATTTTGAGGTAGTGTTCTTATTCTCATTTTACAGGTAAGAAAGTCAGGCCTTCTGAGGTTACATGATTTACCTAAGGTTGTAACCATCTAATAAGTGGGGCAGAGCCAGGATAGAAACTTTGATTTGTCTGACTCCAGAATGTGTGTTCTTTGTAAAATCTGCCATACCTAATCATTTTCTCCTCAAATCTCAGTTACCTTTACAAGGGAGTAAAGATTTTTCTTTCTTTTGGCAGCTGGAGATTTGCATTTTACTTAATGATCACTGTTGCTGGAATTGCGTTTCTTTATGATGTAAGTTATCTTTTTATATCTTCGATTGGAATTTGTCTTTAATTTTTGAAATTCTTGTCTGTGAATTCCTTTAGGGTATAGTACTTTCAATAAGATAACCAGTTTTAGAGATTTCTCTCAAGATTCAACATTTGTCTCAAATATTGCTACAGATGTCTCAAGATTTTTTTATTGCTGCAGAAGCAATAATACAATTGGTTTAGAAATAATTTGGTTCATACAGTTACTTGTTTGAAACCATTTCCTCTATGAGACAGCACTATTTACTTATCTTAGATTCACTAGTAGTGAATTTCACAGAGATGTTATATAGGAATATGTAAGAAATAGTCTACAGAGGGAGAAATACGTGCAATAGAAGCAAAAGAATATGGCAAAGGTCAATTTCCTGTGCATCTTTGCCTGCTGTAAATGACATAAGGAAGAGCTTAGGTTTTCTGCCAAAATTGACCTTTGACACCGACCAATTTATTTCTCATCTGTTGGCTCTTTTTTTTTTTCTTCTTTCAGAAACCTTGGCTATATGACTTATGGGAGGTTTGGAATGGCTATCCCAAACAGGTAAGTCCACTATAACATATTCCTCCCCTTACTTGAACACCAAGATCCCTCAAATTATCTCCTTAGTTACGTCTTGGTCCCCTGCTACTCTTTGTTCACTACTGTGTCATCCCTGGCACTTTTTCTACTTGAGCTTCCTTATCCTTATTGACCCTCATTTGTCTCATTCCTTTAGTTTGTTTACAGTTAATGTAATTACATATTTGGGTTTAAATCTACCATCTTACTATTTATTTTTTACTTGTACCACCTGATGCATTTTCTTTTGTACTCCCTTCTTGCTTTTCTATGGGACAGTCAAGTAATTAAAAAAAATACTATTCTTTTTCATCCCTTATATTGACTTTTCAGTTACACATGCTTTTGTTCTTCTAGTAATTATCTTGGACATTACTGTATATGTCCTTGACTTATTGCAGTCTGATACAAATCGGTGTTCTTACCTCTTTCCACTCACTGAAAGGTAATTAGAATACACCATACACCCTCCTCCTTCAAATATTTAAAACCTTAGAAGTCATTGCTATTATTGTTCTGTAAATCGGTCAAGTTACCCTTTTTGTGCTATTCCTTGCTTCCTATATTTCCATGTTTCCATCTGGGATTATTATCCTCCTGTCTGAAGAAGTACCTTTGCTATTTTTTTTAATGGTGGGTATGCCAGATTTTGTTTGTCAGAAAGATGTTATACTGCCTTTGACTTTTAAAGGATATTTTTGCTGGGTATAGAATTCTAGATTAGCAGTTTATTTTCCTTCACTTTAAATGATGTTATTTCATTGTCTTCTAGATCTCATCAGTTCTAAAAGAATGTAGCTGTCACTTTTAGTTTTGCTTCTTTGAACATAATGCCTTTTTTCTCTTTTTGGCTGTTCCCCTCATAACACAACCCATGATGTGTGCAGTTATCATCTGACCTTTAGCCCTATGGGGATTAGGGATGGAAGGATTGGCCCAAATACTGATACTCTGGCTACTGCTATTACTGTGAGTCATAAACTACATGCTGTCTACCAAGGTGTCTACTATCTTCTACCAGCATTCATGGAACTTGTGGCTAACTAACTTGTTAGCTTGCAACTAGGGTAAAATGTCAGACACTTCACTATTCTGGATATTTTCTACTTTCCTGTTGTCCAGTTCACTGGTACTTTTCTTAAGCCATGTCTAATCTACTATTAAACACATCTTTTGAATTCTCAATTTCAGTTATTATATTTTTTGATTCTCAAATTTTTATTTTATTTTTTAATGGATCCCAGTTCTCTACTGAAATTTTCTCTTTTAAGCTGTTTTTGAAGTTATTTTAAAGTCAAAGTCTGATTAGTCTCATCTCTTGACCACCTGTGGATCTGTTTTCTCTCTTGCTCCTGTCTCCTTATGCTTCATAGCTTTTGATTAAATGACAGACACTGTATACAAAAAAGTATAGATGGTCAGGATGATATTATCTTCCTTCACAGAGGACTTACTTTCACTTCTGTTAGGTGTTAGAATAGGGCAGATCACCTTTAATCCTTGATTGAGCTGATTCAAGGTAGACTTCAGTCTTTGTGAAGGCAAGTATATTCACAACTTACCCATATTCTAGGGTATTCCTTTTCAATGATTTCAAATAAAATATTACAGTGCTTACCATGACTCCTTTTCCTTAGTCAACCTGAACACCAGTTTGCTTCCTAGTACTCTGATATTACAGTCACTACTGCTTAACTTCTGCTGTTTCTTAGTCTCTGGGCTCCATACTGCTTATAAACTGGCATATGCAGAATTTATGATATGTATAGGATGGTCTTCTTTGAATTTATTCTTAGGGCCTACAGTACTTCTCAAGAAACAGGGTTCACTTGAAATAAAAGGTTCGCTCTAGTGCATTTTTCTTCTCTTTAGGATCTTGACTCCACAGGTTCTGGATGCCCTACTTGCTCTCTGACGTCTTCAAACAGACATTCTTTCTTGTCCTTTATCCAGATTTTTAAGTTGTTCTTAATAGGAGGATTAGTCTCATATAGTCCTGTCATAGAAGAAAGCAGAAACTCTGTCTCACTCTTTTATGGCCTTATCAAGGATGAGGAGTTGACCAAAAAAATTCGTTATACGTTAGCCTCAGCATTAAAGAATTCAATAAAATTAGACAATAAGGGACCTAAGAATTAGCTAGACCAAACCCCAGGCCTATCATCTTCTGTCTCCAACTTACTCATATCTTCTCAGGTGTATCAGTTATCCGTTGGTACATAACAAACCATCCCCAAAACTTAGTGCCTTCAAACAACAACCATTTATTTTCTCTTGATTTGATTGTCAATTTAGGCTAGGCTCAGCTAGGCAGTGTTTCTGCTCCATGTGGTGTCAACTGAGTTCATTCATGCATTTTCAGACAATTGGGAGGCCGGCTAGGGAATGGCTCAAGTCTATGGTGACGTCATTCATAGCATTGGCGATCAGCACCTTGATTCTCTTCTTTGTGGCCTCTTCAGCAGGATGGCTCAGGTTTCTTACATGGTACTTATAAAGTCTCTGCATGCATCACATTTGCTTATGTCTCCTTGACCAAAGACCAGGATCAAGTCCATAGTCAGTGTTGGAGGAGACTGCACAAGGGCTTAGATATCAGAAGGCAACATTCATTGGGTACACTAAGTAATATAATGTCTCAACTTAGCTAAAATAAACACCACCACTCCCACTATAAAATTGTTAAGAAAATTCTAGCTATGAAAATTTTATTATTTTATTCAGAAGATATTTTTGGAGTTCTTAAATAATTATGCATATTTTATTACTGTCCCATTTTAGAATGGGCTAATTCTGACCACCAGCCTGTCACCAGAAAAGAGATTAAGACATCAGATTTTGAGTAATATTCAAGAAACATTAATCAAAGTAAATTGTAGGACCAGCAGAAAAGACTTCCCATTGTTCCTAAGTAAAGATTTTTAATTTTTTTAAAAATTTAAACTTGACTCTGAATAAACTGAAGGCATTTACACCTGTGGCAGTTGTATTTAATTTTTTAAACAAAACATTCAACTTGGGTTTGGAATACTTGTCTCTACCCTTTTAGAAATAAAATGCCTTAAAATATTATCTTTAATTCCTTCGTTGAAATATAAATTGAAATATCAGTCAATGTTATTTTATGGAATCTGGTGGGATATAAATAGGTATAAAAGGAGGTTTTAGTGCATTAAAATGAGTTGCTTCTATGATGGCATTTAAAGTAATGAATACTCTTCTTTTCCTCAGCCCCTGCTGCCATCCCAGTACTGGTACTACATTTTAGAAATGAGTTTTTATTGGTCTCTGTTATTTAGACTTGGCTTTGATGTCAAGAGAAAGGTAAGTGTCTTATTTACAAAGCTTCTTTATCAATTTCTTCAAAAATTGCCATCTCCCTGCCCCAAATTCTAATCTTTAAGTTGTATTTTTCTGTGTTTTTGGGTCCAGTTCATTGCTTTTGTGTGCTTTATAGTACATAAAATATTGCTAATTATACTCATGCTTTGGTGCCTTGGTAAACATTTGTAGTGAAACATTATAAAAACTTTAACTTTGAAGCTCCACCTCTGTTCAATAAGAAAAAAAACATTTCCTTTATATGTCTGTTTCTTGGGAACTTAATGTCCATCAGTGCAAAGAAGAAATATGTTAGTAGTATTAATTCTACAACCACATCTTTTAGTTGATTGCAAAACCACTTCATATACAACTTTTTGATATTTTCAAAGACGTTGAAAACATTTTTCCATTAATTCATCAAATATATTTATGAGGAAACCTTGCTTCGGGCATTATTAGCTTTGCTTTATGTGCAGGGAAACTCAGTCACAGGCATGCTAAATGCCACTTCTGAAGTCACAAAGTGAGGTATTTTAGGAATGGTTTGGTTGTTACTGATTCCTAATTACTAATCCAGCAAACCATGTTAAATCCTGAATGCAATCATAAGATTTTGTCGTATATGTAAGCAATTCAGATCAAATGATAAATTCTCTTGGCATATACCTCATAAACTACACCGTAAATAAAAGGCTGGTTTGTAGCAAAATTTGTATGGTAAATACAATGACATTTAATATTAGATAAACCAGTTTAGCTTGATTAAATGTTTGTGTTGAGTGATGGTGGCCATTATAAGGGACACACTGCAGTCAACTGGACATCTTAAGACATGAGAAATCTAAGTATAAGCACATACTGTGAAAGTATCTGATAGAAATAATCTCCATTTCCATGTAACTCAATGATAGCTGTAGATTAACTATACTAACTTTAGGCTAGGAATACATCAAAATTTAATTGGTTGAGTCATTTTTTCCAGGGATAGAATTGAAAATAATCATTTTTTAGAAAGTCTTTATATACAGGTAGGTCGATCATGTATTTCACCCACCTTTGATTTTGCCGTAGTTGACTTCCCTTTTATCATTTACGGGTGCATTGAACACCTTCTTAAAAATTAAATATAAATATATGTTAAATGTCTTATAAAGATGTATCTTCAGAAACATAAAGCTATTGGGAGGTGGCTAAAGCACAGGCCCTGGAGTCAGGTCTCCTGGGTTTGAATTCCTGGCTTCACCACGCACTAACATCTTGAGCTAGTTAGTTAAACTCTCTAAACTTGATCTCCTTATCTATAAAATGAAGCTAAAAATAGTTCCTATCTCCTCTGTTTGTTGTGGGAATTAAACAGGTTAATCTGTATAAAATACTTCCTGAGGCTGGGCGCAGAGGCTCACGCCTGTGATCCCAGCACTTTGGGAGGCTGAGGCAGGTGGATCATGAGGTCAAGAGATCGAGGCCATCCTGGCCAACATGGTGAAATCCTGTCTCTTCTAAAAATACAAAAATTAGCCAGGTGTGGTGGCACATGCCTGTAGTCCCAGCTACTTGGGAGGCTGAGGCAGGAGAATCGCTTGAACCTGAGAGGTGGAGGTTGCAGTGAGCCAAGATCGCACCACTGCACTGCAGCCTGGTGACAGAGCAAGACTCCGTCTCAAAAAAAAAAGAAAAAAAAGAAACTTCCTGATATACAGCAAGTGCTCAATAAATTGAGCTATTATTGGTATTGTATTTACTTTGGCTATGAGGAAGCTGAAATCTTTAAGTTTTTTAAACATCTTTATTGAGATATCCACATATAACACAATTAAACCATTTAAAGTATACATTCAGTAGTTTTTAACATATATTCAGAGTTGTGCAATCATCATCACAGTCAATTTTAGAACATTTGTGTCATCCCAAGAAGAAACTCTATACCATTTAGCAGTCACTCCTCGTTTCTCTCAACCTCCCCAGCCCCTGGCAACCATAAATCTCCTTTGTCTCTATAGATGTGCCTCTTCTGGATATTTTATATAAGTGGAATTATATAATACCTGGTCTTTTATGTTTGTCTTGTTTCACTTACTGTAATGTTTTCCAGGTTCATCCATGTTATGGCATGTATCAGTACATCATTACTTTTTATTGCTAAGTAATAGTCCATTGTACGGATGGATGCATTTTATTCATCCTCTTATCAGTTGATGGACATTTGGGTTGTTTCCTCCATTTGGCTGTTATGAGTAATGCTGTGGATTCATACACAAGTTTTTGCATGAACATATGTTTTCATTCCACCTAAGAGTGGAATTGCTGGGCCATATGGTAATTCTATGTCTAATCTTTTGAGAAACTGTCAGACTGTTTAACAAAGCAGCTACACCATTTTGCATCCCTACCAGCACTGTATTAGAGTTCCAGTTTCTCCACATCCTTGCCAACACTTGTTATTGTTCATCTTTTTTATTATAGCCATCCTAGTGGGTGTGAAGTATATCTCATTGTGGTTTTGGTTTGTATTCTCCCAATGGCTAATGATTGAGCATGCTTTCATGTGTGAATTGGCCATTTGTATATTTTCTTTGCAGAAAACCTTTAAGTCTTTATTATACTCAGTGACAGTAGCTTTCCTTAGGCTAGATTGTCTTATTTCATATGCACTAACTTATTTAATGGTTGTGTAGATTTATTATATCAATCTTTTTTTTCTTTTTGGGGAATAGGCAGGGGCTAAACAATAACTGTAGGTGTACACAGGAATATGCTTGTGTGTGTATGCATTTATTGTGTGTTGGGGGGCAGTGTGTGTGTACACATATATCCAGTGTGGGATGGTATCTCAACGTTAAATGATTTCATCAACAAGAATAATACATGTCTTAGCTCCCTCACAAAGATTGTGTTTAGGAAGTAAAAGCATTTTATAAATTTCAAAACATGCAGATGTAAGTTATTGGTCTCATTATTATTATGATTATCTCTTCCAGTGATTGGGAAATAAATGCATTTCCTTAATGGCTTCCATTTTCCCTCATCTTACAGGATTTTCTAGCTCATATCATCCACCACCTGGCTGCTATTAGTCTGATGAGCTTCTCTTGGTGTGCTAATTATATTCGCAGTGGGACCCTCGTGATGATTGTACACGATGTGGCTGACATTTGGCTGGAGGTAAACGTTTGCCATTAAAAAACTAATGACAATACCATGTCCTGGGTTTCCGTAACTGCTCACAGAAGTAATTGTGAGCAATTTAGCAGAGCTCTGTGTCCTGAAAACACCCAAATTCTGAGAATATCTCTAGATTCCCAGATCCTCCAAGATTACAGAAATGAAACCTCTTAGTTTTAACTTTGAATCCTTCTCCATGGTACTAGAGAGATGTTAATTTGTGGGATTCCACTCCTGAAGGTTGCATGCACATGCCCACTCAGGAAGTAAGATGGGATATTTGAAGAAGGAATGGACTCTAATCTTCTAAAAGGAAAACTTGGATTTATGACATTGAGGATTCCCAAATTTGGATGGCACCATCTATTCACTTAGGCCAATGCTTGAATACCCGTTGAATGTTCACACTCCCCCACCCTCCCCTCCCCGAGCCCAATCCCTTGCTTTAAGGAGTGTAAGATGATTTTTTTTAAGGCCCTCATTTTCTAAGGGAGGAAGAGGGCTTAGAATGTTTTCTGAAGGAGTCAACATTAAAACAAGAGTCTTCCTAATCTCACCCCACACAAAATAGAAGAAACAAAGCCACGTTGGGATTGTTTTCCGGACCTGTTTCTGTTCTATTTTGATTCTTGTTGACCCCAGGCAGTGATGGAATTGTCCCCTTCTCTGCCAGATCTCTTGCTGTATTTAGAGCAACAGTTCCCAGAACTGCTGAGTTATTTGTTTAAATATACTCATTTATAATGAATCCAGGGGAAATGACGCTAACCCATTTCACATTTGGGATTACTTTTGAAGGGCTAACAATTGAATACAGGTTGCTATGGAAGAAATTAAATTTAATAGAATCTTATTCTTCTAGGTTGGGGTTTAGCAAACTTCTTGGCAAAGGGCCAGATAGTAAATTTAGTTTTGTGGGCTGCGTATGATCTCTGTCACATATTCTTCTGTGTTTTTTGTTTTTTGCTTTTTCAAATACCCTCTTAAAACTGTGAGAATCATTCTTAAGGGCTGATCGGCTTTAGCCCATGGGGGGACTGTAATTTACCAGACCCTGTTGTAGAAGCCACCAGAAGTCACTTGCAGCCATTTCAAAGCAACTGGCCACTATTAAAATATCCTCTGCGTACAGAATTTTGTTTCTACCCTGTATGTAATCATCATTAGACATGTAAATCCCATTCTAAAGGTCAAGATTATTATATGTGCTTCAGGGCAACAAATGACTTAGCAGGAGAAGGATTGTGCCGTTTTTTTCTGTATGGTGCTGTCTGGATGCAGCCCTCGCTGGTGTAATTACCTCCTTCTCTGATCGTATCTCAGTAATCCTGACAGAAGATTAAGACCACACTGGCCCCGACTTAAGAATTTTATACGACTCTGTTGCTTCTAAACCCTCATATTCAATTGCCTTTGGTGTGTGTCCAATGTAAAAACAGCCTCATTGTGTTATTAAAGGGGAGTTAGATGTTCACCCTGGGAATAAACACGGGGTTGCCCTGCCACCCTCCCCACCCTTTCACTGATGTGACATGATTCCCTAAGTAACTTGGACAAATCACTTATTGTTTTGTTTTCTAGCCCCAGCTGTAACATGAGAATTCATATCTGTCCATTGGGGTATGTGATGAAGTTTAGCTCATTATTACCTGAAAACGTTCTGAGGTCCTTAGGTTAAAAAAAAAAGAAGAAGAAGAAAAATGAACTGTCCAATCTTAGAGGTTCCCTCATGGGCAAACTTTAAGAACAGCTTCATATTGCTAATGATTGAGAATCATTCTTGATCCACAAGTCATGATCTGATGTGAGGTTCGATGAGCAAGGCTGGTACCTCCCATCAGCTGGTGGTAGACAAAATATTAAGTGGTGGCAGGGGCCTATTTGTGATGTTCTCCCAGGGTGCACAGCCCATGGCTTACTTGAATAGTGTGTTTTAGGGTTTGTTTTCACAATCAAGTTCTAATTGAACCCAGACATGGCACAACTTTTGCACCTGGCTTCTTTGAGATGGTGCCTATTCATCTTTCATATTTCTCAAGACACTGGGTCATTTCTTAGCTCTTTCTTTTGGAGAAAAAACAGCCTTCACATCTACCACTCTCACTCGTAAGTGACCTTCTTTGACTTCTTCATTCATCTTCCTGATCCTCTAAGTTTCCACATGGTCAAGTTTGGATCCAGGACCCAATATCCTGACTGATACTTAGCAAGCAAAGGGGCTGCTGTCTACCATTTCATCATTACACAATCCAGAATATGTTCTGTGTATGTTTTGCCCAAAAGTGTGTTACTTCACCCTCACAAATGGACTCACAGGGATCCTCTCCCATGCCTGTGCACATCCCTTGCTTCCCACCCAGCTAGCCCCTGATCCTTCCACCAGCCTCCCACTCCACTACAGTCACTCTGAATTTGGGCGTTTCTCTCCACACCCGTCTCCCACCCACCAGGCACACCAACCTCTCTATGTCAGCAACTGAAGCTGTTCTCTGGGGGCCCTCTGCCAACCCCACAGTCAGGCCATATTCTCACCCCTTGGTAGTATGGCAAAATATGAAAGATGCCACGTGAACCCTTTCTGGAATGTAAATGTGTTGCCTCTCTTGCTCTGGAAGGGCCTTGAGCCTCTGGGATGAAGTTGGTTCTGAAACTGACCAAGTCTAAGCCACGTTCCCTAGAAGAGTGATCTGTGCCCCAGCAACTCCTCCCACCTCCTGCTCCCAGACTCCCACTCCCTATTCCCACCAGAAACTTCCCTCTTCAGCCCTGGACACTGCTGGATAATGCACTAGAGAGCGCTTATCAATTAACTGTCTTCTACCACACTCAGCAACCCTTTCTGCAGTTCTTTCTATTCAACACAGATAATATGAGCAGTATAGACTAGCATAAAAGAATTAGGAAAGATCAAATGCTTGAAACTTTATTTCAACCAGTTCAGGACCCCGAGAGCTGCCTCCCAACTTTGCCTCTTCCCTCATCTGCCTTGAAATAGCCTCCTTGACTGCAGCATTCCCAGCCCAGCTCAGGATTTCCCACTTGTCCCAGCCTTTCTTCAGTCCAGTTCTCCTCCCAGTTAAATGGAGATATGAAATAAATGCCCACATGAAGTGCATGCCAAAATTGATTATGCTAACTTAAAGTGTTTTCAAAAGACACGAGTGGTATTACAGGCATTTAAATATATTTCTAAAAAACATTATATTATGCAAAATGTCAAACATATGGCAAGATAAAGGGAATCATATAATGGACCCATCAGCTTTAGCAGTTATCAATATGGCCAGTCTTGTTTTATCTATTGCCCCACCTGTACCCCCTACTTTCCACCCAGATTGTTTTGAAGCAAATCCCAGACCTCATATCATTTCATTTATAAATTTAACTTTAAAAATGTAGGCTATTGTCACTTTATCTGCAGTTTCTTTCTTTTTTGCAGTCTGCTAAGATGTTTTCTTATGCTGGATGGACGCAGACCTGTAACACCCTGTTTTTCATCTTCTCCACCATATTTTTCATCAGCCGCCTCATTGTTTTTCCTTTCTGGTGAGTAGACCGGTGATGTGCCCTGCCTTTGGTCAGTGTGCAGAGGTGGCCTCAGTGCATGGTTACCCTCAGGGCATTGCCCTTTCCATACGTGGGTCTCCAGTTATTTGTGTCAAGTGCAGTTGGAGAAAAGAATGTGATGGAGCCATTTTTATAAATAATTAAAACAACACTCTGTGGTGTGGAAAAGGCTTATTACAACGGGAGATGGAAAATGTGTGACCTGACGGGCAAGCAGCAGCTCTTACTCTGTCTTGTTTCATGGATGTAGACCTTTCTTTGTGATTAACAGCTTTTCTAGTCACTCAATGAAAAGTCACTGTCCAATCACCAGTTCTCTAAAAGAGAGGTATGTTCTGTGTTACAATAATTATAGCCATTACTTGAATGCCAGACACTGGATTAGGTCCTTCCCATATCTTGGCTCTAGTCTACACAATAACTCATAAGGATGAGTATTATCACTTCCACTTCCCAGATAAGGAAAACTGATACTTGTTTATTTCATTCTCTATGACCACTGGTTCTAATTATGGTTTGAGTATCCTTTCGATATGATTGGCTCTCGATCAGTCTGTTGATTTTGTTTAGCCACAGACCAGCAATGAAAAGCATATATTACATCTCCCATGACAATCATTTCCTTGGGAAGCATAATGTTCCATGTGTTGATTGACAGAAACCAGAGTAACATGTGGGGAAGACTTAGATGGTTTGGAAGGAACAGCTTTTAACCAACCATAATTTGGGGCTAGTCTGGGAACTTGGGATCCTCCAAACAGAAGACTTAGTGCTGTTGAAGAGCCTAGATGCAGGGGAAATGGATGGAGACTCAAGTTCCAGGCCTCATTCTTAAGTGTATAGACAGCACCCTTGGCTGGCATCCAGGGAAATCCAGCCAGAGAGGTCAATGCCCTTTCCTGGAAGCCAGCTGCATTCTTTAGACCATGTGTATTCGGCATTTTCTGGAGAGGAACAACAGAGTGTAGTGGTTAAGTTGCTACATGTGAGAGTCCATCCTGGATTTAAATCCTGACTCCACACTTACGACCTTTGTGATCTTGAACAGGTTATACCACCTCTCTGTGCCTCAGTTTTCTCATATGTAAAATGGAAATAAGGGTTGGCATGAGGCTTAACTAGTTTATATAGTTTGGAACAATGTCTGGTACTCAGTAAAGAATCAGTAAATACTACCTACTATAATTAAACATATTAATGAGTATCTCAGAATTTGAAGTTCAACTAGAATCAAATCTAAGATAAATGTCTCAGATATTTTCCTTGGTTGATAAATCATTACCATCACTTTTACTTTGACTGAGCAAGTGTGTTTGTGAAATTTTAGTAATGGCTGGGCATGGTGGTGCATGCCTATAGTCCCAGCTACTCAGGAGCCTGAGGTTGGCGGGGGGGTCACTTAAGCCCAGGAGTTCTAGATCAGCCTGGGCAACATAGTGAGACCCTGTCTTTAAATATATCTATATCTATATCTATATCTATCTATCTATCTATCTATCTATCTATATATATATATATACACGTATATATATACACATATATATAGACGTATATATATATACATATATATGTGTGTATATATATATAGAGAGAGAGAGAGAGAGAGAGAGAATGATAGCAATTATTGATAGAATAATATTGACTTGCTGATGACAGTTGGGCATAGCTTTTCAGTGTGACTTTCATGACACTATCAATCCAGCATTTGCCCCTCAGTTCGCCATGTCCCAAAGGCACTACACGTTCCAATTGCCTGTTGCTGTATAACACAGCATCTAAAAGTCTAGTGGCTTAAGACAGCAGTGGGCAAACTTTTTCTTTAAAAGGCCAGAGAATATATATTTTAGGCTTTGAGGGCCACCTATGATCTTTTTTGCAAGTTTTTATTCATTTTATTTTGTTTTATAATCCTTTAAAAATGTACCAAGCCATACTTACTTAGCTCATGGGCTGTACGAAAACATACACCCAGGTTGCAGGCCGGATTTTACCCACAGGCCATAGTTTGCAGACCTCTGTCTTAAGACAACAACATTTATTAATTATTATTATTATTATTTCTCATGGTTCTAGGAGTCGATTGGCCTTGGCTAGATGATTTTCACTTAGGGTCTCTTGTGTGGTTACAGTTATATGGCGGCTGGGCAGTCACATAGTGTCTAGAGTCCTCAACACATGGCTGAAGTCATATATAGAAAATCAGGCTAGGTGCAGTGGCTCACGCCTATATCCCGGTACTTTGGGAGGCCGAGGCAGGTGGATCACCTGAAGTCAGGAGTTCGAGACCAACCTGCCCAACATGGTGAAACCCCATCTCTACTAAAAATACAAAAAAATTAGCCGGGTGTGGTGGCACATGCCTATAATCCCAGCCACTCGGGAGCCTGAGGCAGGAAAAGTGCTTGAACCTGGGAGACGGAGGTTGCAGTGAGCCGAGATTGTGCCACTGCACTCCAGCCTGGGCAACAGAGAAAGACTCCATCAAGAAAGAAAGAAAGAAAGAGAGAAAGAGAGAGGGAGAGAGGGAGAGAGGGAGAGAGGGAGGGAGGGAGGGAGGGAGGGAGGAAGGAAGGAAGGAAGGAAGGAAGGAAGGAAGGAAGGAAGGAAGGAAGGAAGGAAAGAAGGAAAGAAGATAAGAAAATCAGCTGGCTGATGCTGCTTGTGCTTATTGGCTGGGACTTCAGCTGGGGGCTGTCCGCTGGAATACCCACAGCCCCTCTAGTTGGCCTTGGCCTCCTCATCGCATGGCACCTGCATTTCAAGGGTGAGCATTTCAAGAGAGTGCTAGAGAGATGCTGCATCTTTTTTCATAAACAGCCTCAGTAGTCACATCACGTCATTTCCAACCTTGTATTTTTTATTGGAACCAGGTCACTAAATCTGACTCATATTCAAGGGAAGGAAAACTAGACTCCATTTCTTGATGGGAGCAGTTTCGAAGAATTTGCGGATGTTTTTAAAAAGCACACACCATGGAAGCTCTAGGTCCAGGGAACTCTCTGAGAAGTTTCTGCAATATTGCTGCCATGGTTGGCTTTTGATTTAGCAATGGAGAACATTCACCTCAGACTATCCCATGATGTCTCAAAATAAACAAGCAAGCTTACTTACCCATAAACAATTGAGCAACACAGTGGTGCTCAGTGATTGTCGGGGTAGTGCGCTATTTTCCCACACTGTTGTCTTTAAAAACCCTACATTTAAGAACTCATTCTCATGCCAGCATTTCTGGTTTTCAAGGAGAATTGAGTTACATGTGTTTGGCATTTTCTTGATCTTTATACTGAATTCACTTGCCCATTGGAGAGGGCAGCCAGTACTCCTATTTGCTGTCTTCAAGGAGTTGGGTTGCAAATAAACCAATATGAACAGACTTGACTGTAAAATAAAACGAAACAGGCCAGGCACGGTAGCTCACGCCTGTAATCCCAGCACTTTGGGAGGCCAAGGCAGGAGGATCACCTGAGGTCAGGAGTTCGAGACCAGCCTGGTCAACATGGTGAAACCCCATCTCTACTAAAAATACAAAAATTAGCCGGGTGTGATGGCGAGTGCCAGTAATCCCAGCTACTCGGGAGGCTGAGACAGGAGAATCACCTGAAACTGGGAAGTGGAGGTTGCAGTGAGCCAAGATTTTGCTATTGCACTCCAGCCTGGGTGACAAGAGTGAAACTCCATCTCAAAAAAAAAAAAAAAAGTTCAAAACAACAGCAAAAACTTTTCCTGGTAAAAATATTTCTGTATTGACGTTGACTGATTCTCATTGTTTGGAAAGTTGAGAAAAACCTCACCAAGCCATTGGAAGTTTGGCAGATCAATTTTCAATGGTCTCTGAAGGAAGTATGTCAATCAGAGAGGGAGCTTCTTTCAGGTACAGTGTACTGCTCTAGTTTAAATGGTCTTCCCACCAGCATGAACTTGCCACCAGCACAATCATCTTCATGGAGTCAAAGGGGAAGATTTAGTTCCTTGTTGTTAGCTTGGCCCCAACCCTCTGTCTAAAACTTATAACTCTGTAGATTCATTTTTCGAGGATGCTTTATTCTATCCAAATGTACTGGGATTTTACTATGGAGCAAGCAATGTGCAGATCATAGGTATCATTGGAGGGTGGCTTAACTAACCTATTTCACCATTCAGACATTTTAGAGGCACTGTGGGCGGCAGTTTGCAATCTAGTTGCTCTGTTCTTCTTTCCAGCTGCTTTTGTTGCACATCCTGTGGTGATATACACGGTAGGGCGGGGCGAAAGCTAACTGGGGTTGTGCCCATCTGAGATTTGTCTGGAAGCCTTGAGAAGGAGAGCTGGAGTGTGTGCATTTCCCTTGCCCTTTCTTTGACCTTTCTCTGATTTTCCCCAGCCTCAAGCACATTTGCATACTCTCCTAACGAGTCTCCCTTTCATGTCCAGCCACTGCACTCTTTTACTTCTGAGGATCTTATCCCATTCTCAGTCAGCATCTGCAAGAGTTAGTTACGTTGGTTTTCTAAGCATTGTTTCATTAACATTAGGCAGAAATTCAAAAGCACACTGGTCAAATTGTTTTAATTTAATTGCCTGGTAACTCCATCTGTTTGCATTCCTGTTCAAAACCATTTAAATCGCAGGTGGATGTTTTTCACACTGTATTCCCAACTATTGTTCTTAAAAATGATTTCTCTAGTTTGGAATTATTGGATGTATCTATCTTCTTGAGCATTATCCAAATACTCACAGAGAGTTATTAGGCTAGAAAGACCTTTCTAAGGCCAGGCAAACCACTTCCTCTGACTACTAACAGTTTTCCTCCACAAATAACAAGAGCAGATCGTGGTTCCACGCAGGTAGGTCCACCTGAAGGGAAGGTGTGTGTGCCCTGTTTTGCTGGTTTTGCAACCTGTGAGTTCAGTGTCTGTCACAGCTGAGTGTGCAGGGGGCAGGGTGGCTTGTTGCTTCATTTCTTGAATTCATCACAGCTGGGTGTTACGAACAGTACAAGGGGAGTGAGACCCAGCTCATGCCTTTCAGGAGTGCATTATATAAGGCAGTAGAGAGATCTTTGTGTCTAACCCTGTTTCATGTGGTTGAAGACTATTCACATTGACCTGTGTTTCTCAGATGTCTCAAAAAGAAAAATACAAAACATTTTCAACTGCAAATAATACTGAAATACCTAGCTCCCTTACTTCCAAGGATACATATGCTTGTAAGGTTTCTCCCTCACCACTGGTTCACTGGACTTCAGATTTCAGCGTTTGATGATCCAGCTATTACAAGTGTAGAAAAATGGTACCCTGGGAAGTCCACATGTGAAAGGGAATATTATCGACAATGAGACCATGTAAATACTTGGAATGGCTAATAGAGAAAGGAGAGTTTTAAAAAACAGAGAAAGATAAAGCTGAAAGCACCCAACAGTGCTCTTAGCTGATGTTCATCAGTGGGGACCCGGGATGAGGGAATGATGGACCCTTCTTTTCCTCTGAAGGCCTGAAGCCTTGGTCCTAAATGAGAAGCAGAGGGCAGAGCATCGGTTCTGATGGCACCATGGTCAGCTTAGTGCCGTTTGCGCAACCAGCAAAGAAAAGGAAGGTACAAGGCAAGAAAGACTCTGTTGAAGCTGGGCCACTCCCTTGAGCCACCACTGCAGATATGTATCTCAGAACTAGACTTTCCAGTTCCACACCTGATGAAGGAGACTACCTGTTCTACCACATGTGTTCACTGTCTCACTCCACAGGGGCCCTTAGAAGAGCTCTCCTATCTTGCCCATGTGCTTGGTACCTTCTTTATGCTATTTTTGAGTTCACGAAGAACAGCTACAACAATCACCCCTCTTCAAACCATAGAATCCTAGAATAAGGAACTTTATTTATAATGTAGTCCAATCCTTTTATTCATGTATTCATTTATTTAGAATTTTTTTTTTTTTTTTTTTTTTCTGAGACAGAGTCTCACTCTGTTGCCAGGCTGGAGTACAGTGGCCTGATCTTAGCTCACTGCAACCTCTGCTTCCCGGGTTCAAGCGATTCTCCTGCCTCAGCCTCCTGAGTTGCTGGGACTACAAGTGCATGCCACCACACCCAGCTAATTTTTGTATTTTTAGTAGAAACGGGGTTTCACCATGTTGGCCAGGATGGTCTCGATCTCTTGACCTTGTGGTCTGCCTGCCTCAGCCTCCCAATTTTAGAAATAATTTTAAGCTTACAAAGAAATTTCTAGTATACTACAGAGAACCCCTAGATATACTGTTTACCAGTTAGCATTTTGCCCCATTTACTTTGTCATTCCTTCTCTCTCTACTTCCCCACCACACACATGTATGAATATACATATTTGTTTCTGAATCATTTGCAAGTTGTAAACATCAACTAAATAATTCCTTGTGCCCTAAGTAATTCAGTGTGTATTGCCTAAGAAGAAGGACATTTTCTTACATAATCACAATACAGTTATCAATCGCAGGAAATGTAGCAATCTACCTTCCATGTTCCAATTTGGTCAATCAATCCAATGATGTCTTTTATTGCTTTTCCCCCTGACTGTGTGGGGATCCAGCTCCAGATCACGTATTGCATTTAGCTGTCATTCATCTGGAACAGTTGCTTACCTCTTCTTTGTCTTTCATGTCGCTGACATTGTTGAAACATTTAGACACCACATTTATTTCTCAGATGAAGAGTTAAGGTACTTCCAGGATCACATAGCTGGTTATGGAAGAATCAAGACTAGAAACAGGATATTTGAAACACAGAACAGATAGGCTTCAAATTAAATTTGAAAGTAGGGTTAAGAGTGTATCATTTGCCTTCACTAAATATTTATTAAGTTTTCTTCAACTACCCAGTCATTTAGAAACTTAAGAGATCACTGAGGTAGATAATTGTTCACCTGTAGAACAAGTATTTGCTATCCTAAAAGGGCTTAATGCTCATACCCACAATTAGCAAGAAAATAAGACCCTTACCTTGCAATTTTCATTAGACAAATACAACTTTTTGGTGGTTGCCTTAGCTAGTCCAGCAAAACCAGCTAATATTTATACCAACACTGCAATTTATTCAAACCATGCCAACTCCAGTGATTGGAAGAGCTAAAATTGGAAACAAAACTGAAAACAGAAAAAGCTGAGTTTTGCAATCCAAGGGCATGGTAGTAGCTTATCCATTTGGAAAGGTTAAATCCAGTGGACAGGGACAAAGTGGTTCTAAGAATTTAGGAATATAGCAGTCTTTCGGCATTCTTTATGAAAAGGAAAATTCCATTCAGTTGCTGTAAGGTGGTGACTAGCGATAATGTGCAAGTGTTGTGTGTTCTATGCATGTGCCTGCACACATGTATGCACGTGTGTTAGGAAGAGAGCTGGGAAGGGCAGATGGAATTTTTTTTCTTTTTCCCAGTCTTCTTTTAGCGTAGAAGGAGAGGAAACTTGAGAGACTAGACCATCCTTTATTGAAGTCTTGAAATTTTAACTGTGGCATCATAGCTGGTTGTTACCCGTGCCACAATGGCTACTCCCCTCTGACTCCTGTTCCACTTCTTTGGCCTCCAGTCCCCTCTGTCCTCTTGCAGAGAATGTTCAGGCAGCAGAGTCCCCATTCCTCGGATCCTGCTTACCCTCTCCAAAGTGGACTCCTCCTCTTCCCCTTGGCAGGAAATCCAGCCATTTCAGGAGCACCCTCTTGGGGGGTGTTGCTCTAACTGTGTTACTGGTGTAAGTTCTCTGCAGTAGGAGAGGGCTAGTTGTGGGAAAGTAGTAGTGGCCATAGTGGTAGTAAGAGTAATAGTTGTAACTATCATTTTTGAATACTTACTATGTAATAGGCACTTTCCATTTGTCAACTCATTGAATCCTCATAACCACCTGGGTGGTGTTCTCATTTTACAAAAGAAACTGAAGCCCAGAGAGATTATGGAACTTGCTAAGATCCTGGGAGCCCTGATTGAAATCTTGAAGACTCCAGCGCCAATTCCACTGGCCTCTCCTCTCTGCCCAGAGGCTCAGCTCTCTTAGAAGACATTTGCATCTTAATGGCAGCTTCTTTCATTCTGAGGGCTATACAGTTTGTAAAGCTGGCTGTGTGTCTCCTGGGAGCCTCTAGTCAAAGGAGGTGGTGGAGGGGCAGCTAGTTTTACCCAGTGACTAAGGAACTAAGGCTCAGTGACTTATGCAGGTTTCGAGCCAAGAAATTAGTGGTGTTGAGCCTTGAACCCAGCTCTGATATTCTGTTCCACATGTGTCACTCCTCTTTCTAAAACCAGCCAAGCTTCCTGTTGCTCTCACAATGAAGGCCACACCTCCACCCTGACTTGCAAGGCCTACCTGAGATGGCTTCTTCACCTCTCCCACCTCATCTTACACCACCCTTCACTGCCACTCCTCTCCTTTAAGCCACACTGGTCTTCTTTTAGCTCCTCGAATTTTCCATGATGCTTCCCACTTGACAGCCTTTGTACATGTAGAACCCTGCCATATGCCCTGTCATTTTCTTTCTTTCTTTACATGGATCACAATGGGCAATTTTATGTTTAGTTAATTATTCACATTCTCCGGTAGACTGTGTAAAGAAGGTATTTTTGAGTAGGTCCTTTTGTCAATAATAACACTGACAAATTCCCAATAGGGGACCTAGTAAGGGGCAAGGCCCTGAGCCAGACAAGGGAAGGACCCAGAGGTGAAGGTGTCCTGGCCACGGCCTTTGGAAAGCTTGCCTGCTAGTGAGGAGGGGAGAGCCAGGAGGAAGGGAATAAATTCAGGGGTGACCAGAATTACATGGAAACTTTTGTTGTGGAGAGACCCATGCTTTAATGGATGGAAAGGGGTTCAGTTGAAAAGAGAAAGTACATTCTAGGCAGAAAGAGTACAGAATAAGGCCCAAGGATCCAGCAAACCAGAATGGCAAGTAGGTTTTTACATGTATCATTTCCTCTAATAAGCCTATAAATAAATGTGGGTACCAGAAGGTAAACCCTACTAGTTTAGGGGTTTTGGTCCCTCTCATTCATTGCTATATTCCTGGCTACTACCAAGTGTCAGGTAGCACTTTAGTAGGTGCTCAGTAATGGTTTATTGAATAAATAAGGTAGGTACTCTCTGCTCGCATTTTACAGATGAGGAAATGCACAAATAAGTGACATGGTATCTAAGTAGTAAAGCCAGAACTTTAAGAAAATATGGGAAAATATGTTTTATATTGATGGGGCTGAAAAAGGACCTTTAAAGCATAACATGTATGCAAAGTATAAAATAAGCAATTGACAGATTTGATTTAAAAATTTTTTTAATTACTTTGCCAAAAAAATCAGTATTGAAAGAAAATACTGGACTGTATAAAGCTAATTAACATAATTTAAAAATAGTGTTGATATCTTTAGTATATAAAGAGCATTTAAGAATCAACAGGAAAAATAAATGCTCCAATAGAAAAATGGACAGATGCCACAAAAGCAGTTCATAAAGAATAAATAAAAGTAGCCGAGTAAAATAACCAATAAGAGATATAAATAGATGTATAAATATATATAGTCACTATACATTAAATAAAAATATGAATATAAACAGTACTCTGTTATTTTAGGTGGAGACTGATAAAATACAATATTGGTCAATATCTGAGGAAGCAGATACTCTTATATATTGGGTGCAAGAATATAAATTGGTATAGTCTTTCTGGAAAGCAGTGTAACATTATATTCCAAATTGTAAAATGAGTCTACTCTTTGATTCAGGATTTTAGCTATTCTAAGTGGATAATCAAACAATTACATCAAAATGTTTTTATAGAACCACACGTGGTGGTTCATGCCTATAATCCTAGAACTTTGGAAGGCTTAACTCCCTTAAGCCTAGAAGTTCGAGATCAGCCTGTGCAACAAGGCAAAACCCTGTCTCTACAAAAAACAAAATACAAAAATTGGCCAGGTATTGTGCCGTATACCAGGAGTCCCAGCTACTCAGGTGGCTGAGGTTGGAGGATTGCTTGAGCCTGGGAGGTAGAGGCTATAGTAAGCTGTGATCATGCCTCTGCACTCCTGCCTGGGAGACAGAGCGAGACCATGTCTCAAAAAAAAAATGTATTTACAAGTAATTCTCACAGTATTCTTTCTAATATAATGAACATTTGGGAAGAATTTAAATGTCTATTAATAAGGGATTAGTTAAATTATGATATATCTATAAAATGGATTTCTGTGAAGCCATTATATATGGTGATACATAGTAGGGGTTGGCAGGCTATGGCTCAAAGGCCAAATTCAGCCTATTGCCTGGTTTTGTTGATAAAGTTCTATTGGAACACAGACACACACACTAATGTATGTACTTTCTATACATGAATTAG
Organism: Homo sapiens; assembly: GCF_000001405.40. NCBI lineage: Eukaryota > Metazoa > Chordata > Mammalia > Primates > Hominidae > Homo > Homo sapiens. The sequence goes on along the minus strand of NC_000015.10, from coordinate 100,459,036 downwards.
TTTATGTAATGTTAGCTGTCATGGCTGCTTTTGTACTGTAATGGCTGAATTGAGTAGTTGCAACAGAGACCAAATGGTCCAGAGGCCTGAAATATTTATTATCTTTTCCTTTACAAACAAGTTTGCTAACTCTTGATATGTAGCTTTGTTTATTGTTGTGGAAAGCTCTCTGTAACATGTTATTGCATGAAAAAAGTAGGGTACAAAAATCACACATAGGTAGTGATCACCTCGTTACATAAAAGCATGTGGTGATAGGAGGGGCAAAATAGAAGCACTTTAAAGAATATAGTTTTGAGAGAGATATCCTAAATCGTTTAACAAAATATTCTGGGTTACCTGTAAGTTGTGAGACTTCAGGTGATTTTTCATTCCTTAACCTCTATATATTTTTCTGTAATTCCTAAATTTTTAAAAGCAATCGAGTTATTACATCTTTTTTTTTTTTTTTGAGATGGAGTCTTGCTCTGTCACCCAGGCTAGAGTGCAATGGCGTGATGTCGGCTCACTGCACGCTCTGCCTCCCAGGTTCAAGCAATTCTCTTCCCTCAGCATCCCAAGTAGCCAGGATTACAGATACCTGCCACCACACCTGGCTAATTTTTATATTTTTTAGTAGATATGGGGTTTCACCATGTTGGTCAGGCTGGTCTTGAACTCCTGACCTCAGGTAATGCACCTGCCTCAGCCTCCCAAAGTGCTGGGATTACAGGCATGAGCCACTGCACCTGGCCCCTGTTTTTCAAACAAAGAACTTGAACTGATAACTTACAAAAGAAGAAATAGAGCTACTAAGCAGACATAGGGGAAATGTTAAGGCCTTGCAAATAATGTAAACTGAAAGTATTTTATCTTTTAAATTAACAAATTTTGAAACTATTTCATACTGGTTCTGAGTTCAGTGAAACTCTTCTTTCATAAATTGCTGGTGGCCTTATAAATAGTTACAATTTAGGAAAATAATTTGGCAACATTTTAGTACCTTTTAATATACAATCTTGAATTTTAATATCTTTAATGTACACCTTAAAACAGTAATCTCACGTTTAGAAATATATAGTTTCATAGAAATAATTTCAGTTTATGAAAGACTATATACATCAAGTTGTCTAAATAGCATAAAATGTCTTTGATTTAAAGCTAAATGTAATTGAACATAAAATCTCACAAATGTTATGTTTACTGCAGTGGCAAAAATATAGAACAATATGAAGTACCAACAAAGGTATAGAACAACTGACATTCTCATGCTTTGCTGGTGGGAATGTAAAGCTACCACTCTGGAAAATAGTTTTTCAGTTTATTATAAAGTTAAGCATATATTTACCAGATGGCACACAATTCTACCCCTATATACTTACCCTTGAAAAATCAAAACTTCTGTTCACATATAAATATCTGCATGAATATTTATAGCAGTTCTATTCATAAATGTCAAAAGCTGGAAACAACCCAAATGCTCCTCAGTAGGTAAAAAAACAGTGATGCAGCCATAAAGTGGAGTGCCACTCAGTAATAAGAAGGAGCATGCTATTGATAACCATGACAACTGAATGAATCTTAAAAGCATTATGCTGTGTGAAAGAAGGTGGCCTTAAAAGCTCACACAACGTATGATTCCATTTATGTCCTTGGAAGACAGACCAAAGGATACAGAGCAAAGTGTTTGCCAAGTTTATGTGTGGAGGAGGGTGTGGCAATAAAGGGATAGCATCACAGAATTTTTTTGGCAAGATAGGCTGTTCTGTATCCTAATTGTAGTGGTGTTTAAATAAACCTATAGACATATTAAATTCATTGAACAATATACCAAAAAACAGTAAATTTTACTGCATGTTAATAAAAAAATTAAAAAATTGTATAGGAAAATACTGGAAGAGAATGCATGAAAATTACAATATTGTTTGTTTAAGGTGATGGTGTTATGGACAATTTTCTTGTTTCCCCAATGTTACATGAAAAAAATTATTTCTATAACTAATATACTTACAAACAAACCTATTGAAAGACTCTAAATTCATAGTGCTATATAAGTTTGAGAAATAAACAAATAGCCCTTCATATGGCAATAATATCTTTTTTTTTTTTTTTTCACGGAATCTTGCTCTGTCACCCAGGCTGGAGTGCAGTGGCACAATCTCGGCTCACTGCAACCTCCACCTCCCAGGTTCAAGCAATTCTTTTGCCTCAGCCTCCCCAGTAGCTGGGATTACAGGTGCATGCCACCACACCCAGCTAATTTTTGCATTTTTAGTACAAATGGGGTTTTGCCATGTTGGCCAGGCTGGTCTCAAACTCCTGACCTCAGGTGATCTGTCCACCTTGGCCTCCCAAAGTGCTGGTATTACAGGCATGAGCCACCATGCCCGGCCCATATGGCAATAATATCTGAAGACACTGTGCATCTTAGGTCATCAGGAGCAGTTCAAATTGTGTCCAGGAGCCTGTTTATGAAACTAATAAAGCATACAATTTACTTTAGGAAGCAGAAGTGTTAAGTACTCATGGAATTTTTGCTTTGTTAAAGCTTCTTTTATTTGGAAAATGTACTTTTGTAGAATTCTCTATTCACCTTTGATGCCAAATAAATGAGATTGTGTTTTAAGGCAATAATAACCTCATGTAAACATGCATTATCTTATTTGTTCTTCAAAATCCTCTAGCCCCATCACCAGAAGGTAAAAATGGTTAGTGTATGCTTTTGTTTGAAAAAAGGAAACCAAGGTACAGAAACATTCCAGTTTAAACACTGGGTAATAAAAATGCTGTTTCTTTAACTTTTCTTCAGGAAGACAGATTGTACTTTTTTTGTTGCTTGCCAGTAATGATATTTAAGATAATATTATCGTATCTTTTCTTTTGATAATTTTCTGGGCTTTATTAGAAACGAAATACATGTATGGCTTAGGAGAAAAACTATTTGTTTTATTATTGAAAATTCATAGGTGCTTTGGTTGTAATGAAATTCTCTCAACTGTTTGGTGTTTCAGGATTTTATATTGCACGCTGATCTTGCCTATGTATCACCTCGAGCCTTTCTTTTCATACATCTTCCTCAACCTACAGCTCATGATCTTGCAGGTCCTTCACCTTTACTGGGGTTATTACATCTTGAAGATGCTCAACAGATGTATATTCATGAAGGTAAGGGCTGTCCAAATATTATTGCTCTTAATGTCATTGCCAGGTTAATGGTGAGGCCCGGACTGTTGAATGTTCAAGTTAATTCATAGTTTTAACCAGAATTCTTTTTTCTTGATTTTATTATTTTTGATTAAAATTTTGGAAAAATAGAGCTAGATTTTTCATAAGTAGGTCTTTAAGGTGCTTTTAAGAAATTGCTTTTATTAGAAGATATGTTATTTTTGACATTTTTAAAATGTCAAAACTTCAAAAATTATAAAAATTGCTGCTTGTTTTTATGCTTGAAGAAAATTTTTAAACTTTTGCTTATTGATATGTAATATTTGTGCATATTTATGTGATATTTTGTACGTGCATAGAATATGTATTCAGGACATTTGGGGTATCCATCATCTTGAGTATTTATCATCTCTAAGTGTTGGGAACATTTCAAGTCCTCTCTTCCAGCTATTTTGAAATATACAGTGTATTGTTGTTAACTACAGTCACCTGCTGCTGAAGATTGGAATTTATTCCTTTTATCTAACTGTAAGTTTTTACCTATTATGCAGCCTTTCTTCATCTTCTCCCAACCCCACCAACACACCCTTCCCAATCTGGTGTCTATCATTCTACTCTTTGGTATATTGTTTTTTTTTTTCCTTGGGATAAATATGCAGTAGTGAGATTGCTGGGTCATATGGTAGTTCTACATTTAGTTTTTGAGAAATCTGCATTCCGTTTTCCATAGAGATTGTACTAATTTACATTCCCACAAACAGTGTATAAGAGTTCCCTCTTCTTTACATTCTCACCAGTGTCTTTCAATCACTTTTTGCCTTTTTAATAATAACAGTTTTAACTGGGGTGAGATGATATCTCATTGTAGTTTTCACTTGCACATTTCCCTGATGATTAGTGATGTTGAGCATTTTTTCACATGTCTGTTGGCCACTGTATGTTTTTTCTTCAGAAATATTTATTCATGTCCTTTGCCCCTTTTTAATGGAATTATCATTATTATTTGTTGTTGTTGTTGTTTTACTGTTGAGCTGTTTGAGTTCCCTGTATATTCTGGATATTAGTCCATTATCAGATGAAGGATTTGCAAATATTTTCTCCCATTCAACAGGTTGTCTCTTCACTATGTTGATTGTTTCCTTTGCTGCACAGAAGCTTCTTAGTTTAATATAGTCCCATGTGTCTATTTTGGTTTTTGTTGCCTGGCTTTTGAGGTCTTAGCCATTGAATCTTTGCCTAGACCAATGTCCTGAAGTATTTCCCTGAAGTACTTCCCTTATGTATTCTTCAAGTAGTTTTATATTTTGGGATCTTATATTTAAGTCTATAATCTGTGTTGAGTTGATTTTTGTATATGATGAGAGACAGAGATCTAGTTTCAATCTTCTGCATGTGGATATCCAATTTTCCCCACACCATTTATTGAAGAGGATGTCCTTTCCCCCAATGTATGTATTTTTTTATTTCTGTGAAAAATGGCATTGGTATCTTTTTTTTTTTTTTTTGACAATGCCTTGCTCTGTCTTCAAGGCTAGAGTGCAGGGGCATGATTATGACTCACTGCTGCCTCAATCTCCCAGGCTCAAACAACCCTCCCACTTCAGCCACTCAAGTAGCTGGGACTACAGGCCCATGCCACCACACTTCACTAATTTTTAAAATTTTTCGTAGAGATGGGGTCTCTATGTTTTCCAGGATGGTCTCAAACTCTTGGGGTCAAGCGATTCTCTTGCCTTGGCCTCCCAAAGTACTGGAATTACAGGTGTGAGGCACTATGCCTGGCCAACATTGCTATCTTGGTAGAGATTGAATTGAATCTGTAGATAGCTTTGAGCAGTCTGGTCATTTTAATGATATTAACTTTTCTAATCCATGAGCATGGGCTGTCTTTCCATTTGTTTATGTCCTCTTCAATTTTTAAAAATCAGTGTTTTGTAGTTTTCCTTGTAGAGGTCTTTTACCTCCTTGGTTAAATTTATTCCTAGGTATTTTTGTAGTTATTGTAAATGGGATTCCCTTATTGAGTTCTTTTTCAGCTAGTGTGTCGTTCATATATAGACACTATTTTTTATGTTGAATTTGTATCCTGTAACTTTACTGAATTTATTTATCAGATCTAAGGCTTTTTTTGGTGAAGTCTTTAGGTTTTTCTGGGTATAAGATCGTGCCATCTGCAAAGAGGGACAATTTGACATCCTCTTTTCTAATTTGGATGCCTTTTATTTGTCTCTTGCCTGATTGCTCTGACTTTAATGTCCAGTACTACGTCAAACAGGAGTAGTAAAGTCAGCATCTTTGTCTTGTTCTAGTTTTTAAAGGAAAGGCTTTCAGCCTTTCACCATTTAGTATGATGTTAGCTATGAATCTGTCATATATGCCCTTCATTATGTTCAGTTATGTTCCCTCTATGACTAGTTTGTTGAGAGTTTTTATCATAAAAGGATGCTGAATTTTATTAAATGCTTTTTCTGCGTCTATTGAGATGATCATATAGATTTTATTCTACATTCTGTCGATGTAATGTATCACATTTTTTTATTTGTTTATATTGAACCAACCTTGCATCCCTGGGTTGAATCCCACTTGGCCATGGTATGTTATCTTTTTGATGTAATGTTGGATTTGGCTTGCTAGCATTTTGTTGAGAATTTTTGTATCTATGTTAATCAGGGATATTGACCTGTAGTATTTTTTTGTTGTTGGGTCCTTGTCTGGTTTTGATATCAAGGTAACGCTGGCCTTGTAGAATGAGTTAGGGAGAATTCCCTCCACTTAATTTTTTTTTTTGAATAGTTTAAGGAGAATTGCTGTAAATTCTTCTTTGTAAATTTGGTGGAATTTAGCAATACAGCTATCTGGACCTGGACTTTTCTTTGTTGAAAGACTTTTTATTACTGATCCAATCTCTTTACTTTTTATTGGTCTGTTCAGGTTTTCTGTTTCTTCCTCAATCAGCCTTGGGACGTTGTATGTGTTTATGAATTTAACCATTGCCTCTAGGTTTTCCAGTTTGTTAGTGTATAGTTATTCACTATAGTTTCTGATAATCTTTATATTTCTGTGGTATCAATTGTAATGTGTCTTTTTTGTTTCTGATTTTCTTTATTTTGGTCTTTTCTCCTTTTTTCTTGGTCAGTCTAGCTAGCAATCTATTTTGTCTATCTTTTCAAAAACTAACTTCTAATTTTGTTGATTCTTTGTAATTATTTTCAGTCTCTTTCATTTAGATTTGCTCTGATCTTTGTTATTTCTTTCCATCTATTAATTTTGCATTTGGTTTATTCTTGCTTTCCTAGTTCATTGAAGTGCATCACTAGATTTTTTATATGACATCTTTCTACTTTTTTGATGTAGAAGTTTATTGCTATAAACTTCCCTCTTAGCACTGCTTTTGTTGTATCTCATAGGTTTTGATATGTTGTGTTTTGATTTTCACTTGTTTCAAGAAATGTTTTGATTTCCCTCTTAATTTCTTTCTTGACCTAGTGGTCATTTTGGAGCATGTTTTTTTCCATGTATTCATACAGTTTTCAAAGTTTAATTTCCATGTATTCATACAGTTTTCAAAGTTTCTCTTATTATTGATTTATAGTTCTAATCCATTGTGGTCTAAAAAGATACTACATATAATTTCAGTTTTTTTAAATTTGTTGAGACATGTTTTATGTCCTAACATATGGTCTATCCTGGAGAATGTCCCATGTGCTGATGAGAAGAATGTGTATTCTATAGCCATTGGATGAAATGTTCTGTAAAAGTCTGTTAGGTCCATTTGGCATAAAGTGCAGTTTAAATCCAATGTTTCTTTATAAATATTCCGTCCAGATGATCCATCTAATGGTGATAGGAGGGTGTTGAAGTCTCCAACTATTATTGTATTGGACTTCATCTCTCTCTTTAGTAATATTTGCTTTATATATCTGAGTGCTCTATTGTTGGCTACACATATATTTAGAATTGTATTTCTTGCTGAGTTGATCTCTTTATCATTATATAATGGTCTTTTTTGTCTATTTTTACTGTTTTTTGAATTAAAGTCTGTTTTATCTGTATCTGATATAAGTATAGGTGTTTCTGCTTGCTTTTGGTTTCCATTTGCAGGATTATCTTTTTACATTCCTTTACTTTTAGTCTATATGTTTTGTTTTGTTTTGGTTTTTTGTTTGTTTTGTTTTTTGTTTTTTTTGAGACAGAGTCTTGCTCTGTCACCCGGGCTAGAGTGCAGAGGCACGATCTTGGCTCACTGCAAGCTCCGCCTCCCAGGTTCACGCCATTCTCCCACCTCAGCCTTCCTAGTAGGTGGAACTACAGGTGCCCACCACCACACCCGGCTAATTTTGTTTTTGTATTTTTAGTAGAGACAGGGTTTCACCATGTTAGCCCGGATGGTCTCAATCTCCTGACCTTGTGATCTTCCCACCTTGGCCTCCCAAAGTGCTGGGATTACAGGCATGAGCCACCATGCCTGGCCTAGTCTATATGTGTTTTCACAGGTGAAATAAACTTCTTGTAGGCAGCATATAGTGAGTCATTTTTAAATCCATTCAGCTAGTCTATATCTTTTAAGTGGAAAGTTTAATCTGTTTACATTCAAGGTTAGTATTAATATGTGAGGGGTTATTTCTGTCATTTTATTAATTAATTTCTAGTTGTTCTGTATATCCTTTGTTTCTTTCTTTCTCTCTTACTGTTTATCATTGTGGTTTGGTGGTTTTCTGCAGTGGTAACATTTGAGTCCTTTCTCTTCTTCATTTATGTGTTTGTTCTACCAGTATGTTTTATACTTTTCTGTTTTCATGCTGGTAGATATGATTTTTTCACTTCTGGATGTAGAACTGCCTGAAGCATTTCTTGTAGGGCCAGTGTAGTTGTGATGAATTCCCTTAGTTTTTGCATATCTGGAAAATACTTTATTTCTTCTACATTTATAAAAGATAAGTTTTCTGAGTATAGAATTCTTGGCTAACAGGTTCCCCCCCTCCCCCACTTTCAGGACTATGGCCATATCATCCCATTTTCCCCTGGCCTGTAAGGTTTCTGTTGTTAGTCCGATGATGGTTCCCTTACAGGTGACTAGACACATTTCTGTTGCTGTTCTTAGAATGCTATCTTTGTTTTTGACTTCCAACAGTTTGACTATAATATGCAGTAAAGACCTTTAAGAATCATGTCTATTTGTGAATCTCTGAACTTCTTGTATCTGGATGTCTAAATCTCTTGCAAACTTGGGAACACTTCAGCTATTATTTTGTTAAATAGGTTTCTATCTTTTTTATTTTATTTTCACCTCTGAAACACCAAAAGTTCAATAAGTTGTTTCCCTTACAGTGTCCCATATGTCCTGTAGGCTATGTTCATTCTTTTTTCATTTTTTTCTTTATTTTTATCTAATGGAGTTCTTTCAAAAGACCTGTCTTCAAGTTCTGAAATTCTTTCTTCTGCTTGATCTAGTCTTTTTTTTTTTTTTTTTTTTTTTGAGACAGAGTCTTGCTGTGTTGCCAGGCTGGAGTGCAGTGGCACGATCTTGGCTCACTGCAACTTCTGCCTGCCAAGTTCAAGCAATTCCCCTGCCTCAACCTCCTGAGTAGCTGGGACTACCGGTGCATGCCACATGCCCAGCTAATTTTTTGTATTTTAGTAAAGAAGGGGTTTCACCATGTTGGCCAGAATGGTTTTGGTCTCCTGACCTCATGATCTGCCCACCTTGGCCTCCTAAAGTGCTGGGATTACAGGAGTGAGCCACCACACCTGGCCAATCTAGTCTATTTTTAAAGCATTTGAAAGTATTTTGTATTTCATTCAAATGAATTCTTTACTTCCAGAATTTCTGTTTGGTTCTTTTTTTTACGATCTCTATCTCTTTGGTAAACCTCTCATTCACATTATGAATTGTTTTTCTGATTTCCTTGTATTGTTTATCTGTGTTCTCTTATATCTCACTGAGGTTCTTTAATATAATTATATTGAGTTCTTTTTCAGGGATATCTTAAGTTTGTTTTTATTGGAACCTGTTGCTGGAGAATTATTGTGTTTTTTGAAGGTATTAGATTTCCTTGCTTTTTTATGTTTCCGTGTCCTTAAATTGATATCTACACATCTGGTATAACAGTTGCTTCTTACATTTTTTAAAATTTGTTTTCATAGAGGAGGATATTTTCCTGAAGATGTACTTGCAGTGGTTGTTGGTAGGGAACTTTGGTTGTGATTCTGGGTGCATGCAATATTGTAGTCATTATGTGATTTTTTTTGGCTATAAACAACCTCAGTGGTGTCTGTGAATTTTTCATTGGCTCAGGGTGCAGTTATTGGAGACTGTGGTGAGGTTTTGCTGGGGATGGGAATGCCAAGTGGGCTAGTCCTTGGGCCCCAGTGGTGGCAGCAGTGGGCCAAATGGTCCTGTCCTTGGGCACTAGTGTTAGCAGCTCCAGGCGGGCTGATTCTTGGGCCTTCAGATAGCTTTCCCAGGTGCCAACAGTGGCAGTGATGGGGCAGGAGGTAGGTTGGCCTTTGGGCCCCTAGGCAGAAGCTGTGGCATGGGCAATGGCGGTAGCAGTCACTTAACAATCCTCTGGCTCCCAAGTGGTCTGCATTGGTGTTGGCAGTGGCTGCAATGGGATAGGACGGCCAGTCCCCAGGCCTGCAGGTTGCATGTGCAGGTGAGTACTAGCTGTGGTGATAGCAGCAGGTTAGGTCGGCACAACCTGGGAGGAGTGCTCAGATACCAATCATTGTGAACACAGCCAGTTAATTTCTGGGCCTTCCAATGGTATACTTGGGCAGTAGGGGGAGGGAGTGTGGAACCAGGCGAAGCAGACCTATCCTCAGGCCCTGCTGTGGTGCACGCATGTGCTGGTTGTGGTAGGCAGGGGCAGGGTGCCCTGCTACTGGGAAGAGTGGGGTTACTTTCAGTGGCAGCACCTGCAGGTGGTTGGCTAGGGAGCACAAGCTTCATCCCCAGGTAGCAGCTGTGGATAGGGTAACCTGTCCTTAGGACACTTGTAAATGCATGCTGACTCTACTACTAAGGAAGTGGGGTCACTGCCAGTGGCTTGCACTTTGGCCCTGGTAGTGGCATCCAGCAGTGGGACACATAAAAATGTGTGATGGCACACTACTGGGGATATCAGGGCCACTGTCAATAGTTACTGCTTCAGCCCTGGTAGCAACAGCCAGCCACAGCAGTGCCCCCACATGGGGAATGTCAGTGGGGCTCCAGGAATGTGTAGATGCAGGGACTGTTGTGCTTCAGCACAGGCTGCAGTTTGGCGGAGGCTAGGCTCTCAAAATGGCACTGTGCTGTAGCTGCTTAGGACTCAGGGGGTATGTGGGACCTCGTATGAGCTCCTTCTATGGAGCAATGCTTTTGTGTCAACTCTAGGCAGCTCTCTATGTTAGTCTTATGGCCTGTGAGAGTTGAGAGCCTCTCCTGTGGCTAGGATTGCAGGAGTCCATGATGGGAATGTGGACTACTGAGATCTCTTACTTACCCTTTTCCCACATTGGGGAGTATCTCCAGGTTCTTAGCTGAGCAGACGGTCTTGGCTTCCCTTTCCTTTTTTGCCTTAAGTGTTTCCTGTCACTTCTCTGTTGAATTCTACTCTTCTCTTAGAGGATCTGTTCAAAGTGTGATTATCTACTCGCTATTTGGTTCCTCTGTGGAGGAGGCATGTACCCGATGCCTCTAGTTATTCTCGATTTTGCTGCTTTTTAAAGAATCCCCTAATGAGTCAAAACTTGCTCCAGTTTTGGACAACCTTTATGATGATAATTGAATAATACTTCAGAGCCTTATGTTTATTTTTATTGAATATCCAAATTGCACATAACGCTCTCCCCCGAGCTTGTTCCCCACTAGCCTCTGAAATACTGTCCATCATTTTACTATGCTTTGTTTCTGAAAACATCTTCTCTAAATAATAACAAATTGATTAGACTATTGATTCAAACTTTTAGACTATTGAAGGTTTTTTGTTTGTGTTGTTTTGAATTAGGTTCTGTGCTTTAATTCCAGAACACAGTGAGGGAAAGGCAACAGAGATGAATAAGATAATCCCTGACTTTAGGGGAAATAGCCCACCATCTAGTGGGGGAATGTTCATCTACCGGCAACTAACTATAGCATACAGAATGTCCTGTGGTACATACAGGCCCCAGAAACTTGCCATGGAAGAAAAGCTAAAAAGAGAAATTAACTCAAGGGACCAGGAAATGTTTCATTGAGTGATGGAGTTTGAGTTGAGCCTTTAAAGCAAGTGAAAAAGATCGCATTTCTGCTTTGTCTTAAAATCATAACCTACCACTAAGTGTTGATGAAAAGAGTCAAACTCTGTAAAATATTTGAATAGATTTATCCTGAACCAAATACGAATGACCAGTGGCCCATGACACAGCCGCAGGAGATCCTGAGAACATGTGCCCAAGGTGGTTGGACTACAACTTGGTTTTAGACATTTTAGGGAGATATAAGTCATCAGTCAATGCATGTAAGATGTACATTGCTTTGGTCTGGAAAGGCAAGACAACTGGAAGTAGGGGGCTTTCAGGTCATAGGCAGATTCAGAGATTTTTCTGATTGGCAATTGCTTGAAAGAGTTATTAGATAACTCATTAGATAAGAGCTGAAATCAATAGAAAGGAATGTCTGTATTAAGATAAGGAGTTGTGGAGACCAAGGTTTTATTATGCTGATGAGCCTCCAGGTAGCTGACTTCAGTGCTGTTATGAGACCTTAAAAGGTGCCAGACTGTTAATTCATTCTCTCCTGGATCAGAGGAAAGATCCAGAAAGGAAAGGTGATTCTCCGCAAAATGTAGGTTTGCTCCACAAGAGACAGTTTGGTAGGGCCATTTCAAACTATATCAAAGGAATATATTTTGGAGTAAAATATTTCAATTTCTTTCAGGGGCTGCTATCTATTATGTGATGTTATACTAGAGTCAGGCTGGAACTTGGTGTCTTATTGCTACAAAAGTCAGTCTTAAGATCTCTGTTTTAATGTTACTGATGGTCAGCTGTGCCTGGATTCCAAAGGAAGGAGGGTGTATAATGAGGTGTGTCTGACTCTCACTTCCCATCATGGCCTCAACTAGATTTTCAGGTTTACATTGGAATGTCCTTGGCTGAGAGGGGGTCCATCAGGCAGTTGGGGGTTTAGAATTTTATTTTTGGTTTACATAAGGGAGTTTTCATTAAGGATCTTTTGAGTTGAAAGTTATAGCTGGCTCACATTTAGGTGTTACTATCCGTGTATAATATATACAGCACTATATTGTCAGATTGAGTGACTTGTGTGTACCAAGGATGCTGGCAGTTAGTCTGATAAGCTCAGTTTTTAATCAACTCTTTGATTAATTAGTTTTCCAACTTTAGTAAATGTGCCTCAAAGATCACTGAAGAGTTGGCAAAGGAAATGGAAACTGCCGTAATTGACCTCTGAGTTTTCTACCATCTCTTAGCTTCTAGATCTTCACAGAGGTATGGGAAATTAGCCCACATCTCGGTTAATCTAAAGAAAAAAAAAAAAAAAAACCTGAGAAGTTTCTTCTTGAACTGAATTACTGATGACCTTGTTTTCTTGAGAGCCAACTTTTCCTGTTAAAGTTGTGGTGCCAAAAAAAAAAAACTTTCATTGAATGGTTCTAGTTTATTAAAGTTCTAAATAGCTTTTCTGTGATCTCTGAAAAAGTTGTTTTCATGCACGTCTGTGTGAAGAGACCACCAAACAGGCTTTGTGTGAGCAACAAGGCTGTTTATTGCACCTGGGTGCAGGCGGGCTGAGTCCGAAAAGAGAGTCAGTGAAGGGAGATAGGGGTGGGGCCGTTTTATAGGATTTGGGTAGGTAAAGGAAAAAGGGGGGTTGTTCTCTAGTGGGCAGGAGTGGGGGTCACAAGGTGCTCAGCAGGGGAGCTTTTGAGCCAGGATGAGCCAGGAGAAGGAATTTCACAAGATAACGTCATCGTTAAGGCAGGAACAGGCCATTTTCACTTCTTTTGTGGTGGACTGTCATCAGTTACGGCAGGAACAGGCCATCTGGATGTGTATGTGCAGGTCACAGGGGATATGATGGCTTAGCCTGGGCTCAGAGGCCTGACATTCCTGTCTTCTTATATTAATAAGAAAAATAAAATGAAATAGTGGTAAAGTGTTGGGACGGTGAAAATTTTGGGGGATGGTATGGAGATATAATGGGCGATGTTTCTCAGGGCTGCTTCGAGTGGGATTAGGGGCGGCGTGGGAACCTAGAGTGGGAGAGATTAAGCTGAAGGAAGATTTTGTGGTAAGGGGTGATATTGTGCGGTTGTTAGAAGAAACATTTGTCATTTAGAATTATTGGTGATGGCCTGGATACAGTTTTGTATGAATTGAAAAACTAAACGGAATAAGAGAAGGAGAAAAACAGGTTTTAAAGGACTAAGAATTGGGAGGACCTAGGACATCTAATTAGAGAGTGCCAAAGGAGGTGCAGCATAGCCTTGCCCGCAAAAATTATTTATTTACTTTAAGAGTTAAGAGTGGCGGTTTGGGGATAGCACCAGGAGATATCAGCTGTGATGGCTTGGAGAAACAGTGTAAACTGGCAGTGTAAACAAGAGCAGGGCACGTATGAGTAGTTGAGAATGGTGAATAGGAGTACGACTAGACAGGAGATAGTAGGGATGACAAGTTTTTTGGGGCACAGTCCAAGTTGGTCTGGTGTCTGGAATGAGACTGGGGCCTAATAAAAAGGAGCGTCTATACAGGAGCTCAAATGGGCTGTACCTTGTAGCATTCCAAGGACAGGCCTGAATTCTGAGAAGGGAAAGTGGTAAAAGTATTGTCCAGTCCTTTTTAAGTTGGTGGCTGAGCTTGGTGAGGTATGTTTTTAAAAGACCATTAGTCCGTTCTACCTTTCCTGAAGACTGAGGACTGTAAGGGATATAAAGGTTTCACTGAATACTAAGAACCTGAAAAAACGCTTGGCTGATTTGATGAATAAAGGCCGGTCTGCTATTGGACTATATAGAGGTGGGAAGGCCAAACCGAGGAATTATGTCTGACAGAAGGGAAGAAATGACCATGGTGGCCTTCTTAGACCTTGTGGGAAAGGCCTCTACCTATCCAGTGAAAGTGTCTACCTAAACCAAGAGGTATTTTAGTTTCCTGACTCAGGGCATGTTGAGTAAAGCTAATTTGCCAGTCCTGGGTGGAGGCAAATCCCTGAGCTTGATGTGTAGGGAAGGGAGGGGGCCTGAATAATCCCTGAGGAGCAGTAGAATAGCAGATGGAACACTGAGAAGTTATTTCCTTGAGGATAGATTTCCACGATGGAAAGGAAATGAGAGGTTCTAAGAGGCGGGCTAGCGGCTTGTACTATAGCACAGCCTGCCTTTGCTGGTGTGTGGCGATTACGCCTGGTGGAACTGCCATCCATAAACCAAGTGTGATCAGGGTGAGAAGCAGGGAAGAAGGAAATGTGGGGAAATGGGGTGAACGTCAGGTGGATCAGAGAGATGCAGTCATGGGGGTCAGGTGTGTATCCGGAATAATGTGGGAGGCCGGATTGAAGTCCGGGCCAGGAACAATGGTAATTGTGGGAGACTCAACAAAGAGTGAGTACAGCTGAAGGAGCCGGGGAGCAGAAAGTATATATGTCAGGTGTGAGGAAGAAAATAGATTTTGGAAGTTATGAGAGCTGTAGAGAGTGAGTTGAGCATAGTTTGTGATTTTAAGGGCTTCTAAAAGTATTAAGGCAGCAGCAGCCACTGCACGGAGACATGATGGCCAGCCTGAAACAGTAAGGTCAAGTTGTTTGGACAAAAAGTCTACAGGATGTGATCCTGGTCCCTGTGTAAGAATTCTGATTGCACAGCCCTGCACTTCAGCTGTGTGTAATGAAAAGGGTTGGGATGAGTCAGGGAGAGCTAGAATGGGGGCAGTCTCTAAAGCTGTCTTCAAGGAACGGAAAGAGGAGTGGGGAAAGGATTTAGGATCTTTGGGGTCAGCTACGTTTCCTTTTGTGAGTTTATAGAATGGTTTTTTTAGGATGGCAAAACCAGGTATCTAAAGGTGAAAGTATCTAACCGTGCCTAGGAAGGAAAGGAGTTGTTGTTTTGTAGAAGGTGCTGGGGTTTGAGAGATCAGTCGGACACTATCGGCAGGGAGAGCACGTGTGTCTTTATGAGAATTATGCTAAGATAGGTAACAGGTAAGGAAGAAATTTGGGCTTGACTAAAGTAATGGGGGCTGTCTGTGAAGCTTTGGGGCAGTACAGCCCAGGTAATTTGCTGAGCCTGATGGGTGTCAGGGTCAGTCCAAGTGAAAGTGAAAAGAGGCTGGGATGAAGGGTGCAAAGGAATAGTAAAGAAAGCATGTTTGAGATCCAGAACACAATAATGGATTATGGAGTGAGGTATTGAGGATAGGAGAGTATATGGGTTTGACACCATGGGGTGGATAGGCAAAACAATGTGGTTGATAAGGCATAGATCCTGAACTAACTTGTAAGGCTTGTCTGGTTTTAGGACAAGTGAAATGGGGGAATTGTAAGGAGAGTTTATAGGCTTTAAAAGGCCATGCTGTAGCAGGAGAGTGATAACAGGCTTTAGTCTTTTCAAAGCATGCTGTGGGATGGGATATTGGCGTTGAGCGGGGTAAGGGTGATTAGGTTTCAATGAGATGGTAAGGGGTGCATGATCGGTCACCAAGGAGGGAGTAGAGGTATCTTATACTTGTGGGTTAAGGTAGGGGGATACAAGAGGAGGACGCAAAGGAGGCTTTGGATTGGGAAGAAGGGCAGTAATGAGGTGTGGCTGTAGCCCAGGAATAGTCAGGGAAGCAGATAATTTAGTTAAAGTGTCTCGGCCTAATAAGGGAACTGGGCAGGTGGGGATAACTAAAAAGGAGTGCTTAAAAGAGTATTGTCTAAGTTGGCACCAGAGTTGGGGAGTTTTAAGAGATTTAGAAGCCTGGCCGTCAATACCCACAACAGTTATGGAGGCAAGGGAAACAGGCCTTTGTAAAGAAGGTAATGTGGAGTGGGTAGCCTCCGTATTGATTAAGAAGGGGATGGGCTTACCTTCCACTGTGAGAGTTACTGGCAGCTCGGCGTCCGTGATGGTCTAGGGGGCTTCCGAGGTGATCGGGCAGTGTCAGTCTTCAGCTGCTAAGCCGAGAAGATCTGGGAAGGAGTCAGTCAGAGAGCCTTGGGCCGGAGTTCCAGGGGCTCTGGGAGTGGCTGCCAGGTGAGTTGAACAGTCTGATTTTCAGTGGGGTCCCGCATAGACAGGACACGGCTTAGGAGGAATCCCAGGCTGCGAGCATTCCTTGGCCTGGTGGCCAGATTTCTGGCACTTGTAGCAAGCTCCTGGGGGAGGCAGTTCTGGAGGAATGCCTGGCCGCTGCAGTTCAGGTATTTGGAAGTTCTTGTGTGCTGGAGATGTGGCTGGGGTTTGTCTCACAGTGGAGGCAAGGAATTGCAACTCAGAAATACATTGTTACTTGGCTGCCTCTATTCTATTATTGTACACCTTGAAGGCGAGGTTAATTAAATCCTGTTGTGGGGTTAAAGGGCCGGAATTTAATTTTTGGAGTTTTATTTAATGTTGGGAGCAGATTGGGTAATAAAATTTATATTGAGAATAAGACGGCCCTTTTGACCTTTTAGGGTCTAGGGCTGTAAAGTGTCTCAGGGTTGCTGCCAAACGAGTCATGAACTGGGCTGGGTTTTTATATTTGATGAAAAAGAGCCTAAACACTATCTGATTTGGAATAAAGAAAAAGGAGCGTTAACCTTGACTATGCCTTTAGCTCTCCAGCCACCTTTTTAAGAGTAAATTGCTGGGCAGGTAGGGGAGGGCTAGTCATGGAACAAAACTGTAAGCCGGCCTGGGTGTGAGGAGGGGAGGTGATATAAGTATTATATGGTGGAGGAGCGGAGGCTGAGGAAGAATTGGGACCTAGCTCAGCCTGGTGAGGAGGGGAGAGGTCAGATGGGTCTGTAGAAAAGGAAGATTAGAAAGACTCAGCGACGCTTGGGGTTGGGACTGAGGGGACAGGCGGGAGGGAAAGAAGGAAGATTTGGGATGAGTTGCACTGGGAACACAGACTGGGGGGGACTGATGTGTAAAAGAATGCCTGGACGTCAGGCACCTCAGACCGTTTGCCTATTTTACGAAAAGAATTATTTAGATTTTGTAGGATGGAAAAATTGAAAGTGCCATTTTCTGGCTATTTGGAACCACTGTCAAGTTTGTATTGGGGTCAAGCGGCATTGCAGAAGAAAATAAGGCATTTAGGTTTTAGGTCAGGTGCGAGTTAAAGAGGTTTTAGGTTTTTGAGAACACAGGCTAAGGGAGAAGAAGGGGGAATGGAGGGTGGAAGGTTGCCCATAGTGAAGGAGGCAAGTTTAAAGAGAAGGGTAGAGACACGGAGGGAAGGGGTTCGGGTGTTTTTACCCTCCAGAAAAGCGAGAAAGGGGTTGGGGCGTGGAAGTAAGGGGTTGGGGCACAGAGATAAGTGGTCAGGGTGCAGAAATAAGGGATTGGGGTGCAGAGATAAGGGGTCGGGGCATGGAAATAAGGGATCGGGGCACAGAGATAAGAGGTCGGGGTGCAGAAATAAGGGATCAGGGCGCAGAGATAAGGGGTTGGGGCATGGAAATAAGGGGTAGGGGCACAGAGATAAGAGGTTGGGGTGCAGAAATAAGGGATCAGGGCGCAGAGATAAGAGGTCGGGGTGCAGAAATAAGAGATTGAGGCACAGAGATAAGAGGTCAGGGTGTGGAAATAAGGGATCAGGGCGCAGAGATAAGAGGTCGGGGTTCCTGCCCCTCCCCCAGAAAAGCGGGACTTGCCGCTAAGGGTGAAGGACCAAGGCAGGCATCCCTGCGTGGTCTGACACCTTTGAAACATGGGTGAATAATCAGAGAGGCGTCCCTGCAATGATTAAACACCAAGGGAAGGCTGCCTTCCCTAGTCCGTGACCAGTGCCGGAGTTTTGGGTCCATGGATAAAACATGTCTCCTTTGTCTCTACCAGAAAATGAAAGGAATTGAAATTAAGAGAAGGGAGAAATTGAAGTGTGGTGCCAAGATTGAAAGGAGAAAGAGGTTGAGGGATAGCGAGAGAGGTTCGAGAAGACAGTAAAAAGAGGCCGCTTACCGGATTTGAAATTGGTGAGATGTTTCTTGGGCTGGTCGGTCTGAGGACCTGAGGTCGTAGGTGGATCTTTCTCACAGAGCAAAGAGCAGGAGGACAGGGGATTGATCTCCCAAGGGAGGTTCCCCCCCTCCAGTCACAGCACCAAATTTCACGCACGTCCGTGTGAAGAGACCACCAAACAGGCTTTGTGTAAGCAACAAGGCTGTTTATTTCACCTGGGTGCAGGCAGGCTGAGTCCGAATAGAGAGTCAGTGAAGGGAGATAGGGGTGGGGCCGTTTTATAGGATTTGGGTAGGTAAAGGAAAAAGGGGGTTTGTTCTCTGGTGGGCAGGAGTGGGGGTCACAAGGTGCTCAGTAGGGGAGCTTTTGAGCCAGAATGAGCCAGGAGAAGGAATTTCACAAGATAATGTCATCAGTTAAGGCAGGAACAGGCCATCTGGATGTGTATGTGCAGGTCACAGGGGATATGATGGCTTAGCTTAGGCTCAGAGGACTGACAGTTGTCTTATCTCTGAGTGAGTGATAAAGTCGAAGTAACTGAGACAAGTTAAATAAGAACTGGATCAGTTAGACAGTTTGTACCTGCAGTAGTTGGTGTGAAGGAAAGGCCCTGGACTGAGCCTGTAATGATTGGGTCCAGCCTTCCAGAAGCTCCTGTCCCCATGGAGAAACGGTTCCCTTATTAACTGGTGAGAGACAATAATTACAGGCTTGAAAAGGATCTGGGGGAGTGAAGCTTGGAAAACAGAAGATACCCTAGTTTCATTGTGATTTTCCTATGTCTGATCTCTAATGGGTCATGCCAGGCCTGATTAGAAACCCAGCAGGTTGGGGAGCCATGGACAAGAATTCCTGATTTCTCATGTTGTCCTTTGGAGAAGCTGTTTCCAATTGCAGTTTGACAGGAGTTGTGGAGGCCCCCACAGCCATAATCCTTGCAGTTTGTATGACTTCAGCAGTCTTGCATGTGTACTCTGTTTTCCACAGCAGTGGCAAAACTGGCTGTGAAATCAGCTTATTCCTCCAAAGCCGTAAAGCCTCCTTTTAAAGAACACTATTTGAAGGCATAGTTGCATTGCAAAGGGGAGGAGAGGGCTAGCGGCTGGAGTTAAAATTCTTAGAGGGATAACTAACAAATCCATTTTCAACTCTATTTAATCAGCGTTTAGCATTTAATGCATTTGATTGTTACTAAGGCGACAGATTCTTGGATACTTTACAAATGAAATTGCAGATGTTCATGTGCCTCCAAAAATTTCTTTTAAATCTTGTAACAGAGATTGTGAGTTTGTTCCTTCAATTCCTTACACATGGAAAACTCTCAGTAAGTAACTTTAAATATGCAAAGAATACAAAATTTGGAAAACAAACCACCCTGTTTTGGGTAGCAAGTTACAAAATAATGTATTAATCATTTTTGGTCTCCATGAATTTTCATGGCAGACTGAAAAGAAGGTGATTATACTTTTAAAATAGCATTTTTGGTAATAGTCACATCTTATTTTTTCTAAACAATAAGGTCATTGCATTTGATGAATGAGAACCTTCCACTATTTGCTTTTGCTCTTGAATGCCTTAAAATAAAAATATCACTATAATTTCAAAACTCTAGCTTATATGGACCCTGCTTAGCAGGCATCCTGCTGCTTGAGAACAAGGCTTGGCACTGAAACTTATCTAGTTCCTATAAAATGGTTGATTTTGTGATGAGCTACTAGCCCATACATTACATCAGAAAATATGACAGGCTGACACTCATCTTGTCATTTTCTTTGCTAACATGAGAAGTGCCTTGAGAGGAAATTAGAAGGAAAATAGTATGCTTTTGTTTAATATTACTTAAGAGGACTTGATCATCCTTAAGCTTTTATTCTCTTCTTTCTAAATATCATCCTGGATCCTGGCCAGCTCAAGCATGTCTGTGTGATATCTTGTGCTGGTGAGTAGTCAAGACGTGCGGGGGGAACTGTAGCATGCAGACACAAAAGCCAGCATGGAGAAACCAGCCCCTTGGCAACCTGCCCAGCCATCTGCAACTCAACAGGCAGGATCTCTTCAGTTCATAGAATGACACTTTACATACACTGAACTGTTTTAGCTAAAGAGAGGAACATGCTAACAAACATGAGGAAACCAAAGCCTAGACCAAATTCACACAGTAATTTCATGGCAAAGCCAAGACTAGAACTTGAGTCTCTTAACTTGTAACACTTCACCTTTTAAATTATTCTTTATTTGAGTTAAGGTAAAAAAATTAATAACTAGAAAAACCAGAAAATTAGTTTAAAATACTTGTATGGAGTTATAAAATAGTGAATATTCAAAAATTTTCAAGAGTTAAAATATATATATGTATACACCTACTGGGTACCCACAAAAATTTCAAAAAATAAAAATAAATAGTGAATACAGGCCGGGCACAGTGGCTTATGACTGGAATCCTAGCACTTTGGGAGGCTGAGGTGGGAGGATCACCTGAGGTCAGGAGATTGAAACCAGCCTAACCAACATGGCAAAACCCTGTCTCTACTAAAAATACAAAAATTAGCTGGGCGTGGTGGTGTGGGCCTGTAACCCCAGCCACTTGGGAGGCTGAGGTGGGAGAATTGCTTGAACCAGAGAGGTGGAGGTTGCAGTGAGCCAAGATCACACCACTGCACTCCACTCCAGCCTGGGAGACAGAGTGAGACTCCATCTCAAAAAAAAAAAAAAAAAAAAAGTGGGTACATAATCCAATTGATGAGTAATCAAGATCATAGATTAAAATGCAGCATAAATCTTGTAACTTACTTTTGAACTTTTTGAAAGCATAAGAAAATATTTTGTTTTTCTTCTTTTTTTAATCTCACATCACTTCCAAGTAAAGCGGTTAGATAGCTAAGAGCACAGGTTCTGTGTAGATTGAAACGTCAGCTCTCCCATTCACTGGCAATGTGATCTTGGGTATATTACTTTGTTCATTGCCTCGGTTTCTTCACCTGTAAAATGGGGATCATGATATTAGTGCCTGCATTGAAGGATAAAGCCCTTAGAACAGTGGGTGGCACATAGTAAGCACATGATAAATGTTAGCTGCCATTGTCATGATCAATATGATCAATATTACTACTTTAGCAGGTTCTTTCTACCAAACTACAGAGAGCCTGGGAATGAGTCGTTGTCGGGCAGTTGGCTCTCAGCAAGCCTCTTCATTTTGCTCAGGCAGACAGTGCTGCAGCTGACATTGTGAGTCCTTGACTTGAAACCCAAGGCTCCAGTGACAGTTTTCTAAGCTGTCTTTTGCCAGTTGACTTTCATGACTCACATTCCAGGTGGTCATTTTTGACACATCCTCGTAGATGTCAACATGTTAGGGAAGAACACAAAGTCTGTAACATCCAAGAAGCCTCTAAGTCTATTCTGCTAGTAGGTAAGAGTGAATGTAAAACTGCACTTTCCTGAACAATAATTTATAAAAATATCACAAAGACTGATTGTTGAAATAAAGTATGTTAGAAATGCTGTCAATGTAGGCCAGGTGCGGTGGCTCATACCTGTAATCCCAGCACTTTGGGAGGCCAAGGCAGGCGGATCACGAGGTCAGGAGATCAAGACCATCCTGGCTAACACGGTGAAACACTGTCTCTACTAAAAATACAAAAAAAATTAGCCGGGCATGGTGGAGCGCACCTGTAGTCCCAGCTTCTCAGGAGGCCAAGGCAGGAGAATGGCATGAACCCAGGAGGCGGAGCTTGCAGTGAGTGGAGATTGCACCACTGCACTCCAACCTGGATGACAGAGTGAGACTCCATCTCAAAAAAAAAAAAAAAAAAAGTCAGGAAAGAACAGATGCTACTTCCTATAGGATCATCATGATTACCACATTTAGATGTTGCAGTGTCTCTCTCTGTTGCTGATGATAACAGCGTGTCTTTTCAGCTCTTAATTTTAGGCAAACTGACCTCTGATGGAAAACAGTATACTAGGATGTTTAAATAAGTAAAACAATCTCTTTTTTTTGTACTTTTAGAATCCCCTATAGCTGGTGTCCTATCACTATGATTATGCAAAACTGGTCTGTTAGCATTATTAAAAACATTTTTCTTATTAGCATCTTATTTTATTTATTTATTTATTTATTTTACTTTAAGCTCTGGGATACATGTGCAGAACATGCAGGTTTGTTATATATGTATACATGTGCCATGGTAGTTTGCTGCACCTATCAACCCATCACCTAGTTTTTAAGCCTTGCATGCATTAGGTATTTGTCCTAATGCTCTTCCTCCCCTTGCCCCCCAGCCCCGATAGGCCTCGGTGTGTGATGTTCCCCTCCCTGTGTCCATGTGTTCTCGTTGTTCAACTTCTACTTACGAGTGAGAACAGGCAGTGTTTGGTTTTCTGTTCTTGTGTTAGTTTGCTGAGAATGATGGTTTCCAGCTTCATCCACGTTCCTGCAAAGGACATGAACTCATTCTTTTTTATGGCTGCATAGTATTCCATGGTGTATATGTGCCACATTTTCTTTATCCAGTCTATCATTGATGGACATTTGGGTTGGTTCCAAGTCTTTGCTATTGTAAATAGTGCTACAATAAACATATGTATGCATGTGTCTTTATAGTAGAATTATTTATAATCCTTTGGGTATATACCCAGTAATGGGATTGCTGGGTCAAATGGTATTTCTGGTTCTAGATCCTTGTGAAATTCACCACACTGTCTTCCACAATGGTTGAACTAATTTACACTCCCACCAACAGTGTAAAAGCATTATTTCTCCACAGCCTCACCAGCATCTGTTGTTTCCTAACTTTTTAATGATCACCATTCTAGCTGGTGTGAGATGCTATCTCATTGTGGTTTTGATTTGCATTTCTCTCATGACCAGTGATGATGAGCTCTTTTTCAAATGTTTGTTGGCCACACAGATGTCTTCTTTTGAAAAGTGTCTGTTCATACCCTTGACCCACTTTTTGATGGGGTTGTTTGTTTTTTTCTTGTAAATTTGTTTAAGTTCATTGTAGATTCTGGATATTAGACCTTTGTCAGATGGATAGATTGCAAAAATTTTCTCCCATTCTATAGGTGGCCTGTTCACTCTGATGCTAGTTTCTTTTGCTGTGCAGAAGCTCTTTAGTTTAATTAGATCCCATTTGTCAATTCTGGCTTTTGTTGCCATTGCTTTTGGTGTTTTAGTCATGAAGTCTTTGCCCATGCCTATGTCCTGAATGGTATTGCCTAGGTTTTCTTCTAGGGCTTTTATGGTTTTAGGTTTTACATTTAAGACTTCAATGCATCTTGAGTTAATTTTTGTATAAGGTGTAAGGAAGGGGTCCAGTTTCTGTTTTTTGTGTATGGCTAGCCAGTGTAAAACAAGCTTTTATTCCAGTTTTCTTTGGTACTCCCTGTTTCCTCAAAGAGGTTCTGGCTGCTGGCATCTGTTTCCAACAGCAGACCTGTCTTCCCTGCAGTCACTCAGGACTGACTTAGTCACACGAGGGATCTTCCGTACTCCAATTTATTGCATATTAGCTCCAGTGTGCTAAAGTTCTTGCTTTGTATGTTTTCTGGCAATGGTTTTCAAAATACTAGTTCTTTGGAGGTGCTGGGCTACCCAAGTCGTTTGGCCAGCAGGAAGTCAAAGGAGGCAGTTGCAAATGAAAGGGCTTAAGATGAGAGCTGCTTCCTGAGAGCACGGCATTGATATCTGTGGGATTCCAATCCTGCCTCTCTTTCCTCTGTCCCAAATGTGGACTGTGATGTCCTCAGAACCACAGACCATGTCTTGCTGAAGTTGGAAAGGAGGGTGAGGGAGGGGGAAGAACCAAGTACAAGAAACTCTGACATCCCTTGTTCCCATTATTTTTAAACGTCGTTTCCCAAAACGAAATGAATTTTTATGTAATCCTGAAAGGAAGAGATAGTCTCCTTTTTATTAGTAGAGAAACAGACGCACACACACAGATGTCGTATATGGAATCTGAACTTTAGACCGGGGCACAGGCACAGTTTGTGGCCTGTTAATAAATCTGCACATTCACAGCAGGATATGAGAGTTTTATTAATGTGTTCTTAGGCCAGAGAGCTTGGTAAAAACAGGTATAGGGAGGCCCCATGCTGGCCAGCACTGTCCCTGCTAGTCTCCCACTGTTTTCTGTGGCCACACCCTCCCTGTGGCCATCTCCCCACCCCTACTACCTAAGTCTCAGAAGAGAGTTTTGTGTGACACAAAAGAAACCTTATTCCTGAACACTCATTCAGTGTGTAGATGTGGGTAAAAGAAATTAGTTTTTCAAACATTTTCATTTTGATTTATCATGTGGGCTTTAGCACCTGAGTGATTTATGATGCAGATGGCTTGATCTGTGCTCTGATTTGGGAACAGCACGCATGCCGTCTGTGGAACTCTGGGTGCTCAAAGGGGCTGTGTTCTTCAAAGGGTGTCTCCTTGGCACATGTGACAGGCCCAGGAAGTCCTGAGCAAAGCAGTCCTGGGCACGCACTCTTCGCGTGGATCCATGGCCAATGACCTGGATGCCTGAGCTAAGACATCATGGAATGCCTGTCCTTTCCAATGGGCCTCGGCCTCAAGATTCCTCCATGCAACTGACATACTTCTAGGACGTCTTCAGTCTGAGCCTGGAAACATGGTCACGTCTTTCAAAGGAATGGAACTGACTCTGCTGAGTCATCTAGATGGGTTGGAAACCCAGATCCACTCCTCATAGCTCTCCACAGAGGCCTGACTGCAGGGGCTAAGGCCAGAACAGGCCCTACATGGGCAGCTACCTGTTTAATGTTTGGATGGTAGCCCCTAAATCTACCTGCATGCAAGACAGCATGAAGAATGTGGAGAAAGCCCAGGCCTCAAGAGGGCCCCAGGGTATTGGCTGTCCAGAGGAAGAGAGTAATGGGGGAGATCTAAGTCAGCAAGGCTGTGGCGAAAGCCTGAGGCAAGCTTTGCCCACTTTGAAGCTTTCTGTTGCTATTTGTTCCTGCCATGTCAGTTGAGAGTGTTTGTGTGTGCATGTATAGGTGTGTGTGTGTGTGCACATGTGTGCATGGGCATGCATACACAGGAGGATCTGGGGATACCCTGGGCTTCCACACCTGTGAGGGAGTGAGGGTAGCTGGGCTGGGCAAAGGGAGAAGTTGAACTCTGATGTGGGTGCAACCAAGGCCTCCACCAACCCTACAGAGAGCTCTAGTTCTGGGTGGCCCTTCAGAGATGACCCAATTGAGCCAAGGAGGCTGGGCCTCTGTATTTGGACATTAACCTGTTACTGGATATGGGCTGCCATCTAGAGAGGGGAATTTGTATATATTTTTTCTTCTCCTTATAGATAAGCTGAACAGTGTTCTGTTTCCTAGGAAACCTGAAGCTATATGTTCATGTTGATTCTATAGCTGTTTGGGGAGAATGGTGGGGCGGCGGGGGGAATTTGTAATCAGGCTACCACCATTGTTCTTCAGCCCCAGAAGTCCTCAAGTCATTTGCAATCTTAGGTACTTGAATTGAATTTTTTTTTTTTTTTTTTGAGACAGAGTCTTGCTCTATTGCCCAGGCCAGAGTGCAGCAGTGCGATCTCAGCTCGCTGCAACCTCAGCCTCCTGGGTTCAAGCGATTCTCCTGCCTCAGCTTCCTGAGCAGCTGGGACTACAGGTACCCGCCACCACACCTGGCTGATTCTTTGTATTTTTAGTAGAGATGGGGTTTCACCGTGTTAGCCAGGATGGTCTCGATCTCCTGACCTCATGATCCACACACCTCAGCCTCCCAAAGTCCTGGGATTACAGGTGTGAGCCACTGCACCCGGCCTGAACTATTTTTAATACCAAATTTCATACCACATACCTTGCAAGTGACCTTGACAATATCTCAGTTATGGAGAGCTCCGCAGAGCAGCACAGAACCAGATGGTAGCCCCTCAGATACCAGTCATCAAGCCCTACCACCTCTTCCGTGACTCTGTTTCTGCAGGCTAAATACATACAATTCTTTCGAACGTACGTGACTCTGTTTCTGCAGGCTAAATACATACAACTCTTTCGAACGTACCTCCTAAGACATGCTGTGGAGTCTTTTCACCTACCTCATCACTCTCTTGTTCTATTTTATCCAGATTATTTAAATGTTATACCTAGAAGTCAGCACAGTTTTCTAGATGTGGTCTGACTCATACAAAATCAAGCAGGTCTGTTTTCTCTGTTTTTCTGAAAATTCTGTTTCTATTGATGTAGGTTAGTTTTCCATTGCTGTTAGTCGCATTATGCTGTTAATTCATACTGAGCTTGAAATTGATTAAGCCTCCATGTCTTTTCCACATGAACTATTGTTAAGCAACATTTCCTCCACTGGGGAATTGTCTGGTGCTGAGAGTGGTTTTTCGTTTTTGTTGGAAGTTATATTTCTTTTTGTTAAACTTCATTTTGCTTGATCAGGTTATCATTCCAGCCTTTTGTTTAAGAATGGGAAAGCCTGACATTTGGTGACAGGTGCTTAAATATTTTTGATGACCTGTTGTTTAAAAGGCCTATTAAAGCCAGGAGTGGTGGTACATATTTGTAGTCCTAGCTGTTTGGGAGGCTGAGGCAGGAGGTTTGCTTGAGCTCAGGAAGTCAAGGCTTCAGTGAGCCATGATTGCCCCACTGCACAATCTAGCCTGGAAACGGAACAAGACCCTGTCTCTTAAAAAAAAAAACAAAAGAGGGCCTATTAAAGGAACTCAGGAGTATGCTATACAAGGCAGCTCATGAAAACGTCCTAATTATTTTGTTTGAATCAGAGGAGGATTGTAATTATACTTAAGCCTAACACACAAGAAGATCTACTACTCACACCGTAAAGAAGATCTCCCAGGATTCCAGACTTTTTGCCTCAGATCAACTTGTTACTGCTGTGTTGCTAGCTTGTTACATGCTAGCTATGTTGACTACAGCTAACTAGAGTGGCTTGGGCGTTAATAGAAAAATACAGCCAGGTCCCAACACAGACCAGTTAAATCTACAGAGGTGAGATCGAGACACTGGAATTTTTGACAGTCCTCTTCTTCCACTAAATGATTCTAATTTGCATCCTAGGCTGAGATCTACAAGATTAAGCAGAGAAAACCAGCTGCATGTGTCTTCTCCCCACTGGAAAAATGTCCATGGTGCCACTCCATTTACTGGGTCTATTTTTTAAAAAGCGGAGATCACTATACTCTTCCCTACATTTGTAAAGTCAATTGGCATGACCTCAACAAACATTCCCATCTTGAAAATATTACAAAATTAGTGGACTTTTGTGTTACATTGATGTTCTGCACTAAAAGAAAAAAAAACTGATAAAAATTCAGACTTGAAAATAAGCACATTGGGATTCTTTTGTAGAAAAACAGAATTCTTTAAATAGCACATTTTTCTGGAGAATTTAAAAACATGATTTATTTTATAAAATGATTATTTTTAAAGAACCATTTATTATATAAAGTGAGACATACTTGCAATTTTATGTTGCCTTTCTGGACTGAAAAGTTACTTGTGAAATATAGAGACTAAGGAAGTCAAAGTTATTTGAAAGCATGGAATTTTAGAAGTTGAAAGACCCTTAGGCAACCCTCTGCTGCAACTTTTTCTTTTCACAAAGAGTAGCAATCCAGAGAGGGTTTGTGGTCTAACAGACAACCATGCTCTCCAAAGTGCAGTCTGACCATCAGCCCAGGTACAGTCCAGGGACTGCTAGAAATACAATATCTCAGGCCCCACCAGTGACCTCCAGCATGAGAATCTGTAGTTTACCAAGAACCCTAGGTGATTTGCGAGCATGTTACAGTTTGGGAAGCACTGGTCTAGAAAATTCATATTCCAGACAACTGAAAGGAAAACGGCCACGCGTAGCCAGAGTTCACAGAACTCAATTTAAATTTAATGCAACTGCCTTGAGGAGGGAAAAAAGGGGAAAAAACTCAATTTGTTTTTTTCTGTGACCTTGTCAACTTGGATAATTAGAACCTATATAACAAAAAGGAATGTACTTTGCTAGTAGTTCAGAAAATTGAACTGACTGAATGTATTTTTTTCATACAGTGAAAGCTAAAAATTTGCTTTCAAAACAGCATAAAATGCTTATTATATAGCTCTTTGTTTCATTGCCAACTGCGGATTTAGACATGGAGTCATTCAAAGAGCAGTGGGACATTATGAGTAATTCACAATCTTCTGGGCTTTTGACATTTCTGCAAAGCCACAGATTCCCAAGCACAGCATTTAGTTACAGCACTTCAAAAACACAGCACTATGATTTTATGGAAGCTGTAGTACAGATGTCATTCCCAGAGGTGTAAGGAAATGCTGTGGGCAA
Source organism: Homo sapiens (assembly GCF_000001405.40). Lineage (NCBI taxonomy): Eukaryota > Metazoa > Chordata > Mammalia > Primates > Hominidae > Homo > Homo sapiens. The sequence continues at coordinate 100,430,431 of NC_000015.10, read as the reverse complement.
AGATTGTTCATTTAGTTCAAATGAGCATTTTATCTTATTAACATTAGAATGTATTTTTTTTCTCATTGTCAAGTTTTTTGTTTTTGTTTTTGTTTTCTTTTGGTCATTCTTTTTTTTTTTGAGACGGAGTCTCGCTCTGTCGTCCAGGCTGGAGTGCAGTGGCGTGATCTCGGCTCACTGCAAGCTCCGCCTCCCGGGTTCACGCCATTCTCCTGCCTCAGCCTCCCGAGTACCTGGGACTACAGGCGCCCCCCACCACAACTGGCTAACTTTTTGTATTTTTAGTAGAGACAGGGTTCCACCGTGTTAGCCAGGATGGTCTCGATCTCCTGACCTCGTGATCCGCCCACCTCTGCCTCCCAAAGTGCTGGGATTACAGGTGTGAGCCACCGCGCCCGGCTTTTTTGGTCATTCTTGCAATCATTTTTGAGGAATACAGATGAAGCCCAAGTGAATTATGTATAAGCATATATATATATAAATATATAAAAAAAAATACACCAAAAGTAAAGCCAAAAGTGTAGACATCCGGATTTGACTTTAAATTTATTGTGCTCACCTTTTCTTTTGGTGGAGATTAAAGTGGTGGGAATTTGTGTATTAATTGAGTGATGCTGGTTGTGTTACACATATTGTACAATACGGGGTGATGGCTGTGGATAAGTATGTTTATTTAAGAAACACAGATGGTGAAGCTTTTCCGTGCTGTGTCATGTGAGGATCAACTGAAGGATGGGGGAATGTTTAGCTGGAAGAGGAGTTCATTATCTTTAAATGTTTGGAAAATTAACCAATGTTTGAAGGGAGTACACAGACTTCTTTTGCCTGGTACAAAGGGGTAGAACTTGGAGGAATGCGTGGGCGCTCCAGGGAGGCAGAGATCAGCCCCAAATATGAAAGGAAGCAGATAGTGAATGACTGCAGAGACACAGGCAGGGGTGTGCGTCTTCTGCTAGGGTTGTTGTAAAGAGCCTATCACCATCAAATAGAAACTGGATTAGAAGACACTTAAAGGTCCCTTTCAAACCTGTAGGTCTACAGATACTGCTGTTTCTTACGTAATACCCCTTCCACATCGCAGTGCTACTCCGATAGCCTCCAGAGTTTCCCTCCTGGACTGTGACCTCGGCCTCCCAAGTATGCCAGCTGGGCTCCTTCCAGCCATTTCCACACAGTGGCAGAGAGCACTGCTATAGAAACCAGCTCCCCCGGTGCAGAAGCTCACTGAGGACAAACACCTTGTCTGTTTTCTCACTGATACACTGCAAACACCCAAAACAGTGCTATAAAGTGGCTTCTAGTTGGGTTTAGAAATGAATTTGAATTTCTGACCATGACCTGTGAAATTCATTATCTGATCTGTGCTTATTTGAGGCCTCACCTGGGGTCAGGCCCTGCCTTTCTCAGCATTCATTAGCTGTGCTGTCCTTGCTAATCCCCGAGCATGCAAGGCTCTCACATCGCAGGGCCTCTGCCCACGTTGTTTCTTCTTGAAAGGTTTATTCCACTCTTCTCCGGCTACTCCTGTTAAACTATAGGTTACAACTTGAGTTCATTTCCTTAAGGCCTTCCTGGCATCAGCCTCATCTAAGTGAGATTCCTCTATTTAAATATCATAGTATTCTCTACTTCCTAACATGCATCAAACCTGTAACGATGTATTTCTTATTGTGTGTTTGATTCTGTAGCATTCAGTTCTTTCAATAGATTGTAAGTTATTTGAGAACAGACCATTATATCTCCAATGTCTTGCACAGGGCACAGGGTATTAAAAGGATTTTTTGAACTGGTGGTTCTCAACTGGAGCAGTTTTGGCCTTCAAGGATATTTGACAATCTGTGGAGACATTTTTGTCTGTCACAAGTGGGAGGTGCCACTAGTATGATACAGATAACTGGAGGTGCTTACTGCTAGACGTCCCACAATGGGCAGCAAGGTCCCGGAATCACCTGGCCCAAAATATCCACAGTGCCGAGGTTGTGAACCTTGGGGTGAATGAATGAACTGTCTGTCTTTTGGTTGATTGTCCTTTGTGGCAAGGTGTTTTTCCCAAATTATTCATTGCTTTCCCACTGCCAGTGTCTTCTCATCCAGGGGAAACTTTGATTTATGCAGGAACAGCCAAACACATGATTCCTTGAGAAACCAAGCTCTCCAAAATTAGCTGGTTAGTATTTCTTTACATGGAAATATTGGCATTTAAAATTATTCAAATGATAATGGTTTTGAAAGAAAACAGTTGCCAGCCATTTCCTTTTGAGATAAGGCAACTGCATTGAAAAGTTTTGATGGATGGAGAAAATGAGATTGTAGCAAATTTGTCAGTTGTAATCCCAATCTGAGAAAACATTTACTCTGATAGCACTCTGCACTATAACCTTCAGTTCCTTCACTGTTATGTACCATGAGGGCTGGGAAGGACACACCAGGGGAGGCCGTTTTGACTCTGCCAAACAGTGGTTCCTCATTCATTCTAATTCACTTAGTGACGTGGCTCTCTCATTGCTTTTTTCACCACCTGACCTCTTTACCTTCTGAGTCTAACTCAGTAAAACTGTTCCCATCCTGGGGGTGGCCACCTTCACCTGTCTCTCGGCAGGAAGCACAGAATCTGAGTTTGAGCTACACAACTTTTTGTTTCTAGCTCAAGCCATCATATTTATGAGGAAGACTTGTTAGAAGAAAATGAATGACAGTTTCTACCTATTGAAAAATTTCATTCGGCTTTGTAGTCAGAGTCTGGGACAGTACTTCCCAATCTTCATCACTTCATCGTACCCGAGAGATTGATGTTTGTGCAGCACACAAGGGTAAACTGAGGTGGGCCTCAAAGCAGGAGAAGACAGTACAAGTAATCCAGGCACCTGGGGCTCTGGTAGCTTCAGGCTCTGCCTTGCTACCCCAAGGCCTGAGAGGATTAATGTCTCAGCATAACTTTTAACCCTTTCCTGGCACATCCGTTGGGAATTTCTGGTATAGAATAGCCTCACGTAATGGCCACTCATCTATGGGCCAATAGATGATAATGTTATTCATTTCCACTTAATATGGGCTGATAGATTGGCATTGCCTAAGAACAAGTCATATTTTGTTTATCCCTGGAGAAGCACAGATGAGATACTTTTAAAATTTTCCTTATTCGGAATTCTTGCCAACAATAGCACTTTCGCTCCTCCGAGACAGGGATGCAGCGCTGTCCAGCAGGAACCATCTGAAGTAGCCATCACAAGGCCTGCTGCAGAGGACCGTATGTCAGAAGAGGTCTCTCAGGACCAAAACATACGCAGCTGTGTCATGGAGGGCCAGCCAGTGGGGCACACACCCCTCGGCTGACTACTGTGTTCCCTTACCCTGAGGTCACGGGTGTGGGCTTGCCAACCCGTGTCAGCTCAGAATCTGGAGCCTGGCCACAGAGATCTGATATAGCTTGGACATTGCTGAAGACAGCATTTGGAGAGCTGAAGAGTGCAGGGACCCGTATCAAAGGACCCAATTGAGTGTAACAGGCTGGAAATGAAGTACCTCATAAAAGGCAGGGATTGGGGATAATTTTTAGGATTTTGTTTTCAGCAACTGAGTGGGTGGGAGTACCATTTGCTAAATTATGGAAGGCCAGAGAAAAAGGTGGTGTTAAGGGGAGGAGACTAGAGTTTAAAGACTGTTAGACAGCTGAGGGATTTTCTAGCTATTGAGTTTTTGAGTTTGAAGCCTGAAAGAGGCCCACACGGGGGATATAAACTTGGGAGTCATCTACAGTTATACAGTATTCAATTAATGCTATGGTATTAGATTAATTCATTCACTCTTTCAACACATATATCCAGAGTGCCTACTATGTACTAAATGAGATCACCTACGAGAACCCAGAGAAGACAGATGGTATATTCCAGTATATTCCTACTCATTTTATTCTCTCTCCCTCTCTTTCCCTGCAGAGATGGCCACTGTCTTGAAGCTGGTATCCTTCCTCTCATGCCTCTGTATATTTATTATGTCTGGATATAGTTACGGGCATTAGAGTATTATTTTCTGTATTTTAAAACTTTATGTAAGTGATATGAGCTGATATATAAATGTGTAGCTTTTTTCACTCATTATAAGACTATTCATATTGATGTATGTCTCCTTGTGAACATGTGTGTGAATTTCTCCATAAATGGAATTGTTAGGTCAAATTTATTTTATTTTTTATTTTTCACTATCTCAAAGGAACTCATTTTAATTTTTTTATTATGCAACATTTAGTTTATTAATTGAATATGAAATTTTTGATGTGTATATAGCTGATGAGCTTTTTTTTCTTTTTCAACTTTTTTTAAAATAAAGAAAATAGGTTTAATTGACTCACAGTTCTGCAGGCTGTACAGGTAACATGACTGGGGAGGCCTCAGGAAACAATCATAGCAGAAGGCAAAGGGAAAGCAGGCACTTCTTACATGGCTGGAGTAGGAGGAAGAGAGCGAAGTGGGAGGTGCTACACACTTTTAAACAACCAGATCTCGTAAGAACTCACTCACTGTCACAAGAATAGCAAGGGGTAAATCCACCCCCTTGATCCAGTCACCTCCCACCAGGCCCCTCCTCCAACATTCAGAATTACGGTCAACATGAGATTTAGGTGGGGACACAAATCCCAAACCATATCATTCTGCCCCTGACCTCTCCCACATCTCATGTCCTTCTCACATTGCAAAATACAATTATCCCATCTCAAAAGTCCCTCAAAGTCTCAACTCATTTTAGCATTAACTCAAAAGTCCAAAGTCCAAAGTCTTATCAGAAACAAGCTAGTCTCTTCTGCCTATGAGCCTGTAAAATAAAACAGCAATTAATTAGTTCCAAGACACAATGGGGGTATAGGTATTGGGTAAATACTCCCTTTCCAAAAGGGACAAATCAGCCAAAACAAAGTGGGCTACAGGCCCCATGGAAGTCTGAAGCCCAGCAGGGGGTCATTAAATCTTATAGCTACAAAATAATCTGCTTTGACTCCATGTCTCACATTCAGACGACACTGATACTAGGGGTGGGCTCCTAAGGCCCTGGGCAGCTCTGGCCCTGTGGCTCTGCAGTGTACATCACCAGCGGCTGCTCTCAAGGGCTGGTGTTGCGTGCCTGTGGCTTTTCCGGGTGCATAGTGCAAGCTGTCAATAAATCTACCATTTTGGGGTCTGGGGGACTGTGGCCCTCTTCTCGCAGCTCCACTCAGTAGTGCCCTGGTAGGAACTCTGTGTGGGGGCTCCAGCCCTACATTTCCCCTCTGCACTGCCTTAGTGGAGGTTCTTCATGAGTGCTCCACCCCTTCGGCAGATTTCTGCCTGGATGTCTAGGCATTTCCGTACATCCTCTGAAATCTAGGCGGAGGCTCCCAAGCCTCACTCTTGCCCTCTGTGCACCCACAGGCTTAACTATATGGAAGCCGCCAAGGTTTTTGGCTTGCACCCTCTGGAACAGTGGCCTGAGACATATCTGGGGCCCTTTTAGCCATGGCTGGAGCTAAAGCAGCTGGGAAAATGCCTTGGAGGCATTTTTCCCCATTGTCTTGGCTATTAACATTTAGCTCCTCTTTATGCAAATTTCTGCAGCCAGCTTGAATTCCTCCCCAGAAAGTGGGTTTTTCTTTTCTACCACATGGTCAGGCTGCAAATTTTCTTGCAAACTTTTGTGCTCTGCTCCCCTTCTAAATATAAATTCCAGTTTCAGAACATCTCTTGGTTCATGCAGATGAGCATATGCTGTCATAAGCAGCCAGGTCACTTCTTGAACGCATTGCTGCTTAAAAATTTCTTCTACCAGATACCCTAAATCATCTCACTCAAGTTCAAAATTCCACAGATCCCTAGAGCAGGGGCATAATGCCAGTCAGTCTCTTTGCTAAAGCAAGGAAAGAGTGACCTTTACTCCAGTTCCCAGAAAGTTCTTCATCTCCATCTGAGACCTCCTCAGCTTGGACTTCACTGTCCCTATCACTATGAGCATTTTGGTCACAACCATTCAACAAGTCTCTAGGAAATTCCAAACTTTCCCTCACTTTCCTGTCATCTTCTGAGCCCTTTAAACTGTTCCAACCTCTTCCCATTACCCAGTTTCAAAGCTGCTTTCACATTTTCAGGTATCTTTATAGCAAGGGCCCACTGCTGGTACCAAGTTTCTGTATTAGTCAGTTCTGGCACTGCTGTAAAGAAATATCTGGCCAGGCATGGTGGCTCACACCTGTAATCCCAGCACTTTGGGAGGCCAAGGCAGACAAATCACCTGAGGTCAGGAGTTCAAGACCAGCCTGACCAACGTGGAGAAACCCCATCTCCACTAGAAATACAAAATTAGCTGAGCATGGTGGTGCATACCTGTAATCCAAGCTACCTGAGAGGCTGAGGCAGGAGGATCACTTAAACTCGGGAGGTGGAGGTTGTGGTGAGCCGAGATGGTGCCATTGCACTCCAGCCTGGGCAACAAGAGCAAAACTCCACCTCAAAAAAAAAAAAAAAGAAAGAAAGAAATATGAGACTGAGTAATTTATGGAGAAAAAAATTTAATTAACTCATGGTTCTGCAGGCTGTACAGGTAACATCGTGGGGGAGGCCTCAGGAAACTTTCAATCATGGTGGAAGGTGAAGAGGAAGCAGGCACATCTTACATGGCTGGAGTAGGGGGAAGAGGAGCTCTTTTTCAACTTTTGTTTTAGGTTCAGGGGGCACATGTACAGGTTTGTTACTTGGGTAAATTGCATGTTGCTGGGGTTTGGTGTACAAATGATTTTGTCACCCAGGTAGTGAGCATAGTACCTGATAGGTAGTTTTTTGATCCTCACCTTTCCCCTACCCTCCGCCCTCAAGTAGGACCTAGTGTCTGTTGTACCCCTCTTTGTGTCCATGTGTGTTGTAAGTGAGAACATACAGTACTTGGTTTTCTGCTCCTGCATTAATTTACTTGGGATAATGGCCTCCAGCTGCATCCATGTTGTTCCAAAGGACATGATTTTGTTCTTTTTTATGGCTGTATAGCATTTCACAGTGTATATGTACCACATTTCCCTTATCCAGTCCACTACTGATGGGCACCTAGGTTGATTCCATGTTTTTGCTATTGTGAATAGTGCTATGATGAACATATGAGTGCATATGTCTTTTTGGTAGAACAATTTATATTTCTTTGGGTATATACCCAGTAATAGGATTGCTGGGTTGAATGGAAGTTCTGTTTTAAGTTCTTTGAGAAATCTCCAAAATGCTTTCCACAGTGGCCAAACTAATTCACATTCCCACCAGTAGTTTATAAGCATTCCTTTTTCTCCATCACATTGCCAAAATCTGTTATTTTCTTTTTTTTTTAACATTTTTTTTTTATTATACTTTAAGTTTTAGGGTACATGTGCACAATGTGCAGGTTAGTTACATATGTATACATGTGCCATGCTGGTGTGCTGCACCCACTAACTCGTCATCTAGCATTAGGTATATCTCCGGATACTATCCCTCCCCCCTCCCCCCCACCCCACAACAGTCCCCAGAGTGTGATATTCCCCTTCCTGTGTCCATGTGATCTCATTGTTCAATTCCCACCTGTGAGTGAGAATATGCGGTGTTTGGTTTTTTGTTCTTGCGATAGTTTACTGAGAATGATGATTTCCAATTTCATCCATGTCCCTGCAAAGGACATGAACTCATCATTTTTTATGGCTGCATAGTATTCCATGGTGTATATGTGCCACATTTTCTTAATCCAGTCTATCATTGTTGGACATTTGGGTTGGTTCCAAGTCTTTGCTATTGTGAATAATGCCGCAATAAACATACGTGTGCATGTGTCTTTATAGCAGCATGATTTATAGTCCTTTGGGTATATACCCAGTAATGGGATGGCTGGGTCAAATGGTATTTCCAGTTCTAGATCCCTGAGGAATCGCCACACTGACTTCCACAATGGTTGAACTAGTTTACAGTCCCACCAACAGTGTAAAAGTGTTCCTATTTCTCCACATCCTCTCCAGCACCTGTTGTTTCCTGACTTTTTAATGATCGCCATTCTAACTGGTGTGAGATGGTATCTCATTGTGGTTTTGATTTGCATTTCTCTGATGGCCAGTGATGATGAGCATTTTTACATGTGTTTTTTGGCTGCATAAATGTCTTCTTTTGAGAAGTGTCTGTTCATGTCCTTCGCCCACTTTTTGATGGGGTTGTTTGTTTTTTTCTTGTAAATTTGTTTGAGTTCATTGTAGATTCTGGATATTAGCCCTTTGTCAGATGAGTAGGTTGCGAAAATTTTCTCCCATTTTGTAGGTTGCCTGTTCACTCTGATGGTAGTTTCTTTTGCTGTGCAGAAGCTCTTTAGTTTAATTAGATCCCATTTGTCAATTTTGGCTTTTGCTGCCATTGCTTTTGGTGTTTTAGACATGAAGTCCTTGCCCATGCCTATGTCCTGAATGGTAATGCCTAGGTTTTCTTCTAGGGTTTTTATGGTTTTAGGTCTAACGTTTAAGTCTTTAATCCATCTTGAATTGATTTTTGTATAAGGTGTAAGGAAGGGATCCAGTTTCAGCTTTCTACATATGGCTAGCCAGTTTTCCCACCACCATTTATTAAATAGGGAATCCTTTCCCCATTGCTTGTTTTTCTCAGGTTTGTCAAAGATCAGATAGTTGTAGATACGCGGCATTATTTCTGAGGGCTCTGTTCTGTTACATTGATCTATATCTCTGTTTTGGTACCAGTACCATGCTGTTTTGGTTACTGTAGCCTTGTCGTATAGTTTGAAGTCAGGTAGCATGATGCCTCCAGCTTTGTTCTTTTGGCTTAGGATTGACTTGGCGATGCGGGCTCTTTTTTGGTTCCATATGAACTTTAAAGTAGTTTTTTCCAATTCTGTGAAGAAAGTCATTGGTAGCTTGATGGGGATGGCATTGAATCTATAAATTACCTTGGGCAGTGTGGCCATTTTCACGATATTGTTTCTTCCTACCCATGAGCATGGAATGTTCTTCCATTTGTTTGTATCCTCTTTTACTTCCTTGAGCAGTGGTTTGTAGTTCTCCTTGAAGAGGTCCTTCACATCCCTTGTAAGTTGGATTCCTAGGTATTTGATTCTCTTTGAAGCAATTGTGAATGGGAGTTCACTCATGATTTGGCTCTCTGTTTGTCTGTTATTGGTGTATAAGAATGCTTGTGATTTTTGTACATTGATTTTGTATCCTGAGACTTTGCTGAAGTTGCTTATCAGCTTAAGGAGATTTTGGGCTGAGACAATGGGGTTTTCTAGATATACAATCATGTTGTCTGCAAACATGGTCAATTTGACTTCCTCTTTTCCTAATTGAATACCCTTTATTTCCTTCTCCTGCCTAATTGCCCTGGCCAGAACTTCCAACACTATGTTGAATAGGAGTGGTGAGAGAGGGCATCCCTGTCTTGTGCCAGTTTTCAAAGGGAATGCTTCCAGTTTTTGCCCATTCAGTATGATATTGGCTGTGGGTTTGTCATAGATAGCTCTTATTATTTTGAAATACGTCCCATCAATACCTAATTTATTGAGAGTTTTTAGCATGAAGGGTTGTTGAATTTTGTCAAAGGCTTTTTCTGCATCTATTGAGACAATCATGTGGTTTTTGTCTCTGGTTCTGTTTATATGCTGGATTACATTTATTGATTTGCGTATATTGAACCAGCCTTGCATCCCAGAGATGAAGCCCACTTGATCATGGTGGATAAGCTTTTTGATGTGCTGCTGGATTCGTTTTGCCAGTATTTTATTGAGGATTTTTGCATCAATGTTCATCAAGGATATTGGTCTAAAATTCTCTTTTTTTGTTGTGTCTCTGCCTGGCTTTGGTATTAGAATGATGCTGGCCTCATAAAATGAGTTAGGGAGGATTCCCTCTTTTTCTATTGATTGGAATAGTTTCAGAAGGAATGGTACCAGTTCCTCCTTGTACCTCTGGTAGAATTCAGCTGTGAATCCATCTGGTCCTGGACACTTTTTGGTTGGTAAGCTATTGATTATTGCCACAATTTCAGATCCTGTTATTGGTCTATTCAGAGATTCAACTTCTTCCTGGTTTAGTCTTGGGAGAGTGTTATGTGTCCAGGAATTTATCCATTTCTTCTAGACTTTCTAGTTTATTTGCGTAGAGGTGTTTGTAGTATTCTCTGATGGTAGTTTGTATTTCTGTGGGATCGGTGGTGATATCCCCTTTATCATTTTTTATTGCGTCTATTTGATTCTTCTCTCTTTTTTTCTTTATTAGTCTTGCTAGCGGTCTATCAATTTTGTTGATCCTTTCAAAAAACCAGCTCCTGGATTCATTAATTTTTTGAAGGGTTTTTGTGTCTCTATTTCCTTCAGTTCTGCTCTGATTTTAGTTATTTCTTGCCTTCTGCTAGCTTTTGAATGTGTTTGCTCTTGCTTTTCTAGTTCTTTTAATTGTGATGTTAGGGTGTCAATTTTGGATCTTTCCTGCTTTCTCTTGTGGGCATTTAGTGCTATAAATTTCCCTCTACACATGCTTTGAATGCGTCCCAGAGATTCTGGTATGTTGTGTCTTTGTTCTCGTTGGTTTCAAAGAACATCTTTATTTCTGCCTTCATTTCGTTATGTACCCAGTAGTCATTCAGGAGCAGGTTGTTCAGTTTCCATGTAGTTGAGTGGTTTGGAGTGAGATTCTTAATCCTGAGTTCTAGTTTGATTGCACTGTGGTCTGAGAGATAGTTTGTTATAATTTCTATTCTTTTACATTTGCTGAGGAGAGCTTTACTTCCCAGTATGTGCTCAATTTTGGAATAGGTGTGGTGTGGTGCTGAAAAAAATGTATATTCTGTTGATTTGGGGTGGAGAGTTCTGTAGATGTCTATTAGGTCTGCTTGGTGCAGAGCTGAGTTCAATTCCTGGGTATCCTTGTTGACTTTCTGTCTCGTTGATCTGTCTAATGTTGACAGTGGGGTATTAAAGTCTCCCATTATTAATGTGTGGGAGTCTAAGTCTCTTTGTAGGTCACTCAGGACTTGCTTTATGAATCTGGGTGCTCCTGTATTGGGTGCATATATATTTAGGATAGTTAGCTCTTCTTGTTGAATTGATCCCTTTACCATTATGTAATGGCCTTCTTTGTCTCTTTTGATCTTTGTTGGTTTAAAGTCTGTTTTATCAGAGACTAGGATTGCAACCCCTGCCTTTTTTTGTTTTCCATTGGCTTGGTAGATCTTCCTCCATCCTTTTATTTTGAGCCTATGTGTGTCTCTGCACGTGAGATGGGTTTCCTGAATATAGCACACTGATGGGTCTTGACTCTTTATCCAATTTGCCAGTCTGTGTCTTTTAATTGGAGCATTTAGTCCATTTACATTTAAAGTTAGTATTGTTATGTGTGAATTTGATCCTGTCATTATGATGTTAGCTGGTGATTTTGCTCGTTAGTTGATGCAGTTTCTTCCTAGTCTCGATGGTCTTTACAATTTGGCACGATTTTGCAGTGGCTGGTACTGGTTGTTCCTTTCCATGTTTAGTGCTTCCTTCAGGAGCTCTTGTAAGGCAGGCCTGGTGGTGACAAAATCTCTCAGCATTTGCTTGTCTGTATAGTATTTTATTTCTCCTTCACTTATGAAGCTTAGTTTGGCTGGATATGAAATTCTGGGTTGAAAATTCTTTTCTTTAAGAATGTTGAATATTGGCCCCCACTCTCTTCTGGCTTGTAGGGTTTCTGCCGAGAGATCTGCTGTTAGTCTGATGGGCTTCCCTTTGAGGGTAACCCGACCTTTCTCTCTGGCTGCCCTTAACATTTTTTCCTTGATTTCAACTTTGGTGAATCTGACAGTTATGTGTCTTGGAGTTGCTCTTCTCGAGGAGTATCTTTGTGGCGTTCTCTGTATTTCCTGAATCTGAACGTTGGCCTGCCTTGCTAGATTGGGGAAGTTCTCCTGGATAATATCCTGCAGAGTGTTTTCCAACTTGGTTCCATTTTCCCCATCACTTTCAGGTACACCAATCAGACGTAGATTTGGTCTTTTCACATAGTCCCATATTTCTTGGAGGCTTTGCTCATTTCTTTTTATTCTTTTTTCTCTAAACTTCCCTTCTCGCTTCATTTCATTCATTTCATCTTCCATCCCTGATACCCTTTCTTCCAGTTGATCGCATCGGCTTCTGAGGCTTCTGCATTCTTCACGTAGTTCTCGGGCCTTGGTTTTCAGCTCCATCAGCTCCTTTAAGCCCTTCTCTGTATTGGTTATTCTAGTTACACATTCTTCTAAATTTTTTTCAAAGTTTTCAACTTCTTTGCCTTTGGTTTGAATGTCCTCCCGTAGCTCAGAGTAATTTGATCGTCTGAAGCCTTCTTCTCTCAGCTCGTCAAAGTCATTCTCCATCCAGCTTTGTTCCGTTGCTGGTGAGGAACTGCATTCCTTTGGAGGAGGAGAGGTGCTCTGCGTTTTAGAGTTTCCAGTTTTTGTGTTCTGTTTTTTCCCCATCTTTGTGGTTTTATCTACTTTTGGTCTTTGATGATGGTGATGTACAGATGGGTTTTCGGTGTGGATGTCCTTTCTGTTTGTTAGTTTTCCTTCTAACAGAGAGGACCCTCAGCTGCAGGTCTGTTGGAATACCCTGCTGTGTGAGGTGTCAGTGTGCCCTTGCTGGGGGGTGCCTCTCAGTTAGGCTGCCCAGGGGTCAGGGGTCAGGGACCTACTTGAGGAGGCAGTCTGCCCGTTCTCAGATCTCCAGCTGCGTGCTGGGAGAACCACTGCTCTCTTCAAAGCTGTCAGACAGGGACATTTAAGTCTGCAGAGGTTACTGCTGTCTTTTTGTTTGGCTGTGCCCTGCCCCCAGAGGTGGAGCCTACAGAGGCAGGCAGGCCTCCTTGAGCTGTGGTGGGCTCCACCCAGTTCGAGCTTCCAGGCTGCTTTATTTACCTAAGCAAGCCTGGGCAATGGCGGGCGCCCCTCCCCCAGCCTCGCTGCTGCCTTGCAGTTTGATCTCAGACTGCTGTGCTAGCAATCAGCGAGACTCCGTGGGGTAGGACCCTCAGAGCCAGGTGTGGGATATAATCTCGTGGTGCGCCATTTTTTAAGCCCGTCGGAAAAGCGCAGTATTAGGGTGGGAGTGACCCGATTTTCCAGGTGCGTCCGTCACCCCTTTCTTTGACTCGGAAAGGGAACTCCCCGACCCCTTGCTCTTCCCAAGTGAGGCAATGCCTCGCCCTGCTTCGGCTCACGCACGGTGCACGCACCCACTGACCTGCGCCCACTGTCTGGCACTCCCTAGTGAGATGAACCTGGTACCTCAGATGGAAATGCAGAAATCACCCATCTTCTGCGTCGCTCACGCTGGGAGCTGTAGACCAGAGCTGTTCCTATTCGGACATCTTGGCTCCTCCACTATTTTCTTTTTATTCATAGCCGTTCTGACTGGTGTGAAATGGTATCTCTTGGCAGTTTTGATTTGCATTTCTGTAATTATTAGTGATTTTGAATATTTTTTCATATGCTTGTTGGCTGCATGTACGTTTTCTTTTGAGAAATATCTGTTCTTGTCTTTTGCCCGTTTTTTAATGTGGTTGGTTGTTTTTTGCTTGTTGATTTGTAGAATCCTTATAGATTTTGGATATTAGACCCTTTTCAGATTCATCCTGGCTCTGTGTCTTCACTCAAATCTCATCTCAAATTGTAATGCCCGTAATCCCCACATGTTGAGGGAGGGACCAGTTGGGAAGTGATTGGACCATGGGAGCAGTTTGCCCTATGCTGTTCTCGTGATAGTGAGTTCTCATGAGATCTGATGGTTTTATAAGGGGCTCTTCCTCCTTTATTGCTCACTCTTCTCTCTCCTGCTGCCATGTGAAGAAGGTCCTTGCTTCTCCTTATGCCACGATTGTAAGTTTCCTGAGGCCTCCCCAGCCATGTGGAACTATGAGTCAATTAAACTTCTTTCCTTTACAAATTACCCAGTCTTGGGTAGTATCGTTATAGCAGTGTGAAAACGGACTAATACACAGTTTGCAAATATTTACTCCCATTCTGTAGCTTGCCAGCTATCCCAGCACTGTTTACTGAATAGGGAGTCTGCTCCCCATCGCTTGTTTTTGTCAACTTTGTTGAAGGTCAGATGGTTGTGAGTGTGCCCCCTTATTTCTGGCTCTTTAATCTGTTCCATTGTTTCTGTGTCTGCTTTTGTACCAGTACCATTCTGTTTGGGTTCTGTAGCCTTACAGTGTAGTTTGAACTCAGGAAGTGTGATGCCTCTGGCTTTGTTCATTTTGCTTAGGATTACTTTGGCTATTTGGGGGCTCTTTTTTGGTTCTGTATGAATTTTATAATTTTTCTAATTCTGTGAAAAATTACATTGGTAGTTTGATAAGAATGGTATTGAATCTATAAGTTGCTTTGGGTAGTATGGCCATTTTAACAATATTGACTTTTCCTATCCATGAATATGGAACATTTTTCCATTTGTTTTTGTCATCTGTGATTTTTTTCCAGTGGTGTTTTTGTTTTACTTCAAGTTGCAGGATACAGATGCAGAACATGTAGGTTTGCTACATAGGTATATGTGTGTCATGGTGGTTTGCTGCACCTATCAACCCATTATCTCAGTTTTAAGCCCCACATACATTAGGTATTTGTCCGAATGCTCCCTCCCCTCCCTCACTCCCTGCCCCCCGACAGGCCCTGGTGTGTGTTTTTCACCTCCCTATGTCCGTGTGTTCTCATTGTTCAACTCTCACTTATGAGTGAGAACATGCAGTGTTTGGTTTTCTGTTCCTGTGTTAGTTTGCTGAGGATGATGGCTTCCAGCTTCATCCATTCCCTACAAAGGACATGGTCTCATTCCTTTTTATAACTGCATAGTATTCCATGGTGTATGTGTACTACATTTTCTTTATCTAATCTATCATTGATGGGCATTTGGGTGTTCCAACTCTTTGCTATTGTGAAGAGTGCTACAATAAACATACATGTGCATGTGTCTTTATAGTAGAATGATTTATATCTCTTTGGGTATATGCCCAGTAATGAGATTGGTGGGTCAAATGGTATTTCTGGTTCTAGTTCTTTGAGGAATTGCCACACTGTTTCCCACAATGGTTGAACTTGCATTCCCAATGCAAGTTTAATTTGCATTCCCAATAACAGTATAAAAGCATTCCTGTTTCTCCACAGCCTCACCAGGATTTATTGCTTCTTGACTTTTTAATAATCCCCATTCTGACTGGTGTGAGATGGTATCTCATTGTGATTTTGATTTGCAGTTCTCTAATGATCAGTGATGTTGAACTTTTTCTCATATGTTTGTTGGATGCATAAATGTCTTCTTTTGAGAAGTGTCTGTTCATATCCTTTACCCACTTTTTGTTTTTTTCTTGTAAATTTGTTTAAGTTCATTGTAGGTTCTGGATATTAGCCCTTTGCCAGATGGGTAGATTGCAAAAATTTTCTCCCATTCTGTAGGTTGCCTGTTAACTCTCGTTATAGTTTCTTTTGCTGTGCAGAAGCTCTTTAGTTTAATTAGATCCCATTTGTCAATTTTGGCTTTTGTTGCAATTGCTTTTGGTGTCTTAGTCATGAAGTCTGCCCATGCCTATGTCCTGAATGGTATTGCCCAGGTTTTCTTCCAGGGTTTTTTTTTTTTAATCATTTTGGGTTTTACATTTAAGGCTTCAATCCATCTTTAGTTAATTTTTGTATAAGGTGTAAAGAAGGGGTCCAGTTTCAGTAGTTTGCATATGGCTGGCCAGTTTTCCCAGCACCATTTATTAAATAGGGAATCCTTTCCCCACTGCTTGTTTTTGTCTGGTTTGTCAAAGATCAGATGGTTGTAGATGTGTGGTATTATTTCTGAGGTCTCTGTTCTGTTCTGTTGGTCTATATGCCTGTTTTGGTACCAGTACCGTGCTGTTTTGGTTTTTGTAGCCTTGTAGTATAACTTGAACTCAGGTAGCATGATTCCTCCAGCTTTGTTCTTTTTGCTTAGGATTGTCTTGGCTATATAGGCTCTTTTTTGGTTCCACATGAAATTTAAAGTAGATTTTTCTAATTCTGTGAAGAATGTCAATGGTAGTTTAATGGGAATAGCATTGAATCTGTAAATTACTTTGGGCAGTATGGCCATTTTCATGGTATTGATTCTTCCTGTCATGAACATGGAATGTTTTTCCATTTGTTTGTGTTTTCTCTTATTTCCTTGAGGAGTGGTTTGTAGTTCTCCTTGAAGAGGGCCTTCACATCCCTTGTTAGCTATATTCCTAGATATTTTATTCTCTTTGTAGCAATTGTGAATGACAGTTCATTCATGATTTGGCTCTCTGATTCTCTGGTGTTTCTGTCAGGTTTTGGTATCAGAATGATGCTGACATCATAGAATGAGTTTGGGAGAAGTCCCTCCTCCTTGATTTTTTGGAATAGTTTCAGTAGGATTGGTACCAGCTCTTCTTCATACATCTGGTAGAATTTGGCTGTGAATCCATCTGTTCCAGGTATTTTTCTGGTTGGCAGGTGTTTTATTACTATTACTATTTCAATTTCAGAATTTGCTGTTGGTCTATTTATGATTTCAGTTTCTTCCTGATTCAATTTTGGGAGGTTATATGTTTCCAGGAATGTGTCCATTTCTTCTAGGTTTTCTAGTTCATGTGCATAGAGGTGTTTATAATAGTCTGTAAGGGTTTTTTTTTTTTTCTTGTATTTCTGTGGGGTTGGTGGTTAGGTTAAATTTACTAGATGCTGCCAACCTATTTTTCTAACCAAATGTATGAGTGTTTCTTTTTCCCCACATGCTCACCAACTTTTTTTACAATATTATCAGACTATTCAATATTTACTAGGTTAATGCACATGAGATTTTATCTTATTATTTGAATTTGCATTTTACTGATTACTAAGATTGAGCATATAGTATAGTATAGTATAGTATAGTATAGTATAGTATAGTATAGTATAGTCGTCAGTTGTGTTGACTTTTTTGTAAATTGCCTGTTCATGTCCTTTGCCTGCTTTTCTATCACATTCGGTTTCTTCCTTCTTAATGGTGCATATGAGTTATTTGAGCTCTTTGTGTATCTTGAATATTAAGATTTGAAACAAACTTCATTTCAATTTTAATACAAATTTTGTGGGCTTAATCCTCTGTCTTGCTATGATTATTCCTTGAATGTTGCTTTACTTAAAATCCCAGAGAATTTTTATTTTCAAAATGTTTTTGCAGATCTTTGCCTGGTTAGAGTTGTGGGACTTTCAAGCTGTGAATGTAAAGCTGTTTTTAAAGGATGTAAAATATGGCAATTTGGAGAATATGTTAAACAACAGTTTTAATCCCCAATGCAAATTATGTTGATATAATCAAATCATTTTCTGCATCCATCACAATTTGTTGATCACCACACAGTCTGGCACATTTTTAATTTATTTTGGGTTATATGGATAGTATGAAAAAAATCTATGCATTTTTATCAAAAGTCACATGGTATAATCTGGGCTCTGCTGCCACTAAGCTGTATCACTCTACAGGGTGGGACTGAGCCCTGTAGCTTTCATCTCATCTGGAAAATGAATGTCAGACCAGATACTCTCCGGAGTCTGTCTAACATGAAAACTTAATTTTTCTCTTAAAAGCTAATTTTAAAAGCCACAGATTTTTACAAAATGAAATCATCTCTTAAGGAATTAGATCCATTGATAGTAGCAAGAAATAATTAGTGAAAAATAGAACATATTCTATTTTACACTGGTTAGTTGGGAGAGTATAAAAAGCAACTTTTGTGTCTGGCTCTGAAATTCAAGAAGAGGTATTCTGTATACGTGGAACAGCTACAAAAATTGGCTCTATTTTTCTTCTATAAATCAGGGAACCATGGCTAAACTGATCTTAAGGTCATGTTTTAAGCAACTTGGATTCAAACTTCACAGGACTTAAAAGACTTTAGGGCACCCCTTATAAATTTGAAAAAGAACAAAGCTGAAGTACTCAAACTTCCTGATTTCCAAACTTACTACAAATCTTCAGTAATCAAGACAGTGTGGTACCGGCATAAAGACAAACATAAAGACCATGGTATAGAATAGAGAAATAAACCCTCACATATGTATGGTCAAATAATTTTTGATAAGGGTGCCAAGACCATTCAATGGGGAGTCTTTTCGACAAATGGTGCTGGGAAAACTGAATATCCACATGCAAAAGAATGAAGTTGGACCCTTACCTAACACCATACACAAAAATTAACTTGAATTCAAGCAAAGACCTAAAACTATAGAAGAAAACATAGGGCAAATAATTTATTGGATATGACACTAAAGGCACAGACAATAAATGAAAAAATGGGCAAATTTGACTTCATGAAAATTTAAAACTTTGGGGCATCAAAAGACACCATCAACAGAGTTAAAGGTAACCCACAAAATGAGAGAAAATATTTGCAAATCATATATCTGATAAGGGATTCATAAACTGAATGTATTGAGAACTTCTGAAACTCAGCAGCAACAAAACTCCAAATGACCTGGGTTCAAAATTGGGCAAAGGACTTGAATAGACCTTTCTCTGAAGAAGATACATGAATGGCCAATAAGCACATGAAAAGATACTCATCATAACTAATCATTAGGGAAACGCAAATCAAAACTATAATGAGATACCACTCACAGCTATTAGGAGGGTTACTATTAAAAAAACCGAACATAACAAGTGTTGATGGAACTGCTGAATGGTACAGTCACTGTGGAAAACAGTATGGTAGTTCTACAAAAAGTTAAACATAGGCTTAACCACATGATCCAGCAATTCCACTTCTGGATATATATCTAAAAGAATTGAAAGCAGGGACACAGATATTGTCCTGTTTTCAATATCTGTGTTGATATTCGTAGCAGCATTATTCACAATCACTAAAATATAGAAGCAATCCAGCGACCATTGAGAGACAATTGGATAAACAATATGTGATATATGCACACCATGGAATATTATTCAGCCTTTAAAAGGAAGGAAATTTGGCCAGGCACGGTGGCTCACGTCTGTAATCCCAACACTTTGGGAGCCCGAGGCGGGTGGATCACCTGAGGTCAGGAGTTCAAGACCAGCCTGGCCAACATGGTGAAACCCCGTCTCTACTAAAAATACAAAAATTAGCCGGGCATGGTGGTGGGCACCTGTAACGCCAGCTACTTGGGAGGCTGAGGCAGGAGAATCACTTGTACCAGGGAGGCGAGGTTGCAGTGAGCCAAGATCGTGCCACTGCACTCCAGCCTGGGCAACGAGAATGAAACTGCATCTCAAAAGAAAAAAAACAGAAAACAAAACGAAGGAAATTTGGACACATGCTACAACATGAATGAAACTTGAGGACATTATGCAAAGTGAAATAAGCCAATTACAAGAAGACATATACTGTGTGATTCCACTTATATGAGGTACTTAGAATTGACAAAGTCATAGAGACAGAAAGTGGAATGGTGGTTGCCAGAGGCTGGGGAAAGGGGAGAAGTGGGGGAGTTATTGTTAATGGGTACAGAATTTCTGTTTCACAAGATGAAAAGAGCTATGGGAATGGATGGTGATGATTACACAGAATTATGAATGTATTTAATCCCACTGAACACACTTAAAGATGGTTAACATAGTAAATCTTATGTGCATTTTGCCACAGAAATTTAAAAAGGACTTTAGACAATGCTTTGACACTTCTAGACTGTGGGAAGTCAGGGCTGTTGTCTTGGTAATGGTATTCTGTGTCTAAAAAATTTGATACCAGACAAAGTTAATTACCATGTGATATGACAGGTTCAATCGGTTTTCCTGAGCCCCTCAAAAGAAAAGGAGAAGCAGAAGTTGGAAGTGCGTCTATCGCTTTAGGGACACTCCAGTGCTCTGAATGAGTGAGTCTTGGAATGTGAGGCAGTTCGTCTCTATGCCTCTGCTCCTAGAACACACCCTTCAAAGGAAAACTTTGACTTTGATCCAACTTTAATCAGGGGAAGGTCATTTTGGTCCTAATTTCAGGGTTTTCAGTTTCTCCTGGTGTGTTGTATGTTCTCAAACTAAACGAGGTCTCCCTTTGTAGTGACTGTGATTTCAACCACAGCCACTGAATGCAGGCCTCCTGTGCCTGCTGGAGTGCCAAGCTGATAATATTTGTCAGTACTGGTCCTGTTGAGTGATGTGAGGGTTCCATAGCCCCTGTTAGGACAAGTAACGGGTCACTATTAAGCTAGGAACTTGTCTCTCATTCTTTTCACTGTCGTTTTGTGTAACCAAAGGGAGTCGTTGGGGGCAGAGACTTCTAAAAGACCTCGCAAAAATCATGACCATCCCCTTCCAACGTGGAGTGAATAATATTGCTAATAACATTCTAGACCACCCAGGTTGTTTTTGGAGAAAGTTCAGTGGAATACTAGGTACCTTTGCTAGGTTATCAGAAGAGCAATATGCTCTGTAATGGCGGCTACTGTAGGAAAACCTTCCCAAGGGGGAGTCACTCTGGCAGATGACAGGCGTGTGTGCCACAGTATGCTCCGGCCAGGGCAAGAACTGCGCACAAAATCATTACAGTCCTGTGGCTGCTGACACCCAGGTCCACCCCTCCACTCTTCAAAGAGGGTTTTGGATCCTTCTTGAAGCGTGTGTTTTCTTGACCCTTTAATGATTTGTAAAGGGGTCAGGGCCAACAATTTGCCTAAGAAAAGTTCCAATAGCCCAGTAACAAAACCTACAGGGTGTTGGTGTGTGGAGAGCAAATGGGAAGGGCAACACAATAAGAGGCCAGTAGATTCAAAGAAACGGACTCACGCTGATTTTGCGAGCAAAGTCTTGGCACTCAGTCAAAGCAGACAGGTAGAGTTTCAGAAAATACCAAGGCTCGACCTCTAGTGAGTACGTAGATGCCTTGTTCCCCCTAGAGCATACTTGATTTTGTTTCTAATTTCTATGAAGTGTTTTAATTACTGGAAAAAATCTGCAGTTGCGATATGGTTTTTCTCAGAATATGGGTGGTGGGCTGCACTTTTTTTAAGCTCTTTTGATTTCAGCTGATTAGAAAAACCTCATTTTTCTAGCATACCTTAGCCAGTGTTTTTCAAACTGTGAGTTGCAAATCATGAATAGGTTGCCAAATCCATCTCATAGATCTAGACCATCATTTTAAAAATGAAATAGAATGTAGAACATGTCCGTGTTTGTCTCACCTAGGAAACAATCATTTATTAGGATTAATTTTTATTATTTCAAATTTATACCTAAAGGCCAGAACTGATGGCACCTGAGGCAAGGTCAGAATAGGGATGGAAGATGTAGCGAGACGGGGCACTTGGCTCAGAAGGAGGGGAGAAGGCACTTTCTTATACGAAGAGCCAACCTCATATAGACCTGGGTTGCCAGTCTCCTGGGTGTCCTGCCTCATCAAGTATTTGTGCAGCCTACTCCAGCAAGGGTCTGTAGAGCATTGCTGTTCAAGGTGTGTAAGCTTAGAGTCTGGCTTTTCATCCTGTGTACCTTTCATAGCTGTGTGGTGTTGTGAAAGTTACTTAACCCCCCTGAGCCTCAGTTTCCTCTCTTTTAAAATAAAGAGAATAGCTGCTATGTCTTGTGGCTGTGAGGAGGAAATGTTGTTGATGTAACTGTTTAGTCCCGAGCCTGCCACATGGTAAGCCTTTTAAATGTCATTGCTATTACTGTTATATGAAAGATGGACTGTACAAGGTAAAATTGAATATAAAGAGAGATTTATTGATTTCCAATTTATATCATTCAAGCTTGCATGACACGCACCCATCCTATTCATCCATCTAATAAACTCTTACCGCAGGGAAATCCAGAGGGATCCCTTCTGAGCTTGATTCATCATCTAAGGTAGTAGTTGTCAATCCTATCGGAGCCACACTCCTTCACTGGCCTGAAATTAAATTCCTAGGTTATATAATTTACTTATAAGTATAATTTCAAAAAACAACATAATTCCACAACTGTTTTTAAAATTCTGATAAAATATGCATTTCATGTGTGAAATGTGTGCATAACTGTGCTAGAAAATGTCATGAAGTTGGCCAGTGCTGTGCTTGCATGTAGAGCCACCAAGAATGGAGGCTACAAGTGCAGACTGATACAGCTGTATTAAACTGGTAACTCAAATGTCATCAGTAGCATTGCTGTCAGTGACATGGTTTCCTGGAATTATGAGTTTCCAAACGAAGAAAAGTACATATTTCCCTCGGTATCCATGGGGGATTGGTTCCAGGACTACCCACACATACCAAAATCTGAGGATGCTCAAGTGCCTCATATAAAATTGGCCGAGTGTGGTGGCTTACACCTGTAATCCCAGCACTTTGGGAGGCCAGGGTGGGTGGATCACTTGAGGTCAGGAGTTCAAGACCAGCCTGGCCAACATAGTGAAACCCCATCTCTACTAAAAATATAAACATTAGCCAGGCACAGTGGTGGCCGCCTGTAATCCCAGCTACTCAGGGGGCTGAGGCAGGAGAATCACTTGAACCTTGGAGGCAGAGGTTGCAGGGAGCCAAGATTGCACCATTGCACTCCAGCCTGGGCAACAAGAACAAAACTCCGTCTCAAAATAAATAAATAATTTTTAAAAATAAATAAATAAATAAAATGGTGTTGCATTTGCATGTAACCTACACACTGCCTCCTATATACTTTAAATTATCTCTAGATTACTTACAATACCTAATACCATGTAGATGCTGTGTAAATAGTTGTTGTACTACATTTTTTAGGGAATGACAAGAATCTATAAATGTCCAGTACTGATACAACCATTCTTTTTTTTTCCTGAATATTTTTGACAAATGTGGAACCCACAGATATGGAGGGCAAACTGTATAGTCTTACTTTGACTTATATACGCAGTTGCAATCCTGGAAAATTCAGAATATATTAAAACCATGCAAAAAATTATTGTGCTTGAATGCACAAAGGAGTCAGATTCTAGGCTTGGATAGTTACAGACAGGGTTTTCACCTATGTGCATGCCTGACGGGACATGTGAATGTCAGCACATTGCAGGACTGCCAGCATCCCTAGCCTTTGCTCCCTAAACATCAGTAGTATTCTCTAACCTTTGTGACTGCCAAGATGCTATAAAGTTCCAACAGGCCCTATACAGTTGGGATCTCTTGTTAAAGGCAAACAGCTGGAGGGTGTGTGGTTGGGAGCAGATGGGGTGGCGCCCTCAAGGACTGGTTTCTTTCTTAGCTAACACAGCTCTTTAAGTCTTGCAGAGATGGGTGGGTAGATGCTGGTATGCCTTTCTGGAGAGAAATTAGGTTCTTTGTTCTGATTTGAGTTTCCCCTCTGATATGGTTTGGCTGTGTCCCCACCCAAAACTCATCTTGAATTGTAACTCCCACAATTCCCATGTATCATGGGAGGGACCCAGTGGGAGGTAATTGAATCATGGGAGTGGGTCTTTCCCGTGCTGTTCTCGCAATAGTGAATAAGTCTCACAAGATCTGATGGTGTCAAAAAGAGGAGTTCCCCTGCACAAGCTCTCTCTCTCTCTTTGCCCGCTGCCATCCATGTAAGATGTGACTTGCTCCTCCTTGCTTTCTGCCATGATTGTGAGGCCTCCCAGCCAGTGTGGAACTGTAAGTTCATTAAACCTTTTTTTCTTCCCAGTCTCGGGTATGTCTTTATCAGCAGCGTGGAAAGAGATTAATATACCCTTGTTCTCTACAGAAATCTTTTGAGAAAGGAAGAGGCACTGACTATGCAAGCATCAACCAAGCATGGCCCTTTCCTGAAAGGCTTCATCTGTAGGAGGGAGTGCTTTTGATCCTGGCTCCCAGCATATCAGAGAAAGCTTGCCTTTCTCTGATGCATCTTAACTGAGGAGATGCCAAGTTTATTCCTCAGTGTTTACAAGGAGGCTTGTTCATTTTGACACCCTTTCTGTGGTGTTGTGGAAAAGCACCGAACATACAGAGATGAGCCCCATGAAGTTGAATTTCTGTGATTCAGCTAGCATAATGTGGGCACTTTGGTTTTTCAAAAGCCATGTTCAGATTACACACAGAGGTATTTGGTTACATATATGCTGAGACTCTTG
Organism: Homo sapiens; assembly: GCF_000001405.40. Classification (NCBI taxonomy): domain Eukaryota; kingdom Metazoa; phylum Chordata; class Mammalia; order Primates; family Hominidae; genus Homo; species Homo sapiens. The sequence continues at coordinate 100,406,391 of NC_000015.10, read as the reverse complement.
GGAGGTGGCCAGTTTTAGTCTGCAGGTCACAAAAGGGAAAAAAGAAGTTGTACAGTTATGGATGTCATCTTGAAAAATGATGTGAGAAGAAACAGTCTTCATCTTCCATATCTTTTTTTCTTTTCTAAGCTGGGTTTAATAGAGACATTTGTGAACTGGCCTAGAGGGTGATCCTGGGGTCATGTCTATCACTGGACATGCACAGAGCTTGAGTTATCTTATTTGTTTTAATAATTCATATCATCCTTTATCTTCCACAATGAGGGTGGATCTATAGCACCTCCATCTCCTTTCCTCGGGGCAATGTTATTTTTCTAGATTTCTCTGCAAAATTACTTTGAGACACCATGAGAGAAGAGGAGGAAACATATAACTCATAATGAGTAACTGTCCTTGAAAGAGTTCTTGCATGAAGAAAATAGAAAACATTCTAATTACAAGTAATAAAAATATCCTGACAACCAAAATGCCCACATGAGTAGTACTTTACTTTGCAAGTGTTAGTGGGGAAACCCACAGTATTTGCTTTTTAAAAAGAAATCCTTATAAGTTTTATTTTTAAAATTATTATCAGGAAAATGGACATTTTTCTGTTGATGTAGAGTTTTGTGAATTTTAACATGTGTGTATATTTGTGCAGCCATCCCCATAATCAGGATACACAGCATCATTTCATCAACCCAAATAACTCTTTCCTGTAACCCAGTTCCAGCAACCACTTACCTGTTATCCATCCCTATAGTTTTATCTTTTTGAGAATGTCATGAAAATGATATTCATGTGTTGTACAATAGATCATATTTTGAAACTAACATTTTTTTACTCAGCATAATGTCTTTAAGATTCATCAAACTTCTTATAAATGTCAACAGTTTGTTCCTTTTTATTGTTAGGAGCATTTCATTGTGTGGGTGTTCCAATTGTTTTGCGTCCTTGTCAGTGCTTGGTATTGCCAGTCATTTTAACTTGTGCTATTCTAATGGGTTTGTAGTTGTACATCATCATGGTTTCCATTTGCATTTTCCTAATGACTAATGGTGTTGAACATCCTTTCATATGCTTATTTGTCATCCTGTGTCCTCTTTGATAAAGTGTCTCTTTGTATGCCTTTTGCCCATTTTTTAAATTAGGGGTTTTTTTTTGTTTTTTTTTTTTTTTACCATTGAGTTTTGAGAGTTCTTTATTATGCATACAAATTGGATATGTGATTTGCAAATATTATCTCCCAGTTTGCAGCTTATCCTTTCATTCTCTGAATAGTGTCTGTCTTAGGGCAAAAGTTTTTAATTTTGATGAATTCCAGTTTGCCAGTTTTTTCTTTCATGTTTTTAGTGCCGTGTTTAAGAACTCGTTGCCCAGATCAAGGTCATGGGTTTTCTTCTAAAAGTTTTAAAGTTTTATATTTTACATTTAGATCCATTAAGCTGGCTTTTGTACAATGTATGACATTTTAGTCAAAGTTTACTTATTTGCTTACAGATGTCCAGTTGCTCTGACCATTTGTTGAAAAGACTGTTCTTTCTCTACTGAATTGCTTTGAACCTTTGTAAAAATTCAATCAGCCATATTTGTGTGGATCTATTTCTAGAGCCTCCATTCTGTTCCACTGATCTGCATGTTTATTCCTTTGTGAACACCACCCTGTCTGGATTACTGTAACTTTATATAAGTCTTAAAATCTGGCAGTGTGAGTCCTCCCATTTTATTATGTTTTTCAGAATTGCTTTAGCTATTCGAGTTCCTTTGCCTCTCCATATAAATTTTAGAATTACATTGTCTGCATCTACAGAAAATTCTGCTGGGACATTGATTAGTATTGCGTGGAATCTACAGGATAATTTGGGGATAATTAATACTTTCATTATGTTCAGTCTTCCAATTCATGAACATAGTATGTCTCTCCAACTATTTAGGTCTTCTTTGATTTCTTTCAAAGAATTTCAGATTTCTCTCTGAATTTTGTAGGTTTTACATACAGATCCTATACATGGTTTGTTAGATGTATACCTAGGTATTTGATTTTTGAAACTATTATAAATGGCACAGATTTTTAAATTTCAGTTTTTAATTGGCCACTGCTAGTTGTATTAATTTCTATGGTGACTGTAACAAATTTCTACAAATTTGGTGCTCAAAATAACAGAAATGTATTCTCTCACAGTTCAAGAGGTCAGAAGTCCATAATTAGTTTTGAGCCAAAATCAAGGTGTCAGTTAGCAGGGTCGTGTTCTTTTCAGAAGCACTAGAGGAGCATCTGTTCTTTGCTGCTTCTAGCTTCTGGTGGCTGCCAGCATTTCTTGGCTTGTAACTGCATCATTCCAGTCTCTTCTCTGTCTTCACATTGCCTCTCTTCTGTGTGTTGGCCCTTCCTCTGCCTCTGTTTTTATAAGGACCACTTGTGATGCCATAGAGGGCCCACTTACATAATCTAGGATACTATTCTCATCTCAAGGATCTTAATCACATCTGCAAAAACTTTACACAGGGTAATTCTGGCCTCATAAAATAAAATGAGACCTGTTCCCTCCTCTTCTATTTTCTGGAAGTGATTGTGGATGTTTTGTGTTATTTCTCCTTTGTGTGTTTCATAGAATTTACCAGTGTAAACATTTGGACCTAGTGCTGCTGTTTTTCAGGTTTTTGATTACAAATTAAATGTCCTTCATAGTTATATGACTATCCAGATTACCTGTTTCGGCTGGGGCAAGTTTTAGTAGTTTGTAGTTTTTGAGAAATTGGTCCATTTTATCTAAGTTGTCAAATGTATATGCATAGAGTTGTTCATAGCATTCTGTTGTTATTCTTATATTGTCTGCAGTATCTATAGTCATGTCTTCTTTTTCTTTACTGTTAATTTGTGCTTTCCCTCTTTTTTCTTTATCAGTCTTGCTAGTGAGTTATTAGATCTTTTCAAAGAATTGGCTTTTGGGTTTATTGGTTTTCCTTATTGTTTTTTCTGTTTTCAGTTTCATTAATTGTTTTGTCCTAATTATTTCCTTCCTTTTGCTTGCCTTGGGTTTATTTGGCTCTTCTTTTTTTCTAGATTCTTAAAGTTGAAGCTGAAATTGTTTGAAACTTTTTTTCTTATTGAATATAAACATGTAAAGCTATGTATTTCCTTTTAAGCATATTTTAGCTGCATTGAACAAATTTTGATATGTTGCATTTTCATTTTCATTTAGTTTAAAATATTTTCTAATATTCTTTGAATCTTACCCTTTGACCCAGCGATTGTTTAGAAGGATCTTATTTACTTTCTAAGTGTTTTGAAATTTCCCTATTTTTGATATTGGTTTCTAGCTTAATTCCATTATGGTCTAGAAATATGCTTCGTGTAATGTCAATTATTTAGGTTTGTTAAGGTTGGCTTTATGATCCATGATATAGTCAATCTTGGTGAATGTTTAGTTATTTGGATATTGGGTTTTCCTTAAAGGGAGCCATACTTGAAACTGGCTGTTGGCAGATTTACTCAAGACTCTTCCTGGAAGATTGTCACTCACAGCCAATTCTTTCCTTTGTCTAGAGCATCCAGGATGTGAGGAGTGATGACGAGGATTATGAAGAGGAAGAGGAAGAGGAAGAAGAAGAGGCTACCAAAGGCAAAGAGATGGATTGTTTAAAGAACGGCCTCAGGGCTGAGAGGCACCTCATTCCCAATGGCCAGCATGGCCATTAGCTGGAAGCCTACAGGACTCCCATGGCACAGCATGCTGCAAGTACTGTTGGCAGCCTGGCTTCCAGGCCCCACACCGACCCCACATTCTGCCCTTCCCTCTTTCTCACCACCGCCTTCCCTCCCACCTAAGATGTGTTTACCAAAATGTTGTTAACTTGTGTTAAAATGTTAAATATAAGCATGCCCATGGATTTTTACTGCAGTTAGGACTCAGACTGGTCAAAGATTTCAAAGATTTCTCCACAGAACCGTCTCAGTTCTAATTGCACTCCCTCATGCATGTCACTTTCTCAGGGGCTCGCTTTGTTATAGACCCTTTCGCCTCGCCACCTTGCCTGTCCTCAGGACGCTTTCACAGGTGCTAAGTGATCTCATTTTTCCCAGGTGTGTTTGGCCACAAAGAGCAGCTTCTTTCTCAAAATGAGTTAGAAGTGGCAGTGGGACAGGAGCGGAAGGACCACACCAGGAGACACTTCCATCCTGAAGCTTAGGTGCCTCATCTCCACAGGGCGGTGGCAGTCCCTGCCTGCCACCCCACAGGGTTACAGCAAGGATTAAGTGAGATCACAGAAGTTTAAGTACACACTGTCAACCGTGGGGTCATCGTGAACCAACCCACTTTGCACTGTTTGGGAGACAGAAACCTGGCTAAACATGGCACTGCAATGGGCCTGAACAAAAGGCAGAATCTTTAAAAATTCCTCTTAAATGACTCTGGAGATACCTGGAAATGAAAGTGCCAAGAAAGGTGTTCCATTTTATTTGCTAACTATTTATGCATTAGCTCCCCAAGGGTCATTCTCAGATTCTCCTGGAATTCTTCTCCCTCAGGACCCATGGTTCAAGGAAGGAAGCTTAGGCCCTGTTCCTTCCTGTCCTTTGCTGGTCTTTCCCTTTTTTCCTTTCTAGGAGGGAAGCTTCTGTGCTGCTGCCCTGAGCCCTTCCTTCAGGCCAGCACAGTACCTGGGGACCTCCACGGGGGAATGGGATCCAGGCCAGGTTGCTTGCTGAGCCTCATCACCCAGGAGGCCTGAGCCTCTGGGGAGGGCACGCATGTACACTGCCAGACCCAGGGGAGATCTTGGGAACAGAGGATGCTACGTGATTTCCTCTGGCTTCCAACCCAATCAGCCTGCATCACAGTGAAACACAACACAAAAGGCCATAAAAGGCATACCCCTGAGAAATGTTTAAGGGCAGGTGCTAGAGTCAGTGCCAGCTCCCTGGGAGGAGGGATAGGGACGGGCAGATCAGTAGCCAGCTTGTCCTCACCCTCCGGAAGGGAGCACCGGAGAAGACTTGCACACGTCCCTGCCTCCCTTGCGGCCTTGTCACCAGAGGGACACATCTCCTGGGCACAATGTGCAGGGCTGACCTGGGAGACTTCTCAGGTGGCTGCTGGCTGAGGAGAGGCCAGGCCTTCCCAAGGAAGACCCTGAGTAAAATCTGCATCTGTCCTCACCACCTGGCACAGTCTCTCATAACGGTCAGATTTTGTATGTTCATCCTATTTATTCAGGGGCTCGTACTAGAAAGCCACAGGAGAGGTCGGCTTGTAGGGACTGGAAAATCAGCCCCAAGCAGAGCAGCTGCAGGGCCCCTGGAGCCGGAAGGACACTGCACAGAACAGACTGCGTTATTGTTATTTTTAAATAAAAATATACATTTGAAACCTTAAGGCTAAACAAAAATAAACAAAAAATCCTTTAGAATTCTTTCCACAACAATATCTCTTTCTGAGAAATTGTTACAAACAAGGTCAGATTTTCTCTGTATAACATTTGCTTTTATGAGGACAATATCATATGCATTATATGCATAATATGATATTATAAATCAAAATGCCTGCACCCACTTTAGGGTATAGCTATTGACTTATTATTAATATTATATTATTATTATTTTGCTGGAAGAAGGTCACACTAAGATATAATTTTTTATGTTTTCAGTTAACGGTATGCTTTCTTCTTTGCTTATTTGGTTTTTGTCTCTGTACCAAATATCTTCTTGCTTAAGGTAGAAAAGTATTTGTTTACCTCTATCTCCAGTTTTTTTTCTTATTTGAATGTTGAAGGTAAAATTGATATACCAATTTTAACTATTTCTGATACAGCTGAAAGCACTAAACTACTTCATAAGAAGTAGATACTCATTTTTGTAACACTATTTAGGGCTTTTGTGGTTAATTTTAAAGGAAACCACTCTTTCTACAGGAAACAAGGGCTCAGGATTCTTCAGATGACCTTATAAAAATGCAGTCCACAGTGCTATCAATATTGTAACAGTAATGACTACAATAAAGCCAAAAGTCCAGTGTACCTGGTGATTGAGTAGATTCAGCACACACATTGCTTGGCTTCTTAGGGATAATAACAGGTCTCCCTGTGTAGTGGAAATAAAGATTTGCCATTCCTCCGGAAGGGCCATGCCAGGAATCAGGGAAGCAGTGAGGAGAAGGAAGCCAGGTTGGGATATTCGGGCTGCTGCGTTTGCGGTGTCAGACACCAGATAAGAGGAGCCTGGCTGACATGGGGAGCCCCTTGCCTGATTGGGGTGAGCCTCTGGGCTATGTACGGTGGAACCAGCCAGCCAGCCTGGGGGCTGGAGCCTAAGGAGAGCTCGGCATCTGCACCCTGTGCAGGAACCACTGAAGTGCTAAGAAAGGGGACTGATTCTAAAGGTGTTTTCTCAGCCTCATTTTCTGTATTTACCTTTCAAAGGTGTAGGAGGAAACAGAGTCTAGACTGTCCATCAGAATGACCTATGGAGCTTTAAAAACAAACGCACCTTGCCTGTCTCCTGCTCCACGTTTTGATTCAATATTTCTGGAGTGAGCAGCAAAAATCTTCATTTTAACGGAGTGCCATGTATTTCTGAAGAGCAGTCAAGATTCTGTGTGCCTTCCTCTGGTTTTAGTCCTAGCTGCAGTTTCATATGCTAAGAGCTGGGAAAATGCAATGGTACAGAATATTTAATCCAAAATAAAAGAAGAAAAGGAAACACAGAACAAGCAAGATGAATCGCAAACTCATGTTAAGATGGTGAGTAGGTAGATTTCAGTTCACATTTACCAGTAATTATACCAAGTGTAAAAATAAAGAGAGTGCCAGGCTCGATTTTTAAAAATCTCAATTATACGGTGCTTACAAGAGATACACTATAAAAAAGTGTTGAAAGTAAAAACATGGACAAATATATACCATGCAAACTCCACTCCTCCCCCAAAAAACGCTGGCATAGTTATATCAATATCAGATAAAGGAAAGGAGAACTAGTGGATAGTAAGAGGAATGTTTAATGCTAATGAAAGGGGCTAGGTGCGGTGGCTCACGCCTGCAATCCCAGCACTTTGTGAGGCCGAGGTGGGCGGATCACGAGGTCAGGAGATGGAGACCATCCTGGCTAACACGGTGAAACCCCGTCTCTACTAAAAATATAAAACATTAGCCGGGCGTGGTGGGAGGCGCCTGTAGTCCCAGCTACTCGGGAGGCTGAGGCGGGAGAATGGCGTGAACCTGGGAGGCAGAGCTTGCAGTGAGCCGAGATTGCGCCACTGCACTCCAGCCTGGGCGACAGAACCAGACTCCATCTCAAAAAAAAAAAAAAAAAAAAAAATTTAAATCTGTATACACCTAATAATATAGCTTCAAAATATATGAAGAAAAATTTCACAGACTTAAAGGGAGTAACAAATTCATAATCCTGTTTGGGCGGTTTTTAATACATCTCTCAGTATCTGATAGAACAAGAAGACAAAAAAAAAAACAAAAAAACCAATAGGAATATAGAAGATTTGAACAATGCCATTAACAAAATCCACCTAGTTGATGTATATATAGAACACTGCCCCCAACAACTGCAGAATTTACATTTGTTTCAAGTGCATATAGAACATTTACCCAAATAGGCCATATACTGGCCTTTAAGGCAATTTCCAAAACATTTCAAAGGTTTAAAATCACATGGAATATGATTACAGATAACAGTGAAATTAAACTAGAAATCTATAACAAAAAGATAAATGGAAAAATCTCCACATATTTTTAAATTAAGCAATGCACTTCTAAATAACCTGTAGATCAAAGAAGAAATGGAAATAAAACATTTTAAACTGAATTATAGTAAAAAATGTGTGGGATGCAACTAATAAGAAATTTAGAGAAAAAATTATATTAAAAGCTTTTATAAGTAAAGATAGAGGCTGACAAAATCAGTTGTCTAAATATATCAAAATATAAAGAGGAAAATTAGTAACATGGAAAACATAATAGCTCAGAGTATCAAATAAAAAAAGCTGGTTTCTTAAAGTAAAAAATTTATAAAATTCTAGCAAGACAGATGAAGAAAGACAAAGAGCAATGTTAGGAATGAAAAGGATCCATCACTGTAGACCAAGCAGAAACCAAACAGGTAAGGAGAGAATATTGTGAACAACTTTATGTCAATACATTCGAAGATGTATACAAAATGTATAAAGTCCTAGGAAAACAAAACTTGTCAAAATAGACACGAGAAGAAATAGGTATTTAAATAGTGCTCTATCTGAAACAAAACTGAATCCGAAATTTTAACCCTACCTGCCCACCACCCGCCACAAAAAAAGTCCACGAAAATACTTTAGGTCCAGATCAATGAACTCTTCCAATATTTAAGGAAAAAATAATACAAGTATTATGCAACCTTTTCCAGGGACAAAAGGAACAGACATTTCCAAACTTGCTTTATAAGGCCAGCATAATCTTGCCAAAATCTGACAATAATATTAGAAGAAGAAAGAAACAAAACTATAGGCTAAGTCGATCACGAACATAGGTACAAAATTCCTAAAAGAAAGCAAAATGAATTCAGCAATATATAAACAGATAATATGTGAAAACCAGGTTGGGTTTATTTTAGGAACTTGAGGTTGATTTAATACTTGAAAATTAGTGTTAGTCACCATTTTTATAAAATAAAGGAAAAAGCCATATGTTTAAAAACCTTTATAAAATTCAACATACATTTGTTACAACAAAAACAAAAATCCCTTTTATCAAAGTAGGATGGAACTACCTTAATCTGATAAATAGTATCTTTAAAAAGCGAAAAAGCATTGTAATGCTATAATGATGGAATATTGAAACTATTGAAAACTTTTCCCTCTCAGATTGTTATTAAGACAAGGATGCTCGTGATCTTCAAGGATACCCATCATTCTAAATATAGTTAATATTGTTTCTCTTCCCTCTCCTCTCCTCTCCTCTCCTCTCCTTTTTCTCTTTCTCTTTCTTTTTTTTTGAGACAGAGTCTCACTCTGCTGCCCAGGCTGGAGTGCAGTGGTGCAATCTTGGTTCACTGCAACCTCCACCTCCCGGGTTCAAGCAATTCTCCCACCTCAGCCTCCCAAGTAGCTGGGATTACAGGTGCACGCCACCAGGCCAGGCTAACTTTTGTATTTTTATTACAGACAGTTTCACTATGTTGGCCAGGCTGGTCTTGAACTCCTGGCCTCAGGTGATCTGCCCACCTTGGCTTCCCAAAGTGTTGGGATTTCAGGCATGAGCCACCACACCCAGCCAACACTGTATTTTTCATTCTAGCCAATGTAATATTTCAAGAAATAAACATTACAAGGTTTGAAAGGGAGAAATAAAAGCTGTTATTGGAGATGCAAATATATAAAATAAATTTTGTGTGTGTGTGTGTGTGTGTGTGTGTGTGTAATTTATACAGAAATGCCAAGAAACAAGTCTGGTCAAGACAATCTTTGAAAGAACAAAGTGAGAGAACTTATTCTGCCAAATACTAAGACATATTATAAAATATTTAAGGCAGTTCAAAATTAGTACAAGCATAGGCAAATAGAAGAATAACATTGTTATTAAAGTCCAGGAACAAGTTCACGCATATATGGACAGTTGGCTATCACTAATGATAAAAATTTAACAGAGCTGGGCATGGTGGCTCAGGTGTATAATCCTAGCACTTTGGGAGGCCAAGGTGGGAGGATTGCTTGAGGCCAGGAGTTTGAGACCAGCCTGAGCAACATAGCGAGACCTGCCCCCCACCGTCTCTACAAAGAATAACAAATTAGCTGAGTGCGCTAGCTAGTGTGTTCCTATAGTCCCAGCTACTCAGGATGCTGAGGCTGGAGGATCACTTGAGCCCAGGAGTTGGAGGCTGCAGTGAGCCATGATCACGCATGTCTCCAGCCTGGGAGACAGAATGAGACCTTGTCTCTAAAAAAAGAAAATTTAAACTTGGCCCCTACTTAACAACACCATACACAAAATAAATTCCAAGATTTTTGTATATTTAAATGCAAAAGGTAAAATAATAAAGGTTCCAGAAGGAAACATAAGAGAATATCTTAAAATAAGCAAAGATTTCTTGAACAAAACATCAAGCATTATTTATAAAGGAAAATATTAACATCATATTAAATCAAAATAAAGAACATTTGTTTGTCAAATATGCTATTAAGACAGTGAAAAGCCAAGCCATAGAGTGAGAGAAAATGTTTGCAACACATAGAACTAATGAAAGGTTAACATCCAGAATATTTGAAAAACTCATACAAAAAATAATAATGAAAACATACTGGTCAGGTGTAGTGGCTCATGCTTGTAATCCCAGCACTTTGGGAGGCCGAGGCAGGCGGATCACCTGAGGTCAGGAGTTCGAGACCAGCCTGGCCAACATGGTGAAACCCCGTCTTTACTAAAAACACAAAAATATTAGCCAAATGTGGCAGTGGGCGCCTGATAATCCCAGCTACTCGGGAGGCTGAGGCATGAGAATTGCTTGAACTCGGGAGGCGGAGGTTGCAGTGAGCTGAGATGGCACCACTATACTCTGGCCTGGGCAACGGCAATGAAACTCTGTCTCAAAAAAAAAGGAAATCATACTGACAGCCCAATGATAAAAGCGAGCAAGGCATTTAACCAGACGCTTTAGAAACGACCATATCCAAATGTCCAACACACAGGAAAAAGTGCTCGATTTCATTAATCACAAGAGAAACGCAAAGTACAACCACCATAAAATACCACTAAACACCTACCAGAATATTGATAATTAGATAGTACCAAACGGCAATCACGAGGAGCCAGCTGTGCAGACAGGTGCAGCTGAGGCAGGAGAGGTAGTCAGGGAAGTAACCACCAAGTCCTTGGGATGGCAACTGTGGCAACCGCACCATCAACACAATAAGCCCCAGCACTCATGTTGTAGTCAAACTCATTCAAGCAAAGCTATATCCAGTAGGGAACAACCCCCATAGAGAGCATATGCTTTTTTATTTTACCTGACCTCAGACTGACCCTTTGTTCATAATAATTGTAAAAAACACACCCCTGGGTGGAGATTTAAGATGCTAATAAGACATGCAATATATGAATGTATGAACAAGCATGTACAGCTACTGCGTGTGTGCACCCTGAGGACCACTCAGAACATACTTACTAGTAACACCTCTTCTCACCCTCTTGTGAATAACCATGTAAGACTCCCATAAAACGAGTTGCCCCAGTAACAGGCAACACTGTCTCATCCTTATGAGCAGCCTGCTCTGAGTCCTCTCTCAGGGTGTAGTCTATTCTGCACCTAACTTTGAGAGTATTCTTTGTGATACATTGCTCTATGCTGCATCTTCTTTGCTGTGTCTCTTGTTTAAATATTTTTGAACTAAGAAGACAAGAACTGAGGTTTCATAACAGTCATCAACACAGCAACTTTGAAAAACAGTTTGTCATTTTCTGTAATTGAATATATGTCTATATTATGACCCAGCAGTTTCACTTCTCATTATACAGTTGACCCATGAACAATGCAGGGGTTAGAGGTACTGACTGCCCAGGCAGCTGAAAAATCTATGTATGACTTAACTCCCTAAAAACGTATCTACTAATACCCTACTGTTGACCAAAAGCCTTACCAAGGACATAAACAGGCAATTAACATACGTTTTGTATGTTTGATGTTTTATGTCAACATACTGTATTCTTACAACAAAGTAAGCTAGAGAAAAAGACATTATTAAGAAAATCAAAAGGAAGAAACATGTATCTGCTATTCATTACATGGACGTGCATCATTATAAAGGGCTTCATCCTTGTCATCTTCGCATTGAGTAGGCAGAGGAGGAAGAGGAGAGGTTGGTTTTGCTGTCTTCCAGGTAGCAGAAGCAGAAGAAAATCCATGTAAAAGTGGACCCATGTGATTCAAACCTGTATTACTCAAGGGTCAACTACAGAAACGAAAGGCATGTGTGTGAATAATCCTATCAGCAATGTTCATAATTGCCTAATGGACACTTTCCAAATGTTCATCAAGAGTAGGATGGATAAGTAAACTGTGGTATGTTTATAGTATGAGATACTATATAACACTGGAAACAAACTGGTATTTGCAACAATGTGGCTTCATCACACAATTTTAGTGTTTTGCAAAAGAATCTACTCCAAAATGAATACACAGTTTATGTTTCTGTTTTTTATAAAATTCAGAATCAGTCAAAACCAATCTATGGTGCTAAAGTCAGGGTAGTGGCTATCTCTGAGGTGAAGGGAGGGGCTGTGTCTTTATGGGGGCCCTACAGGCTTTCGCGATGCTGGTGATGTTCTACTTCTTGACCTGGGTGGTGGTTACATGGGTGTGTTCAATTTGTGATCAATCGTGAAATGGTAAACTTGATTTTTATACTTTTCCATATGTATTATAATTTTTAAGTTATTAAAATGAAAAAGGAAAAGCTAGCTACTTTTACCTGAGACAGCTGACATTATTGACCAAAATCTCTTTTTTATAAGAACTTTCAATGCAAAAAAAATTTTTTTAAGTAGACATAAAAGCCCATAATCTTATCACCAGGTAATCGCCATTGGCATAGAAAATAACAGTAATAAAATTGATACATGTGCATCAAGCATTCAAATAATGCAAAAATGGAAAGTAAAAAAGCTCTCTGCACAGTCTCTCTCCCAAAGGGAAGCACGTTGACATTAATTGTGATTCCATCCACAAGCACCCTTATGCCTATTTTAGGAGGTATCCACTGCTCCCTGCCAGCTCCCCAAATAACCTCAACACAACTTGCTGCTAAGACAGCTCCGAGCTTCTTGCTCATGGCAGGAAGGGAGAGCACCTCCTTGACAGAGCTGCGGCACTGCTCAGTGGGGGAAGGACCAGGCCCTACCGCATTGAGCTTTCTAGGACTGGCTGAGGATGGCGATAGCACAGCTTAGGGCTGGTGAAAGCAGCAATGCCAAGGTCCTGAGGTGTTCAAAGAGTCTCAGGGCTTTTAAGGAGTAAGCTGTCTACCAAGGCCTATCACTGTCTTGTGAGAAGGTCCTCAAATGAACAATATAGTTATTTGCCTGACAAAAGTCTTCTGGAATAGTAAATTATACTAATGAAAATAAGGAATACTCAAGTTATACTAATAAGGACAGTGAGCTTGGGGGGTCTGTGGTTTAGGCTCTACTCTGCATACTTATGCCATCTCTGTGTATACAGTTGGCCCTCCCTGTCCATGGTTCTGAATTCATGGATGGATTTGACCAACCATGGATGGAATTTGAATATATTGGGGGTAGGGGGAGGAACTGGGTCTGTACTGAACATGTACAGACGTTTTTTCCTGTCATTATTCCCTAAACAGTACCTTATAACAACTAGCTACATGGCATTAACACTACGATTTCAAGTATACAGAAGGAAAGTGCACAATTGTATGCAAATACTCTGCTATTTTATATCAGGGACTTGAGCATCTGGGGATTTTGGTATCCACAGGTTGGGTGGGGGCGGCCCTGGAACCGATCTCAACCAGACATTGAGAAACAATTATGTTTCTATTATCCTTATTCATAGAAACGCTGCACTAATGTGCCCAGGTGAAGTGGAAATGAAGGCATAGGGCCACCTCTTCTACGTGCCCCCGGGACTATGAATACCCAGAGGCATTGCCGTTACCTAATTTGCACTAAGATTCCATATAGGCTATTAGCACTCTCATGCAATCTATTTTTAAAACACAAAAAGACCTGTGCTCTGAGTGGAACACGCTGGTCTGTACCTTGCTTTTTTATCACTGCTGGGTGGTAGAGAGCTTTCCACATCAGCACAGGTGGACTTCATTGCTGTAGGGGCTGCCCCTAATCCTTAAAAATGTATAATCCTTAGAAATGTATCACAAAATATTTAACCAGTCTCATATTGTTGCAAGCTTGAGCTGTTTCTAGTTTGTAGCTCTTAAAATATTACAATGAACATCCTTGGGAGCAAGTATTTAACCAAGACTGCCTGAGTTAAAATCCCTACTCCATGGTATACTGTGTAATCTTGGGCAAGTCCCTTAATTTCCACTTTTTTTTTTTTTTTTTTTTTTGAGACGGAGTCTCGCTCTGTTGGCCAGGATGGAGTGCAGTGGCACAGTCTCGGCTCACTGCAACCTCCGCCTCCTGGGTTCAAGCGATTCTCATGCCTCAGCCTCCTGAGTAGCTGGGGTTACAGGCTCGGGCCACTATGCCAGGCTAATTTTTGTATTTTTAGTAGAGATGGAGTTTCACCATGTTGGCCAGGCTGGTCTTGAATTCCTGACCTCAAGTGATCCTCCTGCCTTGGCCTCCCGCAGTGCTGGGATTACAGGTGTGAGCCACTGTGCCTGACAAGTCCTTAATTTCTTCACCCTCAGTTTAGTCATCTATAAAAAGGGCATAAGATCTTCCTCATGGTGTCATTTTGAGGATTCAATGAGATGATCCATTTGGGAATTTTTTACCCTGATTTCTTATAGCAAGCCCTCAGTACATGTTAACTCTTCTTACTATTCATAATTACCACAGGGTAAATTTCTACAAGTGAGATTTCTGGGTCAAAAGGCACATACCTTTTTTTCACTAGATACAAATTGCCTTTTTCTACAACATTTAAACTCTACTGCCATTTCTCTGAAATGGGAATCAACTTCTGACCTTTTTGTCTGCCTGACAGACTTAATCTTACCGTGTTTAACTTGCAGATGGAACATTTGTGGTTCTTTTGTTTGCTTGTCTGTTTTTCTATTGGAATAGTGCTCTTTTCCTTGTAAATTTCTATGAGCTCATTATAAATTAAGGGGTTTGCTTTCTTTTCCATCATATGTAATATAAAAATTTCCTAGTTTGCTTTTGGTCTTATGACTTTATACATAAAATTGGGGGGGACATTTTTTTTCCTTTGGTAATAAAATATATTAATCATGTCTTCAACAGTCTTCGGACTCTGTATCTTGCTTGGAAAGTCTGCGCTAAACAGAATTATACTCAAAAACATTCATGCTTCTTTTTATAACTTACATAGGTTGATGAACCCTTTGCTCCATCTGGTATTTATTTTGGTGTAAGAAATGAGGTAAATAGGGGTTTTTAAAAATGGTTTGCTGGTTGTCCCCAAGGCATTTGCTGAGCATTTTTTTCTTTTCCTTTGTGCTTTGCAATGCCACTCTTAAATTATTTTGTGTCTCTTGTCTCTTTCTGGACTTCCCATTCTGTTTCACCGAAGTACTTCCAATACCAAATTGTTTTAATTAGTACAGCCTTATAATAGGTTTTCTTATGGTTAGATCAATAATCCGTTTTTCCTCTTGTCTTTCCCAATATTACTGGCCCATTCAACATCTTTATTTGATTTCCAATATTTATTTTATTCCAAGCTAGAAACTGGATGAATTCTAGTTTTTGTTTTTTGTTAGGCTCCTCTCAAAATCCCAATGGTGTGCTATTTTAAGATTGCTTTAAATTTATACACTTAGAAGAACGGACAATTTATCATATTGAGTATTCCCATCGAAGAGCGAGTTGTCTTTTCAGTTAAATTCTTTATCTCTTAGTAAAATAGGGAATTTTATTTGTATACACCCTGAACATTTCCTTTAACATTTCACGGAGGTAATTTTCTCTTTGATTATTATTGTGAATAAAATCTTTACTTCCTTTTATTTTTTTTAATACTTAGAAAAGCTATTGATTTTTGTATGATAGCTGTGAGATATGCCTCTCCGCTCAAGTTTCTAATAGGTTTTCAGCAATTTTGGGGTTTTCTATGTATAGAAAGTCATCATTTACAGATTATTTGTTACTATATATGATAGTAATAAATCAAAATACTTTATTACTATGTATGATAGTAATAAATTGTCTGTAAATTATAATTTTCCATTTTTTCTCCAATATTTATCTTTTCTTTTTGTGTAAATGCATTGGTTTTTATCTCTAGATTAGTGTTGATACAGACTAGGCTTGTCTTGCTTCTGCCTTTAAAGATTATGTTTCTAGTTACTCACCATTAAGCATGATGATGGCTTTTAGTTTCACACATATATTCTTCCTCTTTTTAGTTTGAAAAATCAGAAATGGGTGTTGAATTGCATATCTTGGGGGTGTTGATTTAGCCCTTTGTCATTTGGCCTGTTAGTCTGATGGTGATAGTTTTTTATTACTGGACTAGCCTAGCATTCCTGAGGTCAGCCCATCTTGGTCACAGTGTGTTATTTTTTCATTTACAGATGGATTTTATTTGTCCACATTTAGCATTTTAGCATAGATTTTAATTTTGTGTTTAAAAATTAACTTTATCTTTCAGCACAATTTTGAGCTCACAGCAAAACTGAGTGGAAGGTATAGTGGTTGTCCATAAACCCTTTCCTCACACCTGCATAGCCTCCCCATAATCAACATCTCTCATTAGAGCAAAATGCTTGTTACAATTGATGAGCCTATATGGACACATCATTGTCACCCTGAGTCCATAGTTGACACTAGGGTTCATTTCTGGTGCTGTGCATTCTATGGGTTTGGGCAAATGTATCATGACATGTAGTCATCATTATAGTACCATACAGATAGTTTCAGTGCCGTAAAAATCCTCTGTGCTCCCCCAATCATCCCTCCCTTCCCCCACCCCGCAGCAACCACAGATCCTTTTACTGTCTCAATAGTTTTGCCTTTTCTAGAAAGTCATATGGTTGGAATCATATAGTCTGTAGCATTTTCAGATTGACTTATTTCACTTAGTAAAGTTAAGTTTCCTCCATGTCTTTTCATTGTTTCATAGTTCATTTTAGCACAAAATAATATCCCATTGTCTGGATGAAGCACAGTTTATTTACCCATTCACCTACTGAAGGATATCTTGGTTGCTTCCAAAGTTGGGCAATTATGAAAAAAAGCTTTTATAAACATTTATGTGCAGGTTTCTGTGTGGACATGTTTCATTTGGGTAAATATCAGGGTGCACAATTGCTGGACTGTCTGATAAGAGTGTGTTCATTTTGTAACACTGCCAACTTGTCTTTTAAAGCGTCTGTACCATTTTGTATTCCCACCGGCAACGGATGAGAGTTCCTGTTGCTCCACATCCTCACCAGCATTTGGTGTTGTCAGTGTTCTGGATTTTGCCCATTTTAATGAATGTGTAGTGGTTTAGCAAAAATTTTTCACTAAAAATTTTTTCTACAGATTTTTATTTTGCATTCTTCTTAATTATTTTGTATAAATATTATGCCAGTTTATAAAGAGAAATTGGAATGATTCTTTCTTTTCTCATTCTGAAATACTTTAAATAGTATCAGGCTTATACATTCCTGGAGAGTTTGAAAGAATTTACTTTTGAAACCATTTAAACTTAACAGATTTTGGGGGTGGGGGTGGGGGGTAATTTTTTTTAAGCTTTCTTAACATCTTCAATTGTTATCAGTCTGTTGGGTAGTCTTCTATCTCAAGGCCAATTTTGCTCATCTATATTTTCTTGAAAACCAATTTCCTCTATTCAGCTTTTCAAATGTGTTTGTATAGATAATTGCAAAATCCTCTGGAATAATTTCTCTGTATTCATGCTTATTTTGCCCTTTTCATTTATAATGTGTGATTGCGCTTGCTTCCTTTACTTCTTGATTAGGCTATACAGTAGCTCATCTCCATGACCCACCCCCCAAAATGATCAGTTCTTATGCTTATTAATTTCTAACTTTATATTCTTTTGTTCTGCTTTCCTTGGTTTATTGCTCCTTTTCTAATTTCTTGAGCTGGATACTTTCTTTTCTTGTTTAGATATGTAGGTGTTTAAGGCTATGAATTTTCCTCCAAACACAGTTTTAGCCCATTTTATACTGTTTTCATAGGTATTGATGTCATATAATTGTTTTAAAGATAGTCTATAATTTTAGTTTTTATTTCTTTGTTGATCCAAGATTATTTATGATAATGTAAAAAATGATAGTTGGTTAATTTATCCCCCATCTATTTTTTTATTTTCTAGATTATTTTTGCATTATAGACAAACCGTGTACTCTCTAATATATTTTGCAATATATCTAGCATATTTTGTTGCCTAATGTATGTTCTAGGGCAGCAGTCCTCAACCTTTCTGACATCAAGGACCAGTTTCATGCGGGTGGGGGGGTGTTTGGATGGTTTCAGGATGAAACTGTTCCACCTCAGATCATCAGGCATTAGATTCTCATAAGGACAGATGTGCAATGTAGATCCTCGACATGTGCACTTCACAATAGCGTCCGTGCTTACAACAGAATCTAAAGCAGCCACTGATCTGGCAGGAGGTGGAGCTCAGGCCGTAATGCTCGCTTGCCTGCAGCTCACCTCCTACTGTGCCCAATGATACCAGTTTGTGGCCCAAGGTTGGGGACCCCTATTCTAGGGGAACTTGCAAATGTATATGCAATTTTGTCAGGATATTATTCAACCTTATCAATTATTTTATTTAGATTCATATTTATTTGGGGTATGTCATGCTTTGACAGAGGTGAGTTAAAATCTTCCACAGTCATAGTTATGATTTCCAATTTCTGCTATTTTTTCATAGTTAAGTTTTTTTATTGCTATATTTTTGGTGCATATCTTATTTGTGATACTTGTAGCTTCAGTGTGGATTTTACTTTTATTAATATGTGTGTCTGCCTCAACTAGTTTGGCTTTTTCTATCTTGAGTGTCACATTGTGAGTTGTATAACTAATATTAATAACTTGATTCCTGATTTCTTTTGAACTGAATTTGTTTGAAATAGTTTTGACTTTAATTTTTATTCTTTATGATTTGATTTGTTTTAATTTCATATCATATATCATAGGTTCTGAAATGTTTCTACCACATTTCTGACACCGTATGTGTGGGTTTTTCCCATTCCAACGACCAGCTCTTCAATTCTTAGGACACAAGCTGTGTGTCCTATAATTCAATTCAATTCTGGCCCTAACTACTTGGAGTCAGTGTCAACTCTGAAGGTTTAAGGGCTCTGATCCACAAGACTGCCCTCACTTCAGTTGCGAGTCCTAGATTGTGACGTATATTTCTGACCAACTGGCTACACACTGGCGATTCCCTCTCATCAGGTTCAATAACTCCCTTGAACAGCTCATAGAACTCAGGAAGGCACTTCACTTATGTTAGTCAGTTTATTATGAAGGATGCAACTCTGGAACAGCCACACTGAAGAGATACGTGGGGTGAGGTACAGGGATAGGGGCACTTCCATGCCTCTTCAGGCACTTCACCCTCCCAGCACCTTGATGGGTTCACAGGCATAGAATCTCTCCAAAGCCTGTCATTTAAGAGTTTCATCAAAGTTTTTTTACATAGACATGATTAAGTCAGGAGCCACTGGTGTTTAACTCAGTATCCAGCCCCTCTCCCTTCCTCAGAGGCCAGGATAAGTTGGAAGGTTCCAACCTCTAAATATGCCTTGGTCTTTCTGGTGACCAGCCCCACTTTATAGGTGTGGCTATAAAGGTGTGGCCAAAGGAACAGCTTTGGCTGTTGACTGTGGTGGTAGGTATCCAAAGCTATGCGTGTGATAAAATTGCATAGAACTATGCATACACACACACACAGACACACATGCACAAATGGGTTCATGCATAATTGGTGAAGTCCAAATAAACTGTGGGTTGTACAAATGTTAATTTTTTGGTTTTGATATTACACTGCAGTTATGCAAAATGCTATCACTAGGGATATGAGAGTGCAGGGTTGCAGGTTGCACAGGACCTCATTTTATATCTTTTTTCTAACTTCCTATGAATCCATAATTATTTTAAAATAAAAAGTTAAAAAAATGTCAAATAATTCCAACATCTGTGTCATTTTGATATTGGCATCATTAATTGTCTTTTCTCATTCAAGTTAATATTTTCCTGGTTCTGGCTGGGTGCGGTGGCTCACGCCTGTAATCCCAGCACTTTGGGAGGCCGAAGCAGGAGGATCACTTGAGGTCAGGAATTCGAGAACAGCCTGGCCAACATAGTGAAACCCCATCTCTACTAAAAATACAAAAAGTTAGCCAGGCATGGTAGTGTACGTCTGTAATCCCAGCTACTCAGAAGGCTGAGACAGGAGAATCGCTTGAACTTGGGAGATCGAGGTTGCAGTGAGCAGAGATCATGCCACTGCACTCCAGCCTGGGTGACAGAGTGAGACTCTGTCTCCAAAAAATATAAAAATATAAGATTTTTCTGATTCTTGGTATAACAACTAACTTTGTATTATATCCTAAACATTTTGGTTATTATGAGACTGGATTTATCTAAGTCTTCTATTTTATCACGCCGTTTTTGACACCATGATGGTGAGGAATAGGAGAGGAGGAGCTGCCTCATTAGTACCTGGTGAAGGTGGAAATCCAGTTTCCTCACTTTGCCAGTGTTGACACCCAGGTGCAGAAGGGTGTATCATTAGTGCTAGGTGAAGATGGTAGCTCAGCCTCCCTGAGACCTCTGCTGACATGCTGACACCACCCTGGCTAGTAGGAGCACTTCATTGCCCTTCCCCACATTGCTTCCACTGACACTGCAGAGTGGGATGAGCGCTCAGTATTGCTTGAAGGTGGTGAAATTCTCAGTTCCCCATCCAGCTTCCTCTGAAACCATCCCAGTGAGGAGAGGAAAAGACATGCAACTGATGGAAGTCTAGGTTCCCCACTCATTCTTTGCTGTGAGGAGCGGGAATGAGGGCACAGTTTTTTTTTCATGGCATTTGGCTGGAGCAGGGAAGTTACACACCACCATGCGGTTCCTTGGGTCCTGAGGGCCCTAGCCAGTCTGCCTTCTTTTCTCCACCTTTCAGTGTCTTCTTTTGCTTGTTTTTCATATAATGTCCAAGGTTTTTAAGTGTACTTAGCAAGAAGAATAGCAAAAAATGCATTTACTCCATCTTGTCCAGCAGTCTTTTCTTTTAATAACTAAGTTTATTCCATTTACATTTATTGGAGTAATACTCCTAAATAATACTCATATGTTTCTTATTTCAGTTTGTTTCCCCTTTCTATCTTTTCTATTGGGATTATTTTGTAGTTCATGTGGGTATGTGTTTTCCTTTTGCTAATTTGAAAGGTTTATAGTTGTGCTGGTGTTTCTAATGATTATATATAGGTTATATGAGAGATTGTAATTTCAGATATTCACTAGATTCTCCTAGTTTCCCCTCTTGCTAAAGTTCTGCTCAGACCAGGGAGCTGGGGGAAGCCTGCTCTGGGCGGCCCAGACCAGGGACTACAAAGTGACATTTGGCTCTGGCAGGGCCCTAAAAATTAGCCTTTCCTTCTGTGTGAGTGGCTGAGAAAGGAAAGGGGAATGTGAATCAAGTTTCTAATATGGAACCCTTTGTGTCCGCCTAACTGGGGAGGCACTCCTTAGGAAAGAGAGGGGATAACTGGGTCAACTGATACATTTTTACATTAATAAAAGTTGGGTATATTATATTTTACATTTTACTCAATCTGCAGTCCCTTAGGAATACTTCTAGGCTACTAGGTTTAAATTTCTATTGGAAACCCCTGTATTTTCTTGAGTTATAGGGAGGGAGTAAACTAAAGCCCTGAGGACGGCCTGGGGATTCCCGTGAACTCTCTGTGGGAACCTCCACCCACCATCTGTGACTTTGTGGAAGCCAGTGCTTTATCTTTCCGTCTTCCACTATCCCTGACAACAGGTGATTTTGTTGAGCTTTGCTTCCTGGGACTGGCATTAGGAAAACAACAGGCCATCACTGAGGATTGCTGGAGGGGTGGAATTTTAAAGGAGAAAACCTAATCCCAGCTAGGAGAAGGGTCTTGCCCAAGGTGGTAGCACTGCTTGGCCACACCCGTCCCATCTGGGTAGCCTGTTTTACCTTTTGGTAAAAGACTTTGGCCCCTTGCTGTCACAGCTGGGGCCTGGCTTCAACACAGGATTGGTGGAGTCTCTGCCAAGTGGCTGAAGGTTTCTCACTTGACCCTGGAATGGAAGCCCCGACACCCGCCCCGATGGCTGAAGGTTTCTCACTTGACCCTGGAATGGAAGCCCCGACACCCGCCCCGATGGCTGAAGGTTTCTCACTTGACCCTGGAATGGAAGCCCCGACACCCGCCCCTCAGGGCTTGGCTCCGAAAGCAGGCTGCTTGCTTCAGCAGTTTTCTTGGCTCCCTGCTCCCACAGCGACAGCCATGTCCCCTTCAGAGCCTCAACCACTGGCCTCCATGGATCTGTAACAGCCACCACTCAGCCCCCATGTGCGGTGAGCAAGTAAGTGACCCGGCCTGTCTCTCACAGTGAGCAAAGGCTTCTGGTCCAGATACTGTTCCGCAGCTGATGTGTCAACCTGCCCTGTGCTCCAGGGAAGCACAGATCTCCTCTCTCAGGGCTGTTGTCTCAGCTGCTTCTCCACAACCTGCAGCTCTGCCAAGCTGCCAAACTCTCCCTCGTCCTCCATGCTAATAAAACCTTCCACCAGGTGGCTCTCATGTTCCTGTGTAGGACAAAAATGAGGAAAAGAAGACAAAATGCCTAGGTTTTTAAAGAGAGAGAGGGGCAGGTGACAGAGAGAAATAAATGAGGGCCTTGTCCAGAACTGCTCTGAAGGACATCTGTCCCTTGGCAGCTGCCTCAGGTGCCCTACATTTACTCTGGGATTTGGGACGAGTCAAGGTACTCAGCTGTTGTGCCAGGCTTGGCATCACCTTGTGTGTCCTATTCCCACTGGTCACTGTGAGTTGTAGAAAGGTCCCCTGGAGCTCACTGCAAATGAGTCTTCCTTACCTATTGGGATCATTGAGAGGTCCCCAGTTCCTGTGGTGGACCTTTCATGGGGATTTTTTCTCTTTAAAACAATGCATCAGTAAAGGAATTCAGTGATAAGCAGGACCCCCTGGGCTCCTTCTGCACCAGCCTAGCTGGGTTGGAACAGATGTGGAGGCAACAAACACAAAGCCACGTGGAGTGATGTGGAACAGGCATGCCTCCTGGCCTGAGCTGCTGGGTTTGGGCTCATTCTCTTTTTCCATTCTAGGCTTTCCATGCTGCTGTTCTGAGGCAGGGGAAATGGGAAAGACTTTGCAACATTTACATTGGGGCCCTAAAATATAAACTGGATCTTGGAAGGCAGAGTTCAGCAGGCTGCCATGAATACTACTGAAGGACCCAGACACCATCAGGCTGGCATCCTACATGTGCTTGAGCAGGAGTCCGTAACCTGGACCTCACAGGGCTGTCCTCTGCAGAAGAATCTGACCCCTTGGCCCTGCAAAAGCAGACACACTGGGGTCAGGTCAGGGATGAGAGGGTGACAAGTCAGATGGCCAGGCAGCCATGGCAACTTAGTAGACGGTGCACAGCATGGCCAGCGAGAAAACGTATGGGGGCTGGGCGCGGTGGCTCATGCCTGTAATCCCAGCACTTTGGGAGGCTGAGGTGCACAGATCACTTGAGGTCAGGAGTTCGAGACCAGCCTGGCCAACATGGTGAAACCCTGTCTCTAATAAAAATACAAAAATTAGCCGGACATGGTAGTACATCCCTGTAATCCCAGCTACACGGGAGGCTGAGGCAGGAGAATTGTTTGAACCTGGGAGGCAGAGCTTGCAGTGAGCCGAGATGGCCCCACTGCACTTCAGTATGGGTGACAGAGCGAGACTCCATCTCAAAAAAAAAAAAAAAAAGCAAGAAAAGAAAATGCATGGGAAGGGCCAGGCCCGTGAGTAGGAGTGTTGCTTGGAATTTATTAGTAAGAATAAAGTACTGAACTGCAGATAATTTATTCTAAAAAAGAATGCATTCAGAATTATTTATCAAATTTCATCCAAATTATACATTTTATTTAATCAGTCTGCAGATGAGGAAAGGAAGGCAATTGAGGTGGAGCTACATGAAATGCACAGAAAATGGTTTCTGGAGTCAGGCAGCCCCTGACTCCAGGCAGCCTCTGACTCCAGAAACT
Organism: Homo sapiens; assembly: GCF_000001405.40. NCBI lineage: Eukaryota > Metazoa > Chordata > Mammalia > Primates > Hominidae > Homo > Homo sapiens. The sequence continues at coordinate 100,382,489 of NC_000015.10, read as the reverse complement.
CCAGTCGTGTGGGAATCACAGCCCACCATTTACAAGATAGACAGCCCGGGTCAACCACTTCATCTCTCTGAGCCTCTATTTCCTTACTTGTAAAAATGATGTCTTCCTCTGAGGTATGTTGTGAGGATTAAACGAGATACATTTGGAAGCACCTGGCACAGAAAAAGTGCTCGGAAAATATGAACTTCATTTCCAAAAAAGAAGCTGAGGTCACCCAAGCTGTGAACGGCGGAGCTTAGATTTAAACTTGGACTTTTAGCTGACTTCTGACAACCACACTCCTTGCATTGATGGATTAAAAATATTTATCGAGGCTCTCTGTGTGTCCATCTAAGGAGTTAAATTTATAACAAAATACCACACCATTCCTGACACCACTGAGTCTAGTGGATGAGGGACACTGGAAACACAGCGTATCAGTTAGGGCTCAGCAGGGAATGACACTCTATTCAAACAGTGGAAATTTCATGCAGATTTACATAGGTGTTGAAGGGCTAAGAAAAATCCAAAAGGGAGCACTGAGTTTCCCAGGTATCATGACTGTAGAAACTTGAGGCTTTTCCAGAATGTAGGCGCTTGGAGGAGAGGCCCCCTGGGACTAATGCATGGGTTCCCAGGGGATTGGCTCTCTATACCTGATCCCCAAGCTCTGGATATGTGGCTGGGCCTGGAAGCTGCTGGTTGTACCACCGAGAAGAGGAGTCCTGTGGCTGGTGCGGTTGGTGCTGGGACCTCTGAGAAGAGGACACAGACCAGTGGGTGTTGGGACCTCCACAGAGGAAGCCCAGATTGGCAGGTGAAGGAGGTGAAGGGGTAGTACCCTATTTCTCAAAGGGGTGCCACCTGGCTCAGGTGAAGATTGAGAGCTGGCAGCAGGGGCCATGGCATCAGCTACTGCTAACAGAAGCTAGCAATTAGGAAGGAATCCTCTTCTTATTCCCTTCCGTATTCCAGTTGTTGGGGTGATCGGACCCAACACCAGGTCATGGGGGTGACGAAGTCCGGTGGAGACAAAGGAATGAGAAAAGACAAGTTAAGAGAGAAAGTGGGACCAGGGGGCCAACGCTAGTATGGAGGCTGCGAAGGCCCCAAGCTCTGGGAGCTCACCCTATTTATTGGTGATCAAACAAAGAAACAGGTGGTGAGGATGTGGGGTTTGAAGGGAAGCGGTGTATCAAGTGAATGAGCTACAGCTGTGATGATTTAGCATGTTCTTTGACACATATGGCTACTTGAGATAATGGGAGTGCTAGAAGCAAGGAGCCAGCAAGTCCAGACACATTCCAAAGGCCAAGAGGGGGTTTAGACCTCGGGCCCCAGACATGTTCCAAGCCCTGCTTCAACTTCTCTCCCAACACTCAGCTTTTCTCCCAACATCAGTCCCTTATTAACAGTTCTTATTGGCAGATGTAACAGAAAGCCAACTGGCAAGGGAGTCTAGGACATAGAGTTTGTAGAGCCTCAGCCCCAGCAGCACAGAGCAGGATTTAGAAGGAAGGTTTAGAGTTGAGAAATATAGGTAAATAACTAGCCCAGTCTATCCCTTTGACAAATCAGCATGTATACGCACCTTTAAATGCATGTTTAAAGTTCAACAAATGGTGCTGGAACAATTGAATATCCACATGCAAAAAAAATAAATAAGTAAACTTGGATGCATACCTCATATGTGGTGATAAAACTGGGGGTTTGAAAGGCTTCAGACAACCAGCTTGAGCCTTGAGACTTTTGCCAAATTCTGAAACTCTACAGGAAGTAAAAAAGCTGAGTTTAAAACTAATGAAAAAATAGATGGGTCATCCTCTAGTCTCTTTGAGTTGAGACAAAAATCTCCCAAGCTCTCAAAAGAAAGCCCAGCTTTCTAGGGTTTACATTCAAGGAAGAAGGGGAAACCAGATGCAGGCTGGGTCTCCAAAAATATAAATGAATACATACGTAAACAAATGAGGCCCCAGGAAGACCTTACCCCTTCCACCATGAAGACACAGCAAGAAAGCACCATTTATGAACCATTTATGAAGCATTTCCTCACCAGACATTGAATCTATCAGATCCTTGATATGGAACTTCTCAGCCTCCAGAATTATGAGAAATAAATTTCTGCTGTTTCCATATTAATTGTAGGATGCTATTTATTTTTATTGTACACAAATGTTCAGAGCTGCATTATTGTTAATAGCGAGAAAGTGAAAACCAGCCAAATGTCTCTCAGCTGAGGAATGAATACATAAAATATTGGTACAGCCACACAATGGACTGTTATTTGGCAATAAAAAGATATGACATATCCATACTTTCGATAACATGGATGAACCTTGAAGCATTATGCTGTTAAAGAAGCTAGTCACAAAAGACTCATTGCATTTATATAAAGTGTCCAGAAAAGGTAAATCTATGGAGACAAAAAGTAGGTCTTTAGGGTGGGGACAGAATGTGGGGAGTATGAAGTGGCAGCGAATGGGTATGGGGGGGTTCTTTGACAGAGGACAAAAATACTCTAAATTATAGTGACGGCTGCAAAATCTTGTGAATATACTAAAAAATCAAAATTCAATAATTGGAAAAATTATACCACAGTGTTTAAGTAATGATAGCAATGATAGCAGATACTGTTTGGGGCTTTTGGTGTGTTGGCAATGTTTTTTTTTGAGATGGAGTTTCGCTCTTGTTTCCCAGGCTGGAGTGCAATGGTGTGATCTTCGCTCACCGCAACCTCTGCCTCCCGGGTTCAAGCGATTCTCCTGCCTCAGCCTCCCGAGTAGCTGGGATTACAGGCATGTGCCACCATGCCGGCTAATTTTGTATTTTTAGTAGAGTTAGGGTTTCTCCATGTTGGGCAGGCTGGTCTCGAACTTCCGACCTTAGGTGATCCGCCTGCCTCGGCCTCCCAAAGTGCTGGGATTACAGATGTGAGCCACCGTGCCCGCCCACAATGTTTTATTTTTTAAAATATGTATATTGACTATATATGTTTTCACTTTGCAGTTGTTCATGGAGTTATACATTTATGTTTTGCCCATTTTTCTACGTTAAGATTTTTTAACAGGATATAACAAGCAAGTGTTGCTGAGAAAATGGCCCCATCTCTAGTAGACTGGAGAGTCTACTATTTCACACCCCTGGGAATGTGATGGGAATACAGCAACACAACAGCTACTCTAAGGAAGAGCAACTTGTTTACTTAGAGAAATATGTCCAGAGAGAGCAACCTGTGTCCTGATTCCAGAGTCCTAGCTTCGGGAGAGGCATTGTGTCCCTGGGATGGAGTCTTTGAGGTCTGTCTTTGGGACACAGCTAACTGGCATCCCACGGAAGAGACCCCTAGCCTGTCTACTTATTCTAGAATGGCTTACACCACAAAGCTCTTTCTGCTACTGAAACACTGGGTTTTCCATCAAGTATAGCTGGATAAACTAATTTCTGAAGCAAAGGCAGACTCCAGGGATTTTTGAGAAAGAAAAGGCAGAGTCTTGCTCTGTCACCCAGGCTGGAGCGTGGTGGCACAATCTTGGCTCACTGTAACCTCTGCCTCCCGAGTTCAAGCAATTCTCCCACCTCAGCCTCCCGAGTAGCTGGGACTACAGGTACCTGCCACCACGCCCAGCTAATTTTTGTATTTTTAGTAGAGAGGGGGTTTCACTGTGTTGGCCAGGCTAGTCTTGAACTCCAGACCTCATGATCCACCCGCCTCAGCCTCCCCAGAGGTTTTGTATTTGTGAACATATGCCCTCAAAACATAACTAATACGTATTAATATTTCCTGTGTGTGCATTTAGTGTGGCTTATGCTCAGCTCTCACAAATTTCTTTTTTCTTTTTCTTTTCTCGGCTCACTGCAACCTCCGCCTACTGGGTTCAAGCAATTCTCCTGCCTCAGCCTCCCAAGTAGCTGAGATTACAGGCTCACACCACCATGCCCAGCTAATTTTTTGTATTTTTAGTAGAGATGGGGTCTCACCCTGTTGGCCAGCCTGGTCTCAAATTCCTGACCTGAGGTCATCTGCCTGCCTCGGCCTCCCGAAGTGCTGGGATTACAGGTGTGAGCCACTGTGCCCAGCCATGTTTTAAATTTTTAAGAGCCCTTTTCATTGTTTGAATTTTTTATGGTAAATTATTCTTCTTTAATGGATGTAATATCTTCTCATATCTTTAAGACTAATAGAATTTTTTTTTGAAGTTTTCTTCAAAACATTTCTGCACACTAGGTTTCCTTCAGTTGCATTTTTTTTTTTTCTTTTCTTGAGACCGAGTCTTGCTCTGTCGCTCGGTCTGGAGTACGGTGGCGCGATCTCAGCTCACTGCAGGCTCTGCCTCCCAGGTTCCAGCGATTCTCCTGCCTCAGCCTCCTGAGTAGCTGGGATTACAGGCGCACACCACCACGCCTGGCTAATTTTTGTATTTTCCACAGAGACAGGCTTTTGCCATGTTGCCCAGGCTGGTCTTGAATTTCTGGCGTCAAGCTATCTGCCCACCTCAGCCTCCCAAAGTGTTGAGATTCCTGGCATGAGCCACCGTGCCTGGCCAGAAAATTTCTTAAAAGTGTGTGGAACCCTTCCAAGCTGTTGACACCTGGGAGTTTGATCCTTGGACTTGTTTGATTTTCACAGAAAGATGTTCAGGAAAATAAGCAAGATGAAAATGATCTCAATGATGCCTGAATGGTTCATTGACTGAAACATCAAAGGTTGAGGTCACCCAATCAAGTCACGGGTGTAACTACCAAGTTTGTTCAGACACAGGGAAAATGACAGCACAGGACAGTTTGTGGACAATGATGTTAAGATGCACCCCAACCTCAGAGATGCTAAAATGAGAAAAAAAAAGAAATGCATCTTAGAATCTATGAAATAGGCCAGGCGCAGTGGCTCATGCCTATAATCCCAGCACTTTGGGAGGCCAAGGTGGGTGGATGGCTTGAGCTCAGGAGCTCGAGACTAGTCTGGGCAATATGGTGTAACCCCACCTCTACCAAAAATACAAAAAAAAAAAAAATAGCTGGGCATGGGGGCACATGCCTGTAGTCCCAGCTACTCAGGAGGCTGAGACTGGAGGATCGCTTGAGCCTGGGAGACAGAAGTTGCTGTGAACCTTAGCCTCTACTCACACCAGAGACAAAAATTAATTTGAAATGGATCATAGAATGAGTTCATGTCCTTTGTAGGGACATGGATGAAGCTGGAAACCATCATTCTCAGCAAACTATCGCAAGGACAAAAAACCAAACATCGCTTGTTCTCACTCATAGGTGGGAATTGAACAATGAGAACACTTGGACACAGGAAGGGGGACATCACACACCGGGGCCTGTTGTGGGGTGGGGGGAGGGGGGAGGGATAGCATTAGGAGATATACCTAATGTAAATGATGAGTTAATGGGTGCAGCACACCAACATGGCACATGTATACATATGTAACAAACCTGCAAGTTGTGCACATGTACCCTAGAACTTAAAGTATAATAAAATAAAAATTAAAAAAAAAGTATTACAACCTTGTACAGAACAGAAAAAAAAAAAGAAATGGATCATAGACCTGAATGTAAAAGCTAAAACAATAAAACTACAATAAAACATAAGAACATATGTTTGAGACTTTGATGTAGATAAAGATTTTTTAGATTGGATGCAAAAAGCACTAACTATGAAGTAAAATGTTAAATTAACAAGTCTCTGCTCATCAAACGGCATCATTATAATAGCCAAACACTGAATATATTTTCAAATGTCCATCAAGGAGAACTGATAAATAAATCAAAGTATATTTATACAATGGAATCTACTCTGTAATATAAAAGAATAAACAAGTGATACATACTGCAACATGGATGAATCTCCAAAATATCATGTTGGCTAAAAGATGTCAGAGACGATACCTATTGCATGGAATAATTTGTACAATGTCCAAACACAGGCAAAAATAATCTTAGATTATAGCAATTAGAAAGTGGTTTTTTTTGAGATGGGGAGAATTGACTGGGAAATTATGAAACTTTTTAAGTGATAGAAATGTTCTGTGTCTTATTTGGAGTTGTGGTTACCTGAGTGAATACCACTCTCAAAATGTTCAAATGAACACTTAAGATGTGTTCATTTTACTGCTTGTAATTATACCCCAATCAAATTATCCTGAATTCTCAGCAAACTAGGAAGAAAGGAGAACTTCTTTAACTTGATAAAGGACATCCAAAAAAAAAAATCCTGCAGGTAAAATTATACTCAATGGTGAGAAATTAGAAGTTCTCCTGCTAAGATCAGGAAAAAGTCAAGGATGTCCCCTCTCACAACTGCTATTTAACATAATACTGGAAGTCCTAGCTTATGAAATAAGACAAGAAAAGGAAATAAAAGATAATTGAATTGGGAAGAAAGAAAGAAACTGTCTTTGCGCTCAGATGACATGATCATCTATGGAGAAAATCAGAAAGAATTGACAAAAAAAAGCCTATAAGAAGTGATTATAGCAAGTTTACAGTATATAAGGTTAATATACAAAAGTCTATCACTTTCTTATATACCAGTAATGAACAAGTGGAATTTGACATTAAAAACATGTACCATTTAGCACCCCCACACAATGAAATACTTAGGTTTAAGTCTAACAAAATACGTATAAGATCTGTATGAGGAAAAGTACAAAACTCTGATGAAATAAATCAAAGTACTAAATATACGGAGCGATATTCCATGTTCACAGATAGGAAGATGCATTATTGTCAAGATGTCAGTTCTTCTCAACTCAATCTACAGACTCAACGCAATCCCAATCAAAATCTCAGCAAGTTATTTTGTGGATATTGACAAACTGATTCTAAAGTTTATATGGGAAGCAAAAGACCCACAGTAGCCATAAAAATACTGAAGGAGAACAAAGTCAGATGATTGACACTACCCAGTCTCAAGACTTACTATAAAGGTACAATACTCAAGACAGTGTGGTATTGGTAAAATAGACAAACAGATTAATGGAATAGTACAGAGCCCAGAAACAGACCCACACTAACATAGTCAACTTATCTTTGACAAACGAGCAAAGGCAATACAATGGCGAAAAGACAGTTTTTCTTCAACAAATAGTGCTGGGACAACTAGATATCCACAAGCAAAATAGTGAGTCTACACACAGACCTTACACCCTTCACAAAAATTAACTCAAAATTAATCATAGACCTAATCGTAAAACGCAAAAATATAAAACTCCTAGCAGATAACATAAGAGAAGGTCTAGATAACCTTGGGTTTGAAGATGACTTTTTGGATACAACACCCAAGATACAATCCATCAAAGAAATAATTGATAAGCTGGACTTTTAAAAACTTCTACTCTGAGAAAGACACTGTCAAGAAAATCAGAAGACAAGCTACAGACTGGGAGAAAATGTTTGTAAAAGATATATCTGATAAAGGACTGTTATCCAATATATAGAAAGAACTCTTAAAACTCAACAAGAGGCCAGGAGCAATGGCTCACACCTATAATCCCAGCACTTTGGGAGGCCGAGGCAAGTGGATTGCTTGAGTCCAGGAGTTTGCGACCAGTCTGGGCAACATGGCAAATCCGCATCTCTACAAAAAATGAGGCAGGCATGGTGGCACGTGCCTGTAGTCTCAGGAGGCTGAGGTGGGAGGATCATCTGAGTCCAGGAGGTCGAGGGTACAGTGAACCACGATCGTGCCACTGCACTCCAGCCTGGGTGACAGAATGAAATCCTGTCTCAAAATTCTTTACTGCCTCCATAGTTTTGCCTTTTCCAGAATCTCCTATAGTTGGAATCATACAGCATGTAGTTTTCAGATTGGCTTCTGTTATTTAATAATATACACTTAAGGTTCCTCATGTCTTTTCATGGCTTGATCCTCATTTCTTTTTAGGTGCTAATAAAGGAATTAGGGGGGTGGTAAGGATGGGTCAGCTCCTTTCCCCATCCAGCGAAGAAACCCTGCTAGGGTGAGAAAATAGATGGGAAGTTGAACGATGGGATGGGTGTCTTTTGGTCCCTGATTCTATTAAATGGGCCATGACAACCATCTCATTATACCTATCTCTTAGAATTAAGAAAAAAAAACAATCGGGAGCAATTCAACAAATCAAGTCAAATTATGGGCTTCCGGCACAAGAGGGACATCCAAGAACAGAGTGACCAAATGTGGTCCTTCTGATGAGAGTGCTCAGGAAAATGCCTGGCTGGGGGTTACTGCAGAGAGTCTGTGGTCACCTGCAGGGGCTAGTCCAGCCTCTGCAGGCACCACGACTGCGCTGGTTTGGGCACCTCAGTGTAAAGCTCACGCAGCAGCCCAGGATTGGGTGGGGGAAGGAGGGAGAGAGGGAGAGAGAGGGAGGGAGGGAGAGAGAGGGAGGGAGGGAGAGACAGGGAGGGAGGGAGGGAAGGAGAAAGAGAGAGAGAATGAATCACCAGAGCAAACCGAAGAGTGAATGGGAGACAGAGGGTAAGGGTGAGCGAGGGCAGGAGAGGAGATCCAGTAGGTCTTTCTGGAGTGGCCAGAGGGTCCCCACTCTCCCGGCTCTTCTCGGCTCCACCCCGCCCCCACCCCACTGGGGTCCTCACCGCCCCTCCCCCCGCCTCCCGACGCCCCTCCTTCCCTGCTCGCCCCCACTCTTCTGCCAGGCTCCCCGGCCGCCCACTGCTCCCTCCCTCCCGCCGCCCCTCTTCCCTCGCGGCTCGGCGCGCGGAGGCCCCGTGTGTCCACCTGAAGGTCCCCGGGGTGCGTCTGGCCGCCCGTCGGACCTTCGCTTTGGGGACTGCGTTTTATCCACGATAAACCATTTCCCGAGAAAGGGGTGAGCTCTGCTGCTGCCTCCGCGAGAGCAGGCGCCGGTTCAAGTCCTGCCGCCCCCGCCCAGCCCTGCACCCGTCCAGGCCACCCCGACAGCCGCGGCCTCGGCCGTGGGCAGGACGGGAAGGCTGCGAGGCCGGGCGGAGAGGCGCCCTGAGGCCGGAGCGCGTGAGGACGACCTTCCCTCGCTGGAGACGCCGCCGCCGCCGCGCCTGGCCGGGCTGCACCGGGGTCTGGGCGGAGGGCGCGGGCGCGCGGGGCCGCGAGGGGAAGAGCAGAAGCGGAGGCGAAGGCGAGGGGCGCCGCGCACCTGTCCCGGGCTGCACGGAAGCGGCTTCCAGTGGGGACTGGCGGTCCCTCCCGGCCTTCAGGGCCTACTCGCGGCTCTGAAACCCCAGTGCCAGGCGCCTGTCCTGGCCCACGCTTCGTCCACCTCCCGCGGGAAACCCCTCGCAGCGGGGGTCGGAGGGGTGCCCTGGGAGAGATGAGGGGGAGAAGCATGAGACCAGGTCCTAGGGGGAAAAAGAGAAACAAAAGGTCTGATTCCCTCCCTCCTCGCACCCCCTCCGTCTGTTTCTGGCATCAACTTCTTGCCAGGGGCTCCAGGGAAGGGGAATTTGATAACCACGTAACTTCACCCTCAGATGGCACAGGCCAAGGCCTTTCTGCGGAGCGGAGCTGCCGGTGATTTCCAGAATGCACTCACCTTTCTCCTCTCTTCGCTGTCTCTCTCTTTCCGTCCCTCATTCCCTTCTTCACTTCCTTCCCTTCTTCCCGCCCTCTGTTTTCTCTCCCTTCCTCCCTCCACCTTCCACCCCCCAACCCCTCCCCAAGATCTGAGTTGCACAGATCTGATGTAATCACACCCTGCACGGTGCCAGCAGAGAGCCATGCCAAGCTCTGATTTTGTTCTCTACTATTATTTTCCTCTTAATCCCCACTGCTCGTACTCAGAGTGGACAATTTGAGAATACAACATATGTACACACCAACGTTTCTACAGATGTGTACGTCCATGAAATCATCACCGCAATCAACATAGTGAACACATTCACCACCTCCAAACATCTCCTCCAGTCCCTTTATAATTTATTCCCCATGTACCTCTCTGCACTCCCCCTTCTCCAGGCAACCACTGATTTGTCAACACATTCATTTGTGTTTTCTAAAATTTTATGTAAATGGAATAATATACTATGTGCTCTTTTTTAAAAAAACAATTTCAACTTTTATTTTAGATTAAAGGGTACATGTGCAGGTTTGTTTCATGAGTATATTGCAGGGTGCTGAAGGTTGGGGTACAGATGATCCAGTCACCCAGGTAGTGAGTAGTAGTTTTTCAGCCCACGTTCTGTTCCACTCCCTCCCTGCCTCCCTCCCTCCCTAGTCGTCCCCAGTGTCTGCTGCTCCCATCTTTATGTCTATGTGTATTCAATGTTTAGGTCCCACTTATAAGTGAGAACATGCGTTATTTGGTTTCCCATTCTTGGGTTAATTCCTTAGGACAATGGCTGCCATCCATGTTGCTGCGAAGGACATGACCACAATGAGATAACGTCTCACACCGGTCAGAATGGCGATTATGAAAAAGTCAATAAACAACCAATGCTTGTGAGGCTGCGGGGAAGAGGGAACCCTTATACACTTGCTGGGAATAAAAACTAGTTCAGCCACTGTGGAAGGCAGTTTGGAGATTTCTGAAAGCACTTAGAACTGCTATTCGACCCAGCAATCCATTACTAGGTATATACCCAAAGGCAAGTAAGTCATTTTATCAAAAAGGCACGTGCACCCATATGTTCATCAAAGCGTTGTTTACAATAGCAAAGACATGGAATCAACCTAGATGCCCATCAGCAGTGGATTGGATGAAGAAAATGTGGTACCTATACACCATGGAATGCTAAGCGGCCATAAAAAGGAACATCCGTTCTTTCCTTCAGTCTGGCTTCCCCTACTCAATAGTTATTCTGAGATTCATTTATATCGTTGCAGGTATACCTAGTTCATAATTGTTTATTCCATTGTATATTCTATATTCTACACTCTGCTTGTCTGTTTACCTGTTCAGCATTTGGATTGCTTGCATTTGGGGATATTACAAATAAAACTGTCATGATCATTCATTTACAAGTCTTTGTATAGGTATATGCTGGGTAGGTGGATGTTTAACTCTTTAAGAAGCTGCCAAAATGTGGTTGTACCATTTTATGTTCTCACCAGTAATGTACAAAAAGTTCCAATTCCTTCACATCCTCACCAACACTTAGTGTGGTTAGTTTATTGGAGTTTTAAATTTGCACTTCCCTAAAGACTAGTTAATGATATTGAGCACCTGTCAAAATTTATTTTCCATCTATATATCTTTTTCTTTCTTTATTTATTTTTATTTATTTATTTATTTTTTATTATTATACTTTAAGTTTTAGGGTACATGTGCACAATGTGCCGGTTAGTTACATATGTATACATGTGCCATGCTGGTGTGCTGCACCCATTAACTTCTCATTTAGCATTAGGTATATCTCCTAATGCTATCCCTCCCCCCTCCCCCCACCCCAAAACAGTCCCCAGAGTGTGATATTCCCCTTCCTGTGTCCATGTGTTCTCATTGTTCAATTCCCACCTATGAGTGAGAACATGTGGTGTTTGGTTTTTTTGTCCTTGGTGATAGTTTACTGAGAATGATGATTTCCAATTTCATCCATGTCCCTACAAAGGACATGTACTCATCATTTTTTATGGCTGCATAGTATTCCATGGTGTCTATGTGCCACATTTTCTTAATCCAGTCTATCATTGTGGGACATCTGGGTTGGTTCCAAGTCTTTGCTATTGTGAATAGTGCTGCAATAAACATACATGTGCATGTGTCTTTATAGCAGCATGATTTATAGTCCTTTGGGTATATACCCAGTAATAGGATGGCTGGGTCAAATGGTATTTCTAGTTCTAGATCCCTGAGGAATCGCCACACTGACTTCCACAATCGTTGAACTAGTTTACAGTCCCACCAACAGTGTAAAAGTGTTCCTATTTCTCCACATCCTCTCCAGCACCTGTTGTTTCCTGACTTTTTAATGATCGCCATTCTAACTGGTGTGAGATGGTATCTCATTGTGGTTTTGATTTGCATTTCTCTGATGGCCAGTGATGGTGAGCATTTTTTCATGTGTCTTTTGGCTGCATAAATGTCTTCTTTTGAGAAGTGTCTGTTCATGTCCTTCACCCACTTTTTGATGGGGTTGTTTGTTTGTTTCTTGTAAATTTGTTTGAGTTCATTGTAGATTCTGGATATTAGCCCTTTGTCAGATGAGTAGGTTGCGAAAATTTTCTCCCATTTTGTAGGTTGCCTGTTCACTCTGATGGTAGTTTCTTTTGCTGTGCAGAAGCTCTTTAGTTTAATTCGATCCCATTTGTCAATTCTGGCTTTTGTTGCCATTGCTTTTGGTGTTTTAGACATGAAGTCCTTGCCCATGCCTATGTCCTGAATGGTAATGCCTAGGTTTTCTTCTAGGGTTTTTATGGTTTTAGGTCTAACGTTTAAGTCTTTAATCCATCTTGAATTGATTTTTGTATAAGGTGTAAAGAAGGGATCCAGTTTCAGCTTTCTACATATGGCTAGCCAGTTTTCCCAACACTATTTATTAAATAGGGAATCCTTTCCCCATTGCTTGTTTTTCTCAGGTTTGTCAAAGATCAGATAGTTGTAGATATGCGGCATTATTTCTGAGGACTCTGTTCTGTTCCATTGATCTATATCTCTGTTTTGGTACCAGCACCATGCTGTTTTGGTTGCTGTAGCCTTGTAGTATAGTTTGAAGTCACGTAGCATGATGCCTCCAGCTTTGTTCTTTTGGCTTAGGATTGACTTGGCGATGTGGGCTCTCTTTTGGTTCCATATGAACTTTAAAGTAGTTTTTTCCAGTTCTGTGAAGAAAGTCATTGGTAGCTTGATGGAGATGGCACTGAATCTATAAATTACCTTGGGCAGTATGGCCATTTTCATGATATTGATTCTTCCTACCCATGAGCATGGAATGTTCTTCCATTTGTTGGTATCCTCTTTTATTTCATTGAGCAGTGGTTTGTAGTTCTCCTTGAAGAGGTCCTTCACGTCCCTTGTAAGTTGGATTCCTAGGTATTTTATTCTCTTTGAAGCAATTGTGAATGGGAGTTCACTCATGATTTGGCTCTCTGTTTGTCTGTTATTGGTGTATAAGAATGCTTGTGATTTTTGTACATTGATTTTGTATCCTGCGACTTTGCTGAATTGCTTATCAGCTTAAGGAGATTTTGGGCTGAGACGATGGGGTTTTCTAGATATACAATCATGTCATCTGCAAACAGGGACAATTTGATTTCCTCTTTTCCTGATTGAATACCCTTTATTTCCTTCTCCTGCCTAATTGCCCTAGCCAGAACTTCCAACACTATGTTGAATAGGAGTGGTGAGAGAGGGCATCCCTGTCTTGTGCCAGTTTTTGAAGGGAATGCTTCCAGTTTTTGCCCATTCAGTATGATATTGGCTGTGGGTTTGTCATAGATAGCTCTTATTATTTTGAAATACGTCCCATCAATACCTAATTTATTGAGAGTTTTTAGCATGAAGAGTTGTTGAATTTTGTCAAAGGCCTTTTCTGCATCTATTGAGATAATCATGTGGTTTTTGTCTTTGGTTCTGTTTATGTGCTGTATTAAATTTATTGATTTTCATATATTGAACCAGCCTTGCATCCCAGGGATGAAGCCCACTTGATCATGGTGGATAAGCTTTTTGATGTGCTGCTGGATTCGGTTTGCCAGTATTTTACTGAGCATTTTTGCATCAATGTTCATCAAGGATATTGGTCTAAAATTCTCTTTTTTGGTTGTGTCTCTGCCTGGCTTTGGTATCAGGATGATGCTGGCCTCATCAAATGAGTTAGGGAGGATTCCCTCTTTTTCTATTGATTGGAATAGTTTCAGAAGGAATGGTACCAGCTCCTCCTTGTACCTCTGGTAGAATTCGGCTGTGAATCCATCTGGTCCTGGACTCTTTGTGGTTGGTAAGCTATTAATTATTGCCTCAATTTCAGAGCCTGTTATTGGTCTATTGAGAGATTCAACTTCTTCCTGGTTTAGTCTTGGGAGGGTGTATGTGTTAAGGAATTTATCCATTTCTTCTAGATTTTCTAGTTTATTTGGGTAGAGGTATTTATAGTATTCTCTGATGGTAGTTTGTATTTCTGTGGGATCGCTGGTGATATCCCCTTTATCATTTTTTATTGCGTCTATTTGATTCTTGTCTCTTTTCTTCTTTATTAGTCTTGCTAGTGGTCTATCAATTTTGTTGATCCTTTCAAAAAACCAGCTCCTGGATTCATTAATTTTTTGAGGGGTTTTTTGTGACTCTATTTCCTTCAGTTCTGCTCTGATTTTAGTTATTTCTTGCCTTCTGCTAGCTTTTGAAATGTGTTTGCTCTTGCTTTTCTAGTTCTTTTAATTGTGATGTTAGGGTGTCAATTTTGGATCTTTCCTGCTTTCTCTTGTGGGCATTTAGTGCTATAAATTTCCCTCTACACACTGCTTTGAATGTGTCCCAGAGATTCTGGTATGTTGTGTCTTTGTTCTCGTTGGTTTCAAAGAACATCTTTATTTCTGCCTTCATTTCATTATGTACGCAGTAGTCATTCAGGAGCAGGTTGTTCAGTTTCCATGTAGTTGAGCAGTTTTAAGTGAGTTTCTTAATCCTGAGTTCTAGTTTGATTGCACTGTGGTCTGAGAGACAGTTTGTTATAATTTCTGTTCTTTTACATTTGATGAGGAGTGCTTTACTTCCAACTATGTGGTCAATTTTGGAATAGGTGTGGTGTGGTGCTGAAAAAAATGTATATTCTGTTGATTTGGGGTGGAGAGTTCTGTAGATGTCTATTAGGTCTGCTTGGTGCAGAGCTGAGTTCAATTCCTGGGTATCCTTGTTAACTTTCTGACTCGTTGATCTGTCTAATGTTGACAGTGGGGTGTTAAAGTCTCCCATTATTATTGTGTGGGAGTCTAAGTCTCTTTGTAGGTCACTCAGGACTTGCTTTATGAATCTGGGTGCTCCTGTATTGGGTGCATATATATTTAGGATAGTTAGCTCTTCTTGTTGAATTGATCCCTTTACCATTATGTAATGGCCTTCTTTGTCTCTTTTGATCTTTGTTGGTTTAAAGTCTGTTTTATCAGAGACTAGGATTGCAACCCCTGCCTTTTTTTGTTTTCCATTGGCTTGGTAGATCTTCCTCCATCCTTTTATTTTGAGCCTATGTGTGTCTCTGCACGTGAGATGGGTTTCCTGAATACAGCACACTGATGGGTCTTGACTCTTTATCCAATTTGCCAGTCTGTGTCTTTTAATTGGAGCATTTAGTCCATTTACATTTAAAGTTAATATTGTTATTTGTGAATTTGATCCTGCCATTGTGATGTTAGCTGGTTATTTTGCTCGTTAGTTGATGCAGTTTCTTCCTAGCCTCGATGGTCTTTACAATTTGGCACGATTTTGCAGTGGCTGGTACTGGTTGTTCCTTTCCATGTTTAGTGCTTCCTTCAGGAGTTTTTTTAGGGTAGGCCTGGTGGTGACGAAATCTCTCAGCATTTGCTTGTCTGTAAAGTATTTTATTTCTCCTTCACTTACGAAGCTTAGTTTGGCTGGATATGAAATTCTGGGTTGAAAATTCTTTTCTTTAAGAATGTTGAATATTGGCCCCCACTCTCTTCTGGCTTGTAGAGTTTCTGCCGAGAGATCCGCTGTTAGTCTGATGGGCTTCCCTTTGTGGGGAACCCGACCTTTCTCTCTGGCTGCCCTTAACATTTTTTCCTTGATTTCAACTTTGGTGAATCTGACAATTATGTGTCTTGGAGTTGCTCTTCTCGAGGAGTATCTTTGTGGCGTTCTCTGTATTTCCTGAATCTGAATGTTGGCCTGCCTTGCTAAATTGGGGAAGTTCTCCTAGATAATATCCTGCAGAGTGTTTTCCAACTTGGTTCCATTCTCCTCGTCACTTTGAGGTACACCAGTCAGACGTAGATTTGGTCTTTTCACATAGTCCCATATTTCTTGGAGGCTTTGTTTGTTTGTTTTTATTCTTCTTTCTCTAAACTTCCCTTCTCGCTTCATTTCATTCATTTCATCTTCCATCACTGATACCCTTTCTTCTAGTTGATCGCATCGGCTCCTGAGGCTTCTGCATTCTTCACGTAGTTCTCGAGCCTTGGCTTTCAGCTCCATCAGCTCCTTTAAGCCCTTCTCTGTATTGGTCATTCTAGTTATACATTCATCTAAATTTTTTTCAAAGTTTTTAACTTCTTCGCCTTTGGTTTGAATTTCCTCCTGTAGCTCGGAGTAGCTTGATCGTCTGAAGCCTTCTTCTCTCAACTCGTCAAAGTCATTCTCTGTCCACCTTTGTTCTGTTGCTGGTGAGGAGCTGCGTTCCTTTGAAGGAGGAGAGGCGCTCTGCTTTTTAGAGTTTCCAGTTTGTCTGCTCTGTTTTTTCCCCATCTTTGTGGTTTTATCTACTTTTGGTCTTTGATGATGGTGATGTACAAATGGGTTTTTGGTGTGGATGTCCTTTCTGTTTGTTAGTTTTCCTTCTAACAGACAGGACCCTCAGCTGCAGGTCTGTTGGAGTACTGGGCCCTGTGAGGTGTCAGTGTGCCCCTGCTGGGGGGTGCCTCCCTGTTAGGCTGCTCAGGGGTCAGGGGTCAGGGACCCACTTGAGGAGGCAGTCTGCCCGTTCTCAGATCTCCAGCTGTGTGCTGGGAGAACCACTGCTCTCTTCAAAGCTGTCAGACAGGGACATTTAAGTCTGCAGAGGTTACTGCTGTCTTTTTGTTTGGCTGTGCCCTGCCCCCATAGGTGGAGCCTACAGAGACAGGCAGGCCTCCTTGGGCTGTGGTGGGCTCCACCCAGTTCGAGCTTTAGGCTGCTTTGTTTACCTAAGTAAGCCTGGGCAATGGCGGGCGCCCCTCCCCCAGCCTCGCTGCTGCCTTGCAGTTTGATCTCAGACTGCTGTGCTAGCAATCAGTGTGACTCCGTGGGTGTGGGACCCTCCGAGCCATGCGCAGGATATAATCTCCTGGTGTGCCGTTTTTTAAGCCCGTCGGAAAAGCGCAGTATTAGGGTGGGAGTGACCCGATTTTCCAGGTGCCGTCTGTCACCCCTTTCTGTGACTAGGAAAGGGAACTCCCTGACCCCTTGCACTTCCCGAGGGAGGCAATGCCTGGCCCTGCTTCAGCTCGTGCATGGTGCGCTACACCCACTGTCCTGCACACACTGTCTGGCACTCCCTAGTGAGATGAACCCGGTACCTCAGATGGAAATGCAGAAATCACCCCTCTTTTGCGTCGCTCACACTGGGAGCTGTAGACCGGAGCTGTTCCTATTCAGCCATCTTGGCTGCGCTCCCCTATCTTTTTCAGTAATATGTATATTCGAATCTTTTGCCCTTTTCAAAAAATTGGGCTATGTGTTTCCTTATGTGTTTGTTGTGTGTGTGTGTTTTATTGTGGTAAAATATACATATCATGAAATTTACCATTTTAGCCATTTTTAAGTATACAGTTTAGTAGCATTAAGTACATTCACATTGCTGTGTAGCCATCACCACTATTTCCAAACTTTTTCATTATCCTAAACAGAAACTCCATACACCCTTTAAGCAATAACTCTCCATTCTCCTCTCTCCTCAACAGCTGATAACCTCTCTTCCATATGTTGGGTAATTCTATGTTTAGTTTTCTTCCTTTCTTTTTTTTAAAAAATAATTTTCTCCCAGTCTGTGGCTTGTGTTTGCATTCTCTTTTTTAAAAAATTCAATTTATTTTTATTTCAATAAGTTTTGGGGAAACAGGTAGTGTTTGGTTACATGAATAAGTTCTTTAGTGGTGATTTCTGAAATTTTGGTGCACCCATCACTGTGTACACTGTACTCAAGGTGTAGCCTTTTACCCCTCACCCCCTCCCACCCTTTCCCCAAAGTCCCCAAGGTCCATTGTATCATTCTTATGCCTTTGCATCCTCTTAGCTTAGCTCTCACTTATGAGTGAGAATATACAATGTTCAGTTTTCCATTCCTGAGTTACTTCACTTAGAATGATGGTCCCCAATTCCATCCAGGTTGCTGCAAATGCCATTATTTTGTTCCTTTTTATGACTGAGTAGTATTCCATGGCATGCATATATATACACCAAATATTTTTAAAATTTTTTTATTATACTTTAAGTTCTGGGATACATGAGCAGAACGTGTAGGTTTGTTACATAGGTATACACGTACTATGGTGGTTTGCTGTACCCATCAACCCATCATCTACATTAGGTATTTCTCCTGATGCTATCCCTCCCCTAGCCCCCCCATCCCCTGACAGGCCCCGGTGTGTGATGTTCCCCTCCCTGTTTCCATGTGTTCTCATTGTTCTACTCCCAGTTATGAGTGAGAACATGTGTGTTTGGTTTTCTGTTCCTGTGTTAGTTTGCTGAGAATGATGGTTTCCAGCTTCATCCATGTCCCTGCAAAGGACATGAACTCATCCTTTTTATGGCTGCATAGTATTCCATGGTGTAAATGTACCACATGTTCTTTATCCAGTCTACCATTGATGGACATTTGTGTGGGTTCCAAGACTTTTGCTTTGAACAGTGCCACAATAAACATAAGTGTGCATGTGTCTTTATAGTAGAATGATTTTTAATCCTTTGGGTATATACTCAGTAGTGGGATTGCTGGGTCAAATGGTATTTCTGGTTCTAGATACTTGAGGAATCGCCACACTGTCTTCCACAACGGTTGAACTAATTTAGCCTCCCACCAACAGTGTAAAAGCATTCCTATTTCTCCACATCCTCTCCAGCATCTATTGTTTCTTGACTTTTTAATGATTTCCATTCTAACTGGCATGAGATGGTATCTCATTGTGGTTTTGATTTGCATTTCTCTAATGACCAGTGATGATGAGCTTTTTTTCATATGTTTTTTGGCTGCATAGATGTCTTCTTTTGAGAAGCATCTGTTCATATCATTTGCCTACTTTTTGATGGGGTTGTTTGGTTTTTTCTTGTAAGTTTGTTTAAGTTCTTTGTAGATTCTGGATGTTAGCCTTTTGTCAGATGAATAGATTGCAAAAATTTTCTCCCATTCTGTAGGTTGCCTGTTCGATCTAATGATGGTTTCTTTTGTGGTGCAGAAGCTCTTTAGCTTAATTAGATCCCATTTGTCAATTTTGGCTTTTGTTGCCATTGCTTTTGGTGTTTTCGTCATGAAGTCTTTGCCCATGCCTGTGTCCTGAATGGTATTGCCTAGGTTTTCTTCTAGGGTTTTTATGGTTTTAGGTCTTACATTTAAGTCTTTAATCCATCTTGAGTTAATATTTGTATAAGATGTAAGGAAGGGATCCAGTTTCAGTTTTCTGCATATGGCTAGCCAGTTTTCCCGACACCATTTATTAAATAGGGAATCCTTTCCCCATTGCTTGTTTTTGTCAGGTTTGTCAAAGATCAGATAGTTGTAGATGTGTGGTGTTATTTCTGAGGGCTCTGTTCTGTTCCATTGTTCTATGTATCTATTTTGGTACCAGTACCACATTGCTTTGGTTACTGTAGCCTTGTAGTATAGTTTGAAGTCAGGTAGTGTGATGCCTCCAGCTTTGTTCTTTTTGCTTAGGATTGTCTTGGCTATATGGGCTCTTTTTTGGTTCCATATGAAATTTAAAGTAGTTTTTTCTAATTCTGTGAAGAAAGTCGATGGTAGTTTGCTAGGGATAGCATTGAATCTATAAATTACTTTGGGCAGTATGGCCATTTTCACAATATTGATTCTTCCTATCCATGAGCAAGGAATGATTTTCCATTTGTTTGTCCTCTCTTATTTCCTTGAGCAGTGGTTTGTAGTTCCCCTTGAAGAGATCCTTCACATCCCATGTAAGTTGTATTCCTAGGTATTTTATTCTCTTTGTAGCAATTTTGAGTGGGAGTTCACTCATGATTTGGCTCTCTGTTGGTCTATAATTGGTGCATAGGAATGCTTATGATTTTTGCAGATTGATTTTGTATCCTGAGACTTTGCTGAAGTTGCTTATCAGCTTAAGGAGATTTTGGGCTGAGATGATAGGGTTCACTAAATATACAATCATGTCATCTGCAAACAGAGACAATTTGACTTCCTCTTTTCCTATTTGAATACGCTTTATTTATTTCTCTTGCCTGATTGCCCTGGCCAGAACTTCCAATTCTGTGTTCAATAGGAATGATGAGAGAGGGCATCCTTGTCTTGTGCCGGTTTTCAAAGGGAATGCTTCCAGTTTTTGCCCATTCAGTAAGATATTGGCTGTGGATTTTTCATAAATAGCTCTTATTATTTTGAGATATGTTCCATCAATACCTAGGTTATTGTGAGTTTTTAGCATGAAGGGGTGTTGAGTTTTGTCGAAGGCCTTTTCTGCATCTATTGAGATAATCGTGTGGTTTTTGTCATTGGTTCTCCTTATGTGATGGATTACATTTATTGATTTGTGTATGTTGAACCAGCCTTGCATCCCAGGGATGAAGCCAACTTGATCGTAGTGAATAAGCTTTTTGATGTGCTGCTGAATTTGGTTTGCCAGTATTTTACCGAGGATTTTTGCATCGATATTCATCAGGGATATTGGCCTGAAATTTTCTCTTTTTGTTGTGTCTCTGCCAGGTTTTGGTATCAGGATGATGCTGGCCTCATAAAATGAGTTAGGGAGGATTCCCTCCTTTTCTATTGTTTAAAATAATTTCAGAAGGAATAGTACCAGCTCCTCTTTGTACCTCTGGTAGAATTCAGCTGTAAATCCATCTGGTCCTGGGCCCTTTTTGGTTGGTAGACTATTAACTACTGCCTCTATTTCAGAATTTATTATTGGTCTATTCAGGGATTCGACTTCTTGCTTATTTAGACTTGGGAGGGTGTATGTGTCCAGGAGTTTATCCATTTCTCTTAGATTTTCTAGTTTATTTGCATACAGGTGTTTTCAGTATTCTCTGATGGTAGTTTGTATTTCTGTGGGATCAGTATACCACATTTTCTTTAAACACTCATTGATTAATGGGCATTTGGGCTGGTTCCATGTTTGTTTGTTTGTTTGTTTGTTTTTGAGGTGGAGTCTTGCTCTGTTGCCCAGGCTGGAGTGCAGTGGCATGATCTTAGCTCACTGCAAGCTCCACCTCCGAGGTTCACACCATTCTCCTTCCTCAGCCTCCCCGGTAGCTGGGACTACAGGCACCTGCCACCACACTTGGCTAATTTTTTTTTCTATTTTTTAGTAGAAATGGGGTTTCACCATGTTAGCCAGGATGGTCTCGATCTCCTGACCTTGTGATCTGCCCGCCTTGGCCTCCCAAAGTGCTGGGAGGTTCCATGTTTTTGCAATTGCAAATTGTTCTGCTATAAACATGCGTATGCAAGTATCTTTTTAGCATAATGACTTCTTTTCCTCTGGGTAGATACCCAGGAGTGGGATTGCTGGATCAAATTATAGATCTCCTTTTAGTTCTTTAAGGAATCTCCACACTGATTTTCACAGTGGCTATCCTAGTTTACATTCCCACCAACAGTGTAAAAGTGTTTCCTTTTTACCACATCCATGCCATCTATTATTTTTTGATTTTTTGACTATGGCCATTCTTGCAGGAGCAAGGTGGTATCACATTTTGGTTTTGATTTGCATTTCCCTGATATTTAGTGATGTTGAGCATTTTTCCATATGCTTGTTGGCCATTTGTATATCTTCTTTTGAGAATTGGTCTATCGTGTCCTTAGCCCACTTTTTGACGGGATTGTTTTATTCTTGCTGAGTTGTTGGAGTTCTTTGTAGATTCTAGATATTAGTCCTTTGTCAGATGTATAGGTTCTGAAGATTTTCTCCCACTGTGTGGGTTGTCTGTTAAGTCTGCTGATTATTTCTTTTGCTGTGCAGAAGCTTTTTAATTTAATTAAGTCCCATATATTTGTCTTTGTTTTTGTTGCATTTGCTTTTGGGTTCTTGGGCATGTAGTATTTGCCTAAGATAATGTCTAGAAGCGTTTTTCCAGTGTTATCTTCTAGATTTTTATGTTTTCTGGTCTTAATTTAAGCCTTTGATCCATCTTGAGTTGATTTTTATTATTAGGTGAGAGACGAGGATCCAGTTTCATTCTTCTACATGTGGCTAGCCAATTCTCCCAGCACCATTTGTTGAATAGGGTGTCCTTTCCCCATTTTATGTTTTTGTTTGCTTTGCCAAAGATCAGTTGACTGTAAGTATTTGGCTTTATTTTTGGGTCCTCTATGCTGTTCCATAGGTCTGTGTGCCTAGTTTTATACCAGTATCATGTTGTTTTGGTGACTATGGCCTTATAGTTTGAAGTCAGGTAATGTGATGCCTCCACATTTGCTTAGTCTTGCTTGGGCTATGCAGGCTCTTTTTTGGTTCCATATGAATTTTAGGATTGTTTTTCTAGTTCTATGAAGAATGATCGTGGTATTTTGATGGGAATTGCATTGAATTTGTAGATTGCTTTTGGCAGTATGGCCATTTTCACAATATTGATTCTACCTATCCATGAGCATGGGATGTGTTTCCATGTTTATGTCATCTATGATTTCTTTCAGCAGTGTTTTGTAGTTTTCCTTGTAGAGGTCTTTCACATACTTGGTTAGGTATATTCCTAAGTATTTTATTTTATTTTTTGCAGCTATTGTAAAGGGGGTTGAGTTCTTGATTTGATTCTCAGCTTGGTCGCTGTTTGTGTATAGCAGAGCTACTGATTTGTGTACATTAATTTGTATCCTGAAACTTTGCTGAATGCATTTACCAGTTCTACGAGTTTCTTGGATGAGTCTTTAGGGTTTTCTATATATATGATCATATCATCAGCAAAGAGTGAGAGTTTGGCATCCTCTTTACCAATTTGGATGCACTCGATTTCTTTCTCTTATCTGATTGCTCTGGCTAGGACTTCCAGTACTCTATTGAATAGAAGTGATGAAAATGGGTATCCCTGTTTTGTTCTTGTTCTCAGGGGGAATGCTTTCAACTTTTCCCCACTCAGTATAATGTTGGCTGTGTGTTTGTCATAGATGGCTTTTATTACCTTAAGGTGTGTCCCTTCTATGCCAATTTTGCTGAGAGTTTTAACCATAAAGAGATGCTGGATCTTGTAAAATGCTTTTTCTGCATCTATTGAGATGATCATTTGATTTTTGTTTTTAATTCTGTTTATGTGGTGTATCACACTTATTGACCTGCAGATGTTAAGCCACCCTTGCATCTCTGGTGTGAAACCCACTTGATCATGGTGGATTATCTTTTTGATATGCTGTTGTATTTGGTTAGCTAGTATTTTATTGAGGATTTTTGCATCTGTGTTCATCAGGGATGTTGGTATATAGTTTTCTTTTTTTGTTATGTCCTTCTCTGGTTTTGATATTAGGGTTATAATGGTATCATAGAATGATTTAGTGAGGATTCTCTCTCTCTCTCTCTGTCTCTCTCTGTCTCTCTCTCCCCTGTGGAATAGTGTCAACAGGATTGGCATCAGTTCTTCTTTGAATGTCTGATAGAATTCAGCTGTGAATCTGTCTGGTCCTGGACTTTTTTGTTGTTGGCATTTTTTTATTACTATTTCAATCTCGCTGCTTGTTATTGGTCTGTTCAGGGTTTCTATATCTTCCTGGTTTAATCTAGGAGGGTTGTATATTTCCAGGAATTTATCCATGTCCTCTGGGTTTTTTAGTTTATGTGTGTGGGCATTCATAGTAGCCTTGAGTAATCTTTTGTATTTCTGTAGTATCAGTAGTAATATTTAACATTTTGTTTCTAATTAAGCTTATTTGGATCTTCTCTCTTCTTTTCTTGGTTAATCTCACTACTGGTCTATCAATTTTATTTATCTTTTTGAAGAACCGGCTTTTTGTTTCAATTATCTTTTGTATTTTTTTGGTTTTAATTTCATTTAGTTCTGCTCTGATTGTCATTATTTCTTTTCTTCTGCTGGGTTTGGTTTTGGATCGTTCTTGTTTCTCCAGTTCCATGAGGTGTGACCATAGATTGTCTATTTGTGCTCTTTCAGACTTTTTTATATAAGCATTTAATGTTGTGAACTTTCTTCTTAGCACTGCTTTTGCTGTATCCCAGAAATTTTGATAGGTTGTGCAACTATTATCATTCAGTTCAAAAAATTTTTAAATTTCCATCTTGATTTCATTGTTGACCCAACAATCATTCAGGAGCAGGTTATTTAATTTCCATGTATTTGCCTGGTTTTGATGGTTCCTTTTGGAGCTGATTTCTAATTTTATTCCACTGTGGTGTGAGAGAGTACTTGTTATAATTTCAATTTTCTTAAATTTACTGAGACTTATTTTGTGGCCTATCATATGGTCTATCTTGGAGAATGTTCCATGTGCTGATAATAGAATGTATATTCTGCAGTTGTTGGGTAGAATGTTCTGTAAATATCTGTTAAGTCCATTTGTTGTAGGGTATAGTTTAAGTCCATTGTTCTTTGTTGACTTTCTGTCTTGATGACCTGTCTAGTGCTGTCAGTGGAGTACTGAAATCTCCCACTATTATTGTGTTGCTCTCTATCTCATTTCTTAGGTCTAGTAGTAATTGCTTTATAAATTTGGGAGCTCCAATATTAGGTGCATATATATTTAGGATTGTTATATTTTTCTGTTGGACTAGTCCTGTTATCATTACATAATGTCTCTCTTTGTCTTTTTTTTTAAAGTTTTTCCTTTTTTTATTGTTATACTTTAAGTTCTGGGGTACATGTGCACAACGTGCAGGTTTGTTACATAGGTATACATGTGCCATGTTGGTTTGTTGCACCCATCAACTCGTCATTTACATTAGGTATTTCTCCTAATGCTATTCCTCCCCCAGCCCTCCACCCACTGACAGGCCCTGGTGTGTGATGTTCCCCTCCCTGTGTCTATGTGTTCTCATTGTTCAGCTCCCACTTATGGGTGAGAACATGCGGTGTTTGGTTTCCTCTTCTTGTGTTACTTTGCTGAGAATGACGGTTTCCAGTTTCATCCATGTCCCTGCAAACAACATGAACTCATCCTTTTTTAAAATGGCTGCATAGTATCCCATGGTGCATGTGTGCCACATTTTCTTTATCCAGTCTATCATTGATGGGCATTTGGGTTGGTTCCAAGACTTAACTGCTTTTGCTTTAAAGTTTGTTTTGTCTGATATAAGAATAGCTACTTCTGCTCACTTTTGGTGTCCTTTGCATGGACTATCTTTTTCCACCCTTTTACCTTAAGTTTATGTGAGTCCTTATGTGTTAGGTGAGTCTCCTGAGGATAGCAGAAACTTGGTTGGTGAATTCTTATCCATTCTGCCATTCTGTATATTTTAAGTGGAGCATTTAAGCCATTTACATTCAACATTAGTTTTGAGATGTGACACACTATTCTATTCATTGTGCTACTTATTGCCTGAATACCTTGTTTTTTTTTTTTCATTGTGTTATTGTTTGATAGGTCTTGTGAGACATATGCTTTAAGGAGGGTCTATTTTGGTGTATTTTGAGGATTTGTTTCAAGATTTAGAGCTCCTTTTAGCAGTTCTTGAAGTGCTGGCTTGGTAGTGGTGAGTTCTCTCAGCATTTGTTTGTCTGGAAAATACTGCATCTTTCTTTCATTTATGAAGCTTAGTTTCACTGGATACAAAATTCTTGATTGATAATTGTTTTGTTTAAGGAGGCTAAAAATAGGACACCAATCCCTTCTCACTTGTAGGGTTTCTGCTGAGAAGTTTGCTGTTACTCTGTTTTCCTTTATAGTTACCTGATACTTTCGCCTCACAGCTCTTAAGATTTGTTCCTTCATCTTGACTTTAGATAACCGGATGCATATGTGCCTAGGCGATGATCTTTTTGCGATGAATTTCCCAGATGTTCTTTGAGCTTCTTGATTTTGAATGTCTAGATCTTTAGCAAGGCCAGGGAAGTTTTCCTCAAGTATTCCCTCAAATATGTTTTCCAAACTTTTAGATTTCTCTTCTTCCTGGGGAACACCAATTATTCTCAGGTTTGGATGTTTAACATAGTCCTAAACTTTGTGGAGGCTTTGTTCATTTTTTTTTTTTTTCGAGATGGAGTCTTGATCTTTAGTCCAGGTTGGAGTGCAATGGCACGATCTCGGCTCACTGCAGCCTCTGCCTCCTGGGTTCAAGTGGTTCTTCTGTCTCAGCCTCCCGAGTAGCTGGGATACAGGCACGCGCCACCTCGCCCAGCAAATTTTTGTATTTTTAGTAGAGATGGAGTTTCACCATGTTGGCCAGGCTGGTCTCGAACTCCTGACCTCAGGTGATCTGCCCACCTCCGCCTCCCAAAGTGTTAGGATTACAGGCATGAGCCACCATGCCCGGCTGGCTTTGTTCATTTGTTAAAATTCTTTTATCTTTGTCTTTGATGGATTGGGTTAATTAGAAAGTCTTGTCTTCAAGCTCTGAAGTTCTTTCTTCTGCTTGTTCGGTTCTATTGCTGAGACTTTCCAGTGCATTTTGCATTTCTCTAAGTGTGTCCTTGATTTCCAGAAGTTGTGATTGTTTTTTGTTTATGCTATTTCTTTCACTGAAGATTTTTCCTTTCATATCCAGTATCATGTTTTGGTTTCTTTACATTGGACTTTACCTTTCTCTGGTGCGTCCTTGATTAGCTTAATAATTCTTCTGAATTCTTTTTCTGGGAATTTAGAAGTTTCATCTTGGTGTGGATCCATTGCTGGTGAGCTAGTGTGATCTTTGGGGCTGCGAAAGAACCTTGTTTTGTCATATTACCAGAATTGTTTTTCTGGTTTCTTCTCATTTGGGTAGACTATGTCAGAGGGAAGATCTGGGACTCCAGGGCTGCTGTTCAGATTCTTTTGTCCCACTAGGTGCTCCCTTTATGTGGTTTTCTCCCTCTTCCCCTAGGAATAGGGCTTCCTGAGAGCTGAACTGCAGTGATTGCTTTTGCCCTTCTGAGTCTAGCCACTCAGTGGAGCTACCAGTCTCTGGGCTGGTACTAGGGAGTGTCTGCAAAGAGTCCTATGATGTGATCTGTCTTCAGGTCTTTCAGCTGTGGATACCAGCACCTGCTCCGGTGGAGGGAGCAGGGGAGTGCAGTGGACTCTGAAGATCCTTGGTTGTGTTTTTGTTTAATGCGCTGGTTTTGTGTGGTTGGCCTCCAGCCAGGAGGTGGTGTTTTCAGGAGTGCATCAGCTACAGGTTGAATAGGGAGGAGGAAAACTTGCCCCAGGGTTACATGGTTAAGTATTCCTAATTTTCTTTCTTTCTTTAATGTTTCTCTGCAATATTTTATAGTTTTCAATATACAGGTCTTTCACATCCTTTGTCAGACTTATCCCTAAGTATTTTATGCTACTGTTTTTATGCTATTTTATGTCATTGTTAATAATATTGTTTTTAAATTCTAATGTTTATTCATTGCTAGTATATAGAAATACAATTGAAATTTGTATATTGATCTTATATCCTACAGTCTTGCTGAACTTACTATTAGTCTTAGTAAATTTTTGTGTGGATTTTCTGTGAAGATGATCCCGATGTCTGTGAATAAAGGCAATTTTACTTCTTCCTTTCCAATCTGGATTCCTTTCACTTATTTTTCTTGCCTGACTACATCAGCTAGAATTTCCTGTACAGCGTTGAAAAGAGATGGTGAGAGCCAACACCCTTGTCTTGTTCCTGA
The DNA here is from genome assembly GCF_000001405.40 of Homo sapiens. Lineage (NCBI taxonomy): Eukaryota > Metazoa > Chordata > Mammalia > Primates > Hominidae > Homo > Homo sapiens. The sequence goes on along the minus strand of NC_000015.10, from coordinate 100,354,962 downwards.
CTTTAGGGGAAAAGCGTTTCAGTCTTTCACCATTAAGTATGATGTTATCTGTAGGTTTTTTCATAGATGTCCTTTATCAGGTTGAGGAAGGTCTCTTCTGCTGTTAGTTGGCTGAGAGCTTTTTTTTTTTTTAATCAGGAACGGATGTTGGATGTTATCAAAGGCTTTTTCATGTCTTCTGACATGACCATATGATTTTTCCTTTATAGTCTGTTAATATTGAGAATTCCAATGATTGATTTTAGAATATCAGACAAACACTTTCTTTGTGATCACTCGAGCTCTGTGTATTTCCGATACTAGCAACCAAGGATTTTGGACAAATACAATCTAGTTATTGAGATCTGATCATAGTTTCTCTGCCCAGCTTTATATTTCAAAGCTTAATTGATTTTGGAAGAAAGTTCTAGGCGACATATGTAAGAAAGGGGAGAAACCCATAAACTGCTGGTGATGTGGAAAGTATTTCTTACCAAGTACTTGCTATGTGTCAAGTGGCTTAGGGGTTGGGTGCGAAAATACACACTCCTGAGATGTGGTGCCCAGACAGGGGCTGTTGCAAAGAGACCCCAGGACCCCAGGGTTATTTAAAGAACAGAGCCTTCCACACCCCTTCCCTCTCTCGATAGCAGGGCACACCTTTACATCTGGACTTCTGTTGCTGTTATTATTGTTTTTAATCAAACCTGCATAAACCTGGTGAATCGAAGTTACTTCAGAGAAGAATGACAGTCAGTGAATCCAGAGAGAGATGGGTTTGATGCTTTCTTTTCTCTGGCCACGTGACAGTTCATGGAGTCTTCAGAAATTTCTAATCTTATCAAATTGTTTTCTTTACTTAGTCATTTATTCAGTAAACATAACCAAGTGTGTATAATGTGCCAGCACTCTCCTAGGCCCTTGTCTCTGTTTCCAAGAATTGTTTGAATTGCTGCATTACAAGTTCAAGCATAACTGGGAGGTAATCTAGCACAACTCCTCATTTCACAGATGAGAAAACTGAGAATCTGAGAAGAGAAAAACATTGCCCTAGACTCTGCAGTCAGAGAATCACTACAACCACCACGTGATCCATTCACAGGTGAGTTGGATTTCCCTTTTTCTTCCCATGTCCCCCCTTAATGATAGAGGGCATGGCTCTGGTGTCCCAGGGTTTGAGTCAAATTCCTCTTCCACAAATGACCATCTGTGCAACCTTGATGAACACAGTGCTTACTTCTGGCGCTATTGCCCTGAGTATAGAATGTGGTTAATAATAACGCCTATGTCAAAGGGTTGTGGTGAGGCCACTGGTTCTTGCCTACTTCCTCCTGCTTCTAGCTTTCTGATGCATACATAGGTGGTCACCATGTCCCACAGAGAAAGAAACAGGAACCATGCTCACGCATTAAATCCTTGTGACCCAGTGGGAAATTTTGTATCTTTGTTGACATTACATTTTTATCTATAAAGTGAGATTCTTCATGAGACATCTGTGAGACATAGTCAATATTTTAAGATTTTATAACTCTCAAAGATATAACTTATTGAGTCATCTTGGGCAAGTCATTAGCATTTCTCAGCTCACTTTTCCCACTTATTAGTGAAGGATAATAATTTTTTCCTGGCAGAATTATTTTAAGAATTAAATACTTACTTGTGTATGTTATGTTATACAAATGCCATCCTAGTTGTAAAAACAAAGATAATACGTATATTAAAGGAAGAACCATTCTGGAATCTGGAATTTAAAAAATATTTATTAATTTTTTAAAGTAATACATTCAATAGTTAAAGAAAATGATATAGAAGTTCCTAAAGTGTGAAATAATGACACCTTGCCCAAATCTTTCTACCCTAGACTCACTGCTGAAAGCAATCCTTTTAACTATTTCTGGTTTTAATTTTTCTGATCATTTTCTTCATACCATTAAAATTGTTCTTAATTTTTTTATATGTCAAGACTAGATATGGCAAGTGATGTATTACAATGATGGATAAGGATTTACCTCACTTTTTATCACATTCCCATCCCAATATGAGACTTTTATTTCTTTTATTAATTACCTTTGTGAATTCAAAGTATACATGTATATCTTTACTTCTTATTTTATCAACTATAGGCAATATCTTTCTCTTCACTTTGGAAGATGAGGGAACTTGCCCCCTATACGTTTCTTTGTTTCTTTTTAACTTCCATCTCTTCTCCTTTGTTATCTACTCTTTTACTTTGACATTGTTATGGATGACAACTTTTACAATTGATTCTGCAGCCGGGATGATATATTCTGCTATTTCTTTTTGGTTGATTCTAAAAGTTGAAAATCATTGCACAGTGTTTACATTATGATTTTGATATAATTATTATATAAGTCTTTTCTGAAGTTAAGCATGTATCATGACTATATTTCCCTTTGTTGTGGGATATTTTGGCCCTTTTTTTCTTTCCTTCTGTCTTTTGTGTGTGTGTGTTTCTGTTTAGCTTCTGGACACTGGGACTTCCATTTCCTCTCTGATGGTGTCAGCAACACAATGCAAGCACCACATTCATTGTTTCCTAGGGAAGCTAAACAGTTCCATTCCTGGACCTATACCATGGGTGGGTAGAGAGGCTGCACACAGGGACCAACTAGCCATCTGGCTGCTCTTGCAGATGTACTTACCCTGCTCAGCCTACAGGTTGCTTTTGGGTGCCCTAAATTTTTTATAGCCACTTCTTGCACACCTCCATTAGATGAATGCTTTCATATAAATCTTTAACATGCCTTAGAATTAATTTTAGTTTGTGTTATGACTCTGTAGTTGTTAGCTATTGCTGCATAACAAATTAGTCCAAAACTTAGTGACTCAAAACACTAATAATAATTTATTTTCTCTTGTTTTTTTAACGGTCTGGAATTCAGCCAGGGTGGACACAGTGGGAAGGGCTTGTCTCTACTCATGGTGTTTGGGGCAGACTCAAAGGCTGGGGGCTGAAATCATCGGAAGGCCTGACTGAGGGTAGAGGATCTGCTTCCAAAATGACTCACTCACATGACAAATTAGTTGGTTCTGGCAAGTTGGCCTCCTTTCCAAGAAGTGCCTCTCCACACATGTGCTTCTCTGCAGGGTTGCTTGAGTGTCCTCATGACATGGCTGGTGGTTCCCAAAAAAGCAAGTGATCCAAGAGCAACATTCAGGAATAAGTTCAATCCTTTCTATGACCTAGCCTCAGAACTCACAAAGCATCACTCTCAATACGCCCTATTCATCAGAAGCCAGGCAGTAATTCCAGCACACTTTCTAGGCAGAGGAATTAGGTACACCTGTTGAAGGGAAGCAGGTCATAATTAGAGGATATATTTTTGAACCACCACAGAATCTAACTTAGGTTCGTACAAATATATAAACAGCTGTCCAATACCACATATTGAATAGTCTATCATTACTATATCAGTCTGAGCCATGACTATTTGCATTTACTAAGAATGTGTGTTATTACCATTGAAGACCTTCCAGTGGGACAAGATGTGAAAGCAGAAGACAGTGGTATTGATGATCCTGACCCTGTATAGGCCTAGGCTAATGTGTGTTTGTGTCTTAATATTTGACAAAAAGTTTAAAATGTAAAAAATAAACAACTTCAAAAGTAGGAAAAAAGCTTATAGAATAAGGATATGAAGAATGAAAATATTTTTGTATAGCTGTACAATGTGTTTGTGTATTCAAGCTGTTATTAAAAGAGTCAAAAAATTTAAAAATTCTTAAGGTAGAAAAGTTACAGTAAGCTAAAGTGAATATATTATTGAAGGAAAGAAAATTTTTAAAAATAAATTGAGTGTGGGCCTAGTGTACAGGGTTTTAAAGTCTACAGTAGTGTACAGTAATGTCCTAGGCCTTCGTATTTACTCACCACTCACTTACTGACTCACCCAGAGCAACTTTCAGTCCCGTAAGCTCCAAGCTTACGGTAGGTGCCCTAGGCAGGTGCACCAGTTTCAATCTTTCATACCATATTTTTACTGTATCTTTTCTATGTTTAGATACACAAATACTTACCATTGTGTTACAGTTGCCTACAGTGTTCAGTACCACACTGTACAGGTTTGTAGTCTAGAAGCACAGCCTACAGCCTGGGTGTGTAGTAGGCTGTGCTGTTTAGGTTTGGGTAAGTACACTCTATATTGTTTGCACAATGATGCAATTGCCTGACGATGCATTTCTCAGAACGTCTGCTCACTGTTACGCAACGGAGGACTGTGAATTGGGAGTTTATTTTGTTTTTCAGTCTGTACTGGCAGCGAATCATACATAGCTTAGTTTATCAGACAAGCTGCTTTTCTTGAGCAAAGAAAGAACTAGGAGAGAAACGGGGCTTTGGAACCCTGATGCGGCAATGCTGAAAGAGGAGAAATATCCCAAGGAAGGGAAAGGTGTGTTGCAGAACGATGAAAAATAGGCGGCTTCTCACAGCTGTTCTCAGGGGACGAGACGGGGTGGGATGCAGCTCCGCCGGTGCCTAACACTAAGGGCCCTCATCCTGCCGATTCAGTTGTGTCGGGACCGCCAGTGCTGTCTCCTCGTCAGATGCTGCTTCTGGTCTCCCCGCAGAAGATGCCACTGGAGTTGCCTTTTCAAGGATGGGGACATTTGAAGGCCCTGGACGCTCAGCTCTGAGGCTGGCTGGGATCTCACTAGCACCCCCTGGTGGAGGCCGGAGCCAGGCTGACGCGGGAAAGTGGGGCACGGAAGCGCTGCGGATTGGACCGGCGGCAGCTAGGCCGAAACGCCTGTATTTAAAGGGATAGTAACTCGGACTCGTTCTGCAATATCCCCACAAGGGCCTGACTGAGCGAGCGAGCATGGACGGCCGCGGGGCTTTCTGGACAGTGGCCATTCCCAGAGCCAGGCAGGAAGGCCTCGGGAGGCTGGGGCTCCCGTTCCCGGTGAAGCGGACGCCGCCAGCGCCCCAGAACCCAGGAGGAAGCACACAGGCCCCACAGAGAGTGGTTGGCAAGAGTCACTCGGGGATTAGGATGCCGGCCAAATCGCGGAATTTGAGGCTGGAATCCAAGCTCAACAGGAAAGTAGTGAAATACAAATGGGGAAAACAGGGCTCTGGAGCGGGGAGGGAGCTGGTGCCGGCATTTCCCACCAACGCCGGTTTAGGAAGACGGGACCGATGCCGGCCGCCCCCTGCTGGAGGGGATGTGGCATCTCACGGGCTGCCAGGGAGCGGGGTTGGCTACTCCTGCAACCAGCGTGAAGAGGGTCTCAGGGGAGGCTGTGGTGGGATCCCCCACGTGCCCTTGTTCCTCTCACCGTTACCTCTGGATGCCTCGGGGCAAAGGCCTTCTTCCACCTATAGACAGAGTCTACGCAGGGGTCTTGGAACCCGGGCACACCAGTCCCCAGCTAACGAAATCCCCGAGTTGGGGGATTTGAGAGGGTCACGTTTGGCCCAAGAACCCGCAGTCCTCTTTGGTCTTCGGCCCTCTATTTCTAAGCGTGGGCTTCTGGCACGGCGGCTCTGGGCACAGCCCATGCTGCTTTCGGGCTGGGTGGTTTCAACGACGACAACAATTATCACAGTGACGGTGACCTTCACCCCAACAGGACTGCTGTGTGTGAAGCACTCAAGAGGGCCCCTACAACCAACCTGCCAGGAGTCGGCTCCTGAAAACAGGGTCGGAAAAGGTCAGTGCCCATCAGAATCGAGCTGTCGGCAAAAAGCTGGAGAGGTTAGGAGCTTTGTCTATCTCAAGGGTAACAAACTGCTTTGACCCTGAGGGCTCTGAAGACGACTTTCCCTCACCGCAGCTCTCAAGACAACAGGGATCAGACTCAGAAAGACACTGCCTGTATAAGGCTCTTGTTTGTCTTGTTTTTAATTCCTGCCCTCTGCCTCCAGATCTCAGTCCTCTATCTGTGAAACGGAATTCGGCCTTGCCTGTCCACGAAATGAAGACAAGGCATCTCGTGTGTGTTAAGATGAAACAAGATCTTAGCAAGAGAGTAATGATTTCTTTTTTAAAACATTTTTTACTGTAGTAAAATGTACTATAACGTAAAATTACCATTTCAATCATTTGTAAGTTCAGTGGCATTAAGTACATTCACATTGTCGGGCAGCTGTCAGAGGTGTTCGAACCAGAGCGACTCCATCTTGAACAGGTGCTGCGCAAAATGAGGCTGAGACCTGCTGGGCTGCATTCCCAGGAGGTTAGGCATTCTTCGTCACAGGATGAGTCAGTGGCTGCCAGGGAGGCAGGTTGGTTACCCCAGGAACCAATGAATTGCATCTCAGGGGAGGTTTTGCCAGATACAGGTCACAAAGACCCTGCTGATAAAACAAGATGCGGTAAAGAAGCTGGCCAAAACCTACCAAAACCAGATGGTGACAAAAGCAACCTCTGCTCGTCCTCACTGCTCATTATACACTAATTATAATGTATTAGCATGGCAAAAGACACTCCCGCTAGTGCCATGGCAGCTTACAAATGCCATGACAACATCTACTTAGTTAAATTTGCATACTATGAATATGAGTATGCAAATACCTGTTGGAGTCCCCGCTTTCAAAGCTTTGGGGTACACATCCAGAAACGGAATTGCTGGATCATAGGGTAAATCTATTTTGGAGGAATAGTCGTACTGTTTTCCACAGTGACTGTACCATTTTACATTCCCACAAAATTATTTCTTTCTATCTGCCTTCCCCCACTAGATAGAACACAGGGAAGTTACTTTTTCGTTTCTAAATCCCCAGCACCAGGAACAGTGTCTAGTTCATAACAGAGCTCTATAGAGAACTGTGGGGAAAGAAGTGCAATTTATATGCTGCTGCCTCTTCATTTGGCATCTCAGTACGTGGCACACAGAAAGTAGGCACTGAAGAAGGGTTGAAGGACCTAATGAGTACATAAATGAATGCAGTTACCATTGCTTTTTCCTTGGTCTAGACTGAGGACAGACATTTTTGTAAATTAAGCTACTTAGTTAAATGTAGACCTCTGGCCAGTTTTGCTCATCCAGAAGTTTCACTTTAATGCCACTTCAAAGATACTGTTTTCTGTAAATCAGATCATAATTGTGATGAGAATGATGTGGGGATGTGTCCTGGACTCTCCCCATCCCCCACCTCACAGCCTAATGTATAACGCACATTTTATTCAGGACCATTTTGGATGTGTAGGATCTGCTCCAGAACACAGGATAATGGGCCTCTTTTCTGGGGATGGTGTGGTTCCATCATTAGATAGCAGGTGTGTCATCTGCAGGTACTGGTCTCACTATTCAACCACTGGTTGAAAGATTGGTTCAAGATCAACTCTTTGAAAAATCAAAGTATTACTTTTACAAATGCTTTTTTGATATTTCTCAACCAATTAACCTTGAAAAGTTCACCATGAAGTTGAATTGCCTAAACTTATACATTGTATGGGCACTGAGATGCAATTTTTAGGGCTGTGTGGGCATCAGCGATGCCTGTTTTCAATACATTGTAGCTATGCTCAGTGTCATGGGCCTTGTAGGGCTGACCTCTTTTTGTCCAAGCATTGAAGCCAATCTAAAACTCTTTTCCAAAAAGAAAATGTTTTCTTTGCTAATAAGTCACCATCAACTGCAGCAGAGGCAGCTGTTTGGGCTTCACAATTTGCGGAAGCACATGCCAGCCTGGCTCTGTTTTGTGCTTGTTCACAGTATATGGCTTTGGCCTTGTTCAGCATCAGGGAGTAGCTGTTCCTTGGGTCATGCATGGAGTTGGATTTAACCCTGGCTTTCAGCTGGCCAGTCCTCATCAGGAGCTTGGGCAGGAGAAATAGTACTCTGGTGAATGGTCTGAAGACATTAGATCATAGATGACCTTGGCTGCAAGCAACTAAATCCAGACCACAACAGTTTATCCAAATAGGGTTAACCAAACAAGTACAATGTGTACCCAAATGATATCAGTGTCCCATGATCCTTCCATCATCCACTGGATGATTTCTTAATTCAAAGTCAAACAAAAACAAAAGCAGATTTGAAACATTCTCATCCATCCTTGAAACTGGATCACATGCCATGGTCTCGCTCTTTGAAGTGGTCAACTGAACAGCTGGATACATGGTCTGGAGCTGGGAGGAGGAGTGCCTTAGTCCATTCCTGCTGCTATGACAAAATAGCTTAGACTTGGTAATTTATAAATAATAGACATTTATTTCTCATTGTTCTGGTGGCTGGGAAGTCCAAGGTCAAGGTGCCGGCAGATTCAGTGTCTGGTAAGCTCTCTGTGTCCAGGATGACACCTTGTTGCTGCATCTTCTGAAGAGGACAAATGCTGTGTCCTCATATGGCAGAAGAGATGCAGGGCAAAAGGGCCAAGAAGCCCTCTTGAGCCTCTTTAATGAGGGCATTAATTCCATTCATGAGGGCAGAGCCCTCATGACTTTGGGCCTTAACCCAAAAGGCTCCACCTCTTAATACCAGCACAATGAGGTAAGTTTCACCATGAATTTTGGAGGGACATAAACATTCAAACCGCGGCAAAGAGTCTGGACCAGGGGATGACTCTGTGAAGTGCGTGCTTGTCCACTGCCAAAAGAAAGGGATAAGATGAGGAATGCGAAGCTGAGAAGGGGAGGGTTCGAGATCAGCACTGCATTGAGAGAAAGGGGAGTTGGGCAGAGGAGTGTAGTAGCAATGGTGGGCATGGCGATGGCTCAAATGAAGAAGGTGATTGCAGATTTCCCTGTTGCATGCTTGGCTCCAGTGGTGTTCAGAGCTCAACCACATGCTCAGTGAGAGTAGAGAGTTGAGTTTACCCAGGCCTGTAGTTCTGCATGACAACTGCAGTGAAAAGGGATAGGGGAGGGTGCTGAGCATATTGGCAAGAGTGTTTTCAGAGTCATGGGGCCTGGAATGCAAGCTGGATATGGAGGCAAGTGAAGAGAGGCTGGTGGGTTGGGAGATGCAGACTGAGAGACCTTCTGAGGTAGGAGCATTTGGACGAGCATGCTGGGAGGACAAGAAGCTGTGGTCAGAGGTGGATGTTCAAGTTTTGGAAGGTGGAACAGCTAGGGGTGATGACAAGGTGTAGGGTGTGAATTTGAGAGTGGACAGTTGGGGCAGCATAGCACAGAAGGTCACTGAAGGAGGAAATTGAGGAGCCCAGAGCCCAGGGTGGGGGATGGGAGTTGTCTATATGTGTGTCTGTTAGGGGTCGAGTTTGGCTGCATATAACAGACAACCCAAATAGCAACAGCTTAAAAGAGACAAGAGTATATTTTTTTTCTGATATAGCAAAAAGTGCAGAAGTAGACAGCTCAGGTCTGGCATGGTGACTCCAAGATGTCATCAGCAACCCAGAGTTCATTGATCTTTTTGCTTCCCAGGGGTCTGGCACTCTTCCTCATGCTTACGAGATGGCTGCTGGAATTCCAGGAATCACATGCAAATTCTAGTCAGGAGCAAAGAGGAAGAGACACAGTGAAAAGGGGTATACAGCGGCAGAAGGAAGCTCCTCAAATGAACTCTGCTAGAACTCTAGCCAGTAGCTTCTCCTTCTATCACAGTGGCCAGAACTGTGACAAGTGACCATCCTTAGGGGAAAAAAGATGCTGAGAAATGTGAATTTTGTTGCCACCTTACATTTTCAAAGGAGTTCCATTCGTAAGTACAGAACGCTCAGAGAAGAGGCAGCAGATCTAGGATATGGAGCAGCAGCTCTTAAGGGCACAGTGGGAAGGTTTCAAGACTGAGGAGGATCTTGGATTTGGGTAGGGGAAGGCAGTTCACAGTATTGTGGAGGAAATGCTGTGAAAGAGAAAGTGGAAGGCATGGAAGCTTAAACTTTTAATATGACTGGTGAATACAAGGATGAAGGGCAAAGGGAATTCAGACTCATGGTGGTCAGATTAAGACCTTCAGCGGCTCTGTCTCCCAGCCCCACATACCCACTTCCATGTTCTGCTCTTTACTGAAGCTGAAAGTCTGCAACCTTCATTCTCTGACTCCCTTACATTTTCTTAGGCTTCTTGCTAGCTTCTGCCAAAAAGAGGCCCTGGCAGGAGATTAGATGGCAGGAGGCAGAGGTAAGGATTCCATGTTAACAGGTGCTGGAAGTTGCTGGTGTGGCAATGAGAACTGGGCCCCGGTCAAGGCAGCACTACTTTGGTAGATCCAGAATCAACCATGATAACCGTGACAGTGTCTTCAACAGTGCAGCAGTAGACACAGGCCCCTGGTGCTGGAATCCAATACAGGGACAGGAGCAGCACGGAGTCACGGAACACCGTCTTGCCTTCATGTCACTTTACCATTTCTTCTTTCTCCCTCTTACTCTACCAGCTACCTGTGGAGATGTTGAACCTTTTATCTGTCGCTGTCTGCTTAGGAACAGAAGAAAAGGCAGCTGATTGCTTGACTCAGCTTTCAGCTTGATTTTTTTCCTTTGGCAGAGTGAATTGGGGTCCCAGGTGTTCATTTTCCTTTTGTAGTACCTTTCCTCAGCATGCAATTAATACAAAAAGAACAATAAACCTTAACAAAGTTTGGCTTGTATTATTCCAGACTTTCCTCTTGGATTTTATGTACACTTATCTGAATCCATGCAGATCATGTCATGTGTGTCTGTGTGTTTATACACATTTTTTTTTCGGTGTGCCTCATTCTGCAACTTGATTTTTTAAAAAATTCGATAACTGATCTTGGAGATCTGTCCATGTTGTTACATATATGAGATTTTTGTATTTCCTTTAATTAATGGTGTTCAAGTAGCCGTTTATGTAACGATGAACATTCAGGTTTTTGCAATTTTTTGCTCTTAATAAGGTGCCCTGGTGAACAAACATTCTTGTACATGTGCCAGAGTTTCTCTGGAGTAATTAACCAGCGTGGAATTACAGAGTTGTAGAATGTGTGCATTTTTAGTTTTATTAAAACTAAAAAGTAAAACTTTAATTTTACAGTTTGCCCAATTGTTCCTCAGAGTGGCTGTGCCAATTTATACTCTCCACCCCTAGGTAGGAGAGTGTCCTCTCTAATTCTTGATTTTTCTAAGCTCTTTAATTTTGGTTAGTTGGGAGATAAAATAGTATCTTTCTGTTTTAGTTTTCATGTCCCTATGGACTAATTTTAGCATTTGAGCATCTTGGATAGGTTCTTGATAGGTTGGTGATGGCTACTTCAGGCTGACTTGCGCTTGTGAGGTGGTGTGGCCCATACTCCATGGTTTTCAGTGGCAGGCCTTAGAAATGGCTCTTTTTGACAAAAAGATTCACTAAGAAACTTACTGTGATATCTTTAAAAAAATTAATATTTTGTGAGTACGTAGTAGGTGTATATGTTTACAAAATGTATATACATGAAATTTTTTGATATGGCCATACAATGAGTAATAATCCCATCAGGGTAAATGAGGTGTCCATCACCTCAATCACCAAGGTTTCTTGTGCTGCCAGAAAATGCTACTGAGCTGTCAGTCATCTGAGGTTGTTGACCTGGACAGAGGCAAGGGGGAGAAACACAGCCCCAGGCCTGGCCAAGAGCAGGACCTGTGCAGATGCCCCCAGAACTGTAGGTGCCAAGCAGTGAGGGCAGCCCCTTTTGTGGCAAGCCTCTGTGGAGGGTCACTGTTCAGCCTTGGGGTTCATTATATTTCGGGGAAGGTGGCCAGTGTTATAGATTCCTTCAGATGATATGTAATCCTGTGATGAATTTAGATTCCGAGGCTTCAAGCAGCATCCAGCGGGGAACTATAACCTTTCTGCTATGATAAAATGGAAAAGAGCAGGACAGGGAAGGGACGGGAAACCTGAGATTGGTTATGGTTACACTTAATTGTTTTTTTTGTTTTGTTTGGTTTTGTTTTGTTTTTTTGAGATGGAGTCTTGCTCTGTTGCCCAGGCTGGAGTGCAGTGGCACAATCTCGGCTCACTGCAACCTCCACCCCCCGGGTTCAAGCGATTCTTCTGCCTTAGCCTCCCGAGTAGCTGGGACTACAGGTGTGCGCCATCACGCCTGGCTAATTTTTGTATTTTTAGTAGAGACAGGGTTTCACCATATTGGCCAGGCTAGTCTGGAACCCCTGACTTCGTGACCCGCCCGCCTTGGCCTCCCAAAGTGCTGGGATTACAGGCATGAGCCTCTACAAGATGCTATTCAGCAAGCTAATGGAGTCACCTTCCCTGCAGACCTCAGTTATATTGTGGCAGGAAAGGATCAACTCATTCTGTTTCTGGGAGACTCACGTTCAAGGCTAGGCTTTGGGACTTTGTGCCTCCGTTTCCTAACCTGTAACACTGAGTCCTGCTTCCCTCGGGGCGGGGGGATCCTGCTGTTAATAAGAAGCACCAAGCCAGAAATCAGGATCACAAATTCTAGCCTCTGCTCCAACAGGAACTCTCTGGGTAACTTCAGCGTTTTTCCTTAAGCTCTCTCTCTTCCTCAGTTTTTCAGTCTGTAAGAGGGTGTGAGCATGCGTGTTGCACTGGCTCCTGTGGGATTAAAGAAGACAGGAGGTGTGAAGAGTTTGGATAAACGCCGCGGATATAGCCTTCAGGTGCTAACTCAGGTGTGCGGGAAAGTGGACTGGGAGTCTTTGCGGCCACAAACAACTAAAACCTAACTTCAGATGTAAAGATTATATGCAGTTTTGGATGAAACCGCTTGGCCGGGGCGATTTCCGCCCTACCTTCCCGGGAAACTGGGCAGCAGGCTGAGAGAGTTCCAAAATGAGGACAAGCTCTGAAGACCAGCCCCGCATCCTCCAGCTCTTCCAGGGTCCCACGGCTCCGGTCGGCTCCCGCGCGCCACCTGGTGCCGTGTCCCCGCCACTGCCCAGAAACCACGTGTAAGAAAGCGCTGACAACCTAACTACGCACTGTGGTTTCGACCCATCCCAACCAGTAGGGAAGGAGGAGGCGGGGCGGAGGAAAGCGAGGGCCCAATCCCCTCCCGCCTTCCGAGGGGAAGGCGGGGCTTGGGGTTTACCACGTTGGGTTTGTCCGCAGCGCTAATTACTTTTTCCAAAGGCTGGAGGGCTTCACTCCGGCTGGCGCCGCCGCCTAGCGCGCTCCTGCTTCGCCGCCACGGTCCGGGGGGGCTGCCGGTCCCGGGTACCATGTGTGACGGCGCCCTGCTGCCTCCGCTCGTCCTGCCCGTGCTGCTGCTGCTGGTTTGGGGACTGGACCCGGGCACAGGTAGCGCCCCCTCCCACAGCCCTCTTCACCCCGCGTCCTGCGGCTACCTTCCCTCTGCGTTCTCGCGGCGTCCTGGCGGCCCGGGGGCGGCGGCGGGACCGCTGACGGCGCCCGAGCGGAGGAGGCGCGGGCCGCGGCCGGAGTACGGGAATCGGGTGGCTCCGTGGCAGGCGCGCCGCCGCCGGGTCTCCGCTCGCCGATGCGCGGCGCCGTTCCGGGAGGTGCTCGCGCGGCTGCGCCGGAGACCCTCCCCGGGTGGCGCGGGCCAGCGTGGAGGTGCCGGGCGAGGGAAGGGAAGGCAGCGCCGGCTCCGGGTCGCGCTGTCCCCGCGCTGGCGCGGCTGGCGGCCAGCGGGAGGGCGGGCGTCCGGGCGGGCCCCGCCGCGCTGACGCGTCTCCTCTCTCCCCGCAGCTGTCGGCGACGCGGCGGCCGACGTGGAGGTGGTGCTCCCGTGGCGGGTGCGCCCCGACGACGTGCACCTGCCGCCGCTGCCCGCAGCCCCCGGGCCCCGACGGCGGCGACGCCCCCGCACGCCCCCAGCCGCCCCGCGCGCCCGGCCCGGAGAGCGCGCCCTGCTGCTGCACCTGCCGGCCTTCGGGCGCGACCTGTACCTTCAGCTGCGCCGCGACCTGCGCTTCCTGTCCCGAGGCTTCGAGGTGGAGGAGGCGGGCGCGGCCCGGCGCCGCGGCCGCCCCGCCGAGCTGTGCTTCTACTCGGGCCGTGTGCTCGGCCACCCCGGCTCCCTCGTCTCGCTCAGCGCCTGCGGCGCCGCCGGCGGCCTGGTACTGCCCGCGCCACCTCCGGGTCGGCCCGTCCGGTCTGTTGCGACGCAGAGTGGTCGCCGTGGAGGGTGGGGGTGGGGCGCCTCTGCTGGAAGTCCAGCCTCCAGGGGAACCGGAGGGAACCCCCTGCCTTTCCACCTCTCCCCATCCCCCACCCCGGCCTTCGGTACCCTCTATAGGCAAAGGGGGTGGGAGGGGCAGCATCCCAGTCCAGCGCCTCTGCAGCCCGTGGAACCCGCGCGGAGCTGGGGTTGCGTGGGGTATACGCCGCCCGCTCTAGGGAGCGCAGATCTGGCAGGGATGAAACTGTCAGGGCCCTGGACAGAGGCGCCTTGGCCCCAATGTAGAGAACACTGCATCTGCACCGCCGTGTCAAAGTGTATGTCACGGGAGTACCTGTGTACGTGTAGGTGTTATGTTCTTGGACTTGGAGGTGGGGGAGTGGGCATTCACCTCCCTTCCTTTTGAGTCTTCTCTCTGTACCTGGAACAGGAAGTTTGGAGAGGTACCCAGACAGGCCACGGCTCACCCCACTCTTCCTAGCTGAAACGTAAGAAACAGGAGAGAAAGGGTGTTTGTCTTTGCTTCCTTATACTATTAGTAGGCATTTATCTGGTGCCCACCCCCAACCAGGCCTGAGGGGTGTTTACATTGGTGATAAACCCTATTCCTGCCCCCAGGAGCTCCCTTGCTGTGGCAGTAACTTCCCTGCCCCGAAGTTCCTGGCCTGTTGCATTTGAGGCACCCGGAACAGGTGCTCCCAGGGGGAGGGGGGGTTCTTGTGTGCACTTGCCCTGCCTGCGCGCACACTTGATCATGTGGCTACACTGGCGCCCAGACGAGCACTCAGCTTCTCCATCGTGCCCCGAAAGCCGCACACATGGCCGGCAGATGGGCTGCCCCCAGCGAAGCTTGGTATGGACCCAGAGCATGAACCGCAGGGGTTCTCTGTCTTCTGTCATGACTGGCCTCTGGGGAGGCAGTTTCTGATATTAGTTTGTGTCTGTCCTTCCCAGGCACAAGAAACTGCTCCCCACACCTCCACCTTTTCTTGTGCCACCATCTAGAATTCTCCAGCCCTTACTCACAGAGTCTGTGGCGAGTCCTCGAGAATCTACGAAGCTAGAAGGCTGGGGGTGCAAGGTCTTATGTGAGACCTCTCTTTCTTCCCAGTCCTGCGGGTATCTCTGTGTGTAGTTTCCTAGATCAGTCTGGCTCTCCTTTCAGGAATTTTCTGAGTTCTGATTAGGGTATGATAGACTTTTGCTCAGCTGGGAAAAATAGGCAACTTTGGTGAAACAAGGAAAGTGATATAGACCCTTGGAGGGGGCCTGGTAGGAAGGAGCTAATGTGGACCTGGGGCGGGGAATGTGGACCTGGGGCGGGGAATGTGGACCTGGGGCGGGGAATGTGGACCTGGGGCGGGGAATGTGGACCTGGGGCGGGGAATGTGGACCTGGGGCGGGGAATGTGGGTTGTAGGCAAGGAGGCTTAAGTAGGAGTGAGAAAGGCTCAGATCACTGTAGGGCTCGGGTCAAGGCTGTATCATGTTCTGGGAGGGACTGGAAGGGCCACATCATTTTTCCTGTTTTTGCCAAAGTGTTTAAAGTCTAAGTCACATCATTGTACTGTACATGGAAACATCTGAATCCCATTTGCTGCGGTTTAGTGAGTTTCTGTAGAGGTCAGAGTTTATACTTCTTGGTGTAAAGTTTCCAGCAAGGAGCTATCTGTGAAGGCGCCGAGGTGGAAAGCTGGATAACATTGATTTAAAATCCTTGCAGAATGAGGGCTGGGCCCTGTCATAGATGGCATCTCAGCCAGCTTCTCGGCAAGACTGTCCTTCCCTTTAGCACCATGTGAGGGTGCTGTGCTTTAGATAAAGGAACCTGGCCAACAGGCTGAGTTCAGTGTGTGCCAGTGGCGGTTGTACCTCTAAGACTTCAGCTTTTAAATTCCTGCCGGAGCAGACACTTCTGTTGTTTAGTCTGCCTTGTTCATCCCGTTCGTGTGAGCTGGACATTGGACACTTCCCCCTCTGTACGTACTGAAGGCCGGAGGGAAGAGACAGTGGGGTGACTTGGAGGTGGACCCTTTGTTTGCAAGGTGGTCCTGAAAGCGTAAAGAAAAGAAAGCAACAGGAATTTGGGCTAACCAAGTTTGCATTGCAGACTAGCTTTGACTTTGGTTCTCAGTTCAGGTGGCTGATGATGTTGTGTTAGTCCCTCTTGACTGTGGTACTGTGGTAGAAGCTCTGTGAGTGGAGATGTGGAGTTGTGTGTGTGTGTATTTGCTACGACAGGCTCGGCTATAAGGTGTGGGAAGGGAGGCTATAAGTAGATGATTTTTGGTGGCCATGGAGGAGGGGCATTTCGAAGTGTCCTTGTATCTAAAAATGAGCAAGAGTCGGGCAAACTTCTTCTCTTAAGGACCAGAAAATAAATAGTTTAGGCTTTGGGGGCCACATAGCCTTTGTTGCAGCTGCTCAAAGCTGCCCTTTCAGTGTGAAAGCAGCTACAGCTACGGATGGCATACGAGCGAATGGATGTGGCCACGTTCAACAAAACTTCGTTCCGGATGTTGAGTATCATGTTAATTGCTGGTAAGTCCCACTGTATTGAACATCTCCTAAAGGGCTCAGTAGAGAGTGTTGAGTGCCTGGGCTGGGGGCACACACGTTCTATTCCATGTTGCATGGAATCTGTGCTGTTTGTCTCCAGAGATGTTTGCTGTCTGTTTAAAGGAGACGAATTATTAGAATAGATCATTCCGTAGCTGTTTAGGGGCCATGGAGAGTAAAGCACCTGTTCCATTTTTGCTCCTTTTCCTTTTGACAGCAGATAGAGGCATGGGCCTGCCGCATTCCTTTCTTGGTGTCTTATCCTGAAAAGCTGGGCCAGCTGCGCCTTTTGGATCTTCAAAGGCCATAGACTTAAGTATTAATTGTTTTCTGTTTATGCTTCTTCATTGTATTTACATTTCCAAGAGTCTTTAGAGCATGGGTTTTTTGGAAGTGTTTCTATGAGCATATCATTTCAAAGCATGAACTTCAGGTGTCTGAGGAAGGCCTTTACACTCTTCGTGAATTTATGTAAGTTCGGATCAGCTGCCTCTGTGATCAGGACTGGATCGTGGAAGGCCAGTGGAATTGGAATCAGGCTGAACTTCATAGGTAGACAGGATAGCGGAGAGGGCACTTCAAGAACAGCATGAGCGTCAGGCTCTGAAAAGAATCTTTGCAGCTTGTCTGAAGTGAGTGGCTGGAGGACTTGTTTTAGGAAGAGTGAACGAGAGGAGGGGAGGGCTGGAGGCCCCCTGCTGTCGGGTTTGGTCTGCCAAGCAGTGGCCATCCTTTCTTGGATGATACTCACAAAGCTTGGGAAGGCCACCCACTGGAATGTGTCCACCCCTTCTTGGAAAAAGCTGTGGCCTGCCAGGGGCACACTGTGAGATGGTGGGACCAGACAGACCACCAAGGAGCTCTGGGCTGCAAAACATTAAGCCATAACCGCGTTCCAGGTCACCTTGAAGGACTGTGAGAAGGTCAGGGATCCACGTTCCAGGCCACCTTGAAGGACTGTGAGAAGGTCGGGGATCCTCCTACCATAGCTCTTCTGTTGCCACAGCCACATGCTGTAGGACTCTTATTTGGAATCACTGGGGTCAGTCTGGTGGCCCAGCCCACCTCACTCTGACTGGTCAGCCTGACTGCAGACCACGTGTCCATGTTGGTAGCACGTCATTTGTGGCACATGGGACATTCATAGTTCCGTACAGCTATTCCAGTCCACTTGAGAACTTTAGAGAATGCATACCTCTAATTTATAGGGGAGCAAGTGTAGTCCAGATAAGAATAGATGGGGGCAGCCAGGTGCGGTGGCTTACGCCTGTAATCCCAGCACTTTGGAAGGCCGAGGTGGGTGGACCAGCAGGTCAGGAGCTCAAGACCAGTCTTGGCCAACATGGTGAAACCTCGTCTCTACTAAAGATACAAAAAATTAGCTGGGCATGGTGGTGGGCGCCTGTAATCCCAGCTACTCGGGAGGCTGAGGCAGGAGAATCGCTTGAACCTGGGAGGTGGAGCTTGCAGTGAGGTGAGATCCCGCCAATGCACTCCAGCCTGGGTGAGCTCAGCCAGCTGATGAGTAGGCAGCTTAGGTTAGAAGTGTTGGGGACCCCACTTTTAAGAGGGCAGCCTGCACGTGTACGACTCCTGTGATGAGAAAGCAGGTTTGGGATGTTACTACTTCTTTCTTTAGAAAAGAGTTTTCAAACCCTTTCGATTGATTGATTTACAAAATTGCCCAGCTTTATAATGCAGCCTACTCGATGGAGAACAGCTGAGTAGGAGTTAGTCTTGTCAAAAATTATATGGTGTGGAGACCCATTGGAAGGGTCTGCATTATAATACATCATTATATTGAGACAGGTCTGAGGAAGGTACGTAGTCCTAAGTGATTACTTATTATTGCTGAGGACTTGATCGTGTGCAGAATAAATATGTTTGGAGAATACAAAGCACATATATAGAACTTTGTAAAAAGAAACAATTGAGTGGATGTTAAGGGGCACTTTGGCAGGAATGGAAGAAGGGCAAAGACAGTTTTGTGGAGTTGAGAGGCACGGAAGTATTGGAGGGAAGAACTCAGAAAGTTCTAAGGCCTCTGGCTGCCACCTCTGGAACAACATTCCTGTGGCCTCATGGTGGCTTCTCTTTGTCCGCCTTTGTCCTCTCCAGCCCTGCATACTCTTGTTTTCCTCCTGATTACTCAGGGCTTCATCCAGCTGCAGCTCTCCAGGGCTGGGCTGACTCCTCTTAGGCTGCCAGGCACTGACTGCTCCTGCACCAGGCTGCCCACCAGCATCGTCTAGGACACACGTTAGATTTTCCCACTTTGAACTTTTGTTGACAACATTTAAAAACAAACGAAAAAGAAGTAAAAGATGGGACGATGAAGTGAAGCAGTCTTCTTTGACTGATTGCATTCTTGGAGCTTACTTCCTGAACTCTGAAATACTGCAGCTGCCTGATCTTGGATGTGTGTGATGGGGAAGATGTTTTTTGCAGCCAGTACATCTGAGGGAACCATGCAGAGTGGTTGGTTAACTTTTCCCTGGACCCGCTTCTGTGCACAGGTCCCCAGATGCATAGTCACATTCTTGCTTCTTAGGAAATGAAACTGTTTGGCCATTTGGAGCTGTGATCTTGAGCGAGTCACTTAACTCCTTTGAACCTTTCTGCCTGCAGCCATACAGGGGTAAATAACATAGCCCTGCAAGGCTGTTGGTAGAATGGAAGAAGATAAAGTCTGTGAAATCATTTAGTGAGAGCCTGGCACATTAAGGCATTAAAAACAGGCCGCTTCTCCTGCCCTGCAGGCTGTTCCCAGACTTTTCTAGTTATACATCAGCTGATCAGTCATCGCTGTTGCCTGAATGAGCAGATCATTATCACGCACCTGCCACGTGCAGGATGCTCTGGTAGGCGCCCAGCAAGGCTCAGAGAGAAAGACAATGCAGGCCCTGTCTGGGAAGGCAGTCCCAGCCTCCTGGAGGTAGGTGTGCTGGAGCCTGGAACTGGGCAGGGCGGGGCTCTGGGGAGGGAGGAGGGTAGCCTTCAGATTCCAGGAGGGAGAAGTGAGTGACTGAAAAGTCACCGAGGCCCCATTGTCCTGAGATAAGGGACCCATGAGTGGATTTGTGGGGTGGTGGTTTTACGGGAGAGATGGGGGTAGAGGAACTGAACTGGCAGGCGTGTGGATTAAATGGGGCAGGTCTCTGGGTGCCAACCGAAGGCATTTGGACTTGATCCTAGAGCAGTGGTTCTCAACCTTGAGCCGGCGTTACAGTCCCCTGGAGGGCCCGTTAAACTGACTGCTGGGCCCCATCCAGGAGTTTTTGATGTAGCAGGTCTGGGGTGGGCCTGAGAGCTTGCATTTCTCACAAGTTCCCCCGGGGGTGCTGATGCTGCCGTCCTGGGAGGGCACTCTGAGGGTCACTGGCTGAGAGGCGATGGAGGATGGGTAGTTGGGGAATCCTGGGGCTAGCCGTATGGGGAGGACTGAACGAGGGGAGCACTTAGAGCAGGGAGGTGACCAGGCTCAAGCCTCCGACCATGGCAAGCCTCAGAAAGGAAGGAAGACCACACGAGAGGGACTCTGAAGGGCAGGCTGGCAGTCCTTTTTGGCTGGCTGGCACTGACTAGTGGTCTGAAAGGGCTGACACTGAAGTGAGGGACCCCCACATTACCAAGGAGAGGCTTGCTTTGGGAAGAAGACCAAGCGTCTGTGCTCAGGCATTTCACATTCGAGGAGGCGGCGGGACCGGGGGAGGGGCCCTCCAGGTGGTGCCTCAGAAGGGGTGCAGGTTGGGAAGCCCCGCGTGGCCGTGTTGCGTGGGGGAGCCTCCTTCCACGGAAAGAGGTGCGTGCCCACCCGAGAGTCGGGGGGCAGGACGGGAGGATCGAAAGAGGTGTGTGCCCGCCGGAGAGTCAGAGGCAGGACGGGAGGATCTGCAGTTACAGGGTGGCTTTTTCTTCTTGGAAGCTGGTTGGTCCCTACAGGAAGCAAACTCACCACCCCGTTGGCCCTATCCTCTCAACCCATCTTGACCTAGAGAAGGAGACCTGAGACCCACTCATGTTAACTGAGGAGCTGCAGACTCCTGAAGAAAGGGAATTCCATTGCGGTCTTTGTGGAATCGTGTGACTTTGTCCCCTCCCACAGAGGCATGCTGCTTTGAAGCACACAGGACAGACGTTCTCTGTTATCTTAACTGCATTTTCTAAGCTATGCCGAGAACATGTGCTAACGTTAGGTGATAAAAACCTCTATGTCTTTCACACTTTCCACACTGCAGTGAGAGCTCGTCCTGCTTCAGGCACGAGGTGGTGTGGCGTGAACAATGCCTGATTTACAACTCTGTCTTAATAGAACCCTTCAAAGCAAGTACCCACAACAAAGAGAGTTGAAAGGTAACCACTCACAACTGCTGAAATATCAAGTTATTGCCTGATCCATTTTATTTGAGCCACACTTATAGTATAGCATACCAAATCCTGCAAAACTGAAGATTTCTCTTTTAAGAGCACCATTTCATTGGGGGCTTTATTATATGCCTTAAAACCAAGGGGCTTCAGGGCTGCCAGTTCTGTCTGCCATAGGCATTTATTTCTACAAAGTTTGTCTCTTTGGAGGACGGTTGCAGGCCTCTTGTGTCTAAGGCACAGGCTCATAGCTAGTGTTTCTTCATCGCCATCAATGGGACAGAAGAGGCCTTGGACAAACATTTCCCTGAGTCTCCCTTCCCCGCATAGATGGTGACACGGGAGTCACACAGATCCAAGAAGCCCTGCTCAGCTTTTGGGGCCACGCGCAGTCGTGGGCCAGAAGCAAGGGCAGTGGGCAGAGCTCCACAGAGGAAGTCCCAGGTTCCAAATCCAAGGACCTCTCCACATGGAATCAAGGCAGTAGGTGTCCAGGGTCTCCAGCACCCAGTGAAAAGCTAGGACGGCGCTTCTCAACCCTGGCTACACATTGAATTTTCCTGGTCACCTTTGAAAAAATATCAGTGCCTGGGCTCCACCCCAGAGATTCCGATTCACTTGGCCTGGAGTAGGGGCTGAGGCATCAGGAGTTTTCGAAGCTCCCCAGATCATAACAATAGGTAGCCGGGGATGAGAAGCCCTGAGCCAGGGGGCTGCAGGCAGTCTGTGCACGTAACTGCATTTTCAGTCGAATTTTTTCTTTCTGAGTAACTGTTATGTGGCAGACATTGGCAAAAACAGGAGGAATAATTCTGATCTTGCCTCAGTGGAACAAACCGTTAGGTCGTGAAAAGGTCCTATAACATGGGGTAGTGGGCTGGAATGTAAGAGTGCAGGGGGCTGCGGGGAAGGGGGTTTATTTAGGGAAGAGAGGTCAGGGAGAGAGAAGGAAGGCTGGTGGGTATTTGGGGTGAGACTGTGTGTAATGCATAGGTGGCACTTCTCAACAGGACGTTTGACCACTGGTGGCATGCTGACAATGGCAGTGTTAGGCTTGAAGGAACCTGGGGACAGTGAGACAGTGAGGGAGGAGGAGGCAGGGCCCTTCCTCACGCAGGTTCCCAGGGTGAGGGCCCTGTACAACCCCTCCTTCCTGGTGCTAGCCTGGCCACATCCCTGTTCGAGGTCGGGGCCCAAGAGGGCAAGTGGCTGCCGGGGCGAGTACCCACTAGTCCATTCATCCATCTTTCCCCAGCATTGCTGTTTTCTTCCTTAAGTTTATAGAAACCAGCACATGGGGGCCCTGAGAATTGTAAAGAAAAACCTTCCCTAAGGTGCTAAGTGATGCTTTGCATGTGTATATGAGTGTGTATGTGTAGGATTTCTCACCAAGGTGAGATCTCCCTGTCTTTAAAAATTTGTATCAGCTTAGAACTAACAGCTGACTGCTTTTTATGCCGGGGTTTGTGAATGCAAACTCTAGACTGAACGAATAATAACTAGCTTTGAAAGTGCTAGATCCTGGGGGGGCTTTGACCCACAGCCAGGGTGTTTCCAAATGAGTGCAGCCCCTCATTAGAGTGAAGCGTATCCTCTGGGGAGCAGGTGGGGGGTCCTCCCACGCGGGGCTCCATCCCAGGCACTGTGCCGTACCCTGCCCACTCTTTCTTGACTGCGGCAGTTTTCGGGTGTTCTGCACCGAGGCCGCATCGCGCACAGCTGTGATGGAGCTCTGCAGATCCCACTGTGGCCACCGTCTTCCATTTCTTCAGTTTCCCCAAAGTTTCCTAGTGAACAAACTCAAGTTTTCACTTTGAAGGAGAGGGAGGAAAGCTGTGCTCTCCTGCAGGTCATGCAGTGCCACTTTGAGACAGTTTTATTTGGGCAGTAAAATCTTTGAGTTTTTCTTGGCAAAAGTTCTAATGAAATGGAAACCTTGAAATATGCTTAGAGCGGTAAGTATGGCCTCACCCTGTATCTTGGGGACGCAAGATTGTAGGCGATCTTATTAGTTGATCTGATTTACTTTCCAGGAATCTTGGTACTGGTGCATCCTTTCAGAACGTAGAGCTGGGGTCTATCTCATTTGGCTTAAGTGAGTTTTATACTTGAGACTGGAGTTAGCTCTGCGTGTGGTGGGGAGTGCTGTTTCTCCAAGTGTGGTCCCTGTATTACATGGAAACTTCTTAGAAATGCACATTCTTGGGCTCCAGCAGGACCTCCAGGTGATTTGGGCACACGCTAGGCTTTGAGAACCAGGGGTGTAGTGTGTCATGGCTTTTGAAAAGTGAGGGTGGAAGAGGGAGACAAGAAAGGATGCCATGGCCCCCTGAGACTCATCCGCCAGATCTCCTGAATCTGCGATCAAAGGCAGTTCGGGATTGTTCCCAGGAGAAGGGGATGTTGACTGCATCGATCAGTGTTCAAACCAGGTCCTCCCCTGGCCCTGCCTGGGTTCGATTTCCTTGAGAGATTTACCATTTTGACTCTGCATAAGAAGGGAAACTAGCAGCAGGTGCCTGCTGAAGGAGGGCAAATTGTTTTGATGCTGTCAAAACAATACTAATGTTACTCTTAATATACCCAGGGATAAGATACATTTTTCCATTAGGGATACAAATGTCATTCCCAACAATTTCAGTGTTGCCTCCCAGGTGGACTTTTGGGGGGATGATTTTTGAAGTAACTTAAAAAATAATTTTAAAATTAAAAATTTGATAATGAAGTAGTTCATCTTCTCTGAAAGCCAACATGGAAAATGGATGCTGTTGTATCTGTCTCTGTACCCCTACCCCCAACGCAGCTGCTCTGTGGTATGTTTGTAAGTCACACACAAGCTCACTCTTGGGCTCAGGTAAATCTGACCAATCTGCAAAGAAACGAGCCCAGACCTGGAAAACCAAATCACAGCAAGGTGGTCTTGCCTGCCCCTCCGGGGGGCCATGGGCGTGTGTGAGTGAGGATGACCGACATCGCGTTTCCTTCTCCTTTCTGGACAGGTTGGCCTCATTCAGCTTGGGCAGGAGCAGGTGCTAATCCAGCCCCTCAACAACTCCCAGGGCCCATTCAGTGGACGAGAACATCTGATCAGGCGCAAATGGTCCTTGACCCCCAGCCCTTCTGCTGAGGCCCAGAGACCTGAGCAGCTCTGCAAGGTTCTAACAGGTGAGTCGGGGCAGCAGCATGACCAGCTTAGAACACACGCACAGCCCACATCCTTTGTGTGTCTCCAAGTGCACTGAAGCCACATGAGTGAGAACTTACCTTCCCCTATATTTCAAAAGCTGTTTTATTGCCCTGAGACCACTTCCTTTTCCTTTCTATGTGTCTTAGTGTCGGCAGTCCTTTGAAAAAGTCATCGTTTTGTTTCTGCAAGGAACCTAGGATCTCTTTCATGCAGTCCCTCAATTTTATATATCAAGAGCAAGTTGAGGTCCAAAAAACCTTGTAGCCGAGCTTGGATAAGAATTCCCTCCTCCTGGTGCCCTGGCCAGGAGCTCACTCTTAATAATACAGTGCTCCCGAGTTCTGGCCGCAGTAACTAAAGCCACCTGGGGCGCCTCTGAAGCTGTGATTCGATTCTCGATTCTTACAGTGTGGCCCCCGGGCCAGCAGCATCAGCATCACGTGGGAACTTGTTAGACATGCACATTTTCAGGCCAGAGCTGTGAATCAGAAACCCTGGGGGAGGGTCCAGTCATCTGTAGTTTCACGGGTCCTCCAGGGGATTTAGATACGTGCTAAAGTGTGAGAACCACTGCTTTAAAACTTGCCATGCACTGGCCTGTCCCCCAACATCCTGATCTGTTTTAGTCTGGGGTATGATTTGGGTGCCAGGGTTTTTAAAAGTGATTTTAAGATGCAGTGTGGGGGGAGAACCTGGGGCTCTTATACTCTGGGTCTCTCTTTGAACAACCCTAATGTGGATGACCTGTCACCTGTTTAAGGACATTTCATGGGGCTACAAATGTCCCCAGATGAAGTTGGAGCACAGGTGGCATTTCCTCCCAGGAGATCGTGGGACCCCACTGCTGACTTCTGGGGGTTGTGCTTCTGTAGTTTAAAGACTTATCTTTGTATGAAAATGCAGTGTGTCTTGGTTTAGTATTCTGGTGACATTGGAAACAATGTGTCTTGGTTTAGTATCCCGGTGACATTGGGAATAAATTATGTGACTGCTTTAGAATTACCTTGTTATTTGTAAACAAGTTTTGCAGTTGAGCTCAGCTGCTGTGTGTGGACTGGATGGCAGTACATTGACTTTCTCCTTAGCCTAGTCTGTGTGGGCAAGGTGAGTATTAGAGGTGATTGTGCTGGATAGAGGGCATCTCTGAAACCTCAAGAGAGCTTTGAGTCTCAAATGGAGACATTAGGGTTTTTCTGTTCTTTCTGCCTCCTTACAAAAGTGAGGAAGACCCCGTACAATTACTAGCACCTAAAAAATACCTTTTAATAGGAAACAGGGTCTTTGGTCTGACAGTTGGTTGTGTGTGGATTTGATGTCAGTATGGCTTTTTTTTTTTTTTTGGAGACACGATCTCACTCTGTCACCCAGGCTGGAGTGCAGTGGTGTGATCATGGCTTGCCACAGCCTTGACCTCCTGCGCTCAGGTGATCCTCGCTCCTGAGTAGCTGGGACCACAGGCGTGCACCACCACACCTGGCTAATTTTTGTTTTGGTAGAGATGGGTTTCACTGTGTTGCCCAGGCTGGTCTTGAACCCCTGGGCTCAAGTGATCCTCTCGCCTTGGCCTGCCAAAGTCCTGGGATTATAGGCATGAGCCACTATGCCTGGCCCCCTGCAGTGTGCTATTTTTAACCTGAGCCCCTGACCCTACCTAGTTCTGTCTTGACGTACCGGCACAGAGGCAGAGGGATTTCTCTACGGCAGTGGTTCTCAGTCCTGGCTGTACCTTAGCATCACCTGGGAAGCTTTAACAGCTACTCACGCCTGGGTCCCACCCACAGAGAACCACTTTAATTAGACATCCTGGGGACATCTGGCAAAGTAAAGACTCCCAGGTGGTTCTGATGTTCAGCTGGTGTTGAAAACCACATCGCTAAGGACTGTTAAACCTGAGGAATAGCACCTGTGGGCCATCGGGAGTGGATTTTCCCATTTGAGCACCTTCAAGCAGGGCCATGCAACGAAACAAAGGACAGATGTGTCTTCTTCTCACTGTTCTCTCTGCTCACGCCACCGTTCATCAGACTCTAGTCCATGGTCAGAACTCAGCGTGCTTGTAGATGAGATAATGGGATGTTTGTCTAATGGCCGCCTTCCATCCCCTTTAGTGGTGTGATACTGAGGATCACTGACATGATAAATGGTGCTTGTGTTTGCATTTTTGTCCCTAAGGAGAGTTTTGAGGCATTCTTTTGATAGACTGTTTAGCCTTTAATGAGGAAATAAAATTAACAAAATCAGGGTGGGGTGGGTGTGATGGAACAAGTTAAAACAAGAGCAGCCACGCAAGACTGTAGGGAGAAATTTCTGAACTTGCTTAAAAATACAATCTCTCCTTCCCTGCTCTCAAACCTTGCATCAGCTTGCTTTTTGGTGCGGGAGTAATGTGCGGATTTAAGGTTGTGCCAGACTCAGGCTCTGCACTAGTCAGGAACACAGACACAGAGGAGAGTTACATATTTTGCTTCTGGTCCTTCTTGCATTGCATGAAATATTCAGTAAATGTGGCTGTCCTGAGAATGACAATGGGCCTTTTAATAGGCTGAGCTAATGAGCAGTCAGTTAGGCCCTATCTAGTTTGGATTAGCTTTCAAACATCAGGAGTTTAGAAATCGGGAAAATTAATTTACTGGGACATCTGCAAAGTACATTCTTTAAGTTTCCTAGAAGTTTCCTAATCTTTCCTAGAAAGATTAATCAGATTAATCCAAGCTTTCCCATGGGAACATGCTCTTCCTGGCTGAACATGGCAGCCATAGGTTTCGTGCCCTGTTGGTGACCCTGTGTTATGATAGCCTTGGACATGGTCTGAGAGTAGCCTTGCCGGCTCTTGTAGGTGAGGAGAAGTCTAAGAAACTTCCTCCATGAAGCACTCAGTGTACTTGAAAGGTGAACCTAGGTGAGCCGCTGTGCTGAGTAGGGTTTTATGTCTGAGCAGGGTTGGTGGCTAGAAGGACTGACACGGCAAAGGCCATCTGGGAACTGTTTCTTTCCCTTGGATACTACTGAGGTTGCATTTCTAATGGTCTTTGGGGCTTCAGGCGAGGGGACAGGCTGATCCTGTTTCCTACATTGCTCCTTATTTTGGGGGCCTGATAAACTGATCCATAAAATAGCACTCCAGGTTGGAACTTGGCAAACTAAAATGGTACCTTGGATATTTTGAAATGTTCCTTGATTTTTAAAAAGTTACTTTGACTTCAAACGTTCTAATCTTCCTTCTGTGCTTGTTTTAATTTCTCCATTATGATTCAGTTTAGAATCTTCCTCCCAGCATTTTCATACTCTTAAGTAACTATGAATCTTCCTCTCCTCCCCCATGGTGTATTTCACATGTGTGTGGTAGAAGTAGATGGTGAAATAGAAGAGTGATTTTCCCTTGGCCTTTGCAGTATAGGAATCCTGCAACATGCTGAGTGGTGGTGAGCTCACTGGAACGTGATTATGCCTCCAGCTGTGGTTTCTGTGAAGCACTGATGTCTACTTTATAGGTTAAGTTCTGTTATCATTGTTTCAAAAAATCATTGTGGTTATTTTTTAGTATTGTTTGTTCATTTATAGCATTATAAAGGTAATGTCAATGAGTATTTGGTGGATACTATAACTCTGTAGAAACTGCGCATTGCTAATTTATGCAAGAATTTGCACGTATAATACGTGTATATCCTCTGTAGTGCACAGTTGGTCAGGTCTTGTGCTTTGTACCAATTATGCCTAGTGTTCCATTATTGGAACGCTAAGCTTGTGGGAGTTATTTATACCCTACTGCTCAAGGTCATCGCCAAGGTCTGAGTTTTCACAAAAAAAATGTGCAACCTCTGGCATAAATGGGTTAAGATTCATTCGGTTGGAAATGACAGAAATGAAACTGACTTAAACACTAAAGACATCATTGACATGAGTTCATGGAGCTGATGAGTAAAGCAGGAGGTTGGACATCAGGTAACACTTACCCAAGCTTCACTTCTCTGCGGTCACTTCTTTGTATGACACCCTCTGTCCTCACCTGGCTCCGCTTAGGGTGACCAAGAGGCAGCTAGGATGAGGTCAACCCTTCTTTTTAATTAGGATGAGGGGGTCAAACGTTCTGTTTAATTGGGATTTGAAGTGGGTTGGCTTGGATTGGGTTTGCCACTAGCTGCAAAGGTTTATGGCAGGCTTAGGTCTCTCCCCATAAAGAGCGTAGGTGCCAGTACTCATGTGACTATGCAGATACCACTCTGTTTCCATCCCTGTCCTGACTTTTGCCAGCCATCACACACTTGGTAAAAGTCTGGAGTAGATTTAGGACATCTCAAATCCAGGTGTAATCCATTATTACAGCCCACACAGTTAACAATTGGCTGTTTCCTCCTTATTTCCACAGCTTAGATGCTAATGAGCTCCTCATTCCACCTGTGCCCCAGGGATAACTGTAGCTGATCTTTGCTCAGCAAGGGCCAATCCCTCTGAAATTTGGTTCCTCTACACTTCTTTGAGACCGTAGCTCTCCCAGTGGATAAAATAAAATATGATTTTGTAGTGTATCCAGTGTTCTTTGCTGTAAAAGTGGTAGTTGGAGTCTTTCCTGTCCTTCTACATCTTAACTGGAAGCAGAACCTAAAAGGAATGGCATTAAATTGCTACTTTGAGTTTCTTTAAGTTAATATTTTAAACATTTATTTGCATATAAATGTTAACTCTATAAGTAGACATCAATAGTTTAAGAATTATTATTCCGCAAAGAGAAAAAAGAACCATGGTAGAGGCGCAATTCTGTTCCCTTTGCTGTAACCCCAGAAAAAGAGTCCCTTGATGTCTCTGTGCTTCTGTGTGTGGAGCGAAGAGGCTGCTCCAAAGCTGCACAGACCCAGGGGCTTAACCGAAATTTATTGTTTTGTTGGTATTTATTATTCATAGTTCTGGAGGCCAAAAGTGTGGGATCAAGGCGTTGACAGGGTTGGTTCCTTCTGAGGCTATGAGGAAAGGATCTGTTCCAGGCTTCTCTCCTTGGCTTGCAGATGGCTATTGTGTTAGTCGATTTGTGTTGCCTGAAGGAATACCTGAGGCTGGGTAATTTATACAGAAAAGAGGTTTATTTTGGCTCAGAGTTCTGCAGCGTCTACATAAAGCATAGTGTCAGTGTCTGTTTCTGGTGGAAGATGAAGGGGAGCCAGCGTGTCACATGGGGAGAGAAGGGAGCAAGAGAGAAGGGAACGAGAGAGAGCGAAGAGGTGAGGGTCGTTTTAAACAGCCAACTCTTGCATGAACTAATGGAGTGAGAACTCACTCATCACCACGGGGATGGCACTAAGCCATTCATGAGGGATCCGCCACCTCCCACTAGGCTCCACCTCCAGCATTGGGCAGCATGTTTCATTATGAGATCTGGAGGGGACACACATCCAAACCGTATTGGCCGTCCTCTCCCTGTGTCTTCACATGGTCTTATCTCTCTGCATGTCTCCGTCCAAATTTCCTCTTAGGAGGATCCCAGTCATTGGATTAGGGCCCACTGTTGTGCTTTATTTTAACTTAGTTACCTCTGTAAAAACCCTATCTGCAAATGCAACCACATTCTAAGGTCCTGGGGGTTAGGACTTCAACATAGGAATCTGGCAGGGTTCTGGAGTGGTGGGCAGGGGTGTGGTGCATAGTTCAAGCCACACAGCCTCTGTTTTCTTACCTGCACCATGGGGTGGTGATGTCTGTTGTAGGATAATTGCGGAGGAACACTGAGAACCAGGGGTGCTGTAACCACCTCCAGCCACTCTGGAGGGCATGTTCAAGCGAACCGTCATAAATGTCTAAAAGGTAAAAATCACATTTACAGGAAACTAGAAGTGGGCCACACAAAGGGACCCTGTCTGTAACAATAGACACCATCGTTGGCTGGTCAGCTATTCAGTTACACTCTTGATAACAATTTGAGGGGCTGTGTAAGCTCAGGCAAGTTAGAATGGTGCCACCCTCTCTGAGCTTCAGTTTCCTTGTAATGTCATCTACCTCTTAGGGCTTTTGTGAGTATTAAATGAGTTAATGCAGACTTGCCACTTAGGGCCAGTCCATGTTGGCTATTGCTGCAGCTGCTGTGGTTATAATTCACCTGCTCATTTTTGACTATTGAGGAGACCACTTCAATGCCCTTTTTCTGTATTAAGTCAGGGAGAGAGAGGGCCTGCAGAGCACTAAGCTGGGAGCTAGAGACTCTCATTAGTATTCTTGAATCTGCCATCCTTGCCTCTTGAGCAAATCCACAAGAAATCAAGGAATCTTAGTATTTGTAGACAGGAAGTTATGCTTCCCTTCTCACTGACCCTCCGGACTCTGGTGAGATTTGCATACTATGGCGAACATGACATAGTATGGTCCTTGCCTCCAGAGAACTTAGGGTTTGGTGGGGGAGATAGGCAGTAAAGACATAAATGAATGTAGCAGGTGTAAATTATTTTGAATTATGAAATAATTTACAACAGGCAAAACACAAAAAAGAAACCTGCGTATCCAGTATTCAGACCTACCCTATGTTAACATGTGGTCAGATTTGCTTCAGAGCTTTTTTTTTCTATTTATTTATTTATTTGAGACGGAGTCTCACTCTGTCACCCTGGCTAGAGTGTAGTGGCGTGATCTCGGCTCACTGCAAAATCTGTCTCCCGGGTTCAAGTGATTCTCCTGCCTCAGCCTCCCAAGTAGCTGGGACCACAGGTGCCCACCAGCACGCCCGACTGATTTCTGTACTTTTAGTAGAGATGGGGTTTCGCCATGTTGGCCAGGGTGGTCTTGAACTCCTGACCTCAGGTGATCTGCCTGCCTCGGCCTCCCAAAGTGCTGGGATGCTTTCTTCTTTTTTTTTTTTTTTTGAGAGAAAGGAACGTTTACGGATGTGACTGATGGCGTTCTCCCCTCCACCCACTATCATGGCTCTGGCTTATTCCCCGGAAGCAACCACCAGACTGACCTGACATAGGGGACCCCTTCCTTTCCATGTTTTTTTGTACTTTTATAGCGATTATGATATATAGTCATAAACTGCATACTGTATTGTTTTGTATGTTTTAAAATTCACATAAATGATTTTATGCTGTGCAGCTTGCATTTATCACTCACAGTCATGTCTTCTAGATTTATCCATCTTAATAAATGCAAATCTAGTTCATTTATCTTTATTGCAGAGTTTTGTCTATTAACCTTTTCGAAGAACTGGCTTGGTTTTGTTTTTATTTTTGAATTTCTATTTGTATCTTTATTTTTTTTCCTTTATTCCTTTTTTAAATGTTCTCTAGGTTTATTCCTATTGCTTTTTCCCTAACTTCTTGAGTAGAATACCTAGCTCAGTAAATTTTACTATCTTCATATTTAATTTCTGTATTTAAGGCTACTCATTTCCCTGTAAGCACACCTGTAGGGGCATACAAATTTTCATATGTAATATTTCTAGTACCCACTTCTAAATAGTCTGTAATTTCCACATACCTTTTCCCTAAAGAGGCAGTACAGTATAGTGGTAAGAATTTAGACACAAGTTTACTGGATTTGATTTCCTGTCTCTACCACTAGCTTGAGTGACCTTGGGTTATTTATTTAACCCCTTTAAAGTGTCTCAATTTCTTTATTTGTAAAAGGGTGATAATGCTTGCATGTATTTTATAAAATTAAGATGATTAAGTTAATATATGTAAACACAGCATGTGGCAGAAAGTAAATATTATGCTATAAATTAATTGAATTTTTATTTTTTCATATAATTTTTTTGGTATCTTTACAACATGATTTATAATTCTTTTTTTTTTTTTTTTTTTTGAGACGGAGTCTCGCTGTCTCCCGGGCTGGAGTTCAGTGGCACAATCTCAGCTCACTGCAAGCTCCGCCTCCCGGGTCCATGCCATTCTCCTGCCTCAGCCTCCTGAGTAGCTGGGACTACAGGTGCCCGCCACCACGCCTGGCTAATTTTTTGTATTTTTAGTAGAGATGGGCTTTCACCATGTTGACCAGGATGGTCTTGATCTCCTGACCTCGTGATCTGTCTGCCTCAGCCTCCCAAAGTGCTGGGATTACAGGTGTGAGCCACCACGCCTGGCCAATTTATAATTCTGTGTATAACAATGGAGAATGTGGTGCATATGATATTTCCATTTTTTAAGTAGTGTCAGTATTTCTGCTGCAATTTCCTGTCTTTTCATCCATCATGAGCACATTTTCCTTTAAGTCCTTGAGCATTATGGTAATAATTGCTTCAAAATTCTTGTCTGCTATTCTAACATCTGGGTCATCTTCGGGTTTGGTCTACATTGATTGTCTTTTCTCTTAAAAAGGGGTCACATTTTCCAAGTTATTCATGTGTCAAGTAATTTTGGATTGTGTTCTGGATATTGTAAATGTAACGTGGAGATTCTGAATTCTATTACTCTGGAGAGTATTTTAGCTGGCAATTAATTTTGTTGGACTCAGACTGCAGAATTTGTATCTTGGGTGGCAACTCAAATCTCAGTTCTTTTATTCTTAACTAGACTCTTTTCCATGTAGGCATCATCCTGAGAGTTGGGTAGAATTTATATACAGAATTTTCGGCTTCCCCTTTGTGGATCTCTCCTTTCCAGCATGCCTCCCCCATACTTTCCAGTCACCTTGTTGCCCTGCACTCTGTCCTCTGGTTCTTCAGATCACAGGGGCTGCAAGCTTTCTGTTGGAGCGTTACCCCTTCTGCATGGCACTGACCAGGCCTTCCCTCAGTCTCCTGTGCTGTTCCTGTCTTCCAAGTGTTGACTCCACCCACATCTTCCAACCTTCAGGTGTTTGGATTTTTGTATTTTTTTCAAGTTTACAGTTGCTATCTGTAGGAGGATTAGGTTTATTAGAAGCTTTTGAGCATACTGAATTCCGTATGTCATTGATTTACTGGTAGTGGTAGAGATTTGCATCGTGGCCTAGAACATAGATGTTTTTGTTTTAATAAATGTTTTATGTATAAATGAAAAGAGTACATAATCTCAAATTACTGCAAACAGATTATATATTTTCTAATTGTTGTGTTCTATATGCCCATTTACTGAAGTTAGTGTGATGTCAGAATCATTTATAGTCTCATTATTTTGGACCTGCTTGATTTGTTTTAGAGATATATTAAAAATCTCATAACTTATTGTGGCTTGGCCAGTTTTACCTTTTAATTCTATTGATCTCTGCTTTGTAAGTTGTGAGGCAGTATTGTTTGGTGCACACAGGTGTATGAGCTGTACGGCTGGTGAGCCATTCCTTTTATCATCATGTAATGGGCCATTTTTATCCCTGCCAATACTTTTGTCCTTCCAGATGTTTTCAGCTAACGTTAGTATTGCCAGTCAGGTTTTATTTTGGTAAATGTTTGCTTGATGTTTCTTTTCCCTTAGTTTTATTTTCAGTCATTCTCTGTCATGATGATGTACGTATGTTTCTTAAAAGTAAGATATATTTGAATTTTTTAAAAAATGTCAAATTTGGGAATATGTTTTTTCATTGGCAGAGTTAGTGTTTTCATGTTTCTAGTATTGCTAGAATTCATTTTATTTATTTTATCTGTTTACTATACCATGCTTTTTCTTTGCTTCTGTTTCTCTTTGTTGTTGTTTGTTTGTTTCTATTGGCTTGACCAACTTTTAAAAAAAATTTCCCCTTCTCTCTTCCACTGGTGTGGAAATTTGATAATCTATTAAAATTTTGTTGTTGTTGCCTTAAAAATATATAAAGGAAGTCTGAGGCATCAGGTTTCCTTCATTGATAATATAAAAGCCTTCAAATGCTTTATCTTGATTTTACACGTTATTTTTATCTGTTAATTTAACCACATTTTGTCTTTGTCTCTTCCCAATGAATGGTAATCATGTTTTTGCAGTTAGAATTATTTAGATTTACTGATATCTTTGTCAGCTTGCTCAGTATTGTTTCTTGCAACCCTCTTCCCTGGGCTTAATGTCCTTGAAGAACATTTTTAAATGAGGGTTTGCAAATGGCTAAATTATTATTTTTGCTTTGTCCAAACTGTCTTTATTTTACCTTTACTCTTTTTTTCTTCTTTTGAGACAGAGTCTTGCTCTGTCTCCCATGCTGGAGTGCAGTGGCGCGATCTTGGTTCACTGCAACCTCTGCCTCCCAGGCTTAAGGGATCCTCCTACCTTAACCTTTCGAGTAGCTGGGACTACAGGCATGCGCCACCACACCCGGCTAATTTTTAGTATATTTTTAGAGACAGGGTTTCACCATGTAGCCCAGGCTGGTCGCCATCTCCTGGAACTAAGCAATTGGCCCGCCTCGGCCTCCCAAAGTGCTGGGACTACAGGTGTGGGCCATGGTGTTCAGCCTCCGCCCTTATTCTTAGTGACGATTTATCCAAATGTGGAATCCTAGGTTGAGTCTTCACACTTTAAAGATACTATTGTACTGTGTTCAGACTGCTATTTTTGTTACAAAAGGTCCTCTGCCCCTCTGATTTTAGATTCTGTGTAATGCTCTGCCTTCTCTCTGTGCAGGACTGTTGTTGGGTTCTGCAGCATTTCCCGTGGACTTCCCATGTTTATTCTGTTTGGGACTTGTCGTGATTTTCCCAGCCTCCCTCTCGTGGAGACGTGCCTCTTCCCATTACCTACGTCTTCTCCTGGAATTCCTAGTTGATATATGTGGATCTTACTATTTTTTCCTCCATGTTTTGTGTCATCTTTTTGCGTTTTTGGTCTCCATCTCTGTGTTCTCTGTTCTAGAGAATTTCCTGTCATCGGTTTCTCAGTTCACCAGATTTTTCTTAAACTACGTCTGATCTCCATTTAATCTTCTACTGAGTTTTTAATTTTCGCAATTATATTCAATACTTTTAGAAGTTATATCTGATTCTTTTCCACTGCTGTCTTTTTTATAGTGTCCTATTCTTTCATGATGCTGTTACCTTTCCTTTATCACTTTAGATCTTTTATGTATTTATTTTTTTGAGACAGAGTTTCGCTCTTGCTGCCCAGGCTGGAGTGCAGTGGCAGGATCTCAGCTCACCGCAACCTCTGCTTCCTGGGTTCAAGCAATTCTCCTGCCTCAGCCTCCTGAGTGGCTGGGATTATAGGTGTGAGCCACCGCGCCCCACCTAGATCTTCTTAGTATAATTATTTGAAGTCTTTTTTGAGTGATTCCACCTTCTGAATTTCTTTTCTTTTTCTCGAGATGGAGTCTCTCTCTGTCGCCCAGGTTGGAGTGCAGTGGTACGGTCTTGACTCACTGTAACCTCCACTTCCTGGGTTCAAGCGATTCTCTTGCCTCAGCCTCCGAGTAGCCGGGACTACAGGTGCGTGCCACCATGCCCAGCTAATTTTTTTGTATTTTTAGTAGAGACGGGGTTTCGCCATGTTGGCCAGGCTGTTCTCAAACTCCTGACCTTGAGATCTGCTTGCGTCGGCCTCCCTAAGTGCTGGGATTACAGGCGTGAGCCACTGCCCAGCCAGCTTCTGAATTTCTTGAGGAGTGTCAGCTCACACTCCCTTTCACATGTGGATTGTAATTTTATACCGTGAGCTCAAATTCTGCTGATGTGTTCTCCCTCCTGCCCTGCTTCCCTGGGAATTTCTAATGGCAGGACTTTCAAGGTAGGCCCTCAGCCCCTCTGGCTTTTGGGTCACTGCTGAAAAGCACACGTCCCATTTACAGGACACTGTCCTTTGCTCTGCTCTTGGCTGCTTCAGCCTTGGCTCAAGGCCACCCCCTGCCCCCAGTGCTATTCTACCCTCTTTGGGAGTCCCCTATGCCCTGCATTATGGAAAAGTCTTCACTGAGTCATTTCATATGCACTTCTGCCAGATGCCCCAGGGCTCTTCCACAAGTGCACATGTCATCTCTCCTTCAGTGCTTATCCTTAGGCCATCGGAAGCACAGGATGATCTACTTGTGTGTGTAGCACAGGCTTGGGGATTTGTACTGGGGACCCTGCCCATGTCCCGCTGGTATCCTGAACTCTGAATGCAGACAGACTTCCCTGCACCCCTGTGCCATGGGCGGGGTTGTCCAGCCACTCTGGGGTCCTGGCCAGATTCCCCCATCTCCGTGTTGTAGGTTAACATTGGCCCTTCACCCAGTAGGCCAATATTTGAGCCCAACAACTGCTGGATTGTTGAGGTCTCAGATCATTCACTCACTTACAGGCGTGAGATTTCTTCACCTTTCTGGAACAGGAGATTTTCCCGTTTGTTTATTTTGCATTTGCCTAAGGAATGGTCTTAGTCTGTTTGGGCTGCTATAACAAAAACTGTCAGCTAGATAGTTCATAAACAACAGAAATTTATTTCTTACAGTTCTACAGTCTGGGAAGCCCAAGATCAAGGTACTAGCAGCCTCAGTGTCTGGTGAGGGGCCTGCTCTCTGCTTCACAGATGGTGCCTTCTCTCTGTGTCCTCACCTGGGGGAAGGGGCTAGCTGGCTCTCTGGAGACTCTCTTATAAGGGCACTAATACCATTCATGAGGGCCCCACCCTCATGACCTAATCACCTCCCAAAGGCTTCACCTTCCAACACCATCACATTGTAGGTTAGGTCTCAATGTCTGAATTTGAGGGGGACATAAACACTCAGACCATACCTGGTATTAAAAAACTATAAGGGGGGGCGGGTGTTAGATTTTGTCTGGTAAATCTAGGTCCTTCTTGTTGTCTGACTCTGTTTCATGAATTATTCATGAATGATTTACCCCTCATGAAACAGTGTGACTGTTTCATTCCTTGGACTCAGGCGTGTCAGAAATGTCATCGTCTCATCATCTGAAAGTCAGATCATGCACTCTGACCCGTCACCTCAGTCATTGATGGAGGCCTTCCCTTCCATGTCCTGCAAATGTCCCTGGGGCTTTGTAATGGCAGGACTTTCAAGACAGGCCCTCAGTCCCTCTGGCATTCGGGTCGCTACTGAAAAGCACATGTCCCATTCACAGGACGCTGTCCTATGCTCTGCTCTTGGCCGCTTCAGCCTTGGCCCCTCAACTCACGGCTGCCCCCTGCCCCTGGTGTTACTCTTTTGGGAGCTCAGGTTTCAGAAACTAAACCAGGAATGGTGGCTGTGCCCAGCTTTATGCCCAGCAAGGCACCCATGGCAGAGGAACAGAAAGGCTACCTTGTCACCATAACATGAGAAGAAAACCACATGCATGCCTCGTAAGTCAGCAGAGCAAGCACTTACTATTTCTTTTGCTGACCTCAAGTCCAAGCATTGTCTCTTTTTCTCAGTGTTGTCCCCCCCAAAATGCTCAACATTTGTTCCCTGGGGCCACACACCTCGCATGGTGTTTCTTGCGTGCCCTGCGAGAGCACAGCCCTGTGGCATTTCTGATGTGTCCCCACCGGCTCATCTGGAGGGATCTGGAGCTGATGTTAGGGGTCAGCTGAGCGAGGGTCCATCCTGGAAGAACAGAGGGTCAAGCAGACCCTCTGCTCCTTTGAGGCTGGGAACCTGGGTCCTCATTTCCTGTCTCCCTGGTGCTCATGGGGCAGAGGCACTGTGGAAGTCACCAGATAATTGTTTCTGGGACTTCAGTGCTTTCCAGAGAAGCCCATGGGGCCCCTTTTACACCCTGAGTGTTCAGTCGTCATCATTACTACGTTTGCCATTGTCTTCCAAGCTTGTGCCTCACAAGCTTTGAGGAGAAGCTCAGACCCTGCCGTTTGGTTGATATGAACTATGTCTTTATCCAAGTCCCTCCATCCCATTTTTATGTGTTTTTTAGACAAACGACTGAGGAAATCTTAGGATTTTTTTTTGAGGTGTCGGGTGAGTGGACACTTACCCTTTAGGAAGGGGTGTTGTGCTGATAATTCGTAATTACCCTTTGGGGAGAATAAAGCTAAAACCCAACCATATCACTCTAAAAACTATGATGATTGCTGTTATTATTCCCCGGAGGCTGTATGACCGTGTGGAGCCTGTCAGATACTGTAAAAGGGACATTTCCTGCTGCCCACCTGTGTGACTGGGAATGGACACAGCCATGGATGGGCCTAGTGGCCTTGGGCAGGGCCTGCCCCTACTTCCCAGCACGTAGAGGCTGGGACAAGTCAGCCTGTTTCTCCTATTCCTACCTTTCCTCATCTCTGAGAGAGAGGGAATGCATGTCTTGATATATTTGCTTCTCCAGGTTGCAAGTTAAATTGAGTTAAATGAACT
Organism: Homo sapiens; assembly: GCF_000001405.40. Lineage (NCBI taxonomy): Eukaryota > Metazoa > Chordata > Mammalia > Primates > Hominidae > Homo > Homo sapiens. Next base: position 100,316,727 of record NC_000015.10, on the reverse strand, counting down.
CATGCAAATGCAATTTCATGAAGTAGAAAGTATTATTAAAATGTAAGGTGTCATCTCTCTATGGAAAACTTCCATAGAGTGGGTTTCCCAAAAGCCAAGCCTGGGATGAGGACTTGGGTGCAGGTGGTCAGTGTCAGGGAGGGAGGGGGTTCCAGGAAGCAGGAGAGAGAGACAGGGCAGAGGAAAATCCACTGGCATCCAGTGGAAAATCCACCGGAAGGGGAGTGAGTGTGTGTCAAGATTGTTGCTGCAGGCAATGGGCTTGATTCCGAAGGGAACACTGGAGTGTGCACAGAAGGCTCCCCAGACGTGACCCACGGATGGCGAGAATGGAAGTGTGATCCGGGGGTTCTTGGCTCCCAAATTTCTGAGATGCTCCTGTGCAGGCCAAGGGAGTGGGCTTCTAGGCAAGAAAACCTGTAAAAAATCAAAGGCCAGCGTCACATGCTTGAGGAGGGGCTGGGCCAGCTGCACTGCCACCACAGCTATGGCAGAAGTTGGGGTGGCATGGTACCTCAGGAGGGCATCCTGGGGAGGCAGCCAGTGGCAGATTCCATCAATGCACAGTGCTGGGGCCCTAACCCTCTCAAAATGCTAGTAACTTAAGAAAGTTTGTTACTTTCTAAAAAACCTTGTGTAGTCAGTTAAAAAAATTTCTTCCTGCATGAACAACCTGTTGATCTATGCCATATTCCTTCCATCCTTCCTACTTTGTAAAAATAGAGTCATTCCACAAAGCAGCTTGGAGATTTCCTCGGGAGTGTTCAAGGCTTGGCCAAAGTGAGCCTCTTAGGCTCTGCAAGGGCCTCTCGCCTTGGAGGGACACCCTCTGCCCCCGTGGTTCCCTCCAGTGGTCCCTGCTTTCTGGGCTGATCTGGAGACAATTGGAAATGGATAAGCCAGGCCTGGGGCAGTGTTTAAATGAGGCTTCATGTAAGTATGAGTTAAATTCTGTATACTTTTAAGCTTTCAGTGACTGTGTGTGAGTGTGTGTGTCTTTAAAGTTGTCTTTTAGTGTATTTTTAGGCCTCTGTAATTTTTTTTAAAATTTTTTGTGGACGCAGGGGTCTCATTGTGTTGCCTAGGCTGGTGGCAAACTCCTGGACTGGATTGGTCCACCCACCTCAGCCTCCCAGAATGCTGGGATTATAGGTGTGAGCCATCACAGCTGGCAGGCTTCTGCATTTACACTTGTAACGTGCCCTCTTATCTAGGGCAGTGATGCAGTGATGTATTTGCTTGACTAATGTTCCTTTATGCTGTGTTAAGCCCTGTTCTGAGCACTGGAGATCCTAAGAGACAGATGTCCCTGCCCTCACACAGCCACCCTCCTTGAGATCGGCCGATCACCAGTGTTGTTCTGTCCCCTGATCAGTTTCTGATTTCCCTGCAGTGTTCCCTGGGAAGGGTGGGGGGAGAGAAAAGAGGGGTGAACCGAGTCAGCAGGCTGGCAGCCGAGGCTGCCGCAGGAAGCAGCAGTGCCCCTGCACGGTGGACTCCTTATCCCTGCAGTGGATACCTGGGGCAGAGGACGAAGGTCCCGCCCACCTGCCACGCTGCCTGCCTGCCTCCCGGCCTCCAGCCCAGCATTCCTAGCATCCTTGCTTTTACCTCTGAGATCAGGTGGGTTCTGTGGACTGATGTCTCCCACCTGGGACCTGCCCCAGGTCATGCCATTACAACAGAGCCGGCGGGGTTTGCCCCCTTGTCCCTCAGAGGCATTTGACAATAAGGACCCCTCACTCCTTGTGCCTCCTTCAGTTCCCGGTTTATAAAATGCACTCTCCAGGGACGGTCGGCTCCTCTTCTGCACCTTCTTCCAAACAGGGTGTCCCAGGTCTCTGCTGCTCTTTTTCTCACTGCCTTGGGATCCTTCCTGGCTCCAGCTGGGAGCAGTCCCACTCGGCATATCTCCCACTCTGTCCCCAGCCTCCTGTCTTTGTGGCTGGCTGCAGGCACTGTCCATTCCCAATAACTTGGTGTTTCTGAACCAAAGTCTTGTCTGACGATGCCTGTCCATGTTCTCACCAGTTTTTTTTCCAGTCACCCAGACTCAAAAATAACTCTTTGCTCTGTTATCCTTGTCCCCTTTACTTGTACAATATTCTCCCATACTTTTGGTTTGCTTCTTATTTTGGTATACTGTAGTAGCAAAGAGCTTTGGTATATCTGTCACCCGAATTCACTGATGAGCATTTTTCTCTCTTTATGGTGTTCTCTCTCTCTTCCCTCTTTCAACCCTCTCTTTCGTATTCCAACCCTTTCTCCCTCCACACATATTTTGTTCTGAACCACTTGAGACTAATTTGCTGACATCATGTCCCTTTATCTATACATACAAATTTTCTTAGAACCCTTATTTAACGTAAGGATAGACTTAGGGGATACAATACTGTTATCTAATACGCCATTTGCATTTCCATTTTTCCAGTTGTCACAGTAATGTCTTTTATAGCTTTCTTTTCTTGGTACAGAATCCAGTCTAGACTCACATATTGCATTTAGCTGTCATGTCTTCCGAGTCTTCTCCAATCTGGGTTAATTCCTTTGTATTTGTCTTTCCTGATCTTCACATTTTTTCCCCAAAATATTAGTATAGACTAGTTATTTTGTAGGATGTCTTTAAATTTGGTTTTGTCTGACGTTTCTTCATGGTGACATTTGGGGTGGTTTTGTCTGACGTTTCTTCATGGTGACGTTTGGGGTGGTTTTGTCTGACGTTTCTTCATGGTGACGTTTGGGGTGGTTTTGTCTGACGTTTCTTCATGGTGACGTTTGGGGTGGTTTTGTCTGACGTTTCTTCATGGTGACGTTTGGGGTGGTTTTGTCTGACGTTTCTTCATGGTGACGTTTGGGGTGGTTTTGTCTGACGTTTCTTCATGGTGACGTTTGGGATGGTTTTGTCTGACGTTTCTTCATGGTGACGTTTGGGGTGGTTTTGTCTGACGTTTCTTCATGGTGACGTTTGGGGTGGTTTTGTCTGACGTTTCTTCATGGTGACATTTGGGGTGTACGTGTCCAGCAAGAAAGCAGTGATGTTGTGTTCTGCTCAGTGCATCTTATCAGGAGGCACATGCTGTATGTCTGTCCCATTATTGGGGATGTCAACTTCTGTTACTTGGCCAAGGTTGTGTTTAGCTGCATGGAGTTGTAGATTCTTATTTTACCTCATGAATATTCATTCTACATTTATTTATTTAGATGCCCAAACGGTCTCAGATTTGGCCCGTGTGGGTGTATTTTTTAAAATTGGACATGGGTATCAAATCTTCCAAACACTTTTGCAACATCATGGAGGCTTGCATATAATTTTTCTGCATAGATATATTAATGTGGCATATTATGTAAATAGTTTTCTAATGTTATGACAACCTTAAATTCTGGAATAAATCTCATTTGGTTGTGGTGTATTCTTTCCTCAGAGTGTTATTGCATTCTGTTTGCTAGTGTTTTATTTAGGCTCTTTGCATCCATATTCATATGTGATATTGCCCTATAATATTGTTTTGTGTGTGTGTGTTATTTTCAGTTTAGATATTAGTATTATAGCTCCATGAAAAGAAGTATGGAAGCTTTCATTTATTTTTGGTGCTCTGAAACAATTTATGAACCATGGAAGCTATTGGTTTTGTAGAGGTTTAGTAGAATCCCCCGTGGAGCCATCTCAGATTAATGCTTTTTTGTGACTATAGTTGCTTCATAACTTTCTCCCTTTCTTCCGTGAAAATTGATCTGTTTAAGCTTTGTATGCTTATGGGATCAATTTTGGTAAATTGTATTTTCCTAGAAAATTGTATCTAGATTTTCCAATTTAAATGTGTAAGGGCCTCCCTTTATTTATGTATTATTACTTAATGGAGGTCACCCTAGATTGCACATCCCTAGGTCACAGGGCCTTTGGTACATTAAAGTTATACTTAGGCTCATGGGACTGTATGGAGTGACCTTTTTGTGTCTATCTTTGTACTGCTCTTGAAAATCTCTCTTGGTTTTGGAGGCCCAATTTGGATGTCACCTTCTCCAGAAAGTCCACCCTGATTGCCTCATTTGGTTTTCTGTAATCCTGAAGTGCTTTGCTGACTCCTGAAGGGCTGAGCATCACACTGTATCTGCAGTTCATTGTCTTCATTGTATCCAAGGCATTCTGGCAGGAAGGCAAGACTCAGGCATTACTTTCTTATTACCGCTCTAACAAATTACCACAAACTTAGTGTTGTAAAATAACACAAATATATTATCTTACGGCTCTGGAGGTCAGAAGTCTGCAATCAGTTTCACTGGGGTAAAATCAAAGTGTCAGCAGGCCTTCATTCCTTCTGGAGGTTCCAGGGGAGAATCTGTTTCCTCATTTTTTCCAGCTCCCAGAGGCTGCCTGCATTCCTTGGCTCATGGCCTCTTCCCCCTCCTTCAAAGTCAGCAGTGGCTGTTGAGTCTTTTTCACACTGCGTCACTCTGACAATTCTCTTCTGTAGTCAGATTTCCCTCTGCCTCCCTCATCTAAAGACCCATCAAAGCCACCCAGATAATCCAGGATAACGTGTGCATCTCAAAACCTTAGCTGGATCACATTTGCAAAGCCCCGTTTACCATGTAAGTTCACATTTTCGTAGGTTCTGGGGATTAGGATGTGGACATCCTTGGGGTGTTGGGAGGCCATGAGCTCACTCAGCCGTCTGGCCCATGGCCTTCTGGGGACGACCATCCCTCCTGCAGCCTCAGGGCTGGGCCAGCTGCCAGGAGCTTCCCTGAGCCACCTGGACAGCCCCAGCCAGCATGCACTTTAAATAATAAACCATGCATTCTTGATCCGTCTACTGCAACACATAAAGAAGTTTCCTTTTTTCTCCCACGAGTCTAAGCATGGCAATCACAGTCAATATTAAGTATTTTTTTTTTTTCCTTTTTCACTTATCTGTTGGACATGTTCTCTCTGAGAACCCAGATGTGAGGCTAGGGCAGGCACCTCTTCTTGAATATTACTTGATTAAGAAAGAAAAGCTAAAATCTAAACATTGAAACAAAAAATAAAAGGGTATGATGCCATTTTTTGTGTGTGCGCATATGTGTCTGAATCCTTTTTCCCACATGCAGCTCCACCAAACAGAGGAATTGGACAAGAAGTGGTGTCGGCTCTTCCCAGTTCTCCCCTGGACTCTTATGCAACACACGCCCGCCCCACTTTAGTAACTCAAAGCAGAGAAGGCCTCCAGCTTAAATAGGAAAATCTGCCTCGAGCTGCAGACGGATCAAGAATTCATAGTTTATTATTTAAAGTGCACACTGGCTGGGGCTGTCCAGGTGGCTCAGGGAAGCTCCTGGCAGCTGGTCCAGCCCTGAGGCTGGAGGAGGGATGGTGGCCCCCAGAAGGCCATGGGCCAGGCGGCTGAGTGAGCGCATGGCCTCGGTGCTGGCTTGGTGTTGCAGGGGGCGGTGGGGGTGGAGAGAGAGGTCCCTGCCAGCTCCCGCAGTAGTGTCTGATTTTTGAATCAGCGGCGTTCATGTTCCCTCCAAGGGAGAGAGCCGGGAGAATGTGTGACTGAGAGTGCACACCCGGCTTCCCTCCCGGCAGGAGGCCTCTGGCCAAAAAGTCCACCCGAGGCAAGGGAAGGAGAACAGACACTCTGGTCTTTTTAAGAAATGGCTTTCGGGTTACATTTTTTCCTCTGCAAAAAGGTCTAGCCTTCTCAGTACATGAATTTCTCATGGAAAAGCCTAGCAGAAAGTCTCACCGGGACAGCTGCTGCCCAGTTTTGTTGAGCGTTTTCCAGCTGCAGATGCAGTGGGTCCTTTTGCAAAGCCTGCTTTCCAAAGCAACAGGCAATTTCATGTGCACGACCAGACAGAGAATTTGCCTGCTGGAACCTGTATGGGGTTGCACAAACTGGCTTTGGGCTGAAGGAGCTGGTACCTTTCTCAATCCATTAGCAAGTCGTAGATCAAACCCCCTGCCGTGGCGTTTGGATGGAGCTGGACAATGAAGCTTAGGGGAAAAGCCCAGTAAAGCCGGGAGTGTTCCCACCCAGTGGAGCAGAAAACGTCAGGCGTCACTGGTGGTCGGCTTTGGTGGTGGTGTGGATGCAACCTGGGACCAGCTGTGAAGGGACAGAGGTCTCGCTCACATCTGCTGCAGGGGACCTTCTGCTCTGGTGTCCACACTGCACCCTGTGCTTAGGCGTGCTCCAGAATTGGGGAGCAGAAAGGGACCTTTCTTCTCTGTAAGCGAAGAGACACAGCTTATAGGTTGGGGTCCCGTGGATTTCTTAGGAAGCCAGTGCTTGGCCTGCTGGGCCCCTGCGAAGGGAATGAGCCATTCTTTGTGTCAATATTTAAAGAAATACAACACACTCCTAGAAGATAAACTGTTTCCACTGCTGCCAGGGATGTGGCTGCTTCTCTCACTGTGCTTTTGGGGGATGCTTTATTACCCCTCCTCTCCCTGTGTGGGGCTGATGGTCGACAGCGGGCACAGCTTAGGTTCGGAGTCTCCTGCCTGCTTTGTCCCTGGGGGTATCATCTGAATGGTGTTTGGCCTGTTGGTTTCCTTTCTGGGAGGCAGTTAATCATCTTGTTGGTGCAGAGTGTTCAGCGGCACATCCGTGAATTTCTGTCACGGGCCTGCTTGGCTCGCCTCTGAGTTTGAAAAGCTGCCTGCCTTAGTATAAATATGCATTTCCCAGCCTCGAGGACGGCTCGGCTGTTGCAGTGACAAGAGCATCTGTGCATCCCTCGGGGCACATTGTCCCTTGCCGGCAGGTGATCTGCCTCAAATCTTCCTGTTTCCTATCCCTGACGCCTTTCCCTGAAGCTGCCCCTGCAAGGGTCCTGGGGTCTCTGCTGTGTTTGCTTCATCACGTGTGTACAGGCGTTGGCTACTGTGGTCGGGGGCAGCAGGGAGAGAGAGTGCCCAGAACAGGCTTGGCCACACAGACCCCCAGGCAGTTGGGGTGGGCCCAGAGTTCTGGAGGAGAGGAGGAAAGAGGTCATGATGGCGATTTGGGGATGCTCCCTGGGGAAGCAAGATATGAGCCAGGCATTGAAACTGCTGGGCTTCACGTGGATTCCAGAGAAAGGGCATGGCTTGTGTCATCTGTGCCTTTGTACGTTGTCCACATGCCTGGCACGTTGTAGGCTTCAGAAATCTCAAGAAGCCCATGGGAATGGGTTTGGGATTAGAGAGGACTCTGCGGCAGCCAGGGTGGTGAGACAGGCACCAGACTGAGGCAGGCCAGAGCTTGAGTCCTGTCTCGAAATCCATCCTCACTGAGGGGGCTTGGGCAGGGGGCACCCCCGAGGTTGCAGTGGGTTCCATCCCAGCGCCGACCACCATCACAGCTGTGGGGAATAGCCATTCCATTTTTTGTGCGTTTTTGAGACAGGGTGTCGCCCTGTCACCCAGTCTGGAGTGCAGTGGCACAATCACAGCTCACTGCAGCCTCGACCTTCCTCGAGCGATCCTCCCACACTCGCCCCCACATGCCTCCGAGTACCTGGGTTCAGAGGTGTGTGCCACCACGCCCAGCTGATTATTTTTTTGTGGAGATGAGGTCTCACTGTGCTGCCCAGGATTTTCGTGAACTCCTGGGCTCAATCCTGCCACCTCTGCCTCCCAAAGTGCTGGGATCACAGGCTTGAGCCATTGCCCCTGGCCACATGGCCATTCTGTGGGCATGCAGCGTCCAGCCTCTGTAAGAATGAGGACCATGTTGTTGAGAACGTAGCTTTCTTTGGGACATCTAAGTTGTGAAAATCAGAGTTTTCCCTGAGCAAGCTGCCCATTTTGCTGTATTTGGGGACCCAGAAGTTTGGGAAGAAACAGGAACAGGGATTGATGGTTGTGAATCTGGTGTGGCTTTCTCACCTCATCTGACCAGGGCACGAAACCCCAAGATATGCCCAGTTGTGCATGAGTTGTGTCCCTCTGTGTCCCCTGGGGTGGCCTTTCCTGCTGCTTAGTCAGACTCCCCTGGTGATGTACACTGGGTTGTCTCGTGGAGAAAGTAGCCGGCAGAAGAAGCCAGGGCAAACTTGGATGGCTAAGCCCGGGATTCTGTTTTCCTTTCCCATTACTTTTTTTTCTTTTTTCATGAATCCAACACTGACAGTACAGATTTCTTGAAGACATTCCAGTTTCAACCATATTAAAGAGTAGTTACTTGGAGTTATGATACATCAGTAACTACCTAAAAAGGGAAAGCATTTAGCAATAGCAAAAAAAGGAAGCTGTTCAAGTTGTAGCAAGAATCTTGTTATAATTGCTTCCAGCGTGAATGACGTGGGCACTTTGCTCAGGAAGCCTGAGGATTCTACCAGCGAGTGAACGATGGTGTTCCCTGCTTGCTTTATCTTTGGGGATTCTGAGATTTACAACTGTCGTCTTTTGCTTTTTTCCTTCCAGTTGTCTGTGGCAAGCAGCCGCTAGCAGCCTGTGTTCCAGACAACTGAACATAATTTCTGGCTGCCAGATAAAATAAAATGTTTTATAATAACTTTTTGACAAGGCTGGACGATCAAGCCTTTTGTGGGGTGTGTGTGAGTTGTCTGTGTATGTGGGAGAAAAAGCGGAGACCGTTTTGCTCCAGGGGTATGATGTTTTGGTAATAGATGTCATTGAAAAGTTGTTTTAAAAAGTGAGACTTCTGTAAAGTGGGTCAAATTTTAAATGAAGTAGATGAGCTTACCGTTTTAAAGGAAGCTGGAGTAAATTCTGTAAAGTGGAGACGTTTTTGGCAGGATATGCACCAGCTGCTTAGAACGTACTCGTAGGTTGAATTTTGTATTTTTCATAGAAAAAACATAATTGCTTGTCTAGGGCAGATTTGTGATGATTGGACTCTTTCTGCAGGGCACCATTATAGATGAGCAAGACTGTCGTCCAGGTGTGGCAGTGTTGGGGCTGTGTGGTGGGTGGCAGGTCCCAGCAGGGGGTCTGTGGGAACCCACACTGTTGTGCTCTTTCAGAAGCTTGTGGAGGACGCCAGCCACACCTGGCACTGCACGCGGCACGTGACATCGGCTATCTCATTTTCTCCTCCTCAAATGCTCAGCTGTTTTCATCACAGTAAAACGGCATGGTTCCCATTACAGCTGGATAAACATGAAGGGGCATTTAGGGACCAGAGGCAGGAGGTCTGCATTGCTTAGCCCTCTCTCCATCTCAAGCTAAGCCAGAAAAATAAATAAAAGGGAATTTATTGACTCGTGTGAAAAGCCCATCAGGTAATATGAGCTTTAGTCATGGCTGGACCCAGGGTTTACAGCAGTGTGGCTGGGGCTTCCTTGCTTGCTCTTGCCATCTCTTTCTTTTGTTTCACTCTGGGTTTACTTAAGTCTCAGGCAGGTCTTTCCTGATGGCAGCACAGGGGGCCCCTGGCAGCTGCAGCTTTTGTGGTCCTTGGTGCCTGTGAACCCCGTCACACCAAACTTTGTGAAAGGATTTGAGTGGCCCTGCTTGGGTCACGTGCCCAGCCCTGGACTCATCCCTCTGTCCAAGAAGCAGAGTCTTTTTTCCTGTCCTATAACGTGGTCATCACACAGCATTGGGGTAGGGCTGGTGATAGACAGCTTCATTGGTTTGGTGTGGTCCTCAGAAGCAAAGAGGTGTTCTGTTGCAGGATGGGGCAAAACTCTAGAAGCCCTCTTAGGTGGCCTAGATAATTTTGTCAATCTTTGCCTTTTTCTCCTGAACCCAGACTTTTGGGATGGCGTTTGCTCACAGGCATTCATGAAGTGCTCCTCAGTCCCTGCCATGGTCCTCTCTCAGCCTCGTTCTCCTTTCTGTCAGGGTCAGCAGAGGAAGGAAGTCATGTTCAAGCTGTGGGCTATGCTTAGGTGAAAGGCCCTTCTAAGAGCAATTCTTTGGGCCTGTGTTCTTGCAGGATGCCCAGTTGCCCAAGTCTGGGTTGGCTCAGGTATTTCAAGGGGGTGCTGCATCCCCGCTTTGGGCTTTGGAAGCACAGCAGGGCATAAGGGTTTCTACCGAGTTCGAGCATGGGAGAAACGAACAAGTTATGGCGCTGACTGCTGTCTCAGTCCCTGTTGCTGCACGATGAGCTACCCCAAAGCTGAGTCGTTTGAAATTGCCATTTTAATAAGTTCATAGATTCTGTGGGTCAGGGATTTGACAAGGCACGGTGGACATAGCTTTTCTCAGTTCCACAGTGTCTGGGCCTCACCTGGGAGGACTTGAAATCTGGAGGCTGGAGTGATCTGGAGGTGCCTCATTCATGTGTCTGGCCTGGAGGTGGATGACTTGAAGACAAGGACAACAACGTGGAGCGTCTACCTGTGGCCTCTGCAGCTTGGCGTCCATACCTTGGTGGCAGACATACTTCTTCTATGGCCACCAGGGCTCCCAATGCAAGAGTTCCCGCAAGCCCAGCAGGAGCTGTGCTGCCTTTGAGGATCAGCCTCAGAAATCCTAGAGCATCACTCTGAAGGTACTCTGTTGGCTGAAGCGGTTAGAAACCTACCCAGGTTCAAGGGCAGAGAGATAGACCCCACCGCTCAATGTCAAAGAATTTGGGGGCCTTATTTAAAACCTCTTCACACCTCTATAACTGTAGGTAGGTGACACCGCTAGTGACAAAGGGCTACTGTGCAGAGGGATCAGAGACAGCTCGAGGAGAGAGCATATTCCATAGTTCAGAGACAGCATACCGGGTATGGGGCTCTTCAGCCCAGCTTTGGACATTGGTGTGCATCAACTGTGGGCATTGGGCCTAGAGAAGGCTTTGGTGTCAGAGCTGTGGTGTAGTCACTCTGAGTGTCCTTGGTCAGTTAATTGATTATAGCTTTACGGAGATAAAATTAACATGCAATAAACTGAATATATTCAAATGTACAATGTGATGAGTTTGTTTAAATTTATATATATTTTTAGAGATGGTGTCTTGCCATGTTGCCTAGGCTGGTCTTGAACTGGGCCCAAGCAGTCCTCCTGCCTTGGCTTCCCAAAGTGCTGGGATTACAGGTGTGAGCCACCATGACTGGCCTAATGTGATGAGTTTTGACATGTGAATGCATCAGTAAAACCACCCTCACGATAAGATAACATATCCGGTAGATCCAGATCTAAGTGTCCTCAGAATGTACAGTCTCAGTCTCTGGGGCAAGTGTAAGACCCCACCATGGCCCAGCAGAATGGAGTAGGCAGATGCCTGTGAGCCCCTGGGTGCACCTGCCTGCCCTCTAGCAGCTGATCTGAGATGGGACGTGAACCAGGGCCATCTAGGGGGCCTTGTGCACACAGGTCTTGGCACTGGCTTTTGCCAGCGCTCTTGTCGTTGGAATTTGAGTAAATACAGCAAACCCATCTGAAGACCTGAGTACAAATACCACAGCCTTTGAGACGGATTTATTTCAGGGACCAGAAACAGTTTGAGGAATCTGGCATCCTAAATAGGTAAACAAATAAACAAATCTGGCAAGAAGCTAGGGCTTCTAAGAAACAAAGAGCCATAAAGACCAGGTTGAGATGTTAAAACAAGCTTAAAATAAATGAGACCTGGATGAGATAAGCTTTATAAGGTGTTTTTTTTTTCTATAGTTGACCTTTGAACAATGTGCAGGGTTGAGGATGAAGGGTACTGACCCTCCCCCTCTGCTCCTGCACCACAACATGCAGTTGAAAATTTCAGTATAACTTTTGACTCTCCAGAAACTTAACTGCTTATAGGCTGCGCTTGACTGGAAGTCTTACTGTTAACATAAACAATGGGTATTGTATACTGTATTCTTTCAATATAGTAAGCTAGAGAAAAGAAAATGTTACTAAGAAAATCATAAGAGAAAATATATTCACTATTTATTAAGTGGAAGTAGATCATTACAAAGATCTTCATCCTTGTCATCTTCATGCTGAGTAGGTGGAAGAGGGAGAGGAGAGGTTGGTCTTGCTGTCTTGGGTGGCAGAGGTGAAAATCCATGTATAAGTGGGCCCGCACAGTTCAAACCTGTGATATTCAAGGGTCAACTGTACTACAGTCTGCTACAGCAGACCAAAATGCACAAAGGCGGCAGTACAGAGCAGAAATGGCTTTGTACATTTGAATTAGCGATGAGAATAACTGTGAGGTAGTCCCTCAGGAGGCAAAGGAAAGAAGACAGTGGTGAGAAAGAAAGTGCTAGGAATGGATTACAGAGAATGGAAATCCAATCCAGTAATCCCTGCAGATGGAACCCTTCCCCCAAGACAGAATAGGAGCATTGATCAAAGATTTATAATGAATGAAGACTTCGGGAAGTTTGAAACAAATCTCAGTTTTCAGGATAAAAGGCTTACTGTGTTGTAGTCAGAATGAATTTACATGGACTCACAGATTTATTCTGGCAAAATTTGCGAATTATAAGGTTAAAAAAATTATACTAGCATTCAAACAGACAAAACGGGCTACTCAAAAGAAATGAAAATCCAGCAGGCCACAGAGTTATCCATGTTACGGGGTCCCAGAAGACAGTGGAGCCAGGAGTCCAGTGCTTGGAGGAGAAGGGGTTGTGCCCTAAGGATGTGACACTCAGACAAGTTGTTGTTCAAGAGTACAGGCAACTGAGGGGTGCTTTTAGCTACCTGAGAGGTTCGAGATGATATAGCCTGGTTGCCTTTGTTCTGGGAAGGATTGTCTGAAGACATCACTGCAGTTGATTCTGAGCTGAAGTAAAATTAAGAGATTGGGAATAGGGAAGTCATGACATAAAGAGCTGATTAAGGCCGGGTGCGGCGGCTCATGCCTGTAATCCCAGCGCTTTGGGAGGCCGAAGCGGGTGGATCACCTGAGGTCAGGAGTTGGAGACCAGCCTGCCCAACGTGGCGAAACGCCGTCTCTACTAAAAATACAAAAAATTAGCCGGGCGTGGCGGCATGCACCTGTAGTCCCAACTACTCGGGAGGTTGAGGCAGAAGAATCGCTTGAACCTCCCAGGAGGCAGAGGTTGCAATGAGCTGAGATCACACCACTGCACTCCAGCCTGGGCGACAAGAGAGAAACTCCTTCTCAAAAAATAAATAAAATAAAATAAAATAAATTTTAAAAAAGCTGATTAAAACTGTTGAGCAGAGTGAAGCCTAACTGATACAAATATAATCACATATGGAATAGAATTAAGAATTAAGGGGAGATCAAAGACCTAAATTTAAGAGCTAAAACTATCAGAGTCTTAGAAGCAAACATAGATGTGAGTATTTGTGGTCTAGGTTTAGGCGATGGTTTCTTACATACGGTACCCAAAGCACAAGCAACCAAAGAAAATATAGATAAATTGGACCTCATGAAAATTAAAAACTTTTGTGTCTTAAAGGATACCATCAAAAAAGTAAAAATACAACTCATATGATGGGAGAAGAGTTCTTTAAATCATATGTCCGGTAAGAGACTTGTATTTAAAATATATAAAGAATTCTTGTAACTCAGTGATAGAATGACATTGACTTCAATTAATGGATAAAGGACTTGAACAGTGTATCAGGGTTCTCTCGAGGGACAGAACTAATGGAATATATATATAATATATATGTTACATATATATTATATATTTTATAAAGGTAAGTTTATATATATAAATTTTTATATTTTTATATATAGTTTATATATAAATATAAATATATATTTATAATATATATTATATATTTTATATATATAAAGGGAAGTTTATTAAGTATTAACTCACATGATCATAAGGTCCCACAATAGGCCATCTGCAGGCTATGGAGTAAGGAGAGCCAGTCCAAGTTCCAAAACTGAAGAACTTGGAGTCCGATGTTTGAGGACAGGAAGCATCCAGCATGGGAAAAAATGTAGGCTGGGAGGCCAGGCCAGTTTCTCTTCTCACATTTTTCTGCCTGCTTTGTATCCTAACCTCCCTGGCAGGGTTAGGATTATGCCCACCTAGATTAAGGGTGGGCCTGCCTTTCGCAGCCCACTGATTCAAATGTGAATGTCCTGTGGCAATACTCTCACAGACACACCCAGGATCAATACTTTGTATTCTTCAATCCAGTCAAATTGACACTCAGTATTAACCATCGCAGATAGTTCTCTAAAGAAGGTATACAAATAGACAATAAGCACCTGCAGAGATGCTCAGCATCATCAGCCATCAGGGAAATGCAAATCAAAATTACAATGAGGTACCACCTCACTCCTGCTTGGATGGTTATAGTAAAAAAGATAGCAAATGTTGGCAAGGATTTCGAATTCTCATAGACTGCTGTTGAGAATGTAAAATGGTGCAGTTGTTGAAGAAAACAGTCTGGAAGTTCTTTAAAAGTTTAAGCATAGAATTACTGTATGACTTAGCCACTCCACCTCATACATATCCAAAAGAAATTAAAACATTTATCCACACAGAAACTTGAGTAAGAACGTCCATAGCAGCATTGTTGATAATAGCTTCAAAGTGGAAACAACTCAAATGACTGTCAATTTGCGAATTAAATAAAATGTGTATAGTCATACAATAGAATTTTATTTGGCAATAAAAAGGAATGAAGCACTGATGCCTGCTGCAGCATGGATGAACCTTGAACATGAAAGTGAAAGAAACCAGACACAGAAGATCACATATTATATGATTCTGTTAATGTGAAATACCCAGAATAGGCAAATCTGGAGACAGAAAGATTAATGGTTTCTTAGGCCTGAGGGTGGGGAAGGACAGAGGAAAATGGAAAGTGATTGCAGGGGGTTATGGGGTTTCTATTTAGGTGATGCAACTGTTCTAAAAATGTGCTGAGTGCATATAGTTCTGTGAATACACTGAAAACAACTGTATATGCTAAATGGGTGAATTGTATAATATATGGATGATAGCAATAAAGCTGTTATAAAAATTAAGGGAAGATGTAAAACATAAATTAGGATGCTTTAATAGTAATTTGTATCTCAAGTTTATGAAATGTTGACAAATCAGAAGTGGAAAGGGATGTGGGAGAAAAAAAGATGCTAAATTCTTATTCAAAAGGGAAAATCAAATTGTTCTTGACTTCGATAATCAGAAAACTGTAGAGTAAAGGTTGTTTCTTAAGATGGTAAAGATAATTTACTAGTAGAATAGCCTACCCAATTACTAAAGATGATAAGCCTAATGAAATATAACTTACATAAGCTGGGCGTGGTGACTCACGCCTGTAATCCCAGCGCTTTGGGAGGCTGAGGTGGATCACAACATCAGGAGATCAACCATCCTGGCTAACACAGTGAAACCCCGTCTCTACTAAATATACAAAAAAAAAAAAAAAAAAATTAGCCCGGTGTGGTGGTGGGCGCCTGTAGTCCCAGCTACTTGGGAGGCTGAGGCAGGAGAATGGTGTGAACCTGGGAGGTGGAGCTTGCAGTGAGCTGAGATTACACCACTGCACTTCAGCCTGGGCAACAGAGACTCCGTCTCAGAAAAATATATATATATATATAACTCACATAGAACAGTAGAGAGAGAAAAGGAACTAAAAACATGACAGAAGATCAACCATTATCAACTTTTACAATAAATATAAAAGTGTTAAAATCCCCAGTTGAAATACAAGGACTTAGAAATGAGTTAAAAAGTTAATGTAAAAGCACAGGTAAAGATTTAAGCATTAAACACAACTTAAAAGGTGGTAAAACTGGGAATAATATTTACCATAGTGCTCCAAAAGTCTAGTATTCTTTTATTTGCTCTTTCACTTATTTTAAAACTATTCCTTGAATATCCACTGCATGCTAGGCACTAGGTTTGGAGTGGTGATCCTTGCTCTTGAGCTTCCTGTGTGGTGGAAGAGGCTAACATTAAACACAGAACAATTAAATGATGACAAATAGTGAGTGCTCCAAGGAAAAGAAAAATGTGCTATTGTGGTTTAGATTAAGGGACCCACAAAAGCTTCTTTGAGGAAGTGGCACTTGGGGTGTACATACAAGTTATGTGACTGCTGGGGATAATAACTTTCCAGGTGGAGCTGCAGCATGTTCCAGAGGCCAGGGTGTGGACAAGAGATGAGATGCTGGAACTCATGAAAGCCCATGTGATGATGTGGTGCCCTCCTAGTTGGATTTTAGAGGAAGCCACAGGAAGCTCTAGGAAATCAAGAATGAGGGGTTCTAGTGCATTTGTGAGTTGCCTAACAAGGAATTCCGCCTCTCTACTCTTGGCTGGTTTGCTCACCCTGGTGGAGCCCAAGGCTCCTTTGCACGTGGAAGCACTTCAAGAAATGGCTGACCTGGCTGTCAAGGAAGCACTGTCCTCTTGGTAATCCAGTGGGGGCATTGGAAAGTTGGGAGTAGGAGTCCAGTGAGCTCCATATCACTGTGGGTCAGAAGGACCATGGCTCAGGTGACTGCATTTTCTGGGCAGGTCGTTTTGCTCTGAAGGGTCCTTGGCATTTGGGAAGGGATTCTTTGGGAAAGAATGCCATTCTGATGATGGGTCTAGGCCAAAAGGGAAATATTTTGACTTTTTTCTCACCCCTAAGCCTATGGTTGGTTGGTTGAGCACTCTCTCTTGTGGTGTCTCTCCCTCTTCTATCTTGAGGGACATCTGGGGCTTCTGTGACACTCCAGAGGCCTCTGGAGGAGTGAAGGACACCTGACTGTAAACAGCCCTGGGCATGTTGGAGGTATTTGACACATTTGGAAGAAACCCTGACTCCAGAGCCCTACAGGGCCAAGGATTTGTTGTTGCTTGCTAATCCTCTGAAAAGAGGACTGAAGGATTGCTTTATTCTTTTCTTAATTTGTTCATTTACTTCATTCTGTCATTAACTTATTCATTCAGAAACAATGACTGAACACCACCTGTGTTCCTGGTGCCCTTCTCAGCACAAGAGGTACAGAGGAGAGAGGGCTGTTCCCATCCTCAAACCTAGCAGCGTGGGGACACAACCTCAGGCCCCCGTAGGGTGTGCTTGGTGATTTTGGGGACTGGGGGAGAGGTGGCTTTGTGTTAAAGTGATGAAGGTGAAGAGTGTGGGTTGCTAGTCACACAATGGCCTGGCCCCTTTGCATAGGTGGAGGAATTTCTGAGGTGTCTGAAGTTTCTCTTACATCCTTGTCAAAGATGAAAGACCATCTGTCAAAAGAAACCATTCCCAGGATCCCGATGGGGGATTCCAGGTGCAGAGAAGCCGTCGATTTCTTTTCAGGCTTTTGTTTGCCCTGTCTTGCTCTGGTTGAAACGTGAACACATTAATTAATTTCTTCCCCCAAGCTGTGTGTTTGGGGAATGTTCTTTTTTTTTTTTTTTCTTTTCCATCAATTTAGAAGGTAAAACTGTCAAGCTGCTATAGGCTAGTGTAATCTTTCAGCAGTAGACTTTGCTGAAAAGTGGTGGTGAGAATCATGATAATTCTAAGTACTGGCGTTTGTTTTTTGCGGATTTGCTGAATGTGTCTTGGTGGGGCTGTGAGATGACTGTCCTGCCTGCGAGTCCCCCGACTGTCCTGACGGCGGTTACACACACACACACCCTGACGTCCGGGCGTGCAAAGGTGGCCTGCCTCATCCACACTTCTTGAGGCAGGGAAGATGAGTATCTGAGTATCTTATGGGCTAAATTGTGTCTCCCCCAAGTTCATAGGTTGAAGTACTAACTAGCCCAGTACCTTAGAATGTGACTGTTTTTGCAGATGGGGTCTTTAAAGAGGTAATTAAGTTAAAATAAGGTGATGAAGGTGGGTCCCCTAATCTGATATGACCGGTGTCCTTAGACAAAAAGGAAATTTGGACACAGACATGTACAGAGGGACAACCCTGTGAGGACAGGAAGGTGACAGCCACCTACAAGCAAAGGAGAGAGGCCTGGAACAAGTCCTTCCCTCGTGGCCCTCTGAAGAAACCAACCCCACTGACTCTTTGATCTTGGACTTCCAGCCTCTGGGACTGTGAGAAGTAAATTTCTTTCATTTAAGTGCATTGAATATTTATTAGAGGTTGAGACAAAGGTTTAAGGGTGATGCAAAATTAACCAGAAAATGTGGTGGTCTCCTTTATTTTCGGGGTATCCTGTGACAGCCAGTCTGAAGCATTTTTACTGGACTAGACTCAGCTTCTCCTGCATGATGCTGCCTGGCATTTTCTCTCTTTCTTTGTGCATGTACTTGGTGGTCCAGCTTTGTTCTTCCCTAATGCAATGTATATGATTTCCCTTTCTTTCTCCCTCCATTTGGAAGCCAGCTTTCCCTGGAAGTTCTGTACCGGTTCCTGGATGTGTGTGCCCAACACGGTTCTGCCATCTGGGGTGTGTTTATGGGACTGATGAGTTTTTGCATGCAAAAACATGTAAACACTCAGATGAGTTTCTCCCTCCCTCTGGGAGAGCACCCAGCGCAGGGTCGACCACAGAGTCGGGGCTTGATGAGGGCTTGCAGAGCGACAGTTGTCCTTTCCCAGTTGGTATGAGTGCAGTAGAAGCCTCGTTCTTCCTGGCTGGGAGTCTGGAGCTGACATCCTCAAATGTGGCTGGAAGGGGACAGCAGTAGAAACTGAGGGAGGCAGTCTTCAGTGGGCCTGGGTTTCTTCATTTTATGTTTCAATTTTTTCTCATTTCAAGGAAATCTTCCCTTGACTCTAGGACCTTCTAGCTGCATTCCTGTCTCTCTCCTCCCCAGACTTCTCCAAAGTTTGCGCCATTTCCTCGCGGGCCAAACATGCATTCAACCCTCTCTAGTCTGGTTTTCGCCTGCATCTGTCCCCACGAGCACTCTCACTGAGACCCCCCACCCCCACACCGTGACTCCCTGTTGTTCAGTCAGCCCCTCCTTCCTTCCTTCCTGGGCACTCTGCTGTGTTGGAGACGCCACGCAGCCCTGCCTCTCAGGACTTCACTTTCCCTGGTTCTTGGGATGTCATGCTCTGCTCTTGTCGTAGCTTGGCCTTCTTTGTCTCTGTCTCTGTAGTGTTATTTCCATCTCTTCTATCTAGCCATGTGGTTTTGAGGTCTCTAAAGGATTCGTCTGGAACTGATGATTCCTGAATGCTGTGAGCTCTGAGGCATTGGAATGAAGTATTCCCTTGCTTCTTGAGCTCCCAAATCCGCACAGCCAGCAGCCAGCCTGACATCTCCACCTGGATGCTTCTAAAGCACCTGAAACTCAATTAGGCCAGAACTCACAGTGCTTTCTTCCTACCTGGCCCTATTCCAGTGGTCCCCAATTCAGTGACTGGTCCCCCCATTCATCCAGGTCAGTGAGGAATTATCCTTGATGGTGCCTCTTCTTTATCCAAATAGCCCCAGTATTGTTCCATCTTCGAAGTCCCTCCTGAATCTATTTGCTTCTTCCCACCTGCAGTTGCCTTCCTTGTCCAGATATTGTCCGTTTTCACCTTGGCCCATGGAGTAGTTATCCAACCAGTGTGCCCTGGAATCTCTTCTGCCCACAGAAGCCATAAGGACACATTCAGAACACAAGCCCTAGGTGGCATCCCCCTGCTCCCAGAATTAAAGAAGAAAGCTCTTAACACATCCCACATGACCCTGCCTGTTTGCCCTGCCCATTGCTCCGGCCTCCTTGGTGCCTACGTTCTCTCTTGCTCTTGCCTCCTTGCAGTTTCTAGAACATACCGTGCTTTCTTCCACCCCTGGGCCCTGTGTATATGCTGTTCCCACTCTCTGGACTCCTCCTAGCTCCTCTCCCCCACCCCTATCTGTTAACTCCTACTTATCTTTCCAACCTTGGCCCTTGCATCACTGCCTTGGGGAAGGCTTTCTTGAACCCCCAGGGTAAATTAGGGCCCCTCCTTATATTTTCTCATAGCATTGTCCACTCTTTCTTGATAGTACCTGTCACATGTAGAATGTTTAATTCTTCTGTTCATTTGGTTAATGTCTGCTCCTTCTAGATGGGCACCTACATTGTGGCAGTACCTAGCACACATGGGTTCTCAATAAATATTTAACTGAATGAATATCTTTCAACTTCATCTATAGGCAGAGGTGCCCTGCTTGGTATCTACATGGCTGTAACCATGGATAGGAAGGTCCAGCCCGGCTTCCCTACCCTGGCCTGCTGTATTCAAGAATGCAGGCATGGGTCATACCTCCTTTCTAGTATGGGGACTGATTTTAGACTCCAAATTTCATCAGGTCTGTTTTCATTTGGGATCTTAATCATATATCGTAAATGCACGTGCGCGTGCATGCGCACACACACACATACACACACACACACACACACACACCCCCCCTCACCCCCTCCAAACAAAAAACCCTTATTTTCCACCTTTCTTTGTAAGGAATTTACATGAAAAAGATGCCTTTTATAAAAATGACTTGGTCTTGGAAGTTATTTAAAGAATGCAAACTTGGAGAGCAAAACTTATTTTTTGCCTTTTGGAAAAAAAAAGAAAGAGAAGGCCATTATGCTTCAAGGATGTTGGATTTATGCAGCTGTGGAAAACTTCACCTGGCTAGGAGTTCTGCACATGTGGAGCCATCATTTCCAGTTAAGAAGGTGATTTTTCTATAAACAGATCTTTTGCTTTTGTTAAAAAAAAAAAGTGGTCACAAAGCAGTTTTCTTGGACCTGGCAATTTCATTGGAAAACATGTTGTTTGCAAGTGCGTGTGTTCAAACTCGGTACGACACCTGAAAACCTGCTGCCGGCTCACTGCTTGGCTTGGGTTTCCTTCTCGAGTACGTTTCCCACATTGACCCCGAATCTGTTAAGCACTGTCCCCAGGTTCTTAGATGTGGGTGGTAGGTTGTTGAGAAATCTGTGGTACGCTTTGATACTCTTAATTCCCATCACAGGACACCCTATTGACTGGTTTTTGTTAAATGGTGACTCAGAATATAGGCCAACTTTCCTGTCTATGGCAGCATTCTGTAGTGTGGAAGTACATATTCAATATCCTGATATTTCTATGGTGAAAGGAAGTCAATCCTTAGTTCCACACCTGGGAGGAGTCTTTGAAGCTTCAATGACATATAGGCACTAGTTTAAGGTCTGACCTTCTCTATGTCAGCTTGTGTCTAGCCAGGAAAGCTGGAACCATGCTAGGTATTTCTAACAGAGGGATTTAACACAGGGAATTGGTTATGTCAGTGTCAGTGTCTGCACGAGCAAAGAGGGAAGCTGATATAACCCAGGAGATAGGTATCATCCTAGGGCTAGAGAAATAAAAGGTGAATTTCCAGGATCACAGAGCGTGAAGGAGGGGGCTGTGGGGCTGTGGCTTATACCTTTGAAGGGACAGACCATGGAGGGAGTATACCCAAGTTGGTGCCTAGATGGCTGCACCTCTGAGGGAGCATGGGGAGGCTGGGTCCTGTAATAGCCCAAGAGCTGGAGGCTGGAACCATAGTTGTCCTGTATGGTTGTCCCTACTGAGCTGAAAACACAAGGAACCCCATCTCCTCACCTCCTGCCTTTCATTCTCCCTCTAGTGCCCCCTATTGACAGAGCTCAGCAGGAAGCCAGCTGGCAAGGTGGTCTGGGAAATATATTAATAGTTAGGCTGCCAGCCCCAGAGTTATAGAGCAGCGTGCAGAAGAGGGGCTGGGAGACAAGAGGCAGAATGGGAAATGGAGACCTTTCTGTTCAGTAAAACTTCAAGGGCACCAAGTTGAGGCCTGGGTGAATATCTAGGGCTCCTGAACCTCAGTCTGAAGATATTTTGATTATATCCCATGCTTTTTAAGAAGGTCAATGACACAAGACAGTTGGACATGCAGGGTAATCCACATGTCTTACTATTTTTCATGCTGCAATTGTGGTGACTTTGGTGTCCTGAGAAAGCACTGGTGTGGCTGGGGGCAGGAGGCAGAGGGACAGAAGGCTGATACACAGAAAGCCCAGTTGTTGCGGCCATTGGTCTCTCTCCCAAGGAGAAGGACTCATGCACTCTGCTTCCCACCTTGGTGAGAGACATTTGATTTTCATTTTCCCCACCTATGTAAAATGTCGCTAACGTTTCACGGTTCAAATAGGTGGTTTTCACGGACGGCCACATTTTGTTTTATCATGTTTCTGATGATTACAACCTCCACTCCCCCTGGAATGTTGAGATGTTAGAGTGGGATGTTGGGGAGCCCCTCTTACAACTGGTATTTTGAGGTAGGGTCTTGCTCTGTCGCCCATGCTGGAGTGCAGTGGCACGGTCATGGCTCAATGCATCATCAGTCTCTGGGCTCAAGTGATCCTCCGACCTCAGCCTCCTGAGTCGCCGGGACTACAAGCACGTGCCACCATCCCCAGCTTTTTTTTTTTTTTGCCCACGCTGGTCTCAAACTCCTAGGCTTGGGGGATCCTTCTACCTTGGCCTCACATAGCTCTGGGGTTACAGGTATGAGCCACTGCATCTGGTCCAAAACTGTTATTTTTGTATCAGTTCCAATTCATTTTTTTTGTGATGGAGGGTGGCCCTAGGAGAGAAGTTATTTCATGCCTCCTGCAGAGTAGGAAATACGGAAGGCAAGTTTTTGGTGAGTGTTCAGACTGGAGCTCTTGGCAGCTGGAGAATATGACCATTCAGACCTGTAGTGTTCATAAAAGCAATCCAAGTTTGCTATGTGGTTCTGGGGACATGCAAAATTTTCAAATCAGTACTTAGACCCTAATAATTAACAGCAATAATGACAGTGCCATGCAGATGATAGAAATAAGACGAGTGGCATGATTTGGTTGTGTTGTTATATATCTGACCCTATGTTAGAGGCTGAGCGTGGGCCTCTTAATCCCACATCTACCTTAAGAGGGCAGAACGATTATCATCTTGCCTTATAGACAAGGAAACTCACCCACTGTCACCCTGGAAGTCCATGGGCAGATTCTAACCAGCTCTGTCAGATGTCAAAGTTGGGCACCTTACGACTAGTGTTGCCCCCTCCCTTTTAGGTGGAGGAAGTGACTCGTATTTCATTTCAGGACATTTATGTTAAGTTTCCTAAAACTGATCTTGTTATTAGGAATTTCAAAGAGTTTTAAACAAATCGTTCAATAACTATGCCTATTGAATTACTACTGTAAACCACACAGTGCTAGGTGTTGGGATAGGTCCAAAGGTTAATGTTTGGGTCCCCGTAGTCTAGTCAAGAAGGCAAGTGTAGACTCTCAAAGTGCACAGTAATAGCTGTGTAGCCTGGAGGAGGAGAGCTGGGGGTAGGTGGCCAGGAGGCGTTCCAAGGCCCCTTGAGGTTGGCTGTCTAGACCCCCATCAGTGGTGGGATGGCTGGGGGATCCTGGGGCACACTGGGTGACCTCCAGAGTTCCAGTCTTCTGTCCAGTCTGTTCTGAGAGGTTTTGCCATTCCCACGGTTACTTCTAATTTATAAGTTTGAATTTGTTTTTGATGGGGCAGGTACAGAAAAAAAAGCATTATCTCCATCCACACGTTCTATGTAACAGCCAAGCCCTGGGGACCACAGACTCTTTGTACTTAAAGTGGGCTGCCCATTGGGGCCCTTCCTAGGTCATGCCACCCAGTAAAAAACAGGACCACCTGCCGACCAGTGCCATTCTGATTCAGGAAACAAAAGTCACCACCTCACCTCTTCCTGCCAGCTTGGGCCACCTCTGTCATTGGCCTTTCTTGGAGTTCTGTTCCCCCCACTCCCATCCTCCCCACTTTTTCTTGGCCCCTCTTCTGGGTGCGATAATAACTCTCCCTGGACCAAGGGACCCCTGAGGCTACCGACTTGGAACACACAGATTGAACACTTTCTGGAATTCCCTTTGATGAGTATTTTAATTTTAGGCCCTTTGGCATTTTCGAAGGTTCCTATAAGATATAATTAAACAAAATTCATGATCGCATTTGCCATAAAATGATGTCGACAATACTGCCTATTGTATCACCAGATGGTCCCTCTGTGGGGTCTTCCTTGGTGTTTTTATTTGGGAAGTTGGTGTTTGGAGAATATTATCTGTCCCTAAGGAATGGTATCCTTCGTCCTGCTGGAAGAGAATGACAAACCTATAATCCAGCATGATTCTTTTTTTCCCCCTCTGGTTTTAGGAAACTCAGAACCAAATTTCAGGGCAGAATGAATGGTGATAAGGATGCCTGGGCTGGAATCCCAGTCAACTAGGTTAGTGGTGTTGGGCAAGATAGTTAACAAATCTCCTTGTGCCTCAGTTTGCACATCTGTAGAATGGGATGTAGTCCTGACTCAGTGCTTGGTGGGCAGTTCTGTGCACATGGGGTTAGTATCTCTCATAATTTCACACGGGGTTAGTGTCTCTCATAATTTCACACGGGGTGAGTGTCTCTCATAATTTCTCACGGGGTGAGTGTCTCTCATAATTTCACACGGGGTGAGTGTCTCTCATAATTTCACACGGGGTGAGTATCTCTCATAATTTCACACGGGGTGAGTGTCTCTAACACGGGGTGAGTGTCTCTAACGGGGTGAGTGTCTCTCGTAATTTCACACGGGGTGAGCATCTCTCGTAATTTCACACGGGGTGAGTGTCTCTCGTAATTCCACACGGGCTGAGTGTCTCTCGTAGTTTCACACGGGCTGAGTGTCTCTCGTAGATTCTCACGGGCTGAGCGTCTCTCATAGTTTCTCACGGGGTGAGCGTCTCTCGTGATTCCCCACGGGGTGAGCGTGTCTCGTGATTCCCCACGGGGTGAGCGTGTCTCGTAGTTTCCCACGGGGTGAGCGTGTCTCGTGACTCCCCACGGGCTGAGCGTCTCTCGTGACTCCCCACGGGCTGAGCGTCTCTCATGACTCCCCACGGGCTGAGCGTCTCTCGTGACTCCCCACGGGCTGAGCGTCTCTCGTGATTCCACACGGGGTGAGTGTCTCATAATTTTTATCACGAGAGCTACCGTGTTGACCTTTAGTTGGTATATTTGTATTTTCTTTTCTTTTTTAACTTTTATTTTAGTTTCAGGGGTACATGTGCAGGTTTGTTACACAAATAAATCGCATCGTGGGGGTTTGGTGTACATATTATTTCATCACCTAGGTAAATAAGCATAGTACCCGATAGGTCGTTCACTTCTTTGTGGCCATGTGTACTGAGTGTTTAACTCCCACTTATAAATGAGAACTTGCAGTATTTGGTTTTCTGTTCTGGTGTTAGTTCGCTTAGGATGATGGCCTTTCGCTCCATCCATGTGCTGCAGAGGACATGATCTCATTCTTTTTTATGGCTGTATAGTATTTCCTGGTGTATATGTACCACATTTTGTTTACCAGTCTACCATTGATAGGCATCTAGATTGATTCCAGGTTTTTGCTATTGTGAATCGTGCTGTGATGAACATACACGTGCATGGGTCATCCTGTTAGAATGATTTATATTCCTTTGGGTATATACTCAATAATGGGTTGAATGGTAGTTCTGTGTTAAAATTCTTTGAGAAATTTCCAAATTTATTTTCATAGTAGCTGAAACTAATTTACATTTCCACCAGCAGTGTATAAAGCATTTCCTTTTCTCTACAACCTCGCCAGCATCTGCTAGTTTTTTACTTTTTAACAATAGCCATTCTAACTGGTATGAGATGGTATCTCATTGTGGTTTTGGTTTGCATTCCTCTGATGATTAGTGATGTTGAGTAACTTTTCATATGGTTATTGGCCACGTGTATGTCTTCTTTTGAAAAGTATCTGTTCCTGTCCTTTGCCCACTTTTTAATGGGATTTGTTTTGTGCTTGTTAATTTGCATTCCTTATAGATTCTGTATATTAGATCTGTGTCAGATACATAGTTTGCAAATATTTCCTCTCAGTCTGTGGGTTGTGTGTTTATTCTGTTGATAGGTTCTTTTGCTGTGCAAGGGCTCTTTGGTTTAATTAGGCCCCATTTGTCAATTTTTGTTTTTGTTGCAATTGCTTTTGGCATCTTTGTCATGAAATCTTTGGTAAGGAGGGCCTATGTATAGAATGGTATTTCCTAGGTTTTTTTCCAGAGTTTTTATAGTTTTAGGTTTTACATTTAAGCATTTAATCCATCCCGAGTTAATTTTTGTATATGGTGAGAGGAAGGGGTCCAATTTTAATCTTCTGCAAATAAGTTATTTCAGCACCATTTATTGAATAGAAAGTCCTTTCCCTAGTGCTTGTTTTTGTTGTCTTTTTCAGAGATCAGGTAGTTGTAGGTGTGCAGCTTTATTTCTGGGCTCTCTATTCTGTTCCATTGGTCTATGTGTCTGTTTTTGTACAAGTGCCATGCTGTTTTGGTTACTCTAGCCTTGTAGTATGTAAAGTCCGGTAATGTCATGCCTCCTTCTTTGTTCTTTTTGCTTAGAATTGCTTTAGCTATTCAGGCTCTTTCCTGGTTCCATATGAATTTTAGAATAGTTTTTTTCTAATCCTGTGAAGAATGTCTTTGGTAGTTTGATAGGAATAACATTGAATCTATAAATTGCTTTGGACACTATGGCTATTTTAACAATATTGTTTCTTCCTATCCAAGACCATGGAATGATTTTCCATTTGTTTGTGTCATCTCTGATTTCTTTGAGAAGTGTTTTGTAGTTCTCACTGTAGAGATTTTGCGTGTCCTTGGTTAGCCTTATTCCTGGGTATTTTATTTTTTGTTGTTGTTATTGTTAGTGGGATTGCATTGATTTGCACTCATCTTGGATGTCATTGGTATATAGAAATGCTACTGATTTTTGTGCATTGATTATATATCTGAAACTTTGCTGGAGTTATCAGATCTAGGAGCTTTTGGGGGTAGAGATTATGGGATTTCTAGTTGTAAAATCATAACGTCTGCAAGCAGAGATGGTTTGACTTACTCTCTTCCTGTATGATGTCTTTTATTTCTTTCTCTTGCCTGAATGCTCTGGCTAGGACTTCCAGTACTAGGTTGAGTAGGAGCCATGAGAGTGGGCATCCTTGTCTTGTTACAGTTCTCAAGCGGAATGCTTTCAGCTTCTGCCCATTGAGTATGATGGGCGGTGGGTTTGTCATAGATGGCTCTTACTATTTTGAGGTATGCTCCTTCAATATGTAGTTTGTGGAGGGTTTTTAACATAAAGGGATGTGGAGTTTTATCACAAGCCTTTTTCTGCATCTATTGAGATGATTATATGGCTTTGGGTTTTATTTCTGTTTATGCGATGAATCACAATTATTGATTTGCATATGTTGAACCAACCTTGCATCCCAGGAATAAAGCCTGGTTGATCATGGTGAATTAGGTTTTGATGTGTTGCTGGATTCAGTTTGCTAGTATTTTGTTGAAGATTTTTGCATCTGTGTTCATCAAGGACATTGGCCTTAAGAGTGTGTGTGTGTGTGTGTGTGTGAGTGTGTGTATGTGTGTATGTGTGTGTCTGCAAGGTTTTGGCATCAGAATGATGCTGACCATATAGAATGAGTTAGGGAGGAGTCCCTCCTCCTTCATATTTCATAATGCTTTTAGTAGGAATGGTACCAGCTCTTCTTTATACATCTGGTAGAATCTGGCTGTGAATCTGTCTGGTCCTGGGCTTTTTCTGGTTGGTAGGCTTTTTATTACTGATTCAATTTTGGAACTTGGTTTTTTCAGGGATTCAGTTTCTTCCTGATTCAATTTTGGGAGAATGGATGTTTCCAGGAATTCATCAGTTTCTTCCAGGTTTTCTAGTTTGTGTGCATAGAGGTGTTCATAGTAGTCTTTAAAAGTTTTTTGTATTTCTGTGGAGTTAGTGGTAATGTCCCCTTTGTCATTTATGATTGGGTTTATTTGGATCTTCTCTTTTTTTATTGGTCTAGCTAGAGGTCTACCAATCTTATTTACTCTTTCAAAGAACAAAGCTCCGGTTTTGTTGATCTTTTGTTTTTCATGTCTCAATTTTATTCAGTTCAGCTGTGATTTTGGTTATTTCTTGTCTTCTGCTAGCATTGAGGTTGGTTTACTCTTGTTTTTCTAGTTCCTCAAGGTGTGATGTCAGATCATTAATTTCATATCTTTCTGACTTTTTTGATGAGAGCATTTGGCATTTAAATAACTTCATTTTCTGCTTTAGCTGTCTCTCAAAGATTTTGGTATGTTGTATCTTTTTTCTCATTAGTTTCAAAAAATTCATTGATTTCTGCCTTAATTTCACTGTTTCCAGGTGCAGCTTGTTTAATTTCCATGTAATTGTATGGTTTTGAGTGATCTTCTTAGTATTGATTTCTATTTTTATTGCACTGTTCTGACAGTGTGACTGATATAATTTTGGGTTTTTTGTGAATGTGCTGAGAATTGTCTTATGGCTGATTGTGTGGTAGATTTTAGAGTATGTGGCATGTGCAGATGAGAAGAATGTATACTCTGTTGCTTTTGGGCGGAGAGTTTTGTAGTTGTCTGTTAGATCCATTTGGTCAAGTGTTGAGTTCACGTCCTGAATATCTTTATTAGTTTTCTGCCTTGATGATCTATGTAATACTGTCAGTAGGGTGTTGAAGTCTCCAGCTGTTACTATGTATTATCTGTGTCTCTTTGTAGGTCTCTAAGAAATTGTTTTATGAATCTGCTTCTGTGTTGGGTGCATATATATTTGGAATAGTTAAGTGTTCTTGTTGAATTGAACCCTTTACCATTATGTAATGCCCTTCTTTGTCTTTTTAAAAAATTATTGTTGGCTTAAAGCCTGTTTTGTCTGAAATTAGAATAGCAACTCTTGCTTTTTTGTTTTGTTTTGTTTTCCATTTACTTGGTAGATGTTTCTCCATCCCTTTACTCTGATCCTGTGGGTGTCACTGCATGTGAGATGGGTCTCTTGAAGACAGCATACAGTTGTTTCTTGCTTCTTTATCCAACTTGTCACTTTGTGACTTTTGACTGGGGCCTTTAGTTTGTTTATATTCAAAGCTAATATCGATATATACAGATTTCTTCCTGTCATCATGTTGCTAGCTGGTTATTACATAGACTTGATTGTGTAGTTGCTTTATAGTGTCAATGGCTATCTACTTAAGTGCGTTTTTGTGGTGGCCATTAACAGTCATTCCTTTCCATATTTAACAGTCCCTTAAGGACATCTTGTAAGGCAGGTCTGGTGGTATTAAATTCCCTTAGCATTTGCTTTGGTGAAAAGGATCTTATTTCTCTTTCACGTATGAAGCTTAATTTGGCTGGATATCAAGTTCTTGATTGGAGTACAGGCCTGTAATTTCTCCTGGCTTATAGAATTTCTGCTGAAAGGTCTGCTGTTAGCCTGATGGGGTTCCCTTCGTAGGTGACCTACCTCTTCTCCCTAGTTGCCTTTAATATTCTTTATTTTATGTCAACCTTGGAGAATCTGATGACTGTGTGTCTTGGGGATGGTCATCTTGTATAGGATCTTTCAGGGGTTCTCTATTTCCTGAATTTGAATGTTGTCCTCTCTAGTGAGGTTGGGGGAATTTTCATGGATGATATCCTCAAATATGTTTTCCCTGTTGCTTGCTTTCTCTCCTTCTCTTTCAAGGATGCCAACGGCTGATCGATTTGGTCTCTTTACATAATTCCATATTTCTTGAGGTTTTATTCATTCTTTTTTTCTTTAGCTTGTCTGCCTGAGTTAATTCAGAGAACCAGTCTTCGAACTCTGTGATTCCTTCCTCAACTTGGTGTATCCTGCTGTTAGTACTTGCGATTGCATTATGAAATTCTTGTAGTGAGATTTTCAGCTCCATCAGATCTTTTTTGTTTTTTCTTTTGAGATGGAGTCTTGCTGTGTCACCAGGCTGGAGTGTGGTGGCGTGATCTTGGCTCACTGCAACCTCTGCCTCCTGGGTTCAAGTGATTCTCCCACCTCAGCCTCCTGAGTAGCTGGGACTACAGGTGTGTGCCACCACACCCAGCTAATTTTTGTATTTTTAGTAGAGACGGGGTTTAACCAGGTTGGCCAGGATGGTCTCGATCTCTTGACCTTGTGATCCGCCCACTTCGGCCTTGCAAAGTCCATCAGATCTTTCTTATAATGGCCGTTTCATCTTTTAGCTCCTGTATCATTTTGTATTCCTTAGATTGGGTTTCAACTTTCTCCTGAATCTCAGTGATCTTTATTGCTCTCCATATTCTGAATTCTGTGTCTGTCATTTCAGCCTGGTTAAGAACCATCTAGTGTGGTCATTTGGAGGTAAGACACTCTGGCTTTTTGAGTTGCCAGTGTGTTTATACTGTATTTTTCCCGTCTGCATGGGCTGATGTTCCTTTACTCTTTGAAGTTGCTGTCCTTTGGATGGGTTTTTTTTGATGCCCTTAGGCATTTGATTGTGGTATAAGGTGAACTCAGCTGACTGGCTTCTATTCTGGAAGATTTCAGAGGGCTAAGGCTCAGCTCAGCACCCATGGGCTCTGTGCTTTAACTCTGAGGTGCCGGTATGAGTTTCCCAGCTTTGTTTTCTGGTCCCCTGCAGTTAGTAACCTGATGCACTGGAGAGGCTGAGGTGTTCCCGGTCTGCTGGCCCCAACACTTCGATGTGGGGTGCTGGCCACAGTACTTCATAGGAGCGGTGGAAGTGGGATCTGTGCTTGCTCATATGTGCCAGCAGCCACGGTGGCATGTCAGACTGCCTGTGCCTCAGCAGCAGTGGAGTCCCAGTGGAGGTGCGTAGGGCGGTGGGATGGGCTCTGCCATCAGTGGTAGGGCAGCAGGGTGCACATGCACATTCACGTTTTGCGGGGAGGGAGGGTGAAGTCTGCCAATACGTGTGTGCCGGCAAAGCAGTGGGAGAGATCTGTGGGTGAGTGTTTGCTGACAAAGTGGTGGGAGAGGCTGCTTGTGGGCTGGTCGCGTCGGTGGAGGCTGGTCTGCTGGAGCTCTCCAGTGGTTAGCTGCCATCTGCCCATGAAGGAGCTATGATGGGCCGCCCCTGGGAAGCACCCTGTTCGGGCATTGAAGGCTGTGCTGGAAGCTGGTGTGACCATGCTGGGGCCCTAGGAGAGGCTGGCACATGGTGGGTGGTGCTCAGATCAGACTGTCCTCATCCTATGGGCAAG
Source organism: Homo sapiens (assembly GCF_000001405.40). NCBI lineage: Eukaryota > Metazoa > Chordata > Mammalia > Primates > Hominidae > Homo > Homo sapiens. The sequence continues at coordinate 100,285,901 of NC_000015.10, read as the reverse complement.
ACCACCCTGGTCTGTGCAGGTCCAGCAGTCACCCAAAGGCTGAAGCCACCTAGAAGATCTTGGTAAGACTTGGGGGCTGGGCATCCATGGCCATGCTCCACTGTACCTGTTCCCACGCAAAACCCTCTGGGCTCCACACAGGCTGGAGTCCTGCCCCTGCCACCTCTCTCAGCAGCTCTCCCTGCCGGCTCAAGCATTCGTGCGGGTCATGGGATCTCCTGCAGCTAGGATTTCAGAAGTCTGTGGCAGGAGCAGGCTACTCCTTGCCTATTCAACTCAACTCTTCCCCAGGTCTTCCTTGGAAATGGCGTTGGTAGAATTTGAGATGCAGAGATTCTTCTTGTGTAGCAGAAAGTAAAGGAATTCTGAGAGGGGTTGTGGTTTTGAATTTTCATGCCAAATATTTTTTGATCTACGTATTGTTTTTCCCTAATAAATACCTGGATACTGTATCCTTTCTAAACTAAAGAGTATCTGTTCCATACAGAGCTTTGATAATTCACAGTTGAGATAGTTGTTGTTTTTATTTTTTCAGTTTTCAAAGTGGAGAACTAGTAACTACAATGACAGTTTATATATTTGCTCAACATTTTTGGCAGTCCCCAAACGTCTAGAGTAAATTGTAATTTGAAGATTCTAAAAGTCCATTTCTGTCTTTTTCTCTTCATCTTGTTCCAGAAGGATTTGAGGTATCTTACATAAATACATAAAATTTTCTTTTCTAATGGATAACTGAGGCAAAGGGAAAGAGATGTAAGAAAAATAGTATGAAGCCAGAGACTGAAAATTTTCCAAGTCAGTACCACCTCCAGCAAGGTGCTGGCAAAAGAAACTGCTGGGCTTGCCTTCAAGAATGCTTCCTGGTGTCTGTGACAACAGGAGAAGGCTTGAGGCCTGACCTGACTGCGATGTCCTCATCAGCGGGGCGAGAGCCACCCTTCATTCCCACAGCAGCTGGAGACAGCTGGTCACGAGCAGAGCTTGGAGCACTCCCCGGCTGGCCACACGCCCACCCACCTGCACTTTGACCTCTCTGGTGAGGTCAGAATCCAGCACATGTGTTATTCTGAAATTAGTGTTTTTCTTCTTACTTTTGAAGTTGCTATCATCTGTGAATATTGGCATCTGTGCAGCATTATCAAGCATATTTTTGCAGTTTAGGGAATTAAAGGTAAAAGTTTATTAGGGTTCTTTTCTCCCTGTAGGAAAAGGAATGACCATCAAAAATGATGCTGTGGGTCTCTGCTGAGGGAGTGGTTGAGATCAGGGAGGGAGGAGAAGGCTAAGGTGCCCTCTAGCCTCCCACCCCTCAGTGCTCCTGTTCTCACTTGCCAGCACCCCAGGAAGGACACTTGCGTTGGAAAGGAATGCAAGTCCACGGTCTCTTGCCTGCAGTTCCAAAATCCAGGGGTTTCAACACTCATTTTGTGGCAAGCTCTGCCCTGCACTCACATGGGGCTGTTGAGCAAGTGTCATTATTCATCCCTTTACCCACTGCATGCATTCCTTGGGTGAGCATTTATTTCCCCCCACCTGTGTGCTAGGGAATGGGGGAAAGGAGCCAATGACAGTCATTAGTGGAAGCTTGTGAAAACCACAGCGCACCTGCCCGTTTACCTGTTACTCAGTATTCTGGGTATGTGTTAACTCAGAGTGTGTCACTCTTTACGGCACCCTGTTAGGTTAGCTCTCCAAGGCCTAGGGAGGCACAGGTCTTATAAGTTTTTCTTTGTAAACTTGAAAGACACATACCCAGTACAGGATTTTTTGTTTGTTTGTTTGTTTGTTTGTTTGTTTAAGATGGAATCTTGCTCTGTCGCCCAGGCTGGATTGCAGTGGTGTGATCTTGGCTCACTGCAACCTCTGCTACCCAGGTTCAAGCAATTATCCTGCCTCGCCTCCCGAGTGGCTGGGATTACAGGCACGCACCACCATGCCTGGCTAATTTTTGTAATTTTAGTAGAGACGGGGTTTCACCAGGTTGGCTAGGGTGGTCTCAAACTCCTGACCGCAAGTGATCTGCCCTCCTTGGCCTTCCAAAGTGCTGGGATTACAGGCGTGAGCCACTGTACCCAGTGCAGTGCAGGATTTTGAAATGTTAAGTGTCCAGGAACAACCTGTCCCTCTGGTCTGGGAGTGACAGGCTACTTTTCTTAGAGAGCTCTCAGCTCTTACATGTTGATGCTAGCTGGCTCCTAATGTGTCCTGTGGGCCCTGCTAGGAATGCAGCTCTTTCTGTACTAGAACTTAAAAATATACGACAAGGTGTGAAAACAAGTACCGAATAACCAACGTGGGGAGCATCTGCAGATGGTGACTCAAAGAAATGGATTATCAACACTGACTTTGAGAAGGGCGGCGGCTGCCATTTGGCTCATACCTGATCGCCTGGGAGAACGAGGGTGTGCTGGTTACAACAGAGCTCCTGCTTGGGTGGCCCATCAGCTCTGCACCTTTAAAATGGAAACAAGGAAGGAATCTTCATAGATTCCAGGCTGGTCAGGTGAGAGATAACCTGGCTGGTGAGTGTGGGGGTAGGTCACTAGATTTTCCACCAGCGGCCTCTTTCCTTCTGCCAATGTGCAAAGGCACAGCCACCTAGGACCTTGATTTTGTGTTAGAATGGATGCTTTCTTCCCTTATTCCATCACTGAGGCCCGGAAGGCTTCAGGGGAGATGGGCCTGGCTCTGAGGGAGGAGGCCCATCCTGCAGGGCTGAGAAGACTTCATTTTGCAGTTTTGTGATAAATCAGATGGCATACTTTTCTCCCTCGAGAGCTTCTGTTTTATCGTTTAGAGTTTAAAAGTGATGCCTGTGTTTTTCTCAAACTCAATGATATTTCTTTAAAATACAGTAATACCTGCATATTATATAAATCTGGAAAATACAGAGGAAAATAGGAAAACGAAGATCACATACCACTATTCATATTTTGGTTCTTCCTAGGTGTTTTAGTATTTATTTTCCTTTGGGGCCTGAAGATACTTGTATGTAAGATTTTTGCAAAATCATGATCTAACTATACATGCAGATTTATATCGGCTTCTCTAGATCTCTAAGTCATCTTCGTGGTATGATTTTAATGGCTGTATACCTTTTTACTGTTGTTGGCTTTATCTATAGTTGTATATTTCCATTTTTTTGCCACTTTTTTGTGATTGTAATTGTGTTGTATAGCCATTTTTGTTTGTAAATTACGACCCATATCTCAGATTATTTCATAATACAGTGGTTACCTCTTATCTGTGGTTTCACTTTCCGTAGTTTCATTTATTCACGGTCAACCAGGCATCAAAAATAGGTGAGTACAGTACAATGAGCGATTTTGAGAGAGAGACCTCATTCACATAACTTTTAGTACAGTATATTGTTATGATTCCATTCGTTAATGTAAATCTCTTACTATGCCTAATTTATAAATGACACGTCATCGTAGGTATGTATGCATAGGACGTAACATAGTCTAGTAGATGTAGGGCTCGGTACTGTCTGTGGTTTCAGGGATCCACTGGGAGTCTTGGAACATAGCCCCTGCAGATAAAGAGGGCCTGCTGTATCCAGTTTTGGTCCTGGAATGATTGGGTCACTTTATGAAGCCGGTTGGTGCATATGTAGACTGTGTGTAGCAGAGATGTGTCCATATAGGCTAGTGCTAACATGGAAATAACTATCAAATGAGAGAGACTTCCTGTTTATATTCGGATTCTGAAAATGCATGCTGTTCATATCAACCTGTTGTGTTGGTCAGAGATGTTTCCATGTACAAAGACTATGGCAGATTTGGACCTGTAGGTGTGGGCTCTTTGATAACAGTAGCTGTTTATCAAAGTAAGATTTTACAGGGATATAGGTTATCTAGAGAATCAATGGAGAATTACTCACACATCTACTACTAATCCTTCCCTATTGTGAGGAAAGGGAAGATTTTCATTTTAGCCTGGATGTGGGTCGTATGATTTTCCTTCTGATTATGTATTTTTTTAAAAAACATAGTGTTTTTATGTCTACCAACATTTATGGCTCCTGATTCCTGAGTCCAAGAAGAGTTACTGGGATGCCAGCCCCCAGGGGAGTGTCCTGTCCCCTCTGCCCAGCTTCCTTGGTCCAGTTATCCACCTTGGGTGTGGCCTTTCAGACCCCTGCCCGCTGGGTCCAGGCCTCCTTTTCTGTGCGTACTTGGCAGCTCTCCGTGCTTCTCTAAAGGGGTGGGTTTTCTCCTCTGTTCCCCTCAGCCCCATTGGCCTCCCCAGCTGTGGTGGGAGTTGGGTGTGGGCCCCTCATCTGGCCTCATAGCTGTTACCCTTCTTTTGGGCCAGCACCCCCCTACGTGAGTGAACTCGGGGCACCCACATGACGGTGGAGATTGCTGGGTGCTGGGCCCCTCTAGGCCTGTCGAGACTGACCACTCTCTCGGGCAGGCTTGACAGAAGGCCTGTTCACTGCATGGTTTTGGAAGTCAGTAAGCCAAGGACCGCACAAATGTTTCCATCATTTTCTAGAAAAGAAGAAGCCGACGTGGGGCAGGCCTTCGCGGGACTGGCGGGAGCGGAGGAACGCTATCCGGCTCACCAGCGAGCACACGGTGGAGACCCTGGTGGTGGCCGACGCCGACATGGTGCAGTACCACGGGGCCGAGGCCGCCCAGAGGTTCATCCTGACCGTCATGAACATGGTGAGTCCGGAGCCGGGGTCCTGATGTGGGGGGCTCTGTTTTCTCCTTGATGAGAGATCTGGAAGCAGGTGCTGTGTCCTCATCTCCTCAAGTGAGGAAGACGCTGGGTTGGGGATACGGGAACATAGCCTGGTAATTCTGGGCATTGAGGAGGGCAAGTAACTGGGGGACATCCCGATGGAAGAGCACCTGCCCTCGGCTCCACACTGGCGTAGTGTTGAAGTGCCCAGATCTGCTCAGTGATGGGGCCACTTGTTACCAGAAGGCTTCCTTCCCAAAAGTATAAGACCCACTCCAAGCGGCAAAGTCCTGTGAATCCCAGACCCTGCTCCAAGGAGTCCATAGTCTAGCGGGGGGAACAAATTCCAACCTCTATGGGAAAAAGAGCTTACTGTGTTGACTTAGAGAGGCTGCCTAGTTGAGAGAACCAAGGAAGGAGTCAGGATGCCCACGTCTGTCTATGTCCGATTTGTCAAATGGGGATGGATGGGTGGTGAGGCTGACTCCTCAAATGTTAGACACTGAAGGACCTTCAAGGGCATCCTAGCTTTACCCACCCATTCATTTTCCCAGGTGTTTTTAAGGACCAAGTCATTTGACATGGCGGGAACGGGGAGCCATAAGGGTGTGGAAGTTGTGGACAGGGCCTGGTGAGGGAGGGCGGGCCAGGCATCTTGAGGAGCAGGGGCTCCACCCTGAGAAGTGGGACCACTGAAGGGGAGGGGAGCAGTGTGCCGAGGTTGATGTTAGGAAGAACAGCCCAGCAGCTGCATGCAGGATGGATTGGAATGGGAAGCAGTGTTGTGGAGCATTGGGGCTGGCGTGAGTGTGGGAGAGGTTGGAGTGGGAATGGAGGAGGGCCTGGGGTAAAAGGAAGGAGCTGCAGGAATTGGTGACTGGCAGGATGTGGGGGTTGGAGAGTCAGGAAGAGGAGGCAAGAGAAATCCAGGCTACTACACCCAGGCTTCAAGCTGGGCCTCTGGGTGGGTGGTGGAGCCATTGTCTGAGAAAAGGAGGAGCAATGAATATGGGGCCACAGCAAAGAGTTTCCATTCTGGACAAGCTGAATTCAAGGTGGGAAATCAGGACAGATGTCTTGGTGGGAAAGAGGGACCTGGGCTTTTCAGCCTACAGCAGCAGCTGAAGTAGCGGAGTGAGTAGCACTGCCTGGCTGAAATGTGTCAGTGAGTAGAGAAGCTGTCCAAAGACAGCCCATGGAGCACCAGCCCTGGGGGGGATGGGGCAACGACCTGGGAGGAGGTTGTCCTGAAGAAGGGGTGACAGGTGCAGGAGGAGCCTGGTTAACAATGCCAGATGGAATGGCATTAGGGAGTGTTGTCTGTAGATGCTTGATGAGGACAAACTGAAAAGTGAATGGGAAATGAGAAGCAGAAACAGCTACAACTCAGCTGTAGAAACAGCCAAGTTGCTGATCTTGGCTAAAGGAGAGGAGAGAGAAGCCTAGTCAGGTGGAATCTGGGTCAAGGGGAACTTTGTAGAGGGAAAGGGGTGCGAAGGTTCCGAGTGTGAGGTTTAGCCTCAGGCCTGGGCCAGACTCCTGCCCAGCCATAACAGAAGAACCTCTTTCAGTCTGCTGCTTATCAGCAGGTCAGGAATTTAGCTCTGGCCACAGTGAGTGCACAGTGCCTGGCCACAAATGGTCAGGCCGCTTATGGAAGGGAGTGACGCGAGAGGACAGGGCAAGGTTAAACGAAATGGGTGCAGTGGGGAATGACCCAGGGCCTGAGTTTTCAGTGGGGACACAGCAGCCGTGGGTTGTGGGGTAGGGAGATGACATGCCTATTCCCGGAATCTGCAGGGCCTTTGGGCCAGCTGCAGCCAAGGTCTTGAGGTCTAGCGAAGGTGCAGAGCCTGGGCTGGCCCAGGCCACAGGCGCCTTTGTTTGCTTGGTGTGATGAGCGCTGGAGCTCAGGGGTAAGTGCTGGGGAGGAAGTTGGCTCTGACATGAAGCCCAAGGGAGGGGCTCAGAGTGCGGGTAGGATAGCAGAGGGTGGTGGTCCTCATGGCTGGACAGGGTCTGCAGGTGACTCTTTGCCCATGTGTGGATGTTATGTTGCTGGGACCTCCGGTGTTTTAGAGGCGGATTGGGCGGGGCTGTGGCTGGGCAAGGACACAAAGCTGGATGAACCCCCAATGCACCGTTCCCACTGGGATCTCGGCTCTGGTAGTTGTGTAGCTGGGGCTGTGGTGGCTGGGAGGCCTGGTGGCATGTGGTGGCCTGGACAAAGGAGACCAGGACTGATTCTCCCCTTGTGGGGATGGGATCCCACAGCTTGTTTCCCAGAGGCTGAAGGAGGCCCGAGAGCAGGGAGGCTCAGGGACATTGCCAGGGTCACACAGGAAGTCACTGGCAGAGCTATGACCACCATGTCAAGCCTTTCTTTCCCCTAACCAGCCACAGGGAAATCAATGTTGAGGACCCCAATCCTGGGCCCACTGGGTGTGGGGAACCCCACGGCAATCCTGCTTGTTAGGAGGACAAATCTCTGGTACTTTGTCTTCCATTTCGTTGAAGACTTTCCAGGACTGGCTTTCGGGACATGCCTCTCTCTGCAGGAAACTCCCTCTATCTCCGCCATGCCCCTCACCCCTATTGTGCTCTGAAGGGAGGCTGCTTCGGCAGCACTCAGAGTAGAGGCCTCATGTCGAGCCGCTGGACCCACATGTTTCCTCATATGCCAGGCTCTTCTGCAAGGTACACTTGCCAAGGAGGCCCCTGGGACCTGGGCCAGGGATCTGCTTTCCGACGTGGCCTCAGTGGGCATGTGAGGGTGCCATGCTGCTCCCACCCCTCCTTCAAAGTCATCAACTCTGGAAGTTCCGTTAACTTAAACATTATTTTTTTGCAAGTTTCTTTTTCTGGGTTTTTTTTTTTTTTTTGTGGTAGAATGCATATGTAATACGAAATTCACCGTCTGAACCATTTTTATGTGGACCAGCTCAGTGGCCTAAAGCACATTCACCTTGTTAATGCAACCACCACCACCATCCACCTCCAGAACTTTTTCACTGTCCACAAAATGGAAACTTCCTGCCCATTAAACACTATCTTCCCCCTTTCCCTCTCCCCCAGCCCCTGCCAACCTCCATTCTACTTTCTATCTGTGTGAATCTGATGACTCTAGATACCTCATATAAGTGGAATCATGCAGTATTTATCCTTTTGTGGACAAATGGCTTATTTCAGTCACCATAATGTCCACAGAGTTCATTCATGTTGTGACATGTGTCAGGATGGCTTTCCTTTTTAAGGATGAGTAGTATCCCATTGCACGTACGTGCATCACCTTTTTCTTTTCCATTCGTCTGTCAGCATATGCCTGGGTTGTTTCTACCTTTTGCTACTGTGAATAATGTTGCTATGAACGTGGGTGTGCAAATCTCTGTTCAAGTCCCTGCTTTCAATTCTTTTGGGCATACACCTGGAAATGGAATTGCTTAACTTTTGATGGTGCTCAGCTCTCAGAAATAGTTCAGTGTTAACTTTTGATGATGCTCATTTCTGAGAAATAGTTCCGTGTTCCTCGTGTGCACAAACCCACGTCTCCCCGGTGGCCGGTTAATGACGGGCTGCATTGCTGCAGTCTGCCCGGAGCACGCCTGAGAGGAGGGCTGGAGGGGCTTGGCTCTGCACCAGATGTTTTCATCTGCAGATTATTTTATCTCTCTCTCTTTTTTTAATTATCCAGGGCACAAGTGCAAGGAATAAACATTCATTACAACAGCTAAGGTAGTAATAAGGCAGAGCTTCGACTTTGATATTTGCTTTCATAATTTATCATCCAGGCAGGGGTGGCTGTTTGATCCCAGGCAGGGAGTGGGAAGGGAATGGGGTTGGTACATGGAGACAGACACTCCCACCCTGCACCCCTCATGGGCCGTAAAGACTGAAGGGCTCTGTTTTTTGCCTTTGATTAAACACCCTGCACCCCTCTTCAGCTGCTTGTACTAAGACACTGGTGGCTCAAGAGCCCGGGGCTGAGGGCAGACCCGGGGCTAACACGTGAAGTTTGGATTGAGATGTTTCCTGAGGAGGCCTGCCTAATAAGGGTGATCCCACTGTGAGAAGGGCTGGGTGCGATGACTCTGAGCCCTTCTGTCGTCTATACTTGGGGTTTCCGGGGCCTTTTGATCCAAGCCAGAAGGCGAATGGAAGCAGAGTCGTCAGCCCCCTTGCACAGGGGGGCTCACACCGCAGCAGCCCTTTCTTGCCGCTCTAGCCCTGGACCACCATTAAGTAAATTGAAAAACAAGTTCCGTTCAGAGATGACACCTTGTTTAAACAAGACCACCTCCACCAGCACCCCCCTTTCTCAATCCCTCAAATCCTAGTTTAGGAAATCCAAAGAGTTCTTTCCTGCCTGCGGCTGTTTTAGAAAAGGGCTTTCCGTTAGCAAGTGAGATAACCTTTAAGCCGGGAGGACGGGAAAGGATTGTGGCTGGGCTGTCATTAGACAAGCCCCCTGGAACATAGAGCAGAACGTGATGCCAGCGAGCCCATCTGTTTCCCTCCAGAGCATGTTTTCTGTGGGGCTGTGGGATGGGAGTGGCTCTGTCTCCTTAAGCCCTCCAGATTTGGAAGGAAATCTGCTAGAGTTGGTTGCCACCTTCATTCCAACACATTTCTCTCCGAGTTGTGGGAAATAGCATGATTCGTGCTGATGGCCAGGCACCCACTCCCTCCCACCCTCCCACCAGGCACCCACTCCCTCCCACCCTCCCACCAGGCACCCACTCCCTCCCACCAGGCACCCACCCCCTCCCACCCTCCCACCAGGCACCCACACCCTCCCACCCTCCCACCAGGCACCCACTCCCTCCCACTCTCCCACCAGGCACCCACTCCCTCCCACCAGGCACCCACACCCTCCCACCCTCCCACCAGGCACCCACTCCCTTCCACCCTCCCACCAGGCACCCACTCCCTCCCACCCTCCCACCAGGTACCCACACCCTCCCACCTTCCCACCAGGCACCCACTCCCTCCCACCCTCCCACCAGGCACCCACTCCCTCCCACCCTCCCACCAGGCACCCACTCCCTCCCTCCTACCCTCCCACCAGGCACCCACTCCCTCCCTCCTACCCTCCCACCAGGCACCCACTCCCTCCCTCCTACCCTCCCACCAGGCACCCACTCCCTCCCTCCCACCCTCCCACCAGGCACCCACTCCCTCCCACCAGGCACCTACTCCCTCCCACCCTCCCACTTAGGTCTCTGTGGTCAGAGGCCTGGCCCGCCCATGTGTGCTGACCTGCCTGCCAAGGCATAACCCAGACAGTACCCTGTCCCCAGGGCAGACTGGGGCCTAACAGTGCCTCAGAGAGCTGATAGCATGGCCAAAGCTGGGAGAATTTGGCATCAAGCGTTTGCTCCGGGTTTCATAGCATCTCATGGTTTTGATGTATTAGATTAGCGTCAGCCACTGGCCCCAAGGGAAGATGTGACTGCTTATGATGCACCAGCTGTCCCAGATGGCAAAGTGCTTCCACCTTACTGCCTTCTCATACCTGGTGGATTTCGTCATTCCCATTTTACAGAGAAGGAAATGGAGGCTTGGGGACGTGACACAGCCAGGGTGCAGAGCCTGTGAGTACACAGTAGGGCAAGGACTCCAGTCCGGGACTGAGGGACCCCATGTCACCTTGTTGAAGGTGACAGGCATGTCTGGAACCCATCCTTTCTTTCTGTCTCCACCCTGGACTGACTGCCATTATTTCTGGCCTTGACAGCTGCTGGAGCTTCTTTGCCAGGCTTCTCACTTCCATTTTCTTCCCCCTTGAATCCTTGCTACAGAATAACCAGCAAGATCCTCTTCCTGCAGAATTGGAACTTTGTCACTAGGCAGCATTGGGCTCCTCTGTGGCTTCCCCTTGCATTGGATGGGGAAGGCCCCCCACCCCCTGCCTTTCATGTGGCCCTCCAGCCTGTGTGGCCAGGACCCATCTGCTTTTCCATTCTTTTTGCCATCAACACTGACTTTCACTAGGCAGCCCGAACTTGACTTACTGTCTTTGTCAGGAATGCTCTGCTTACGTGCCTTGTGGAACGAGTTCCTCTGCCTTTTAGGACTCTGTGCAAATGTCCCCTCAGAGGGTCCCTCTTTGCTGATCCCTCTGATGAGGCCCACCCTGTTTTCCTCAACATAAAAGCCTGCTCTTTCCTGGGTAGTCCTCATCTGAATTTACAATTCCATATTTATTTGCTTTCAAAAAACCATTCTGCTGAGGTTTTTAATGCCACTGAAGTTAAGCTGGTGTAAAGTCAGATTAGAGTGTTATAACTTTAATCCTAATTAAATATAATCCCCACAGTAACCCCAAAGAAAATAACTAGAGAATACATACAAAAGCAAATGAAAAGGGAATTAAAAGTTTCACTACCAAAAAAAAATATATGTATACATATAAAAGAAAATCAAATCAGCTAAACACAAAAGAAGTCAGTAATGCAGGAAATGAGGAACCAAAGCTATTACAAGCCATATAGGAAACAAATAACAAAATGGAAAAGTAAGTCCCTCCTTATCAGTAATTACTTGAAGTGTAAATTAATTAAACTTCAATCAAAGACAGAAATTGATGGCAGAATGAATTTGTTTTTTAAATCATAGATCCAACTATATGCGGTCTATAAGAGACTTACTGTAGATCAGACACAGAGGTTGAAAGTGAAAGGATAGAAAAAGAAATTCCATGCTAATTGTAACCAAAAGAGAGCAGGAGTAGCTATACTAACATCACACAACAGACACTTTAAATCAAAAAGCTTCCAAGAGGCAAAGGGGATGTTATATATTAATAAAAGTTCCAATATATAAGAAGATATAACAGTTATAAATATTTACACATCTGATAACAGATCATCAAAATATATGAAATAAAATTGATAGAACTGAGAGAAATACACAGTTGTACAATAATAGTTGGAGATTTCAATCCCCACTCTCATTAGTAGATAGAACAACCAGACAGAAGAAAAGGAAATAGAAGACTTAACACAATAAGTCAACTGGATCTAGCAGACATACACAGAACACTCTACCCAACAACAATGGAAGACTTTTTTTTCCTCAAGGGAACATGGGACATTCTGCAGGATAGACCATGTGTTAGGTCACAAATTAAGTCTCAACAGATTGAAAAGGTTGATATTATACAAAGTACCATCACTGACAACAATGGGGTGAAGTTAGAAATCAGTAACAGAAGGAAAACTGGAAAATTCACAAATTTGTAGAAATTAAACCACATACTATTAAATAACCAAAGAGTCAAAGAAGAAATCACAAGTGACATTGGAAAATACTTAGAGATAAATGAAAACAAAAACACATGTCAAAACTTATGGGACAAGGACAAAGCACTGCTTAGGGGGAAATGTATAGCATGTATAGCGGTAAACACTTAAAAAGAAAAATCTCAAACAATCTGACTTTACAACTTAAGGAACTAGAAGAAGAACAAGCTATTTTATTCCTTCTGCTAGCTTTGAATTTAGCTTTGGATTGCTATGGATTAAAGCAGAGAGAAAAGGACAGAAAAACAATAGAGCCAATGAAACCAAGAGTTAGTTCTTTGGAAAGATTAAGAAAATTGACAAACCTTAGCTAGATCGACTGATAAAAAAGCCTCAAATTACTAATAACACAAATGAAAACAGGGACATTACGACCCATTCTACAGAAATAAAAAGGATTATAAGAGAGTACTATGGACCATTGCATGTTAACAAATGGATAACCTAGATGAAGTGGACAAATTCCTAGACACACAAAATCTACCAACACTTAATCACAAAGAAATAGAAAATTTGAAGAGTCATAATTAGTAAGGTAACTGAATCAGTAATCAAAAACCTCCTAATAAAGAATAGCCCTGGACATTATGACTTCATTGGTAAACTATACCAAACATTTAAAGGAGAGCTAACACTAGTCCTCCTCAAATTCTTCCAAAAAAGCTGAAGAGGAGAGAACACTTCCTAACTCATTCTGTGAGACTGGCATTCCCTGATAACAAAGCCAAAGAAAAGAAACAAAACTACAGTCCCTTATAAATAAGAAAACAATAGTTCAAATATTCATTGACGTAAAAGTCCTCAATAAAATACTAGGAAACCAAATTCAATAGCATATTAAAATGATTATACATCATGATCAAGTGGGCTTTATTCCTGGAATGCAAGGATGGCTCAACATAGGCAAATCAATAAAAAAAGTGATATACTTGATTAACAAAATGAAAAGAGAAAATGATCATCCCAATTTATACAGGAAAAGAATTTGATAAAATTGAGCAGCCTTTCATGATAAAAGCACTCAATAGACTAGGAATAGAAGGAAACTACCTCAACATTATAAAGGTCATATATGAAAAACTCACAGCTAATAATACACTCCGTGGTGAAAGACTGAAAGCTTTTTCTTTAAAATCTGGAACAAGGCAAGAGTGCCTGCTTTTGCTACTTCTGTTCAACATAACACTGGAAGTTCTAGCTAGAGCAGTTAGGCAAGAAAAAGAAATTGAAGGCCTCCAAATAAGAAAAGAAGTAGTAAAATGATCTCTGTTCACAGATGACATATTTATTACATGTAGAAAACCCTAAATCTTACACACACAGAGAGAGAGACAGAGAGAATGCTAATAAATTCTTTGCAAAGTAGCCACGTACTAAACCAACCACAAAAATCAGTTGCATTTCTATATGCTAACAATAATCTGAAAAGAAAATTAAGAAAACAGTTCTGTCTTCAGCAGCATCAAAAAGAATAAAATACTTAGGAATTAACCAAATAAGGGATAGAGTTTTACATGGAAAGCTGTAAAACATCAATGAAGGAAATTAAAGAAGACATAAATGGAAAGCCATCATGTTCATGGAGTGGAAGACTTATTGTTAAGATATCAATGTTATCCAAAGCAGTTTACAGATTCAATGCAATTTCTATCAAAATCCCAATGACTTTTTTGCAGAGATAGAGAAATCCATTCTAAAATTAATATGAAATCTCAAAGGACATTGAATAACCAAAACCATCTTGAACAAAAGAACACAGTAAGACTCACACTTCCTCATTTCAAAATTTACTCAAAAGCTGTAATAATCAAAACACTTTACTGACATAAAGACAAACCCAAAGATCAGTAAAATGAAGTAGAGCTCAGCAATTAACACATATATATGGTCAAATAATTTTTGGTAAGGATGCCGAGACCTTCAATAGAGAAGTGACAGTCTTTTCAAGAACTGGTGCTGGGAAAGCTGGGTATCTGTATGCAAAAGAACAAAGTTGGATCCTTACCTAACATACAAAAATTAACTCAAAATGGATCAAAGTCCTAAACAGAAGAGGTAAAACTCTTAGAAGAAAAAACGGAAAAGTTTTGTGAGATTTGATTTGGCAGTGATTTCTTGGATACAACACCAAAAGCACAGGCAGCAAAAGGAAAAATAGACAAATTGGAATTCATCAAAATTAAAAACTCTTGTGCCTCAAAGGATACTATCAACAAAGTAAAATGGCAACCCACGGAATAGGAGGAAATACTTGCAAATCAAATATTTTATAATATCCAGAATATATAGAAAGCTTCTAAAACCCAGGAAGGAAAAAAAAAAACAATTCAATTTAAAAAATGGGAAAGGACTTAGGTAGACATTTTTACGAAGAAGATGTACAAATAGCCAATAAGTACATGGAAAGATACTTGGCATCAATCATCAGGGAAATGGAAATTAAAACTATAATAAAGTACCACTTCACATCCATTCCCATGGCTATTATAAAACAAAAAAATAAAACACCAAAACAAAACAGAAGTGTTGACAGTGATGCGGAAAAATGGGAAATTTTGTACATTATTAGTGGGAATATATAGAAAATGGTATGATTCCTCAATGAAACAGAATTACCATATGATCTAGCAATTTCACTTTTGAGTAAACACCCAAAAATGTTTATCCCAAAGCAGGGACAAGAACAGATATTTATACACCAATGTTCATAGCAGGATTATTCACCATAACTAAATGGTGGAAGCAACCCAAAGTGTCCACAGATGGATGCGTAGGTAAATAAATATAGCGTATAGGTATAATGGAATATTATTCAGCCTTAAAAAGGAAAACAATTCTGACACATGCTGTAACATAGATGAGCTGTGAAGACATTATGCTACGTGAAATGAGCCAGTCACCAAAGAACAAATACTGTGATTCCACTTACGTAGGGTAGTGAATTCACAGAGACGGAAAGTCGAATAGCGCTGGCCAGATGGCTGAGAGGGAGGAGGGAATGAAGAGTTGTCTAATGGGTACAGAGTTTCAGCTTTACAAGATGAAGAAAGTTTTGGGGATAGGTAGTAGTGTTAGTGTATAACAGTGTGAATATATTTAATGTCACTTAATTGTAAGCTTAAAAATGTTTAAAATGGTAAAATTTTATGTTATGCATATTTTACCACAATTTTTAAAAACATCCTACATATCACCTGCCTTTGCAGTATCCATAAGCTCATCAAGGTAGGCCTATGTCTACACCATCAACATTTTGTCAGTGCCTGGTACGCATGCAGGAGATGATCCAGAAATATTTGTGTAGTCAGTGAATGCATAAATGAATGACTGATGCCATATACCAGCATCCTTTGCGAAGGATTCAGTGCTGAAGTCACAGAAACAAACACTGGCTTTACTTTTTTAATTCCTAGGCAAATTTGCTTCTGGAGAGCCTTTTGTATTCTAAGCACATCCCACGGATATGGTGTATTAAACTCTGTTTGAAAGTGTTTATGCATAAATATAATAATACACTTATACTTCCTACACAGCCCCTGAGGTAGGCTGCTGAACTATGGGCCATCTCCTCTAGGTCTTGTCTTTTACCGAGGGTGGTACAAGATGGAGAAGATAAAACAAGCATGGTTAAAAAGAAAAACTGCACCAAGAAAGAATGCCTGGCGGCTACAAATGGCTTCTCATCCACACCCTATTGAAGAAATGGCTCCAGAGTCACAGAAGAAATGGCTCCAGAGCCACAGAAGAAATGGCTCCAGAGTCACAGAAGAAATGGCTCCAGAGTCACAGAAGAAATGGCTGCAGTCAGAGCAGATCCACCTTGGCCGTTTTTAAGAGCTTATGAAGCCTGGAAGAGGTCCCAGAGAAAACTGGCGTCATGCAAAGTGGTCTCATTTTTGAACAAGGAAGAAAGGAGTCTTGTAAACCCTAGAGCAATGCATTTGGCCCTTCTTGTATTGGTTGGGGATTTTGATTACAAGCAACAGGGGCTGGATCTGGGCTGGCTGAAGTAGAAAAGGAATCCCAGTTTTGGAGGTATAGAGGGAGGCATCCAGAATCAAAATGAAGACCGAGTCTCCAAGCTCAGAGTTTGGGGAAAGTTTGGAGGGAACTTGGGAGGCCAGGAAGCAGGAGAGATGAAGGCTAAGGTCAGGTGAGGAGTGAGGGCTGGTCATGCAGGCTTGACCTCTCAGGCTGGATTCCTGCTGCCGCTTCTCTGTCCCAAGAACATCTCCTGACTGTCTACTGTCCCTCCTCCAGGAATCAGAGCCCCGAAGGGAATCCAGGGAACAGGACTGCTCTGGGGCTGCGAGGGCGGGCAGAGTGAGTCTCTATCCACTGAGGTTTCAATGGTGGGAAGAAGGTCCTTGCCATTCTCTAGAGCTCACCTCCTGGGAGCAGTTTTCCTCAATGAATACAGCAATAGATGCTGTTTGGCCCCTAAAAAAGTAAAAATTAAAGATCAGTCAATCAATCAAAATCCCAGCAATGTGTCTAGTTACCACAGAGGCTAGAGTATAAAAGAAGCTTATTCATATGACATATGACCCAACACCTCTACTCCTGGGTACATAAAGAAATGAACTGATAGTTTCTTTTGCTGTACAGAAGCTCTTTAGTTTAATAGATCTCACTTGTCAATTTTTGTTTTTGTTACAATTGCTTTTAGGACTTAGTCATGAATCCTTTACCAAGGCTGCTGTCCAGAAAGGTATTTCCGATGTTTTCTTTTAAGGTTTTTATAGTTTGAGGACTCGCATTTAATCTTTAATCCATCTTGAGTTCATTTTTGTATATGGTGAAAAATAGGGGTCCAGTTTCATTCTTCTGCATATAGCTAGCTATCCCAGCACCATTTATTGAGTGGGGAGTCTTTTCCCTATTGCTTATTTTTGTTAACTTTGTCAAAGATTAGATGGTTGTAGGTATGATGTGGCATTATTTCTGGGTTCCTGTTTCTGTTCCATTGGTCTGTGTGTCTTGTTTTTGTATAAGTGCTATGTTTTTTGGTTACTGTAACCTTCTAGTATAGTTTGAAGTCAGGTAATGTGATACTTCTGGCTTTATTATTTTTGCTTAGGATTGCTTTGGCTGTTCTGCCCCTTTTTTGGTTCTATATGAAGTTTAGAATAGTTTTTTCTAATTCTGTGAAAATGATGTTGGTAGTTTAATAAGAATACAAGCTACAGGATGGGAGAAAATATTTGCAAACTATCTGACAAAGGTCTAACATCCAGAATCTATAAGGAATTTAAACAGTGCAAAAGCAACCCCATTAAAAAGTGTGCAAAAAACATGAACTGACACTTCTCAAAAGAAGACATACACACGGCCAACAAACATGTGAAAAGATGCTCCACATCAGCAATCATCAGAGCAACGCAAATCAATACCACAAGATACCATCTCACACCAGTGAGAATGGTCATTATTAAAAAGTCAGAAAAATAACAGATGCTGGCAAGGTGCAGAGAAAAATGCTCATACGCTGTTGGTGGGAAGGTAAATTAGTTCAGTCACTGTGCAGGGCAGTTTGGAGATTTCTCAGAGAACTCAAGACAGAACTACCCTTTGACCCAGCAATCCCATTACTGAGTATACACCCAAAGGCGTATAGATCATTCTGCCATAAAAACACATGCATGCATATGTTCATTACAGCACCGTTCACAATAGCAAAGACATGGAATCAACCTAGATGCCCATCAGTGGTAAACTAGATAAAAGAAAATGTGGTACATATACACCATAGAATACTACACAGCTGTAAAAAAGAACAACTCACGTCCTTTGCAGCAACATGGATACAGCTAAAGGCCATTATCCTAAGTGAATTAATGCGGGATCAGAAAACCAAATGCTGCATATTCTCACTCATAAGTGGGAGCTAAACACTGGGTACATGTGGATATAAAGATGGCAACAATAAAATAGTTACAAAAATGGATAAGTTACAGTATTTGATAGCACAACAGGGTGACTATAGTCAGTAATTGTATATTTTAAAATAACTAAAAGTGTAAATGTATTGTCTGTAAGACAAAGGATAAATGCTTAAGGTGATAGGTACTCTGTTTACCCTGATGTGATAATTATGCATTGTATGCCTGTATCAAAATATTTCATGTACCCCATAAATGTATACACCTACTATGAACCCACAAAGATTAGAAATAAAATTTTTTAAAAGGTGGCAGCAGACACTGCGGACTACTAGAGAAGGGAGACAGGGAGGGGGGCAAGGGCTGAGGAACTACCTCTGGGTACTATGCTCAGTACCTGGGTGATGGGGTGATTCGTATCCCAAACTTCAGCATCACGCAATATACTCACGTAACCAACCTGCACACATACCCCTGAATCTAAAGTAAATGTTGACATTATAAATATATATTCATTTAGACTTACCACGAAAATAAAAAAAGAAATGAATTAAAAGCAGAGCCTGGAAGAGGTATCTGTACACCCGTGTTCACAGCAGCATTACTCACAATGGCCGAACGATGGCAAAAACAGCCAAGGTGTCCATTGGCAGATGGGCAGATAAACAAAACGTGGGGTGTCCATACAATGGAATATTATCCAGCCTTAAAAAGGAAGGAAATTCCCACACACGCCACAGCATGGATGAACTTTGAGGACAGTATGCCAAGTGACACAAAAACACAAGTGCTAAATGACTCTGCTTACATGAGGTAACTGCAGTGTCCAAGTCATAGAAACAAAGTAGAATGGGGGTTGGGTGGGGGGCAGTGGGAGTTAGTGTTTCATGAGTATAGAGCTTCGGTATTGGAGGATGAAAAGAGTCCTGGAGGTTAATTGTACAATAACGTGAACGTAATTAACACTACAGGTAAGTACACGGTTGTGCACTAGTGGGTGAGATGGTAAATTTTATGTTCTGTTTGTTTCACCAGAAATACAAAAACAATTGACTGATTCTACTCAGATTGATTTACTGGGTACTTAGTGTGTGCTAGGGACCCTTGCATCCTCTGCTGGGATAGAGTAGGGACCACCGGAGGTCTCATCCTCCGGAGCTCATGCAGTAGGAACGACAGACAGCATTCAACATGCAAATCAGTGAGAAGGAAAACCAGAGCGTGGTAAGTGCCCTGCAGAGAACCAGGGGACAGCAGTGACAGGTATCAGGGCCACCTCTCTGAGAGGAGTGAGGTGGCCTTAGAGGGGAAGGTGTTAAGCCAACATAAGCAACCAGCCAGTGGTGGTCAGGCTGGCATTGGAGAAGCACAGAAATAGCTGGTTGCTTGTGGGTGATGGGGAGGGTGATGGGGGCACAGTGAGAAGCGGGCAGGCCGACCTTGCAGGCGGGGAGGCCAGGGTGTGGAGAGCAGCCTCATTCCAGGCAGTGGGAAGCTGCTGCACGGGCTTAAGCAGAAGAGGGATGGGCTCCAGTTAGTGTTTTAAAATATGCTTCTGCCTGCCCTTACCTGGGGGAATGGAGTTCGGCTCCTGGCTCTGTGTCCCTGGCAAACCGCTCACCTGTGCAGGTACATGTAGAGGGCGAAGGCTCCATCGGGCCAGGCGCCCAGCAGCACTCTGGCCCTGCAGTTGTGGGTTTTCCAGATGTGCTGTGCTGGTTTTGTGTGTACATCATGTGATTCTCCTTTGGTTGGGGTGGCGGTGACACGGGAGCAGGAATATTTTAAAGAACAAATTGCAGACGGAAGCAGGTGGTGCTGATACCAGAAACCGTGGGTGTGGGCAGCCAAATTGGAAAATGGGGCAGTTTAACAGAGCTTTGGTTGTTCTTAGCTTCCTTAACGACCGTGGAGTGGAATGAAAAACCTGAGCTGTTCCAGGCAAGTTCTGTTTGGAGGGAAAATGACATGAATTTTACTCAGTTACCATGTGGAAGAGACAAGCCTCTCTCTGGTGACCAGCAAGACTAGCATAGTGCTAGAGCACTGGCTGGTTCCCACACTCCGGTGGGTGTGGAGCAGGGTGGGGAAGGAGCACTGTTCAACACAGATGACCTGCCCACACCCAGGGTCTCTGATTCAGTGGGGGCTGGGGTGGACTCCAGAATGTGCATTTCCAACAAGTGCCCAGGTCATGTTGGTGCTGCTGCTTTGGGGACCCCACTCAGACACTGTGCTACAGAGCATAGCTTTCTCCTGTTTGGGGGTCTTAATAGCAGTGTATGCAACCTGAGAGTGTCACCCACAGGTCCCTGTGTGGCTCTGGGGGGAGGCCTTGGGTCACACAGGTAGGTGGTGCCCTTGTGAAGCCCAGCCTGGCGTGGTGAGCAGCTCCACTCCTTGTGCCTCCAACCACGGCTCCTTCTCTGGTACCTGTCTGCCCCTCCCTTGCTGTGTCCCTACATTGCCTAGCCAGAGAAGCCGTAGTGTGCTGCAGGCGGCAGGTCCACCCTGCTAGGCCCCTAGGCTGCCAAGGAAATGTGACAAACGCAGCCAGGACTGAACACTTGCTGGGATGCCGCCAGAGCTGGACGCCGGAGACGGAATTTCCAGACGCTTGGCTGCGCTGTTCCCTCCCCAACCAGGTGTCTCCCTAAACATATAGCCGTTGCCTCCAAGACTTCTCCTGAGCATGAGTTTCCATGGGAAAAAAAAGAAGACGAGACTTTGTTACATGTCTTTGAGGCTTGTGCCTTGTGTTTTGTGGCTGTCGTCGGATTGTCACCTGGCTCGCCTGGCTTGGCACGGGACCTCAGTTGATTCTGAACGTGCGCCTTGCCCTGTGCTCTGAGCCTTGTCAGAGCCTGTGGTCGGCACCTGGCAGGTGACAAAGTGCTTGAGCTGTGTTCAGGCCTTGGTACCTGCTCTCTTGGACGTCAGTGCCCTAGTTACATGTCAAGGGGAAATTTCTTCTTACAAGGCTTGCTAGAGAACATTATTTAGAGCATGAAGCTTTATTTTTTTAATTCGTTAACTTTGTACTTTTAATTGTAGTAAAATACACTTAACATGAAATTTACCACCTTAGCCATTTTTAACTGTGTGGTTCGGTATTCTTAGGTTCGCATTGCTGTGCAATCAATCTCTACAGCTTTTTTATCTTGCAAAACGGAAACTCTGTACCCATTAAACACCTTCCCATTTTTGCCTCCCCCCAGCCCCTGGAACACGAAACTTTCCCATCCCCCTTCCATCTCTCACCTTTTTAGTGGCATTTGTTCCAAGGGAGGCGACTGAGCTTTGGGCTAATGGTGTATGGGGTGCATGTGGCTCTGAACTGTCATCAGCCAGCCAAGGAGAAAATGGGTGATTTTGACAAGGGAGCTTGTTCCTACAGTTTTGTTCTTCCTGAAACTTGCACTGTTCCTTGCAGTCTTTCCTTTTGTGGCATATCAGAATATGACTGAGGATTGCTTTCTCGTGTTACTTCTTTAAATCTGTAGTATTCCTTAATGTTTCTGGTTTTGACTGGGCTTGGCGTGACAGGCAGTGTTTAGATTGTGCTGTGCAATCTCAGTGAACACTGTGCAACTTGAATTTTCTCCCTCATAACTTCAAGTTTTCATTCTTCCTAATTTTCATGTTTTGAACTGAAATTTACCAGTTTAGATCCAATTCTGATGCTGAATATTTTAAGGAAAATTTGAATTACAGCCATTGGATGGTTCTCGAACTATCAAAACAGGAACAAGTTGGGTGCCTCCCCCCTCCTCCCCCAGGCTTGGGGATAGGACATGAATATGTGACTTCAGAACTGGCTTGTGGATGGTCCAGTATTAAGAAAACAACAGCTAGTTGTTCCTGAGGAAAGGAGATTTTGGAAATCGCAGAAGTGAGAACAGAACAACTGAATGTGTTCTATTTTTCCTTGTGTGAAAGAATATTACGTCACACAAAGATAGGTTTTTTTTAACTGTAATAATGGTTTTCAAAGAGTAAAATTCGAGCAGTGACACGGCTGATTCCTTTGTCACGGAGATGCTCAAACACTGCGTGCCTGGCTTCTAGCGCTTGTGGGCTGGGTGCAGCCGTGTTGAGCGGCTCCACTCGGCCTGAGTTGACCCTGGTGATGCTGTCTACCGTGCTTAACGCTTGCTGCTGATGCTGATGTATTGATAGCGTGAACACAGCACCTGCTGGAGAAAGTTTTAATGTTCCTGCTGGAAAATTCTCCCTCCTGGGTTATGTCTATAGGTAAAAACCAAGTAGAATATTTAAAAGATTCTCATTCTTGTTCCCTCCAACCTTCCATCTGCCACTACCTTTACTATGCTCTCCGCGTACCTCTCGCAATCCTGTTTTCTCTGCGTTATGGCAAAGGAACTCGGCAGAGTCATAATGACCTGGGGCTCGTCAGCTGCAGTGGGCTTTTTCCATCCATGTCAACTTTGACTCCTTCGCCTTATTCCAGGTTTTCCTTCTCTTCCTCTTGAATCACTTTGCTGTGACTGCTTGATGTTGAGGTCCTTACAATTAAGTTCTGCAACAAGACATGCAAAATTGAGAAAGATAGGTCCTTTTCTGTTATTGCAATTTATTTCAGTGACAAACTTTGGTTACAATGGGACTTGAGGGAATAAAGAAGGAATGTGGACCTTTTGGCTGGACAGGGCTGAGTTTGAATCAAGCCATTGTGACTGGCTGTGGGTCTCATGCAGGTGGCTTTACCTCGATGAACTGGTTTCTGTGTTTCCCAGCTGAGAGTAGTGGAGATGCCAGCCTTGGTGGGGTGTGGCAAGGGTTAGCAATGACACAGGCTGGCGTTCAGCAGCAGGCATCTGTCTCCCCCAGCCCCTTCATGAAGGTCGCCTTAAACCCCAAGCATGAAAGCCCAGAATGGAAGTTTTCAACCTTCTGCCCCTTCTTTTTTTCAAAACCACCTTTCGTATGCGTGGTTTTTTTTAACCAACTATTTCCAGCTTAGCTTTATCTATATACATAAGCATACTGTATATGTATGTTTGCACACGTGTGTATGATTCTAGAGGTTTCTCTTATATACATTTTTCTTTTGGCAAATCCATTTTTAAGGACATTTTTGTCTTTCCTGGACAACCTTTTAAATAAAATCTGGGTTATGTTTCTCACGTATGTATTTTTTGTTCCAATAAGACTTGATGTATGGACACTGACATTTGAATTTCACATAATTATTCTTTAGGTTTTTTGTTTTTTTTTTTTTTTAGTACTGGAAGAGTACAACCTATATTTTTAATATTGATTTTTAAATTTGTTATGAATGGAATTTGTATTTTAGAACAATTTTAGATGTACAGAAAAGTTGATCAGTTAGTACAGAGAGCTGCCATACATAGTTTCCCCATCATGAGCCTCTCATATTAGAATGGCATGTTTCTTGTAATTAATGCACCAATACTGATACAGTGTTATAAACTAAAGTCTACGCTTTATTTCTATTTCCTTATTTTTACATAATCTCTTTTCTGTGTCCCAAGTTCCCATCTAGGATACTACTGTATTTTTAAAATTTTTTATCTTTATATCTTTATTTCTTTTTTCTGTCTTGATAGGTATACAATATGTTTCAGCACCAGAGCCTGGGGATTAAAATTAACATTCAAGTGACCAAGCTTGTCCTGCTACGACAACGTCCCGTAAGTCCCCACAGGCACCTTTCAAGCAAGCAGAAAATGTGGCTGGGCTGGAGCTTCTCAACTGCTGTTGAATGCTAAGCGGGGCTCCAGGGAGTTGCCAGTCTCCGTCACTCTCTGTGGCTTTGCCAGCGTGAGAGGAAAGCCGGCATCAGTACCGGAAGCATGGTGTGAGGGGGGGCTGTTGAGAATCTCAGGGAACCCTAAGCAGTGAGCCCACACACATCCACCTCTCCCGGAGGGTCTCGGATGGAGTCTCTAGGATAGTGCAAAGCTTGATGGCAAGGTCTCTGGCATTGTGGCTCCCCTTCTGAAACTACATTAGAGCTTCGACCCCAGTTTGGGTTCATGGCAGCATCATTTTCTGGTCTTTCAATGGAGCGCCTTCCCACATGCTGATGTTACCTGCCGGGTCAAGCCACCACCATGAGACTGAGGGAGCATCGCTTGGTTTGGGATACTGTTCTGTTTGCAGAAAAGAAGATGCTTTTTTAAAAACAGCATAGTCTTCACTTGCACCTATATGTAAGGCCCCTGATGGTCTCTCTGGATCTATGCCACGTACCCACTAGCATCAGGCTTTTCTTCGAGGGCCGTGAGTCATCAAATGATGTCTCAGTGAGTGACTGCCTCCACCTTAACGTCCTTGTCATAGTCTGGAAATAAACTCTGGCCTCCCAGGCGTTTGTTTCTCTAACTGTCCTCTGACTTTTTTTAGGCTAAGTTGTCCATTGGGCACCATGGTGAGCGGTCCCTGGAGAGCTTCTGTCACTGGCAGAACGAGGAGTATGGAGGAGCGCGATACCTCGGCAATAACCAGGTTCCCGGCGGGAAGGACGACCCGCCCCTGGTGGATGCTGCCGTGTTTGTGACCAGGTAAGATGGGATTTGGCCTGTAGCTGACATGTGAGAGGGAAAAGATGTTTCCCTTCAGAGAGGAAATAGGCATGTTGTTAAGAACTCAGGCTTGGAAATCAGACCTTGGGCCACCTGTCTGGGTTTTGGTTTCCTCATTAGTAAGTGGGGGTTAACGGTGGTATCCACCTCTGAGGTAGGTACGATGCCTGGGCATGTAGCTGTGTCCCTCTTTGTCCCTCCTCCATTGTCACATGGCATTTTCCCTGCCTGTGACTCTGTCCAGACTTCCCTCTTCCTATAAATATAACAGTCATGGGATTTGGGCTCACCTTACTCCAGTGTGACCACATCTTACCTTGATTCTACCTGCAGTGACCCTTTTTCCACATAGGGTCACATTCACAGGTACTGAGGGTCAGGACTTGGACATTTCTTTTTTGGGGGATACAACTGTTGTATGTCATTGATGTCGATGTGGCTATATCATTTTTTTCTTATGTTTTCAACCCTCTTTGAGAACACTGATTTTTCTTTGGTTGCTTTACTTTAATAACTTAAACAAAATGTGTTACATGTTCATACCAAAACTCTCCCTTTATAAAATACACAGAAATATTCCTAAATAACTTAATGCATTAGATTAAAAATACCAGCTTTTTATTAGAGTTGCTAAGAATATGTCAACTTTGAATTTTAATGACTTTTTTTAATTTAAAGAAACTACTTCCCAAATTGCGTGCTTGCTTTTCCAACTCTGTGAATTTGGAAGTAAAGTTGTGGAAGGGAGAACTTTATCGTATCTTTAGCTTGGGGACAGTTTGTTTCTCCACAAAAAGGTTTTTTGTTTTGTTTTGTTTTTTGTTTTTTGGTTTTTTTTTTTTTGAGATGGAGTCTCCTCTGTTGCCCAGGCTCAAGTGCAGTATGACGCAATCCTGGCTCACTGCAACCTCTGCGTCCTGGGTTCAAGTGATTCTCCTGCCTCAGCCTCCTGAGTAGCTGGGATTACAGGCGTGTGCCACCACACCTGGCTAATTTTTGTATTTTTAGTAGAGATGGGGTTTCACCACATTGGCCAGGCTGGTCTGGAACCCCTGACCTCAGGTAATCTGCCCGCCTTGGCCTCCCAAAATGCTAGGATTACAGGTGTGAGCCACCACGCCTGGCCATCCACAAAGAGTTAAATCTCACTTAACATTTGGTTTTGAGTCAAGAAAGGCTTTTGGTTGCATTTCTCAGGCCATGTGCTGCAAACTCTGAGCCCCATGACGTCTCAGTCATCTGGGGAAGTTCTGTGACCCCAGCCCCAGACACCGGACAGTGCAGCTTTCGTTCCTTTCAAAAATCCCAGAATAAGCCGGGAGCGATGGCTCATGCCTGTAATCCCAGCACTTTGGGAGGCTGAGGCGGGCGGATCACCTGAGGTCAGGAGTTCGAGACCAGCTTGGCCAACATTATGAAACCCCGTCTCTACTAAAAATAGAAAAATTAGCTGGGCGTGGTGGTGCACACTTGTAATCCCAGCTACTTGGGAGGCTGAGGCAGGAGAATTGCTTGAACCGGGGAGGCAGAGGTTACAGTGAACTGAGATCATGCCATTGCACTCCAGCCTGGGTGACAAGAGTGAAACTCTGTCTCAAAAGAAAAACAAAAACCAAAATCCTAGAATAGACACAATGCCACCACCCATTGCCAAATGGATGCCTGCTCACTCTTGTGGATGGTTCGTCGATTGCCAGCCCTGAGTATGCTTTGTTACACATTTCACAGTGTGCTTTGTAGCGTGCCAATCCCTTAGGAGAACACTTGCTGCTTCTACAGGATATGATTAAATATATAATCCATATATAAGCTCTATCATAGACAATCAGTTATTGAAGAGACATTTTAGAAAAAGTCTGTCTAATAATTCTGATCGTCTATGACATGGCTGATGTAGTAGCAGGCACCAGGGACCAAGGGATGAACATGACCTGGCCCATGCTTTTGACCTGGACTTGCCCACTCCAGTGAGCACTGGGAGCCTTCAGGCACCGCCCTCCCCAAGAGCAGTGGCTGCCCACACTCACTGGCCAGAGGCCGCTGTTGCTCAAGGCACTTTGCAATGGCATTTGGCGACTGTGAGGCTTTCTGTAGAATACCCTGGGTGCCGCAGCATTCAGGTTAAGGGTACCATGATTTGAGAGTGGATTCGATTTAGGGAGCAAGCAAGAGTCCTTGGGAACCGTGTCTGTGCATGATCATAAGTAAATGGAGCTGATTTTCCAAATGGTAATTATATTTGGTCTGAAAGACTTTCCTAGAGAGGAACTCTAAACAACGTCATCTGTGGAATATGCAGCTAAACTCCCAAGGTTTCTACTTTGAGAAGAGTTTTCATAAATACTGTGGAAAATCTATAGTTTCTGGTGTTTTGCTAAGAAATAATTAATGGCTTATGGTAATTTTCCCTACATTGGAAAAAGTTTTCTCTCTTTCCTGCTGTTTCATTGAGTGGAGAAAGCACTTGTAAGTGGTCTGCATTTGGGGATGAATGGCATTTTTTTTCCAGAGGCAATAAATGTCACCAAGATGACTGTTGACAGGACGTCTGTATTAGCCCTTTTACAAGGAGACATCAGCAGTCATGACGCACCCTCAATGCAAAGATGCTATGAGTTAGACTTTCTTTTCATTTTTCACCCTCCTAACTTACCACAAAGGAAATATTTTCTGTAAAAATCTTCTTTTCTATACCTCAAACTTTTTACAATGGCTACTGTAAAACAAAATGATACGGTTTTGCTGTGTCCCCACCCAAATCTCATCTTGAATTCCCACATGTTGTGGGAGGGACCAATAGAATCGTGGGGGCAGGTCTTTCTTGTGCTGTTCTCGGGATCGTGAAGAAGTCTCACAAGATCTGATTATATAAGGGGGTGTTTCCCTGCACAAGCTCTCTTCCCCTGCCTGCTGCCATGTGAGACGTGCCTTTCGCCTTCCACCATGATTGTGAGGCCTCCCCAGCCATGTGGAACTATAAGTGCATTAAACCTCTTTCTTCTGTAAATTTCCCAGTCTTGAGTATGTCTTTATCAGTGGTGTGAAAATGGACTAATACGCAAAACAATGGAAAATAACAAGTGTTGGAAGACTGTGGAGAAATTTGAACTCTTCTGTGCACCATCGATGGGAATGTAAAATGGTACAGCCACAATAGAAAACCAGATGATGGTACCTCAAAAACTCAAAACTAGAGTTACCACGTGATCCCACTTCTGAACCCAGAAGAACTGAAATTCAAGATAATTGAAAGCAGAGACTCTGATATTTGAACACTCATGTTCACAGCAACATTATTCATGACAGCCAAGAGGTGGGAGTGACCTATATGTCCATTGATGGATGAATGGGTAAACAGATATGCTGTATATGTACAAGGGAATATTACTCAGCCTTAAAAAGGAAGGAGATTGTGACACGCGCTACAACATGGATGAACCTCAAGGACAAATACTGCGTGATTCCACTTATGTGAGGTACCTACAGTAGTCAGATTCGTAGAGATAAAGAATGGTGGTTGTCAGAGGCTGGGGAGAAGGGAGAATGGGGAGTTGTTATTTCATGGGTACAGAGTTTCGGTGTGGGGTGATGGAAAGGTTTTGGAGGTGGATAGCGGTGATGGTTGCATGACAGTGAATTTAGTTAACATTACTGAGCTTTACACTCAATGGTTAAGATAGTAAATTTTATGTTCATGTATTAGCACAATAAAAAAATTAGTAGTAAAAATGTTCTGTTTTAACTAAACACATAGGAGAGGGATCCTAATTGCATGGGAGTGGTTCTGGATGAGGATGCTGGGGGCATGGGCAATGTCCTCATCCAGGTACAGAGAAAACAAGGTTTTGTCAGCCACAGGCTGCTGGGCTCTGGATGAAGGATGCATTTGGCGTCTTGCATAGCTATTAGCTGTTGCCAGCCCGGGAGCCTGAGCTTTCTTCTGCATTTTGGGCTGACGCCTTGAAGCTACATGAGCAATCACAGTCCCTCTCACCTGCTGCTGTGGAGCTGCTGGACTGAACAGATCAGTGCACGTCCCGTCTTCTGGGTCCTCGCAGATGTTAAATTGAAGATCTCCTTGAAGGACGGGGGAGGCCGCAGTGGAGTCGGGCAGGAAGCTGAGTTGGCCAGGAAGCCTTGTATAATAACTAGAGGTAGAGAGCTGCAATTCCCTAGGTTGGGATAATAATGGGCTGATGTTTTCACAGGGAGATTGGGTGAGAGGCAGCTTCTGCCCTGGAGAAACTGTCCTTTCCTCCCACCGTAACCCGAGCTGAGGCTGCACGGGCCTGGCTGCGCTCAGGGGCCAGCTTCCAGGTCCTGAGCTAGGACGGGCCAACGTGAGAATTTCCTCCCGTTTAAGGTTCTTTTTTCACCTTCCAGGCTGTGGTCAAGCCGGACAGTGTATTCTCCAAGACGTTCCCTGACAAACAGGTGGCTAGGTGGCTGCCATGGAGGACGTGAGCATGACATGTCTAGCAGGAGCTGCTGAGCCAGAAGCGGTTGAAGCTGGGTTTTCTGCAGCTGTGTCTGGGACTTGGAAGGACCCCTGAGTGGACTGGGCCTGGGGTCACACGGAGCCCACACAGAAGCCAGGGCTTAGGGGGCTTCAGCACCTGGGGGGGCTTCACCTTGGCCTCCACATCTGACCCAGAAAGCTGAGAACGCAGAGAACTCCTCCCTGAAGTCGAGAACTCCTCCTCGAGCCTGGGCCTGTGCTCTGGGTGAGAGTGCCTGGGAGACACCATAGCAGACACAGCTGGCCCGAAGCTGCACCACCAGGATCCCTCTGGCCAGACCTTCCCCTCCAGCATAATACCATCTAACTCCTCGGGGCACCCTTCCCTTTACCTTCTGCCAGGGGACCCTCTTGCCAGGCTTTGCGCGTGGTGAAGCCTCAGCAAGTATCCATGGAACTTGATGTTACGCTCCCAGGCTTCCCACGCTCGTGAGGCCATGGCTGCTGGGTAGCTTGCAGGGCCCCTTGAAAGGGTCTGGAAACGTCAGTCAATTAATAAACGAATGTATTAAGTCCCAACTGTATGCCTGGCTGTGAGTTACGCACAGGATCAGCTGTGTAACTTGTGGTGCCCCATGCAAAATGAAAATATGGACCCCGCGACAGCAGAGTGTTAGCCCAGGGCATGGGTCAGACACCCACAAAGCCAGCCCTGTCATGCAGATCCAAGTCAGCCTCGAGGAACGCACCTTGGGGTTTCAATGGATGTAGGCGCTGGGAGCCAAGTCTAGCCCTCTTTTCATTCCTGAAGTGAACCCTACAGTCCCTGCCTGGGGGTTTGTCATGAGTTGGCAGTGGGATGACCTAAAAAGTGAGTGCCCCTGATAATGAATGGAACAGAGCCAGGTTCCCTGGAGATAAAGCAGCCCCTGCAGGCAGGTGGCTTGCTGCTTCTCTTCTGAGAAAGGACCTTGAACAGGAAGGATCGAGATTCAGATTCGGCTGACCTTTTCAAGACAGGCCTCTAACTGAGTGTGGCTCTCCCTCCCTGAGCTGAACACACCTCTTCCTCCAGTGAAGCAGTGGGTGGTACCTCGGGGTCTGTCATTTGAGACTGACTGTTTCCCCTCAGGGCAGCCATTGGATGGGAGAACGCAGGGAGGTGGAGTCCTCCTCAGCCAACAGGGCTGGCTCTCTGCAAAATGGCGCCTGCCTTGGCCTGCGGCTTCACTTCTCTTCTGTCAGACTGAGGCCTTGGTCCCTTTCTCCCTTTGCCCAGCTTAGATGATGGGGCAAAGCTTTAAATATGTCCTGTTCACAACTCTGAGAAACCCTGGAGCAAGGTCCTGGGCCAGCTGTGTGTGTGTGTGTGTGTGTGTGTTGCTCAAAACACGAGAATTGGGAAGGGTGCTGAATGTTGGGCTGGGGCTAGGTAGGTATGGGGCCAGTGAGCACACCCATGGCTCTAATTTTATTTGCTTTCCCCTCTGCCAGTGCTGCTTCTATCGCCTATTGCTTCATCTTCTAAAAGGGAGTCTGATGGAAAAATCAAGTCTCTAGGCCTTTTCATCTCTTTATGATATTCCTTCTCCATTTCCCTGAAGGTTACCTTGGTTTTGGAGTGAGGTTATGAAAAGTGTGGATCTCAAGCGTTCTTTGGGCCCTGAGAGAAGATGGGTGTGGGGCCTGGGAGGGGCCGTGTCTGGGCCAGGTTGTGGCTCCTCAGCCGGCTGAGTCCTGCCC
The DNA here is from genome assembly GCF_000001405.40 of Homo sapiens. Lineage (NCBI taxonomy): Eukaryota > Metazoa > Chordata > Mammalia > Primates > Hominidae > Homo > Homo sapiens. Next base: position 100,255,255 of record NC_000015.10, on the reverse strand, counting down.
CAGCCAACCCTCTGTGGTTGATCCCTGACCATGGAAACTTATAAAGAAGCATAGGAATGATCCAGTATTAGAAAAGAAGAGCCTAGACCCCTGGTTTCCCCACAGCAGGCCAGATGAACCCCTTGTACTTGCAGAACCAGGGCTGGACCAGGTTTCAAGCATCTTTGCTGTCTCACTGGTCCACAGATACCACCCACCCAGGGGATCCTGGGGAGCTTTAAGGAAGACAGTTTTTTTTTTTCCTTCACCTTTTAAGTTCTGGGGCACATGTGCAGGATGTGCAGGTTCATTACATAGGTAAACATGTGCCATGGTGGTTTGTAGCACAGATCAACCCGTCACCTAGGTATTAAGCCCAGCATCCGTTAGCTATTCTTCCTCATGCTGTCCCTCTCCTTCACCCCGCCTCCCCCGGCTGGCCCTGGTGTGTGTTGTTCCCCACCATGTGTCCATGTGTTCTCATCATTCAGCTCCCACTTACAAGTGAGGACATGTGGTGTTTGCTTTTCTGTTTCTGCATTAGTTTTCTGAGGATAATAGGCTCCAGCTCCATCCATGTCCCTGCAAAGAACATGATCTCATTCCTTTTTATGGCTGCATAGTAGAGGAATACAGTTTTTAGAAATGACTTTTTGTTGTCTTCTTGTGAAAGCAATACATGGTCATTACAGCATCAAAAACCAGTTGCTGCCCAAATAGAGTAGCTTGGGGAAGTAGAGTAGCTTGGGGAGGCCACTGCAGTTGGATGCTATTGTCTGAGAATTGTCTCGGATCAGTGACTTGGCAAACATCTTCCAAAACATTTTCAGCTGCTGAAAGGAGTCCTTCCAGCAACTGTTACGTATAGAATAGTTCATCTGTAAAAGAAGGTTCTCATGTGGGGTAAGTGGACCTACCCCGGGAAATGTGGATGGATTACTGTTGCCAAACGCTGCTGTTTGTTATCATTCGCTGTGGCCTGTGTCCACTGGAAAAATAACATTGCAGGATGACTACTTGAGGTTAATTCACAGTGTTTTCTTCTCCCATTCTTGGGGATACTGCATATACCTGATGATGGCTTTTTTATTTTTTAGGACAGATTTCTGTGTACACAAGGATGAACCGTGTGACACTGTTGGTAAGTTTAGAGTTGAAATAATAATCTAAGGGGCTGATACACCCTGGGAGAATCTGGAGACTTCCTGGTCACAGTGGAGGAGCTGTCCTCAAACAAGCACTGCACATTCTGTTGCCTTCCTTCCTGTAAGTTGGTCTTTGACTTTCCTTTTTTTATTTTCCTGAAATGATTTGAAGTTATTGATGGCAGAAGGCATCTAGATGAAGGGTCATTAAGGAAGCTATGAAGAGTGACACCAAGGGGAAAAGCCACCAGGCCGTTCCAAGGGGTCTGCAGTTGGGGGTGCATTTGGCTCTGAGCATTTTGGTCACCCAGGCAGGAGAGGCAGCCTGCTAAGTTACACAGTTGTGGTCATGAGATGAAAGCTTAGCAGTTTGTTCTCATGCATGCACATGACCTTTATTGAGCTTTACCCTAAGGGGTGAAGTGTGACTGTAGATTATAAGACATGCAATCTCTTCCACCTGCCTTGGTGCCAGGCTACTTGCTTTTTAGTGACTAAAGACAGCACTGAAAGTGGCATGCAGTGCTGAGAAAACACCCTTTCCTTCTTCACCGTCCCCTCCTCCTCTCCCTTTCCCTCCCTCATCTTCCCTTCCCCTCCCTTATCTTCCCCTCCCCCCTCTACCTTCCCCTCCCCCTCTACGTTCCCCTCCCCCTCTACCTTCCCCTCCCCCTCTACCTTCCCCTCCCCCTCTACCTTCCCCTCCCCCTCTACCTTCCCCTCCCCCTCTACCTTCCCCTCCCCCTCTACCTTCCCCTCCCCCTCTACCTTCCCCTCCCTCACCTTCCCCTTCACCTGCCATTTTCCTTTCTCTCCCGTCCTCAGTTATGTCTGGTTTGCTCTTGAGTTCTCATGGATTTCAAATGGAAACCATTCTTTGCACACAGTGTTTGGTTAATACAGGCACAATGCCAAGGGTGTTTCCAGTTTTCCCTGCCATAACGCGAACCTTTGTTCATCGGGAGGCTGAAATATAGTATTGCATTGCCAGAATCAAAATTGTGAATCGTGTATGTTTAGAATTGTAGTAAAATCGAAGAAAACAGTATAGGTGTGAAAAATATATACTGTTATGAAATTCACATGTTGAAAACCTGAGCTTCTGGGGGAGCCCCAGCAGTGAGTAGCCCTAAGCCTTTGTTCTGGCTCTGCCACGTGCCAGCTGGGTGGCCTTGGATGTGTCTCCACTCTGGTTTCTTAATCCATCAAATGATCACTTTGGGTTAGGTGACTCACAAGACCCTTCAAAATCTAATATAATGATAGCTACCATTCATGTCACATTTTAGAGTTTACAAAATGATTTTTAATATATTACACTTCATCGGTCCTCTAACCAGATCTGAGAGCGAGATGTCAAGAAGCAACCAGCCAACTCCTCCTGCTTTGTTATTTGGGGGCTGTCTCCATGAGGGAATTGCTAGACAAAGGCCGTGTGAAGGATGCTTCCCTGGAGTGCTGGCTGACCCAGGCCCAGGTCAGGTTGGGGCCATGGATACTTGTACCGGCTGACCTCTGTCTGTCAACAGGGCTGCCAGGCATGTGCTGTTTCTAGGAGTGGCTGCTCTTTCCTGGGGTTCACGGGTCAGGCTTGGCCACAGTACCCATGTCCGGGGCGCCTCTGCTCCGTGCTCCTCCTGCTTCCTGGCTTGCCCCGTGGAGACATAATCTCTCAATCGTGTGGCGCTTGCCTGTACTTCTCCCCTGGCAGCCCCTGAGCAAAACAGAGCCCAGCTCTGGCCTCCAGGCTGTGTGTCCTTCAGCACCTGGCACTGGATTGAGAGGTTTGGTCACTCCTGTTGGTTGGTTGATTAAATGAAGAACTGAATGAATGAATGAATGAATGAATGCAGGTGAAGGGACTCCAATGCCAGTGTTCATTAAAACAATGTATCCAGTGGTGTGGTTTTCTTCCATAGGATTTATGGCTAGCTTTCCGTTTCTTTTGAATATATAAAAGCTTTCTCTTTTGATGGGAATATGCCATTAATTGTGATTATATCCTGTGTTCAGGCCCCTGGTGAAGAGCAGGCAGCTACTTCGAATCAAGCATCATCTCATTTCCTAAGCCACATCATCATACTACTTTTTATTGGTTTGCTCGGGCGCCATAACAAAATGCCACACAAACTGAGTGGCTTTAACAACAGAAATGTGTTGTCTCACAGATCCGGAGGCTGGAAGTCCTAGATCCAGGTGTCGGCAGACTTTGCCTCTCCTGAGGGCCTCTCCTCTTGGCCGTAGCTGGCTGCCTTCTCCTGTGTCCTCTTGTGGCCTTTCCTCTGTGTGCGCACCTGCCTGTTCTCTCTCCTCCTTATAAAGGACGCCAGTCATACTGGCCTAGAGCCCCTACTCTGTGACCTCACATAACCTTAATTAGCTTTTTTTGTTGTTGAGGTAGAGTCTCGCTCTGTCGCCCAGGCTGGAGTGCAGTGGCACGATCTGGGCTCACTGCAACCTCTGCCTCCCGGGTTCTGGCTCCCGGGTTCTGCCATTCTCCTGCCTCAGCCTCCTGAGTAGCTGGGACTACAGGTGCCTGCCACCAAGCCTGGCTAATTTTTTGTATTTTTAGTAGAGATGGGTTTTCACCATGTTAGCCAGGATGGTCTCGATCTGCTGATCTCATGATCCATCCGCCTCGGCCTCCCAGAGTGCTGGGATTACAGGCATGAGCCACTGCGCCCGGCCAACCTTAATTAGCTTTTTGAAGGTCCTCTCTCTACCTATAGTCACATTGGGAGTTAGGGTTTCTACATAAGAATTTTGTGGGGACACAAGTCAATCCATAGCACCGCTCATTTGATACTTTGTCACATGTTACTAGGGAGCATCTTATGTCCTCATATCCCCTCCCAGGTGCATGCGTCTCACTTCCTTAACAAGAAAGTCTTTTAATGGTCGGGACTGGGTGGAGTCACTGTTCTTCACGTGACAGCTGGTTAGCTGAGGGCAGAACCAGCCTATCTCCTGATCCCCAGTACGTGTTCTTTCTAATACCTCAGTGATTTTCAGCTTCTCCAAGGGAGCTGATGCCTTTTTTTCTTTTTTAAAAAAATTAAACGTATATGGTGTTTTATTAGTATATGTTTCTCTTAACGTGTCATATTTTGCTTGTACAAATGATTAAGCCAGTCAGAACAATGGGATGATTCGATGAACAGAAAAATATAAAAACTGGGGTTATGGCAGTCGTATATTGATCTCAGCATCCAATTTATTTATGGACTTTAAAATATTTTTATTTTGAGTAATTATACAGTCATGATCATTGCCAAAAGAGTACAGAGAGGTCTGTTGTACCTATCACCCAGCTTTGTCCAGTGGTAACATCTGACATAACTGCAGTACCCTCTCAGAACCAGGAAATGGACGGACCCGATAGAGTGAACTAGACTACAGCTCTTAATCAGGCTTCACTGGTTTCTGCATGCACTCATTTGTTGGTATGCTTTTGTATAAAGTTCTGTGACATCTTATTACATGGGCAGCTTTGTCCATCCACCATGACAATCAGGAACAGAAGTCCACGGCGGCTGAGATGCCCCCTCGGACTGCCTCTTGAGAGCCACTCCCTGCCACCCTCCCCTTCCCTAACCACTGGCACCCATTTATCTGTATTCCATCTTTATGATTTTCTCATCCCAATATCAGTTTATTTTTCAAATTTTGTTTTGATTGCGCAGAATGGAAAAATAATCTGAGTCATGTAGATGCATGCTTGCCAATGCTAAGAGATTTTGAACAGCTGCCTTGAAACCTCAGGATCCAGCTCGAGCGTGAGATGCTGTGTCTTGAGTTCTGTAGGAAAGGAGCTGTCTGGTACCTCGAGATAACTAGGAAAGCTTTGGGTTGCCAGTGTTGTGTAATTTGGTATATAACAGCGTTTTTTTGTTGTTGTTTTAATTAGGGTGCAGCTCACATATATGTAAAGAGGGCAAAACTTGATGGATTTTTAATTTATGCTTATACTCATCTTTTTTGGCTCAATCTGGTATTTATTGAAATCATTTTAAAGCAATATCTTGAGTTCTGTTTTAAATCGTGCTTTTTTATACTGTGGTAAAATACACATAACATTTGCCACCAGAAGCATTTTTAAGTGTGCAATTCAGTGGCATCCAGTACTTCCACACAGCTGTGCAGTCCCATCCCTCTACTCTTGAAACCATAACTCAGATTGAGGTGAAGAAGGCGATCAGCCCTCCAGTTCCTTATGGCCTAACCCCCACCCTCAGTAGTCCCCCCAGGGTAACCTGTTATTGTTAAGTGTTTTAATGAGTGTTTTTAAAATAGTTTAAAATAGATTTCAGATCTCAGTTTGAATGAAGCATTGGAATAAACTCTGAGGCGCTGCGAGGTTTGGGGCTTCCGTAAAAATACTCTCCTCTGCATCAGCCCATTTGTCTCCACTGCCCAGTCTGCATTTCTGATTGTGAGGAATGAGCCAAGGGCACCTACTGGAAGGGGGCTGCCGCCAGGCTGGGAGACTGGCTTGGAACACAGGCAGCACCTGGGGGAGCTCTGGAAGTGGGGAGGCCACTGACATCACATAGAAGTTAGTGGCAAGGCCTGTCTGGTCCATGTGCCACCACGGCTGGGGAGTGACCTCCATCTCCCCCCAACAGCCCAGGGTCCTGTGGTCTGCCCCTCCCCACCCCACCTGCACTGGAGTGAGGGAGATTCTGGCCTTTGGGCTTCCATAGGAGAGGCAACAGCACCTCCCACGAAGAATGCATGTTGAGGGTAAAGCTTCCCAAAGGGGATCACTGTGCTTCAGCCAGGCGGGAGGATGAATGCCAGACAGCCCAAGATGACCAATGCCCACTGCACCCTTCAGATCTTTCGGGTGAAGATTGAAACACAAGGCTTGCATCTCTAGGCTTCACAGGGGTGCTAGTGGTGTAGGCAAAGTTGGCGTTTCCAAGGCCCTGATTCTCCTGAGCCCTGCAGTGCAGAGGCCTCACCACACTCCTCTGTACTGGGTGGATTTGAGTGAGCAGATGAATGGGCATGCTTTCAAAAAGTCACACCAGGTCCAGGCGTGGTGGCTGACGCCTGTAATCCCATCACTTTGGGAGGCCGAGGTGGGCGGATCACGTGAGGTCAAGAATTTGAGACCAGCCTGATCAACATGGTGAAACTCTGTCTCTACTAAAAATACAAAAATTAGCCAGGCGTGGTGGCGGGCACCTGTAATGCCAGCTACTCAGGAGGCTGCGACAGGACAATCATTAGAACCTGGGAAGTGGAGGTTGCAGTGAGCCGAGATCGCACCACTGCACTCCAGCCTGGGCAACAGAGTGAGACTGTCTCAAAAAAAAAAAAAAAATTAACACCAGAAGGACCCTTCCTCCTTCCCTCCTGGCACCGATATGGACTTCTTAGGCTTCGCTGGAATGGGAAGGATAGCAAGGATGACCCCCTTGGGAATTCTGATCTCCACGTTGGAGGAAGTCACTGTAAGGCAGGAGGATCTGGAACAAGCCACCATCCCCTCACTGAGTGGCCCCCACTCTGCACATGTCAGACCTCTTTGTGGGGTGTGCACATTTCCTCTGTTGAATTCTTCATCCAGAGCTGTCTGCTTTCCAGCCACTGTTGTGACATAGGTGCTGTCCTGGGTGAGAAGAGGGAGGTGACAAGATGGGGACTTGGCAGAGGTGAGGTCGTGCCTGCCCTTTGCGTTCCTCTTCCAGATGCATACCCTCTGGGCCTCTCTCTGGCAGTGGCTGAAGACAGCAGCCGCTTCTCTCCAAGCCTGGCTGGCTAGGCAGGTGTCTGAGTGTTGCTCAGTGGATGTGGAGCATTGGTTTTCTCCTACCCGTGCCTCCAAATTGAGCTACGGTGGTTTTTGTGCCAGCCTAAATCAAGCTAGTCTTCTTTTTGCCCTTTGCTTGGTCTCCTACTATTTTTTAATTAATGGAAGGGCCTCCCTTTTCGTTGTCCAGTGAGGGAGAGGGGTGATCCTACAGGAGGAAGTGGAGATGTTCCACCGTTGCAGGCTGAAGGCCGGGTTGATGCTGTGGAGGAGCTTGGAGTCTGGTCTGTGCGCTGGGGCCCAGCGGCTGTGGCTTGAGGGTCCCATGGCTTTCCCTGAACTTGGGGAGAAGGACCCCCTCCTTGCGTCACCCCTGGCACTGATACCACAGTCTCTGATAGGTTTGGGTGGCCTGAGGGGAGCTTGGTAGACGTGCCCACTGCCCTTCCGGTGTGAGGAAGAGCGTGTGGGTGGAGGAAGTGCGGGTGGGGGATATTGCTGGCCAGGACGGTGGTGTTTGGGAACAAAGCATCGGTTTTGGAAATCTGTGTCAGGCCAGCCCACCATGAGGCCATGAAACCAAGAGGAGCTGGGGAACTGGCAAGAGGTGAGGGGGAGTGGGTGTGGGTAATGGACGGTGTTGTGTGCTGGACCTGTTGAGTTTTTATTAATTGAATGTGTCAAAGAGGAAGAGAAGCTGTGAACCCTGTGATGTCATCAGTTAGGTAAGAAAGAAATGCCACTTTTTATGCATAAACACAAACATATGAAAACGGGCCCGTCTGACTGTGCTTCGTCCCTTCCACATTGGTCACCCTGTGACTCTTCACTTATCCCAGCCCTGGCGTCCTCACTGGTTGGTGTGTAGAGCCCTCTGGGGAATTTCCGTCACAAGTGAGCCAGCGTTTTCTGTGTTACAGTGGTGTTGGTATGTCTTCATTCTGTGAGGGTGGTTTTGGGTTGTCAAAAAGCGGTGTCAAAAGTGTTCTTTGCTGGGTGAGGCTGGCAAGTCGTGTTTGAGATACAAAGATACAAATCAAGTTTTACTGGCTAGACCAGCTCTTGGGTTTCTTTGCTTCTTGGGGCTCTCCTATCTGTTTGTTCCACTGTATTGTTATTCCTTGTAAGCTGACAGAAGGCAAATTTCAACTGTGCTTCCAGACTGTGTGTTAGAAGTATAGTCTTCAGGCCAGGTGTGGTGGTTCATGCCAGTAATCTCAGCACTTTGGGAGGCCGAGGTGGGTGGATCACTTGAGGTCAGGAGTTCGAGACTAGCCCGGCCAACATGGCAAAACCCTGTCCCTACAAAAAAAATACAAAAAATTATCCGGGTGTGGTGGTGGGTGTCTGTAATCCCAGCTACTCGGAAGGCTGAGGCAGGAGAATCGCTTGAACCTGGGAGATGGAGGTTGCAGTGAGCCGAGATTGTGCCATTGCACTCCAGCCTGGGCGACAGAGAGAGACATTGTCTCAAAAAATAAATAAATAAATAAATAAATAAATAAAAATAAAAGGGCAAACCACTTGAACAGATACTTTACATATACATGGATGGCAAATAAACTTATGAAAAAATAATATCACTAGCCTGTAGCAAAATGCAAAATTAAAGCTATGATGAAATATGGCTATGGAATGGATAAAATACAATAAAAAAAAAGTGTAGTCTCCAGACATTGCCTACGAGGGCAAATGACTCCTTCAAATGAGTAAGTTCTGAAGTGGCTTTGTCCTTACCTAGGACCCATCTCACTTTTGGGCCCTGTTCTGGGCTTATCCACACTATGTCGTTGGTGTCTACTCTGAGAAGGTTACAAAGGGGAAGGCTTAATTACATATTCGTTGTTCCAAATTAGACAACTTGCAGTCTTTAGCAAATTCATCTGTTTGTCGGAGGCTACCTTGGTATTTATAATTATGCTTTTGACCATGTTCTTTGCTTTTTGAGAGGTTTTATGAAAGGTTTCAATTTTGGGAATCAAGTATGCTTACATCTAGCCATCAAGAGTGAAGAAATTTTTGGCAAGGTTCATTTTCATCATAGTATTAAAAAATAGACCATCTGCTTAAAAGACTTAGGAAAGTCGCATGCTATTCATTTTAGGGCTTCGTATCCCACAAATTCAGCTTGGATTTCTCGGCTGATTGAGTTGCCTGGAAAACAAAAAAGTGGAGGCTTTAGGAAACTAGTTCCCTTTCTCACAGGTTTAGCTTTAAGCATCCGTAGAGTATTTCCTCCGGAATGCCAATTAGGTTGTGTCTGATCGTTGGAGAGCGTCTGCGAAAGACTGTGTGTAGGAGCTGTTATGCCTAAGAGAACAGAAGAGGACGAGGACTGGCGATCCCGAGAACATTCCTGCCTTGACCTCTGTGTGCTTGCTCTGTGCACCACTTAGAGATAGTGACTGGGGTGAATAAACATGTAAGTGATGCATGTGTCTTACCTACACACAAATACCAGACACATATGTACACACGTACACACACACCTTTACGCTCATGCATGCCTGGGGTGCATGCACACCCATGGAAGTGTGCAGTGTGTGTGCTTCCCATACCTTAAGGCCTGGCGAGGCTCCATCTATGCCTACAAAATCTGTAAGTTCTCTACCAGCGCTTGTTAGATCCTTCCAAGAAGATCTGTCTGCCCTGGGAACAACAAAATAAGATCCCACTGCAGGAGGTTTGTGTTTGAGACTTGGCTGGAAGTCCACACTGAAACCAGTTGCCCCAGGGGACCAAGTTCAACTTTTCTTGTTCTTCCTGCCAGGGTTGTGTCTAAGGTTACATAATGGCTGAAATACATTAGAAAATGGTGAAAATATGTAGGTATGTTTTTGCATGGGATGGGCTTCTACCAGCCCTTTGGAGATGTAGAACCAACATTTACTTTGGAACTAGACAGAGACCAACAAAACACAGGGCTGTGCATGAATGCCTTTTGGGCTGGAAAGCAAGAGGGCTGAGCAAGCAAAGCAGCTCCCCTTGCAGGGTTTCCAGCCGTGACCTTTCAAATGCAGGCCCAGAGCCCCCTTCATTGTTCTGACTGGGAAAGTAAGTGTCCTGTAAGAGTGTCCTTCCTTGAGGTGGCTGGTGAGTATTTTCCCAGGCCCCTGCCTGCGAGGGGATTCTGAAACAGACCTCCCTTCCAGGTTGGCAGCTGCAAACCTGCACAAGATATTGGTGACACTGGTGTCAGTCCAAAGCCCACTGCCCTGTCATTCTTCCACAGCTTCAGTGTGACAAGAGTAGAAGGAGTGTCTCTTGTTCTCTCGGTGTTTCTGTTCCTCATGGCCAAGGAACGCCTCATGGCAAGCTTGGAATGCAGTTGCATGCTCCATTGCCTTACAGTGCGGCTCTTACTCTAGTCATGCAATTCGGAGTCAGCCTGACCCTTTATTGGGTTTGTTAGAAACAAACCAACAAAGCCCTCCCCGAAAACACGAGGGGGAGTAGAATCATAAATGGAAACTAGGCCTTGAAGTGATGCTTCCTCTGTCACTGTGAGTCCTGAGGAGCTCTTAGACCCTGTGTGCTGCCTGTTCATAAACAGCCTGCACTCGGCGGTGCAGGAGAGGCAAGGAGAGCAGGTACCATCTGTAGCCAGTGCCATTGAAACAAGGGTCCTGCTCCGGTTGGAACAAGCCGAGGAAATCGCAGGCTGAGAGCCAGGGAAGGGCTCCCTGTACAGTGGCCCTCAAGGTCCTGTTTACCACCTGCAGGGGCCCTTCCTCTCCATGATGAAGGCTGAGCCCATCACCAGGTGCCACCCATGAGAAGCGGGGACAGGCATGACTCTTCTTTATGAAACCATCCGATCTCATGAGACTTATTCGCTATCACCAGAACAGCACAGGAAAGAACTGCCCCCATAATTCATTTACCTCCCACCAGGTCCCTCCCATGACACGTGATAATTATTGGAGCTAGATGAGATTTGGGTGGGGACACAGCCAAACTGTATCAGTAAGTCACTCAAGGACAGTGGTGGACAAGATTGGCTCTGCAGTTAAACCTGCATTCGAATCTTGCTTGTCCACCACTGTCGTTGAGTGACTTACTGATACGGTTTGGCTGTGTCCCCACCCAAATCTCATCTAGCTCCAATAATTCCCACGTGTCATGGGAGGGACCTGGTGGGAGGTAATTGAATTATGGGGGCAGGTCTTTCCTGTGCTGTTCTGGTGATAGGGAATAAGTCTCATGAGATCTGATAGTTTCATAAAGAGGAGTTCCCCTGCAGAAGCTCTCTCTGGCCTGCCACCATGTAAGATGTGACTTTTCTCCCCTTTGCCTTCCGCCATGACTGTGAGGCCTCCTCAGCCATGTGGAACTGTGAGTCCATTAAACCTCTTTTCCTTTATACCCAGACTCTGGTATGTCTTTATTAGCAGTGTGAGAATAGACTGATACACTTACCTAATATCCCCTGCTCTGTTTTCTCATCTGGAAAATGGGGATAATAGTATCTAGGGTTGTTGTGAGGGTTAAAGCGGATGACTAATCACACTCATTAGGATGACCACTTTCATTTTGTTTTGTTTCATTTCATTTCTTTTTCTTTTCTTTCTTTTTTTTTTTTTTAAGATGGAGTCTTGCTCTGTCACCCAGGCTGGAGTGCAGTGGCAGGATCTCCGCTCACTACAACCTCTGCCTCCCGGGTTCCAGCAGTTCTCCTGCCTCAGCCTCCCACGTAGCTGGGATTACAGGCATGCGCCATTACGCCTGGCTAATTTTTGTATTTTTAGTAGAGATAGTGTTTGACCGTGTTGGCCACACTGGTCTGGAACTCCTGACCTCAGGTGATCCACCCTCCTTGGCCTCCCAAAGTATTAGGATTACTGGCGTGAGCCATGGCACCCAGCCAGAATGACCACTTTCAAAACCAGAAATAACAAATGTTGGCGAGGATGTAGAGAGATGGGAACCCTTGTGCACTGCTGGTGAGAATGCAAAATGGTGCATCTGCTATGGAAAACAGTATGGTAGTTTCTCAAAAAATTAAAAAATATGATTCAGGAACTCTACTTCTTGATACACTCCCAAAAGAATTGAAAGCAGGGACTCAGATATTTGTACATCCATCTTCATAGCAGCACTATTTACAATAGCCAGGATATGGAAACATCCCAGGTGTTGATAGAGGGGTGAGTGGATAAACAAAAATGTGGTCTATCCACACAGTGGAGTATTACTCAGCCTTCAAAAGGAAGGAGATAGTGACACATGCTATAATATGGATGAACCTTGAGGACATTATGCCGAATGAAATAAGCCAGTCACAAAAGGATGAATAGTGAATGAAGCCACTCACTTGAGGCACCTAAAGTGGTCAGATTCATGGAGACAGAAAGCAGGATGGCAGTTGCCAGGAGCTGAGGAACGCGGTCATGGGGAATTTGTGTTTAATGGGCAGAGTTTTTTAGTTGAGGAAGATGAAAAGTTCTGTAGGTGGACGGTGGTGATGGTTGTACAACAGTGTGAAGGTACTTAATGCCACGGAACCGTACACTTAAAATAGGTAAAATGGTACATTTTATGTTATGTATACTTTACATAATTTTTTTAAAGAAGTAAGATGACAGAGGGAGCAGTGTTGTGAATTTTATTTTCTAGCACTTCTTTGAGATTTTGTCCAAGAAAAATGATCAGGATGGGAGAAGGACAATGCCCAGCAAAGGAGCTCCTCCTGCCTTCTCCCCTGGGAGGTGAGGGAGGAGTGATGAGACACAAATAGTGCAGGGTTTGAGGGTGGTGTGTGCAGGACGGGGAGGAGAGGTACCGCCTAGGATGGGAGAGGCTGCAGTGTGTGGGAGAGGATGGAGAGAGGAGGGGGCATGTTAAGAAGTGTCACCAGGGAGTGAATTAGAGCCCTTTGAAATGTTCTTAAGGACATGCCAGTAGAGATTAGGGTGCCTTTGCAAGTTTCTTTTTTGGTTGCTAGGCTATGCATCTTTGGCTTAAACTCCAGGGCCAGATTGGACCATGTGGGCACTGAGACTTACTCAAGTTACCACTGATGTTTTTGGACAACGGACAGTCCTCATTTGCATCTGGCATTAAAATCACCGCTTTAGAGTTGAGCCAAGAGTTCGTTTTCCCAGTGACTGCTCGGCCGCTGGACTCACGGTGTAAAGAGCAAGGTCAGTCATGCCGAAGCCATTGCAGCACTTGGAATTAACCACAAGGGCAGGATGCGAGTGACCCTCCGGAGTCAGAACTGCAATTTGAGGGAGAATGTTTGTTTGTAGCTTGCGTGTTTCAGGCAGTCCCCCAGGCTCCTGTGCTCTTTGTGAGTTCGTTAATTTGAAGAACCTTAAACCCTCCCTTGTGAAATCTCAGGTTGGCTCTGAGTTTTTAACCTCAATTTCTACAGATATGCAGCGTAAGTGCTTCAGGAACGGGAAGGAAGGTTATGTCAGGGCGATCTTTTGGGCTGCTCTACCAGAGACCGAATCTGGGCCTGGCTACTATTTAGGACTTCAGTTTAAGCAACCTTCGGAGTTACTAGCATAGACGACTTGGATTAGAAATTCCTGACAAGTGCTGTTGTGCTGAGAGGGAGCTTGATTGACATATAGAAAAGGGCTGAGTCATGGTTAGACAAGAACTGAATCATGGTTAGGAAAGGCTGAGTCATGGTTAGGTGAGCTGAGTCAAGGTTAGGAAAGGGCTGAGGGCCAAGTGACTGCCCTCTGCCTGGTGGAATGGGGTGGAAGTGATACGAGCTATTTCTAGGCCTGGCCCAGCATCCATGAATGGCACCTAGGGGCTCTTTCTCCGTTGGCCGACTGGCTGAGGTTGTCCACAGAACTGGCAGCCATGGCCCCTGAAACATTGGATGTTACATGAGTGAGAAGTAAAGTGTGTTGAGACACTGAGATTTGAGGCTTTGTTTGCTAAAGAAATTACCGCAACAATCAGAAGTGCTAGTGTGTGTTTCTACAAGATCCTGCCCTTGAAATACTTCGAGGTCTCAAAGCGTTGAAGACTTCCATCCCTGTGGGGACTAAGAGGACAGTGGCCCTATCTCTACGTTCAGGCTTACAGAACAACTTTGGCAGGTGACCTGCCAGGGTGTGGTGGAATGAGGGGTAGAGCCAGAATCTTGAGTGATTTTTACTGAAGAATTAAAAAGTAGTCTTGGAGTTGTAGGGGAAGAAAATTTAACTTTTTACTCCACCCATATTAGATTCATTGGCCAGGACCCTGAAAATAAGACTGACAGCAACACCAAAAAAAGCCAGATAGGCCAGGTGTAGGGGCTCACTTCTGTAATCCCAGCACTTTGGGAGACCAATGTGGATGGATCACAAGGTCAGGAGTTCGAGACCAGCCTGACCAACATGGTGAAACACCATCTCTACTAAAAATACAAAAAATAGGTGGGCTTGGTGGCGGGCACCTGTAATCCCAGCTACTCAGGAGGTTGAGGCAGGAGAATCGCTTGAACCCGGGAGGCGGAGGTTGCAGTGAGCTGAGATCCTGTCACTGCACTCCAGCTTGGGCAACAGAGCGAGACTCTGTCTCAAAAAAGAAAAGCCAGATTAACAAGAGAAAAACAAACAGAAGTTGAGTATAAGCTGGGAGCTCTCAGCAATGAGGAACACAGAGGGGTGATTAGAACTTGGCCTTATACCGCGTCTTGACAAAGAATAATACATTCTTAGAAGTGACAAGATGAAAGAAAAGGACTGAGTTCTGGGTGGCAGATTGTGGGAAGGTCAGCTGTGGGGGAACTGCTGGAAGATGAAGGCTCATTACTTGAGTTTGTCATGTAGATTCCTCGGGTGCCCTCTGGACTGATGAGGGTCTGGGGTTCTCTCCAGTGATTAACTTCTGTTCTTCCTGGTAGAGGAGTGAGGGGGGAGCACCTTTACAAATTCATGTCTTGCTCTTTGGCAGAGAGTGGGAGGACAAAGCTTTCTTGTACCTGCTTCTTCTCCATTGCTTTCAGCTCAAAATAATCCTTCGGCCACAGTGGCATATGTTGCTACCCTCCAGCCTTTGCTATGGTCTTGGAACACATTCCTGACGTTGCTGAAGGCATCTGGGGCTGAGGAGGAAGAAGCAGCAGAGAGATTGCTGCTCCTTGAGAACAGGAGTCACTTAGGCCTGGGGATTGGAAAGGTGCCTGCAGCTCTGGTCTCTGGTGGCAGTCTGGGTGCTGACCAGCAGCTTCCCAGTCTCCATTAAGGGCCCAGAGCTAGCCTTAGGCTTGAGGTGGGGCCCAGGGCCCCTCCTGAGCAGCAGCTGGTTACAGGAATGAGTACAGTGATGATTGGATCCCCCCATGCTGATCCCGGTACACGTGGAGCAGGCTCACTGATCTGCCGCACAGCCTGGATTGTTGGGGTTGGGCACATTCTGGCTTTGCTGTGACTGGGGGAGAGACAGACATCTGGTAGCAGGACATCAGGTAAAGGTTTTCACCTGGAGACCACCTCCTCCTTCACTGGCTGAGGGTGGAGGGTGATCCTGAAGGTGGGGCGTGGCGCACATCTTTCCCCAGAGGGCTCACCATCCCTCCACTCCAGGGGTTGTAAGGCCCTGATGGAATTCCCACCTGACTTCTTCGTCAAATCAACTGCATAGGAGTGGCATGTGTCCATGTCCACCTTCCTCCTGGCCACACCATGTCCCTTCTCTCTGAAGTGCCCTGGACTGTGCTCCAGTAGCACCAGGCAGCTAGGGGAGCCTGGTGGCTCATTAGACGTCAAAGCATGGCAGGAGGCAGCCTCTGTGGCTCCAGAGCCCGTCTCCAACACTTCCTCCTGCAACGCTGGAGAGAGACCCCCTTCTCATTGCTTCCACAAAGGGTAGCCTCTTCTTGCTGCTGCCCCGCTCAGGGGCATCCACACAGTCCAGCATCTCACAGGCCTGGGAGCGGTGCCGAGATCTGCACCTTCTTTTCCCTTAGCCTTGGAGAGCTGAAGAGCGTTGCTTTCAGCAGGGTCGACTGCGGTATCCCTGCACCAGTCATTATTGACAGGTAGGAAAGACCACAACCAGCGCCGCTCCTCATCCCGTGCTTGCAGGAGTGATGAAAGTGAGACTGAGAACAGCTACCATCTGCTGAGAACGTCATGGTCTTGGGTCATTTAATCTGCACAACAGTGTGCGGGAGCTGCTGCTGTTCTCTCCATTCTGCATGTGGGAAAACCGAGGTGCAGAGAGGGAGATGTCTTGCCCGAAGGCACACAGCTTGTAAGCAGCCAAGCTAGGCTCTGACCCCAGGCGGTTGGGTTACAGTCTTTCCTTTCTCACATTTCGTTTTCTTTTTTGAGACGGAGTCTCGCTCTGTTGCCCAGGCTGGAGTGCAGTGGCGTGATCTCGGCTCACTGCAAGCTCCATCTCCTGGTTCAAGTGATTCTCCCATCTCAGTCTCCCGAGTACCTGGGGTTACAGGCACACGCCACTACGCCTGGCTAACTTTTGTATTTTTAGTAGAAACAGGGTTTCACCTGTTTCAGGTTGGCCAGGCTGGTCTTGAACTCCTGACCTCAAGTATTCTGCCCTCCTGGGCCTCCCAAAGTGCTGGAATTACAGGTGTGAGCCACCACGCCCTGCCTTTCTCGCTTTTCGATAGCATTTTAAGTGAGGCGTCATTATTCCTGTGAGCAGATGGGGAAACTGAGGCTCTAAAAGAATACATTTCTTGTCTGAAATTATGCCACTCGCGAGTGACAGAGCTGGGATCAAACTATCTCACAGCAAAGCCTGAGGGCTTAACTCTGGTCTTGTCTGCCAGACCTGTGCCCATTCATTTTGTTCTTGGCAGGTATTAAATTCCCATCGTTGCTTTTACCCTGTGTTTTCTCCTTTGCTGTGTCCATCACAGATTCTGTGTTCAGGACGGATCTTTGTCCTCACCGACATTCTGCTTTTCCGTCATTCATACTCAGTAAAACTCTATTGAGTGCCTACTGTGTGCCAGGCCCGGCTCCAGCCCTGGGGACACTCAAGGCACCAAACAAAGGCCGTTGCTCTTGTGGGGTGATGTTTTACTGGAGGGGATGCAACTCATGTGAAGTCAGTAAGTACACTCTAGAGTGTGGATGGAGGCTGGCGATAAAGGGAACATGGAAAGCAGATAAGAAGGGTGGGAAGTGGAGGGGCTGGGACCTGAAATTTTACCTGGAGTGGCCAAAGGCTTTGCTGAGAAGGTGACATTTGGACATTACACTCATGTGCAACCCGTTTGCAGGCCAGGGCCATTAGAAGTGTTGAGGTTGCCTATGCCAACACTATTAATTTCTGTGAGCAAAGGCAGGGTCCCCACCATGGACAGCAGGGTGAGTGGCTGTCCCACAGTGGGAGCAAGCTGGGTACCCTTGGGCCCACTCCGTCTTTGCTTCTTTTTTGCAGGGCTCCTAATCAGACCTGGATTTGAGTCTTTCTTCTGCCATTTCCTTGACCTTGGGCAAGTCACTTAAGAGACTTAGTGTTGGCCGGGCACAGTGGGCTCACACCTGTAATCCCAGCACTTTGGGAGACCGAGGTGGGTGGATCACCTGAGGTCAGGAGTTTGAGACCAGCCTGGCCAACATCGTGAAACCCTGTCTCTACTAAAAATATAAAAATTGGCCAGGCGTGGTGGCATGTGCCTATAATTCCAGCTACTTGGGAGGCGGAGACAGGAGAATTGCTTGAACCTGGGAGGCGGAGGTTGCACTGAGCTGAGATTGCACCATTGCACTCCAGCCTGGGTGACAGAGCGAGACTCTGTCTCAAAAAAAACAAAAACAAAAAACCTCAGCGTTCCTCCTTTCCCTACTTGTGTATTGAGACAGCAGTGTCTTCCCCACGGGACTGCTGTGAGGCTTGCCCATCGAGTCCCTCCTGCACAATGCCTGCTCTGTGAAGCTTGTCCTTGTGTCTGCTCAGCCTGCCCCAGGACATCATGCCCAGCCACCCTCTTCCTGTCGTCGTGTGGATCTCCTAGGGAGGGTGCCAGGACAGAGCTGCTCAGCCAGGGCAGGGCTGAGGCTTCCCAGGGGTGAGTCCTAATGTAGGTAAAGGCAGGGAAGTGAGACCCCAAAAGCAGTTAAAGCAAAGAGCAGAAGCCCAGGGGCCTGAGGCTTACTGAGGGAGAGCCTCCTGCTTGCCTGGTGCCGTCCTCAGACCTCGGCCCTCACATGGAGTCGCCTCCTGTAGGCGCCAGTTCACAGATGAAGGTGCTGAGGCTGGGCTCCTCACCGGGCTGCATAGTGACACGATGGTGGAGCTGGGAGGAACCTGGCTGGCCCGACACCCCAGTTAGGCTTGTGCTGAAAGGGTAAGATGTTGCAGGGGCAGGGTTGTGGGGGCCTGAGGAATTTGGCTTGCAGCTTCAGATTGGAGTCTGAGGATCGTGGGAGCTACTCCAAGTGAGCTGATCTCATGTTGTGCAGAGATGAGAGGAGAATTGAAGCTGGGAACCATGGGATTCAGCCGTAGAGTTCCCTCCTGTGACAGACCCATTCCTGGCTCTGTTTTGGGGGCAGAGGAGAGGGAGCATGGAACAAGTAGTTGGTATTTCTTTCTTTTTCTTTAGAGTCAGGAGTCTCACTCTGTTGCCCAGACTGGAGTGCAGTGGTGCAGTCATAGCTCACTGCAGCCTCGACCTCCTGGGCTCAAGCAATCCTCCCACTTCAGCCTCCTGAGTAGCTGGGACAAGAGGCACGCACCACTATGCCCAGCTAATGTTTTTATTTTATGTAGAAACAAGGTCTTACAGCGTTTCCCAGGCTGGTCTCAACCTCCTGGCCTCTAGTGATCCTCCTGTCTCAGCCTCCCAAGCTGCTGGGATTACAGGAGTGAGCTACTGCCGTTTTTTTGTTTGTTTGTTTGTTTTTTGTAAAGATTTAAAGAGGGTCCATGTTAGCTGTTCAGTGTTAGTAAGAGGGCTCTGTAGATTTACATGCCTCTGGATCACATGGAGGACTCCTTTAAACATAGCCGGCTGGACCTCACCCCAGATGTTTGCATTCGGTGGGCCTGGGCAGGGCTATGGATGCTGGTGGTGCTGGTGTGGGGACCACACTCTGAGAAGCCCTGCCTTATTGTGGCTGGGGGTCTTCTCTTGTTAGGGTTTTTTTTTTTTTTTTTAATGTCGTGGGTGACATGAATATAGGGCACCTCTCTCAATGTAATGTTTACTGTCATTTCATGATTACTTGTGCAAATATCGTAGACATTTACTTTTTTTACAAAAAGCAGTGATGATGGAAATTTCCGAGTTACTTCCTGTGTTCTCTTGCTCTGAGTCTGTGCGACTCTGGCGTCTGACCCAAATTAGAGATGGTAATTGAGTCACTGGTGACTGTGGATGTCTGTGATCATTAGGATATTGACTGTCATGCAAGGAATCGAATTTACCCCAAATGTTCAGCCACCTCATCAGATTTTCCATAAACTTGATGTTGGTATTTAAGAGAGGCAGGAGGAGTTGTGGTTTTGAGCCTGGCCTCTGCCTGGTTCAGATCCCAGCTCTGCTACCTTGAGTACAGCCTGGGCAATTTACTTGTCCTCATGTTTCCATTTCCTGATCTGTGGATTGAAGGTAATAGAATGAGGTAAAGGGCCCAGAACTCATAATAAATGCCCCATCATCATTGGCTGTGTTGTTCTTGTTTCAGTGCCCCCAGCACCTTTTGATGTCAGAGAGGGCCCTGGAAGTCCTCCGTGGTGGTGTTTGGGAAGAGAGCTCCCCGAAGCGAATGGTTCTCAAAGGGTGATCCCAGACCACAGCATCAGCAAAACCTGGGAAGGTATGAGGAATGCACATTCTCAGCTTCCTCGGGGTCCTTCTGGGTCAGAATCTCTGAGGTGATGCCGAGCATCTGTGATGTGGCAAGCCTTCCGGAGATTCTGACACACGCTTAATTTTGAGAACCACTGATCTGAGTCTTGGTGGGCAGCACCTGAGACAGGAGGGCATGGATGACACCTGAGAGACGGGAGGGCTCAACTCTACTGGCCGTATGTGTGTGCATGGTGTGGGGTGGTCGGGGAGGTCAGTGTGGGGAGGATCTTTGCATGCTCAGGAAAGCCAGGTGCCCAGCAGCTGTGTAAGTAACCAGGGGGCCAGCACTGCACAGGCCCTTGCCTGCCACCAGCCCTACTGACATTCTTCCTAGAACAAGCATGACGCATGGCTTTTCTAGCACATGGAATCCTGGTCACACCACTGCTGACAGAAGAGGCTTCTGATAAAGGCCATTTCTCCCTTCCGTTTCTCCCCGAGCACCTCCTGCATCCTATCTCATCGTGGGCCCGCGTCTGCCTTCCTGTTCTCGAATCGCTGAGGCAGGAGTCATGGCCCAGCACTATTTTCCCTCTTCCAGTGGCATTCTGGGGTTTTATTCCGTGAACATAATTACCTTGTTTTTCTTCTTAAGCCAATTCAGCTTATTCATGCCTCTTCCCTCATGTTCCCACTGCCTTTCTCTTGTTTGGTTGCACAATATTCCAGATATTTTCTATTGTCTCCTCTACCCCGTGGTTACAAAATCAAACAGGACAAAACAGCTGTGCATAGGCTGTGGAGGGGGCGCCTTGGGAGAAGCTGGGATGGCCCCTTCCTTTCCACCCTGGCTCAGCTGCTGATGGAATGGAAGGTTTCCCGGAGAGGCAGCAGTCAGAGGAGTGGTCGGGGAGTCCCTGGGGCTGCCTTACGGGCTGGTTGCAGCGTTTCCTCTGCCACAGAGCTGCGAATGCCAAGGTAAACATATGTTTTGAGATAAAGTGGAAACCCCAGGAGGTTTTCATCCTAGAAGAGGAAGCAATAAGACAGTCACGTGTTGGACCAAGGAGTCGTTTTCCCCCAAACCCAGCTTTGCGCACCCTGTGTGGGAAAGTTGGAGGGAATTGGAAAAGCAGGGATTATGGATGGGGCCAATGAGACAGGTCACAGAGTGCAAGAAGGGGCTTGAAGAGGCAGCTGGCTCTGCTCCTTCCCAGTACATGACTGTGGGCCCGTATCCTTCATCTTCCTTACTGGTAGCATCAGGACTGGACTACCATATGCCAGGCGGTGTCCTGGGGATCAAATGTGGAACGAACGTAAAGCATTTGGCACAGTGCCTGTCTGCCTCGTGGAAAACGGTGGCTGCGAGTTTTATTAGCTCTTTCTAGTAGTCGACTGGCTGTTGTACTGTCTTTGTTTCTGAAGGTGCCCGATACACACTTCTAATCCATCTGCAATGCCTGTCCACTCCACCTTCAAAATATATTCCCGATCAGACCTCTTTGAACCACACCGGCCATTCCTCCCACGGTCCAGGCCTGTGCTGCCCTTGCCTGCTGGGTCTCCTCCCTGCCACGGAGCTTCCTCTTCAACAGTTTTTTCTTACATGACAGGCAGAGGGTTACTTTTAAGCCCCAAACCAGATCCTGTGGGTTCCCTGCTCAGAATCTTCTAACAGCTTCTGAAGACACTTAAGATAGAACTGACAGAACAGTAGGGCGCCCAGGACATGTGGCCCAGGGTTCTCCTGCCAACCTCTCTTCCTGGTGCTCACTCCCGGGAAGCCACCTCTGCCTCAGCCTCCTCCTTCCCTTGCCAGGCTCGCCTCCATCTCCAGCTTGGCACCCATAATCTTCCTGGGCCCGGCACACTCTCCCCCTGACATCTCCATAACTCGCTCTCTTCCCACCGTTAGGTCTCTGTTCAAGAGCATCTCCTCAGAGAGACAGAAGCGGCCTCTCCATTTAGTTTTCAGTTATTGCTGGACATTGCGTGTTTCTCTGTCCTTTGCCTGTGTGATGGGAACACAGACCCAGCATCTTCACGCCCCCACTGTGTTCCCATCGACTGCACATGAGAGATGCAATGAGTTTTATTAATACAACTGATTTCACTAATCAAAACATTTAAACATATTTTTCGAGCTAATAAAACTTGCCCATCTGCCCTGTAATGGTATTTGGAGAGATGAAGGACTCAGGACACAGTGCTAGGGAATTTCCAGTTCCGTTTGTGACTCCTGTTGACCATCTTAAAAAACGGCGACTTATATGACTTTTCAGTGAGTTAATCTTCTGTATTTTTTTTTTTTTTGAGATGGAGTTTCACTCTTGTTGCCCAGGCTGGAGTGCCATAGCGCAATCTTGGCTCACTGCAACCTCTGCCTCCTGGGTTCAAGCGATTCTCCTGCCTCAGCATCCTGAGTACCTGGGGTTACAGGCGTCCGTCCCCACGCCCGACTCATTTTTTGTCTTTTTAGTAGAGACGGGATTTCACCATGTTGGACAGACTAGTCTGGAGCTCCTGACCTCAGGTGATCCACCATCCTTAGCCTCCCAAAGTGCTAGGATTATAGGCGTGAGCCACCGCGCCTGGCCTCTTCTGTACCATTTAACACCCTTTTTTATCTGTGCAGTAGGTAGAGGAACCTCAGATTCAACCCATATTTACTGAATACCTCAATACTCTCCCTTTAAAAACTGACATGGGGCAGTGGACCTTGGAGATTCACGGCGTCCCTCCTCTGGGGTGGAGTGTGAGATGGCCTCTGCCTGTGAGACCTGCTGCAGTGGAATCGATCTGCGCCGCCTCCAACCGAGACCTGAAGACGCAAATTCCATGGTGTCAGTGTGAAGAACTGTGAGGAGGCAGTGAGAGGAGGGCCTGGGCAGGGTGTCCCGCATGGGCCAAATGGCCAAGTCACTCCTGCTATTCAGGAAACAGGCTTGGTGGGGTCACATAACTTGTCCACTGACACAGGAAGACTTCAGTTCTGGTGACTTGGTGTCCTGCACTTACCGCCAGAGCCCTTTGTGGCTGCCCAGCGTGAGACCTTCGTTGCCATCAAAAGGAGGGGAAGGGAATAGCCGATTGGGCATCTACGTCCCACCAGCGTGTTTCATGTTAAGAAGAAGGTGGGTTTACTGGGAGGATGTGTCACCTCTCTGCATGACTTGATGTGAGTCTGGGAACACCAAGTGTTCATTCCATGTCTGGCACTATTTTCATCTCCATCAGGCTTTCAGAGCCCAGGGATGATGGGTCGATACCCGGGACTTGAACCTCACATCTGCCTTGAGGGGAAGGAGAGGAGTTGGGGAGGTGCTGGCAGGGGGAAGCCCACCTCCCACCCTGGCTCCATGCTGCAGGCAGGTGTCCTGCCCGGGTGGATTGGCTTCCGCTGCTAGGCCAGGGTTAGCCTAGTTCTGGTGAGGAAAGTTCTCCATTCTGAGCCTTGTAATGAAATCTAGAGCTGCCTCTGGCCAGGTATCCCCAACCCAACCCAATTTTTCTGCCTATCTCATTGGAAGTGTCAATTTCTTTATTACTTCAGCTGAGGGAAAACAGGTCTTGACACTAAGACAATTCAAGTGGGGGCAAGGTCGCCGTGATTCATTTTTGTTACTCTGTTGAGTTCTAGAGTAAGTATAATTCACAAGTAAAATGAAGGTTCAGGAATTAGATGTGGAGACTAAGGACGATGCCAAGATTTATTCTATGTCTGTGCTCAGCCTAAATTGGGCTCAAAAGGAAGAAAAAGGATGAGGAATTACTACACATTATTCGCTTCTCCTGAGGATGACGGTAAGATGACCTAATACAATCAGGGGCGAATCTGAGGCCAGAAAATGCATACCCAAAGCTCAGAAGGAGGCAACAGACCATTGAGACCCTTTTGGACAAGACTGAGTGAGTTCAAGAAAAACCGGCACCTGACCAGCCAAGTAGGTGATTCCAAACTCACTCCTGCCCTGAGAACCCTTGGACACACCAGGAAATTACACATTGTGTGACATCAGCTTGGGAGAAGGCCTTTTTATCCCAAGTCTGATCAGCTTCTGTAACACTTAGAAAAAGGATTTGATTACAGGCGGTCAGTGGAGAAGGAAACAGATCACCATCAGTAACTGGCCAGGATTCTTTTCTTCCTCATTCATGGTCCCTGTCAGGCCAGCGAATGGGAGGTGCTGATGTTCCTGTGGGAAGGCAGTTATCCCCTGTGGATTCCAGTGGCTGGTTTATGAAATAAGAAGCTTATGCACACTGGGAATTGTCTTTAATGAAATGAGAATTAGCCAGAGAGTTAGACATAGGGGTCATTGCCAAGAGGAATTAACACTGAAGCCTCAATTAAAATTTCCACTGGATTATCTGATAAGTAGTTGTGCCTTTGGTATTTTATTGTCTTTGACAAATGGCATGAGTTCAGAATTTGAAGCAACGTAGGCCATAACATAACACGGTCCTGAAAATAATGAGGCACACCATTGCTAGATACAAAGTACTTAAATTCCCTGATGGAAGTATTTATTTTAAAGACTGCTTTGGATTATCTTCCTCCCAGGATGTGCAGGCGCTCTCTCTGTGTTCTGATGGGGTTGCCAACTTCACAATTCCTTTTGGTGCCAACAGAGTTCTCAGCACCAGGTGGAAAGGGTGGCTGCCTTCCAAGACATACCTTGCTTTATTGCTAATCCCTCTGTCTCCTCCCCCCGTGGGCTGTTCTTGTCCCCTGGCTGCTGGGAGACAGAGTGATGGCTTCCTAATTGGGTCCCCAGGCAGTCCCAACACCTGTTTCAGGAGGTGTTTGGTATCAACAGTGGACATGTTTCCGAAGCTAGGTGTGTGTGTGTTTAAATTCATTTTTATAATTTTGTTTCTTCCAAGCATTGTCGTTACCCACTATTGGTGCCTTCATTTAAACAATAAATGCTTTCATTCAAAATGCAATACTTCCTAAGCTTTTGCTGAGTGATCAAACCCGAAAAAAGTGTTAAATGCCAGTCACTCCCATCTCAACCCAGTGGTCAGGCCTGAGATAGCTGTTATGAAGATGCCTCAGGACAATTAGACTTTTCAGGAACTTTTCGGCTATGATGCCATTGCAATTTGCAGACCATCCCAGTCTAACCCCGTTTCCTCCACCCCTTGCTCTCCTTGCACCATTGCTGGCCTCAGATCCCTCCCTGCTGTGAGGTTTGGAATTAGCTCGTGTGTCTATGGCATGGATGACTTCTCCTCCAACTCTGTACCAGCCAGCATCTGGAAAGAGTTATACACAGGAATCTGTTACTATCTAGCCTGCCCTCAGCCCTGGATGCGCATCTGATGTGGAGACCCACTGGACGCTCTGTAGAATGTGGAGTTCTCTTTGAAGGTACCACAAAGATAGGGGTCTGCAAGTGTGGCTTTCGTGCACCGCGGGTGTCATTCGTGACGTGTTTGTGCTCTTCTGCAAGCCCAAACTGCGGAGAAAGTTTAACTGAGAAAACCACTTATTCTGAGTTGTCTTCTCAGTTAATATGCCCCTGGTTATGTTTAAGTGCCCGGTGTTGGTTATGCTCGTGCAGCTTGGCCAGGAAACTTCTAGGACTTCAGCATGGGATGGGTGGTTGGCAGTGGGGGCAGAGTGAGTTGGAGCTAGTTGATGTGCTGTGGGTGCATCCTCCTTAGCTGTGAGGGAGGCCAACACAGGCAGGCTTTCCCTGCACTGATCATCTCAGGTGACTGTGTGGCAATTTCCTGCTGGTCAGGGAAGGTGCTGTGGCCTTTCATCTTGGCTCTGTGTCCACCTGCTCACTGGAGCTCCATACTTCACCACTGCAAGAGAGTTGCCCTTGCGTTCTCTGTCTACACTTCAAAGGAAGATGTTTGCATTTGGTCAGGGAGAGGGAACTTTGCAGTTAGTTCTCCTGAGGCTCTGTGGGTGTTTTGTTGTGGGAGGAGGCGTGTCAGCATCTTCAACGGATCATGTGACCTTTGAGTGGTTGCCTCTGGGACATCATATGATTCTTTGAGGTCAACAGAGGGTGGATCCTTTGGACTGCAGCCAGGAGACTGGGTCCTTTTTAGTTTAGCGGGACCAGCCTTGCTGTGGTTCTCAGTCCAGAGAGAAGACTTCCTGAATGTGAAGTGAGCATCCAGGTCAACAGGCAGAACCACTGTGCGTCATAGAACAGAAGCCACTGAAATAAGAGTGATTGTCCCATGGACCAAGACATCAGCAGAGATTTGTAAGGCAGGAATTTGCAAGGGAAGGCATCAGCAACACTCATGTTTCACGTCAGAGTTGCAGGGCAGGATATTAGATAAGAGGCCTGGGAGTCCAGTCAATGGTCACTTCTGTCAATGTGGGGAGGGGGTGGGGAGAGCTACCTAGGAGGGAGAGTGATTCATAGCCTGAAACCATCTTTGCGTCCTATTTGCAAGCTGTTGGGTTGTGCAGGACTTAAAGCTGTGCTGGCTCCTCAGCACCTGCAGTGTCAGTGGTGAGCTACTCTGTTGGGGTCTTCAGGGATACTCCATAAGAACCATCTTCCCCTCCCAGGCTTGGAACCAGTGGTAGTCACAGTGTCTGTGAGCATTACTACCAAGGAAGCTGATTGGAGAAGGGGGCCCAAATGTCACTGAATGTTTCACCTTAGAATGATCCAATTTGCTCCCTGAAATTTAACGGAAGCACTATCCAACTTCTCTTCTGCAACTGTCACAGACAGGACCGCAGGGCAATGGCCCCCTCGTAGAGGCAGGTGACACTGTGGGTGGTGAGCCCACCACAGGGCCCCATCCTCCCACAGGTAGGCAGGGAGAGCTGGGGTTGGGGGGCTAGTGAGCAGGCCAGCTCCTTCCCCCAGACCATTGGACAGACAAGTCACCTGCCCTTGCCAGGCAGAGCATTGCTGTGGCAGACCTCACTCTGCATGGAAACACGAGGGGTAGAGAATAGGAGTTCTCCAAGAGCATGCCAAGTGTGGCATTTGACGTTTCATGCCCTCACCTGCCTGTGTCTGTTCAGCGCTCTCTCGTGGTCTCTCACATGTCCACTTGGGCTGGGTCTGTGTCCTCATCCTGCCCTAAATGTACCTGCTCACTCTCACCCTCGAGTTTTCCTTTTCTCCTCGGTCCAGTCCCTCTTTCAGTTAGTTCATTAATGCACTAATTGATCAATAATGAATTCAGCAGTGTTCATGAGCCTCTGTACCTGTCAGGCTTTGCGTATGGTACCAGTATTATAGTGATGTGCAAAGCAGATGAGATTCCTGCCTTCAGAACACTTACAGTCTAATCAGAGTGACAGGCATAAAAGAACTTGTCATACAAATAGATATGATGATAAACTGGGCCAGGTTTCTTGAATGCAGAGGTCACGCGCTGGATGGTGTCAAAGTAGACTGTTCTGAGGCCTTTCGGAGATGGTAACATCAAGGCTAGGATCCGAACTGTGAGAAGGAGTCAGCCATGTAAAGATTTCGGGAAAGAGCGTGTAGGTGAGGAGATGGCCCCTTCTGAAAGCCTTGAAGCAAGAAAGAGTTTGGAGCATTTGAGGAACATGAAGGAGGCCCAGTAGTGAGAAATAAGGCAGGGCTGTATCTGCAGGGCCTTGAGGGCTCCACAAAGCGTCGTGGATTTTATCTGAGTGTCGGGATTCATCATCAAAGAGCTATGGGCAGATGACGTGGCCATGTTTACTGCAGTGGGAGCAAGGTCAGGAATGAAAGCCGTTGCTCTAAGATAACAGTGGGTTTGGAAGGTATTGCTAGTTGTGGACTTAGCAGCCATGCCCCTCTCTTATACATTGCTGGGCTGTGTGCCCACCCTCAGGTGATGAAGCCGGTCACGACAGTCCATTCCTTTTCCTGGATAATCACTTACCTGGTCTCCCTTGCAGCAGTGGCTGTGCAATCCCACGTAGCCCAGGGAAATCTAAGCAAAGGCCTGCTGGCAGCCTCAGAGAAAGGTTTTCCACCCTGGGAAGCTACTGTGTGAGGACAGTGCTTAGGGCTTCTGCAGCTGTCTTGGGACCATGAGGGAAAGGCCAGGAGGACCACAGATCTGTCCATCCAGCGATGTGCCATCACTGGGCTGCCTGATCAATCCAGGGCCGCCTGCCTCTCCAGACTTCTGTGTTGAGCAATGGTGTCTCGTCTCTGATTAAACCATTGTTTTCTATTACTTGCGGCCAAGTGTACAGTCATTTAGGGGAGATAAAGAAAAGTGGGTGGATCTGAGATCTCCATATTGACATGACTTAGTAATGAATTGGAGGTGGAATGGGGAGGATTGGAGGGGGTAGTGAGGATTTCTGATGTGGGTGGGAAAGACAGAGGATCTCAGTTTTGCTCCCAGCAGAACAGACAGTGGTTATTTGGGTTGAGGTGAACCCACTTTGATTTGGAGCTGGGCCTGAGTCAGAGGTTTGACTTTAGCCTGTGAGAAATCCAGGTGGAAGTGTTCAGGAGATGGTTGAAACACAGATCTGGATTTGAACAGCGAGATCTGGCTGAGGGGGCACTCGGGGTTCATCAGTGCTCAGAGGTGGGGCCTGAGGCTGTGGGTAGGGTTTCATCATGGTGGGAGGGAGGAGAGCCAGGAGAGGCCCAGGTGGGAACAGCTACTGCTTTTCTTATTCTGCCCAGGATCTTTATTTTAGTCTCTTTTGAAATGATGGACGTCATATATTTGTCACTTAATTGCATCAAATCACAAATATTAGGCTGACTCACATGAAATTGTCATTTTTCTAGATCAGAACAGTTGATTATTAGCAATTGTGTAGGACTCAACCTAATAGCTGTTGTTACCAACTGTGTACCAGATACTGTATTAGATCAAACCAACCAATGAATTCTCACTTATTTTCTGTTTAAATTTAATCCCATCACTCCCATGTATAAAACTCACCATTGGTTTCTCTGCATCCACAAGGTAAAATGCCAACCGAGATCATCCTCTGAGGTCTTTTATGGTCCATCTCCACCCATGTTTGCTGAAAGCCCCTGCACTCTCCTTTCCAGGCATATCAAGCCCAGATCTGCAAATGCAGTGAGAGAGTTACAGGATTTCTCCAGAATCCCATTTCCACTCGGTGTCTAGTCTTGGCCTCTGCATGTGTCCATATCACGAGTTCAGTTTCACGGAAAAGCCTCTCTTCACTTCGTGGTCTGGATGTGGATGGTATACAGTTGTGCTTCTGATTGTATTATGGTCCCTCAAAACCACATCTGATTATGTGCCTGGACATTTGGGGTTTCAGGCCTGAAGGGCCAAGCCTCCTTTTCCCCCGGCTGACTCCTGCTTATCTTTGGAGGCGTAACTCATGTCATGACTGCTGGGTAGTCTGTGGCCTCCCTGGGAACTCCAAGGACCCAGATCCTCCACTGTCTTGGAACCTCTCTGGCTGGGCTGACATCACCCTGGAGCAGCACCCAGAACACAGACCATGACTGCTCTGAGGACGGAATGGCACAGAGGCCATGACTGCTGTAAGGACTGAATGGGCACAGAGGCCGTGACTGCTGTAAGGACTGAATGGCACAGAGACCGTGACTGCTGTAAGGACTGAATGGGCACAGAGACCGTGACTGCTGTAAGGACTGAATGGGCACAGAGGCTGTGACTGCTATAAGGACTGAATGGCACAGAGGCTATGACTGCTATAAGGACTGAATGGCACAGAGGCTATGACTGCTATAAGGACTGAATGGCACAGAGACCGTGACTGCTGTAAGGACTGAATGGCACAGAGACCGTGACTGCTGTAAGGACTGAATGGCGCAGAGGCCGTGACTGCTGTAAGGACTGAATGGCACAGAGACCGTGACTGCTGTAAGGACAGAGTGGGCACAGAGGCCGTGACTGCTGTAAGGACAGAATGGGACAGAGGCTATGACTGCTATAAGGACTGAATGGCACAGAGACCATGACTGCTCTAAGGACTGAATGGGCACAGAGACCGTGACTGCTGTAAGGACTGAATGGGCACAGAGACCGTGACTGCTGTAAGGACTGAATGGCACAGAGACCGTGACTGCTGTAAGGACTGAATGGCACAGAGACCGTGACTGCTGTGAGGACTGAATGGCACAGAGACCGTGACTGCTATAAGGACTGCATGGCACAGAGGCCGTGACTGCTGTAAGGACTGAATGGCACAGAGACCGTGACTGCTGTAAGGACTGCATGAATGGGCACAGAGGCCGTGACTGCTTAAGGACTGCATGAATGGCTGCTGCTGGGGTTTCTTTCTGAACCATCGGGGAAGCTCCCCCAAGTCCCCTTTGTCCCCTCTTGGGTCCTAGTTTGAGCCATGTGCTGGCACTCAGTTATTTTAACGAAACCATATACATTTTTGACATGACAGAGGAATGATTTGTATGTTCTTCCCCAACTCTTAAAAAAAGAATTAAAAAGGATCTTTTAGCCCTTTTATAAAATCTTTGCTATGTTCCTCAGAAGGCTTTTACCAAGATGGTTAAGTATGTTTCCAATCTTGGAGCAATAGCAGCTGCATGTTTTGCTGCAACTGGAGGAAAGTATATTTCTTGTGGAATTCAGCCTACAAAGGCAGGTTCCCCATGGCCGTGAAATTGGTGGTGAGTAACAGGGAGGACTTGGTTCTAGCAAGGCAGTGATGAGCAAGGCAGCCTCGTGGATCCATGACACATCCAGGGGCTCATTACTTCTGGGTGCTCATGGGTCCAGATGGAATGCAGGTGGTTAAGTCTGTGGGGTTCTTGAAGTTGCCTGACAAGCTTCGCAGCTTCCTTTGCTGCTTCTACCCTTAAAACCTGTGGGTGGCCCTGTTTTGACAAAGAGTAGGACTGTTGAGAGCCTTGGGGTTGGCCCCGGAGGCTCTCTCTGGAAGTGGAGGGATTCCCCTTTCCTAGAATGTCAATGCCTGGTGCGGTCAGTGCAGGACAAAGAGTGTTCTGTGTCTCTGTAAGGCTGCTTGGGAGATGTAATCCTAGGAGAAGGTTACAGCAGATCAGAGAGAGTACTGGGGAAGCAGTGACCTTTCCTCGCCTTTGCACTGGGGGTGAAGAACGAGGACCTTATAATAAAGGAGAATATTTTGCCTCTGCACAATGGCAAGCGTTTTCACTCTCAAACCAAATCCCTTTTGAGGTTTTTTTGTTTTCTCTTTGAAATCTTGTGATGACTGAGTAATTTATGATGTAGTAACCTTGTCTGTATCTCAATTCTTTTACCCTTGTAAACATCTGCTGCAAAAATCACAAATGGCTGGCTGCAAAGGAGGAAGTTACCGCCCACCAAAGCCTCCCCATCCTGTTCCCTCTCCCTCCCTGGTATATCTGTACCCCCCACCCTCCTGTACTCACTGCACTTAGACAATTGCATTTGCTCTGTCTCTGCTCTGTAATCGCCAAGTACACTCCAAAGGCGGTGGGCAGTGTGGACATCCCCACCATGATGGTTAATACCGAGTGTCAACTTGACTGGATTGAAGGATACAGAATATTAATCCTGGGTGTGTCTGTGTGGGTGTTGGCAAAAGAGATTAACATTTGGGTCAGGGGGCTGGGGAAGGCAGATCCACCCTTAATCTGGTGGGCACAATCTAATCAGCTTCCAGTGAATATAAAGCAATAAGAAAAACGTGAAAAGGAGAGATGGGCCAAGCCTCCCAGCCTACGTCTTTCTCCCATGCTGGATGCTTCCTGCCATTGAACACTGGACTCCAAGTTCTTCAGCTTCGGGACTCGGACTGCTTCTCCTTGCTCCTCAGCTTGCAGACAGCCTATTGGGGGACCTTGTGAATGTATAAGTTAATACTTAATAAACTCCATATATATACACACATATATACACACACACACATATATATACACCCACACAGACACACCCAGGATATATATATGTGTGTGTGTATATATATATACACATACATGTGTATATATACACTATATGTATATACATATATACATGTATATATACACATATATGTGTGTGTGTCTGTGGGTGTGTGTGTGTGAAGTTCTATCTCTCTAAGAAAACCCTAATACACGCACATATGTGGGCCACCAGGACAAGAGTCACTGTGATTCTCATTCATCTCCTCTTCTCAGAGTGAGTCCCTGCCTTCTTTGCCCTGCTCCTGGCTTCCTGGGAAGGCAATATCCAGCTTCTGCCCCCGTGAGATGAGCTCAGGGCCAGTATAGAGAGAGAGAGCACTTTGAAACATGGTTATATACTTCATGCAGAAGTAGCAAACTAGTTACTCAGGCTGCATCTGGTCTCAAACATGTTTTGTTTAATATTTTCTTATTAGTCTTCTAATACTGAAAAAAAAGAGTCAGTGCTTTTTCCTAAGAAAGGAAACAACTGACTCTTTGGTGGCTTTGGAAAAATCTGGCACCTCCAGGCGCACATCCCCACGTGGCAGCAGTGAGCTGGAGCTAAGGCGTGGCTGTCCCCTTTAGACAGTTTCCAGTTTGCCTTAGTCCCCACCATGTCCTTTTGTCTCCCTCCCCTGATGCTAAGTGACAGGTGCCTCTCGTCCTCACATTGTGCTGTGACTTTCCTTGTGGTGCAGTAAGAGAAAACTGAAATGTTCCTGCACCCGCATCTTTATCAAAAGTGGGAAAATGGAAAATAGGGTGAGAGCGCTGAGTGTTTCAAGGGAAGAAATGTGAAAGCCTAGCTTTCTTCGTAGAATTAAATCCCAGGAAACACCCCTTTGTGATTTGAATGCCAGCAAAGTGTGTCCATGTTAGAAGAACACAATTCAAAAGACCATTGGAAGGGTGCCTGCCTCCCCCTTAGGCTTCCTGCCTGGTCCGTAGCATTCGAGTTGGTCACTCTTACTCTGAAAAGGCCATTTCTTAATGGCAGCCACGTTGGCATCATGGGCGGAACAGTTTCTTGTTGTGCAGGAGTGTCTGCCATACTGCAGAGCGTTGGCCATTTTGGCCTCTGTCCAGGCATGACCCCTCAGTCGTGTAACAACTCCTGCCCCCAATATTTCCAGACTTTTCCGGTGGAGAAGTCCAGCCCTCCAGGGATGTTGGATGGTAGATGTTTGTGTCCTAGGATGGACTGGGCCAGAGGACCTGGCCCCAAGCTGTGTGCTTGGTTCAGGGGGGACACGGAGGCCACCCAGGTGCACATGTTGCCCAGGTTCTGTGTTCTCCCAGTGCAGCACTGAGCCAGTCAGATCTGCCTCATTCCAGGCAGGGCTGCCCGGGTTTTCAGAAGATGCGGCAGAACAAAGCCACGCTTATTTGAATCATGTCTTTCTGTTCAGACGTGCTGTGGCCCCTTTCATCTACGTGGGCTGGCAGGAGCATCTGGTCTGCCCGCCAGCATGGTATTAAGAGCCATCCACAGCCGGATGCCAGGACTTAAGGCAGAGAACTGTCTGCATGAAGCGGCACCTCCTCGGTGCTTACCTGGCACTCTGCTTCCTTTCTGGGATCTATTTTGGTGTCTGTACCACAGTCCACCTTGTTCTGTGTGGATGAGTCTTCCGTAGCTACAAGGAAATAGTCACGTTGCAAATTGCTGGGTTGCAGCTGATCCCGCTCCTGCAGTGGTGAGATCAGACTGCCATGAAAGCACTCTTAAGGCTAAGGCGTGACTTCGTTTAATAAAATGGTTTGCACAAATCCACCTGGTTGACTGGGTCACAGACTGTGTGCCTCTGTGTGATGATGGCCTCGAGGCCCTCAGGTGATGCCTGCACAGCTTCTCAGAGACCCCAGGCGGCCTCCGGCAGAGGTGTCAGCCCGAGAGCAGAAGGAGTGTGCAAGGCCGGGCCAACCCCGAGCACAGGCAGAAGTCAACAAGCAGCCTTATTTCAGGCCCTGTTAAGAGGAGCAGAAGTTCTTGGAAGTAAATGGAATTCTGGATAATTTCACACCAGCTCTCAGACCACCCGGCAAACCTGTCCCAGAGGCACTCTTCATCCATTTACAGAAACAGCCTTCGGGAAGAACTTGAGACCCATGAGAATGACGTGGGAGTTTGCACACGTGCCAAGGCTTCAGCAAGTGGTCATGACTGACTTGGCGTATGGCTGATTTTAGAGCAAGGGAAGACTCATGTATTGTAATTAAAGGGAGGTGGAAGTATATTAGAACTTCCGTTATCTCAGGGCAGAGTTTGTTACTCCAAAAGAACAATAGGTATTATAGCATAAAATTTCCCAACGGCTGACCATTCAGAACAACTTTATTCACATATAGTTTGTACAAATAGTGCAGATTACCACCTTATATGAGTGTATGAGCTGTCCACTACTGTAGCAAAATTTTTTCTCTCCTTAAAACACACACACATATGCTATGCGGGACTCAAGAGTCTACAGGCAGTGAGACAAATTCTGTCACTGTTAAAAAAAAAAAAAGTGAAGTTTATTGGCGTAGCTTTAGTGGGCATTAAACATTTCCAGCATATTTTTGT
Source organism: Homo sapiens (assembly GCF_000001405.40). Lineage (NCBI taxonomy): Eukaryota > Metazoa > Chordata > Mammalia > Primates > Hominidae > Homo > Homo sapiens. The sequence continues at coordinate 100,221,222 of NC_000015.10, read as the reverse complement.
GTATTTCAAGAGGCTAATTGTGTTATTTAATTGAGAAGATTTGTGAGCATCTTGTAGGTGTCACTGTTTAAAAAAAAAACACATAAGCGTTTGCCCGTCAAACTGGTGGTATTAAATTGGAAATCAGGAAGCATGTTCCCAGTTCCTCAAGAAATTAAACATAGAGTTATTGTATAGGCAGCTGTTTCACTCCTAGGTAGGTACCCAAGAGAATTGGAAACATAGGTCCGTGCAGAAACTTGTACGTGAATAATCACAGTCGCATTATCCGTCATAGTCCCAATGTAGAAACTACCCAAGTGTCCATCAGTTGATGAATGGATGCCTCAGTTGTGGAATATCCATGCAATGGAATGTTATTTGGCAATAAGAAGTACTAACATTACATGCTGTGACATGGATGACCCTTGACAACGTTATGCTAAATGAAAGAAGCCAGTCACAAAAGGCCGCATATCGTGTGATTCCATTAGGTGAAGTGTCCAGAAGAGGCGAGTGCACAGAGACAAAGTAGATTAGTGGGTGCCAGGGGCTCGGGGAGGAGGAAGTGGGCTGTGATCTCACATCTTTCATCACCCTAGCTATAAGAGTGATGAAAATCTTCTCGAATTATGTCATGATGATGGCTGCACAACTTTGAGAAAGTACTAAAACCACTGAAGCATATACTTCAAAGGGGTGAACTTAATGGTGTGTGAATTATATCCTAATACAAAAATAGCGAGGTAGAGCAGATGGGAGAAAATATTATCAGTTGTTACATCTAAGTGGAGGGACTAGAGCTGATCATGTTACTGTTATTTCTACTTTTCTGTGTTTGAATATTTTCACAGTGAAGCGTTCGGGGGAAAGAAGAAAGGTGGCAAAGACAAGAAAAGCATATGCTTCCGCTGCCACCCCACTTAGGATGGATTTATTTCAGTTCAACAAAAAAGACACAGGAGGCGCTGGTGACATCTCGGGCTACTGAATGTTTCCCACTTTTCGAGGGTTAGTCTGACCCTTGCTGGGGAGTGTGCTGGTAGGGACGCCTGACATCGACATGTCTGCTGTCCATTATGAGGAGTGTCTAAGGCCAGACTTTCAGGTTCATGCTCCTTGTTCAATAAATAAATGAGTGGATGGATTGGTGATGAGACTTCATGCATCAGAAGGTACCATGGCGATGCATTAGGAATAGACATGAGCCTAGGATGTGAGGTCTCATTTTCCTTCTCTGCAAAATGGGAATAATAAAATTGTACCCGCCTCATAAAATTGTTGTGGGGTAACAGATGTAAAGTGCTTATTGCGGTTTTTGGCACATATTATTTTAAAACTTGTTATAAAGAATGCTCAGTGGAAAGTAGAAAGGATTAAAGGAAGAAAAGGAACTAGAGGGATGAATGGTTTGTATCTTTTTGCATGAAGGGAGCATGTGGGACTTCTGAATGCTTCCAGGTTTCTAGCATTCCCAGGTCAGATGAAGGGGCCTTTTACTTTTACCCAGAACAGTCAGAATTATTCTTTCCTGCTGTTGTGCTTTCTCCTTGAAGTTGCCATAGATTCTCCTTGTCCATGTGAAGACTTTGAGTGAGCCAACTAGAAGGTGAAATTCCAGGGTCTCTGGATGCGTTAGGAGGCAGTTTGCCTCGAACTGGGATCAAACACTGGGTTTGAGATAGAAGAAGCCCTATCTGAGGACGATAACGCTCTCTGATTATATAGGGATGGGGTTATGAGTGGTGGCGATTTTCCTGTTTTAAGTTCTTCAGTGTTCTTGAGAATATCTACCATGTTATACTCTTATAAGTAGGAAAAAACATTGCTTTTAGGAAAATTTTGACCTTGCATGCTGGATGACATCTTTAAAACTGCTTTTTTGAAGTACAATTTGCATACCATAAAGTTTACCTAAGCTATGTACTAAAGTGGTTTTTAGTATATTTATAGAATTACACAGCCATCACCATAATTTGATTTAGGAACATTTTTATCACCCCAGAAATAAACCCTGTACTCGTTAGAAGTCATTCCACATTTCCTGTCAACACTCTTGTCCCCAAGCACTAGTCACCCACTAAGCTGCCATGGATTTGCCTGTTCTGGACATTTCATCTAAACAGAATCATACAATATGTGGCCTTTTGTGCCTGGCTCTTTTCATTTTTGGCATAATGTTTTCAGGGGTCATCTACGCTTTAACCTGTATCAGAACATCATACTTGTTCTAGCATGTGTCAGAACTTCACTCCTTTTGTTAAATCATATTCCATTGCATATACATGTTTAGAGGTACATATGCATGTGTAGATGGACGTGTGCATGTTCAGGTGGACGTGTGCGTGTTCAGGTGGACGTTTGCGTGTTCAGGTGGACGTGTGCGTGTTTACTTGCTTATCTTTCAGTGATGCGTATTTGAGTTCTTCCCATTTTTTTGATATTGTGAACAATGTTTCCATAAATATTCATGTTTGAGTTTTTATGGGGACACGTTTTCAGTTCTTTCGTATATGTGACTAGGAATGGAATTGCTTGAATCAGATGGTAATTCTAGGTTGAATATTTTGAGACACTGCCAAACGCTTTTCCTATGGGGAGTGTCTACACCGTTTTACATTCCTGTCAGCAGTGTAGGAAGATTCTGTTTTCTCTGCATTCTTGCCAACACCCATCTTTTTGATTATAGTCATTCTGGTGGGTGTGAAGTAGTATCTTATTGTGGTTTTGATTTGCCTTTCTCTAATGGCTGATGTTGAACATATTTTCCCATGCTTATTGACCACACATATTTCTGCTTTGGAAAAATGTCTATTTAGATCATTTGCCCATTCAAAAATTGTGTTTGGTTTTTATTGAGTTGGAATAATTTTTTTTGCTGAGAGGTGGTGTTGGATTCTTCCCAAGAATTTTATTTTTAAATGACAAACCATAATTGTATGTATTTATGGGGTGCAGTATGTTTCAGTACATGTTACATTGTGGAATGATCAAATCAGGCTAGTTAGCATATCTGTCATCTCAAATATTTATAATTTCCTTGTGGTGAGAAAATTTAAAATCGTCTGTTTGGCCGAGTGCAGTGGCTCACGCCTGCAGTCCCAGCCCTTTGGGAGGCTGAGGTGGGCAGATCACTTGAGCCCAGGAGTTTGAGACTAGCCTGGGCAACATGGTGAAACCCTGTATCTACAGAAAATTAGCTGGGCATGGTGGTGTGCACCTGTAGTCCCAGCCACTTGGGAGGCTGAGGTGGGAGGATGCCCTGAGCCCGGGAGGTCAAGGCGGCAGTGAGCACTGATTGTAGCACTGCAGTCCAGCACTTCACAGTGAGACCCTGTTAATCAGTCAATCATTCAGTCATTCCTTTTTTCCTTCCTCTTTTAGCTGTTTTGAAATATATGGTGTACAGACTTGTAAGGATTCTTCATGTATTCTGGGTAAAAGTCACTTACCAGATAGATGATTGGCAAATATCATTTCCCACTGTGGGAACCTTTTCACTTTCTTGATGGTATCTTCCGAAGCATAAAAAATTTCAACTTTGATGTAGTCATTTTTTATCACTTGTACTTTTGGTATCATACCTATGAAATCATTGCCTAACCCAGGATCACAAATATTTACTTTTTTGTTTTGTTTGTTTTTGAGAAGAGTCTTGCTCTGACGCCCCAGGCTGGAGTGCAATGGCATGATCTCGGCTCACTGCAGCCTCCGCCTCCCGGATTCAAGCGATTCTCCTGCCTCAGCCTCCCGAGTAGCTGGGAATATAGGCACCCACCACCACGCCCACCTAATTTTTTGTATTTTTAGTAGAGACAGGGTTTTCCCGTGTTGGCCAGGCTGGTCTTGAACTCCTGGACCTCAGGTGGTCCGCCTGCCTTGTCCTCCCAAACTGCTTCTAAGAGTTTTATATTTTCAGTCTTACGTTTAGGTCTGTGATCCCCTCTGAGTTAATTTTTGTGTATGATGCGAAGTAGGGGTCTAAATTCATTTTCTTGCATATGGATATCCAGTTGTCCTAGTACCACTAATTGAAAAGACTGTTCCTTGCCTGCCTTGTCCGAGATGACATTTTGGTGGGAAACACAGGTATTTTATATTGTGGAACATGAAGTCTCCTGTTTATTTTTCCTATCAGAAAGATGTTGCTGAAACACAAACCCATGTCTCATGTCCCTGTTGTCTAGTTATAAATTTAATATCAACTCTTCCTCTTCAAAACAGCATTTTCAGCTTCAGGAAACTAATTTTATTATTTTTAGACTTGTGTTTGATTAAATACATGGGAAGTCTAGAGCAGGAAGGCACCCTGACCTCACAAAACAGAAGAACATGTGATGTTTCCAAGAAGTGCATTCAATGTGTGTTTCGAATCTAATCTTAGTAAAATATTGTTACTTAATTATTATGAATTCACCTATCTCAAAATCTGAAAAAGTTTTGTGAAGAGTTCTCTTTCCCCTTGATGAGCAGGGGTGAATTGTTAGGTGGGCCTGGAACGTCAGGACCTAACCAAGGTGGGCGCCATAGGCCTCTGGATAAAGCATCCCGGTAGCTTGGTAGACAGCAGACTGTGTCAGGATAGGTGTCAGCATCGGGAAAAAGGGTTCCGTGAGCTTGTCTTTAAAGGCAGTCAGCGCAAAATCCAGGTCAGGCAAGGAGAGCAAAGGTAAGGAGGCACAGTGCGGTTCCAGACGTTGTAATACGCTGGTATCTTGTCGTGGCCAACCTTGTCCTGGCCCCCAGCGCAGATAAAGAGAGTGGCCTCTGATGCCGGTGAAGGTGGTGTTTTCCCAGTCCCCAGCTCTTTGCTGTTCTTCAGCTTTCCAAATGTCATGTTGATAAAAGCATTTAGAGGTTCACAGCCTCTACGCTGGCAACTAAACTGCCGATCATTGTGAAATTGTCCTGTGCCTTTTGGCACAGAGTTTTGGCTTGAGAAATACTTTCTGTTAAACTTTAAGAAAAAATTTGGACTTGGTCAAACTAATTGCAGTGTTAGATAATATTTGTTCAGGGTTTACTCTGAACATTGCTTCTTCTCTCATTATTCATTTAATCCTCAATTCCACGAGGTAGGTGTTCATCTCATCTTACAAAAGGGGGCACAAGGCTTGGGGAGATGAAACAATTGCCATAGTCACCCAGGTGGGAAGTGGCAGAGGGAGACTCAAATGCAGACCCCAGTCCAGAGCCTGCCCTTCTCACCCCGCTCAGACTCTGCTGGCACAAAGAGAAATCTCCCTGTGGCTTACATTCCCAAGAATGGCCAAGGGAGCTGAGGATATGTTAGGAACAGGGACTCCCGAGTCAGCTCTGCTCTTGTAAGCACAGTCTTGGTTCTCCTGGGGAGAGTCAGCGACACCTAAACTCTGAGTTTGAGTTATTCATCCTCAGGCAAATGGTGTCTTGGAGGTCGCTGGCCATCCTGCCAGCAGCAGGATGTTTTGATACTTGTGTCTTCGAGCGGGAGAAGGGAAATACACTAGCAGCTCCCTTTGCAGAGGCCCATTTGCCCTTACCTACAGAGCAGCCCAGGGGCCTTGTGCATCATCCTTACACCTGGGGAGGGACCAAGAAGGGCACTCCAGGGTCTGCTGACTGAGTCACTTAGGCCAGGCCAGCCCTAGACTTCCCTGACTATCAGCCAGAAGGCCAACTTGTTACCCAAGGGCAGCAGTGACCAGGGCAGGTATCTTAGGGGCTGTCAACTTCTCTGTTGGCCATGCAAAGACTCCACGTGGAGTTGTCTATAGTGCACAAGCTCAGATAATGAAGGAGAATCGGTCATACTGAAATCAAGGCTAGCAGTGAGGTTCCTTCTGCCATGACAATGGGACAGTTACAAGGCTGGAGCTATCAGAAGAACGCCAGACATTCGGGCCCTAATCCATCTGGTAGATGTTCCAGACGAGATCCAGACATGAAATCTAACAAAGAGTCCAGGAAAATCGTCAGCTCATCTCACAAGCAGCTGATCTTCCACATCAACATCTTGCTTCACTTTGGGAAGTTTGCTTCACCAACTTCTGGTTTAATTGCTGGCCTCGCCAGTCTGTCTGATTTAGTATTGCTACTGCGTTCCAAACGCAGGCATGAGGGCTGCCTCTGGCTGTAGCCGGAACCTGCCAGGCACAGTGCAGGGGTCAGGAAACAGCAGTCCACATTCTTGGGTTGTTATGTTTTTGGATGGGAGATTCTGTATTGAGAGGGTTGGAATTAGTCTTTATTTCATGATACCAAATGGAGGTGTAAAAGATCTATGGGACAATAGAGCAGAATGGGCAGTTGTTTCCTCCTAAAAGAGAGTTGTCTCTGCAGGGCAGTAATGAACTTGTCACGGGACAGTGCAACAGCAAAGCTTTACTCTTTCATGGTGTCGTTGTGCTCATAGTGATAATCGAGGACCGTCTCAGGAAGTGTGCCGTGTCGCTTGTGCGTATTTGGAATTGGGATGACTAGCTAAGGAACTAATACAGATACCATTAAGAAATGATTTCAGCCTCCTGCGTGGATGGTGGGCCGAGCAAGTGAACCTAGAACATTCTGTGATTTCCAGTGCCCGGAAGAATAGAGCATGGCCAGGTCAGCAGTACCATTAAGAAGTGGCCAATAAAAGTGCGTATGCAATCCCATGCTCCTCCAGAAGATAGTCTTGAAGGATGGATCCCATTTTATTCCTTTAAAAAATTTATTTTGCCTTTTCAAGTTTTTTATTATTATACTTTTTTAATTAAAAAAACATAATTACCACAATTACATAATTACTACAAATTACAAAGGACTACAGCAAGACTAGAATAATGAATGAATCACTTCAGCCTGGAAAGCAGATACTCCCAATAATATTAATGTTATAATACAAGCTCATTCAAGTATTTTACATTTCTTTTGTCCCTTTTTTTGGCCTTTTAAATATGATATCTTAGCACATAGCAAAGATAATGTGCGATGAGCATAAGGTAGAACCTTCTTCACAAAGCCAGATGACAAGTTTTCCTCTCCAGTGAGAAATGGGTTCTAAGTTCCTATCTTCCCTGTCGACATGGCTGAAGGGGGAGACGGTGGGGTTGGGGAAAATCCAGGGACTCTTCCACATGGGAGCTACTCCGGGGTTCCATTCAGGAGGGCGCCAGATAACTGAGATAACTCTATCCAGGCTTTTTTGGCAAAACAAACAAACAAAAAACAAAAACAACCCTCACTCTCCGTAACTAGTCATCTTTCTTGCCCCTCCTCACTTTCAGGGCCTTCTCAGCAGCTTGCTTTCTTTTGTAAATTCATCAGAAAGGAGAAAAAAAGAGCTACCATGGAACAAAACAAAAACATTTAATAACTTTGACATAGGGGCTCAGCACCTCTATCTGACCCTCAGGGGTCCCGGCTGGGACGGGGCCAGATGGCCCTTCTCTACTGGTAGTGCGTGTGCTCCCAGGTGCAGGAGAGGGCAAAGGAGAAACCTGCCCCTTGACAGGGCTGAGGCACACAGACCTTCTGATGTTTGATACTCAAAGGTTATGTTGGCATGGATCAGCCTTGGAAGGGATAGGATGAATAGAAGGATCTAGGCAGGCTTTTGCTTTGCGTCTCAGGTCTTGGATCCCATTTTAAAATGATTCTCCTGCCTTGTCTTCAAGTTTTGTTTGGTGAGTTGTTTATGTTAGACCGAGAGAGAGTGATTTAGGAAAATAACACAGCTCTTTTCTGTTCCCATGCTGACGGGCACTGGCATGGGATGTTCCCGGGGTGTGTGTGGTGTGTGTGCTGTGGACGGGGAGGAAGCCGTAAATGCTTCTTTGGTCTTAGACCCTGACAGAGTGGATGTTGACATCGATTTTCTGAGCAATCATGGTGATTTGTCAGTATCCATCAAATGGAGAACACCATCAACAAATGGCTTTTATATCATGTTTTTCCTCTTATCAACCCAAAACAAATCCAGTTTTTAGAAATACTAATTTTCAGAAAACAGAGAGAGCTTGTTACATTTGTAAGCATATACTCTGCTGTGCCAAGTCCATCTCCATGGATGTTCAATTCATGTTCAATTCAGTTAAACATACCAAGATACAATAAAGGCCCTGCAGTTGGGACCAGGGAACAGGTATTGGCCTTGTCCAAACAGAATAGAGTGGTATATATAAAATTTGTATTTTATATATACACACTCAAGATTATACCTTTGTAAATCATATATATGTTAAACTACGGATATGTGCATATCCCTCAGCTGTTTTTCTTCTTTTTTTATATTATTTACAATTACAGGCTAATTTAAATTGGATGCTTAACTCAGGGTGCTTTCTAAATTAAATGCGTGCACCTGATTGACAAAAAGGTACGCGTCACCCTATGCATTACCTTGGCTGATTCCCACTCCACTCCACCCCACCCCCGCCCCAGGCATAATAAAGAGTCAATTTGGCTGCTCTTTTACAAGTGACATTGTTGGTGAATAATGTGAGACCTTTCCTCATGTTTTCTATGTGTCGGTTAGTTGAGATCTGGCAACGAAAAGCACATTCTACAAAGCATTTTTGGTTATCACCTTCTGAGGAATGCTTGGGTAACCCCTAAGGGCTGGAGGATAATTTTCCCAGGATCTTTTGGTCTGACTTGGCTCATCAGAGAGGGTTTTTTTTTTCCTAGGGAATGTCTTTGATTACATTCTGGGATTCCTGTGTTTAGTGTTTTTAACCTTTCTGAGGTTATGGATCCCTTTGGAAATTAGATGAAAGCTATAAAGCTTCTTGCAAGAAATACACACATGCATATTAGCTTTTGCAGTCTCAAGGGTTAAAGACATCTGTACGTGAGCCTTGTTAGTTTGTGTTTTAAAAGGAAACTCCCTGGACTTTGAATCGTAGTTGGCAGGCTTCTCCTGTCTTCCCTGGAATGCGTTATGCACGGGCCTGACTGTGAGTCTGTCTCCCAGGCTTGCTGTACATTCCCTGGGGGCAGAGTCCTCTCTACCTTTGCTGCGGTTACAGGGGATCTGCAGCCAGACTGGCTGGGTTCAGTGAATTCTCCTACTTGGTTGCAGCATGAGCCTGGGGGATTTGCTTACCCTCTTGGTGCCTCAGTTTCCCCATGTGTGAATGAGGATGATAATAGTATCCCTTCGTGGGGTGGTGGTACGTGCACATGCATGTGTACATATGTGTGCATACACATAAGAGGCTACCGAGATTCCTGTCAGCAGGGACAGGTGGGTGGGCACAACAGCATGGAAATGCAGCCTGGATGGTGACCTGCCACTTCCCAGGATATAACCACTTCCTGACTTCTACACACCTTTCAGCCTTTCTCAGTGGGTCAAATTACTTCCTAAAATGGCCAATATACCAATTTATATTCTCTTTAATAACATCTGGGAGTCTTTAATTGTGATAACCTTGCCGGTTATTGTCAGAATTTTTTGTTTTGTCAACATGCTGGGTGTGAATTGATATCTTCTTGTGATTTTATTTCTCATTTCTCTGGTGACAAGGTAGGTTGTATATCTTTTTAAATCTTTGGTTTTAGGAATTGAAAATGTCTTCATTATGTCTTTTCTTCGTCTTTACCTTTGTTTATGGTACCTTTTATGACATAGAAGTTTTCAGTATGGATTTAGCTAGATAGCCCAATCTTTTTTATGATCTTTGCTTCCTGTTTCTTGTTTTAAAAATTCTTTGCTACTCTAGGAACATAAAGACCTCCACTACATTTTCCTCTGACAGATTCGAAGTTGTTTCCATTCTTGTGTATTTCATCCATTTTGAGTTTGTTTCTGTGTCTGGCATGAGGTTGAGAGTTTAATTCATTCATCTCCCTGTGGACACCTGTGGTCCCAGTGCCATTTATTGAACAGTCTATCATTTTCCAGTTATTCAATATTTTTAAAAGTCAGGCAATTTGCATTTTATGTAAGCTCTTCTAACTTTTTTTTTTTTTTTTTTTTTTGAGATGAAGTTGTCTTGCTCTATTGCCCGGGCTGGAGTGAAGTGGCACAGTCTCAACTCACTGCAACCTCCACCTCCCAGGTGCAACCGTTTCTTCAGCTTCCCAAGTAGCTGGGATTACAGGCACAGGCCACCATGCCCTGCTAATTTTTGTATTTTTATTTATTTATTTATTTATTTATTTATTTATTTATTTATTTGAGACTGAGTCTCGCTCTATCACCCAGGCTGGAGTGCAGTGGCGCAATCTCGGCTCACTGCAAGCTCCACCTCCCAGATTCACGCCATTCTCCTGCCTCAGCCCCCGAGTAGCTGGGACTACAGGTGCCTGCCACCACGCCCAGCTAATTTTTTGTATTTTTAGTAGAGTCGAGGTTTCACCATGTTAGCCAGGATGGTCTCGATCTCCTGACCTCGTGATCCGCCCATCTCTGCTGCCCAAAGTGCTGGGATTACAGGCGTGAGCCACCGCGCCCGGCCAATTTTTGTATTTTTAGTAGAGACGGGGTTTCAGCCATGCTGGCTGGGCTGGCCTCAAACTCCTGACCTCAAGTGATCCACCCACCTTGGCCTCCCATGGTGCTGGGATTACAGGCGTGAGCCACTGCGCCTGACTAGCTCTTCTAATTTTCAATTGTTGGTGACTGATTAGAATTTTCATTTCAATCCTAAATGGGCCAAATAAAACATTCCTGCAGTTGAAATCCTTCTGTGGCTGCCAGCTTGCGGTCTCTGATGTAGTGCTTTAGGACAGGACCTGTGGCCCTGAAGACCTGAGATTGAATCCCAGCTCCACCCCTCATTTGCTGTTTGACCTCGGATGAGTTGTTGACTTCTCAGAGTCTTAATTTCCTCATCAGTAGTACTGCAAGGATAATAACAATATGTACCTCACCAAGTGGTGGTGTGGATAAAATGAGATCCCGCATGGGACTCTTTAGTGCAGGACCTGGTACACACATAGTAAGTGTCTGACAAATGTTAGTGTTGATCAGCAGCCGCTGCCTCATTACTTACCCCTCCCTGTTCCAGCTCACTTCTTTTTTTTTTTTTTTTTTTTTTTTTTTTTGAGATGGAGTCTCGCTTTGTCTCCCAGGCTGGAGTGCAGTGGCACGATCTCGGCTCACTGCAAGCTCCTCCTCCCAGGTTCACGCCATTCTCCTGCCTCAGCCTCCTGAGTGGCTGGGACAACAGGCGCCCACTATGCCCGGCTAATTTTTTGTACTTTTAGTAGAGACGGGGTTTCACCGTGTTAGCCAGGATGGTCTTGATCTCCTGACCTCATGATCTGCCCGCGGACCACCACAGAGGCATAGAGGCAACCTGGAAATGTATGAAATTGCTTGAAAGGTGAAGAACATTTGTTTTTCTTGACCTTTGACATTTTAAAGACAGACATTGACATGCATGCTATTTCCATAGTCTGGGATGATTCTGAAACCCATTGTAACCCACTGGTAATGAGCTGCCTCCATAAGCATGGAACAGGGACATACCTTCACCCTGAAGATGGGACCTGAGACTTGGTACCATCCACTTTCTGCCACGCTGGCGATGATTCTGAGGCTGGCCATCTTCCTTGTCTGCCACTGATTCTGCCACGAGTCACCTGTTTCCTCTTTGTAATCTTAGTGCCCACTTGACTTCGTGGTGTGGCTCTCATCAACATTCTTTTCTAAGAGGCTTTTTTTTTTTTTAATAAAATGTAATGCCGTCATTTTTATATCCTGTCAGCAAAGGCGGAGATTGTCCTAGGGCTTCCCCTGGGCCATCAGAAGGGAGGGCTTGTCATGGTAGTTTGACTTTAGTTCATGACTGTTGAGTCAACACCCAAATGATGGCTGGCTTCCCATGTTTGGGTTACTTCTTTAGTGGAGGGGCCGTGATGCCCTGCCAGGGAGTGATTTATGGACTTGAACTCAGGAGCTGGCGTTCAGGAGCTGGTGCCCAGAGCTGCTCTGAGGCCTGGGCTGACCTTTGTGCGCAGCCCAAGAGCAGGGCCCCGAGAGGTGTCTAGAACAACGTGTAGATTGAAAGAGCTTACCCTTGTCCCGAGGTTTCACTAAAAGTCCACATTTCATCCCCCAAAGAATGGGCTTTGCTGGGCTAAGCATTTAGCAAGAAATGCGGTTACTTGTTTTGAGAATCCTTTTCTTTCTTTCTTCCTTTTTTTTTTTTTTTTTTTTGCTAACTTGGCAAATATTTCCATGCATGGCCTTGCATTGTATTCATCCTTTAGAAATACGGCTATAAGAGGGAGTGAAGCTGTTTTTCAAGGTTGTTTCAGGCAAGTCTCAAGAACGTACCATTGGAAGAGCCCTTGGAAGGCAGTAAAGGTAAATTAGAAATGGCTCATATGGTCCGAGAAATACGAGTGATACAGGTAAAGCCTGGTGTTGCAGGTGAAAGCAGACTTTGACTAATACACATCACTATAGCTTCATCAACTCATGACCCTTGGATATACCAAAGACATACCCTTATCTAAATTGTCCAGTGACCTTGACTCTTCCCAGATTCTTAAACCAAGGCCTCTTCTCCTTCTATTTCACATGCATGTGTGTATCCCTTTGTTATCTTTTAAATTATAATTGAGGCATAATTTACATATAGATAGTGTATCTAAGTGTACTATTCAGTGAATATTTGTAAACTCATGAGCTTTGTGTAATGATGAATGATGACCTGGATCTAGAAACAAGACAATATCAGCCCCCGGGCAGGGCCTCTTCATGCCCCTTCTGGTCACTAGTCCCTCTGGGGTAACACTGACCTGACTTTTTGATCTCTAAATGAATTATTATAAGGCAAACATCCTTGTGACCAGCATCCTGGTCAAACAGTAGAGTCTATCAGCCCTGCAGGTGGGCCCCGTCCCAGCCACAGCCCCTTCCCTCTGCACAGGTACCCACTTCCTTGGCTTTTGTAGTGATGAGCACCTTCTGTCTTCTGGCCTTATGCATTTGTGATTTTTGAATGAGTCAAGGTAAAAAGAACAAGCAGCACATGTTTCTGGCTTGCTGCATTTGGTTCTGCACACCCGGAATGCCTGTTGCCGCTCGGTTTTCATTGAGATTCGCTAAGCAGAACCAGCAGCAGTGCTCCCTTTTTGTGAGCCTACTGTGTGCTAGGGGAGGCTCCTGGGTTCCTGACAGACCTGGAAGAGCCTACTGTGTACCAGGTGAGGCTTGCAACAGACCTGGAAGCTTCCAGAGCTCTCTGGCCCATCCCACCTTCCCCTGGAGTTCTTTGGGATTCCCTGGGGACTTGAAGAGATGATTTTAGCCTCCGATTCTTCAGAGCTAGCAGTATATTACTTTTATAAGAGTCTTTTAAAACTGACTCCTCCCTCCAAGGCTGTGTTTGAGTGTTTTTAGAACATCTCCTAGGGCCTGGGGATTTCCAGGGAGTCTCCTGCAAATAGAAATGGCCAATGACGTGAGTGATGGGTCCACGTTTGGCATGTTGTCATGATTCTCTCACCTCCCTCCCTGGTGCCTTAGTTTCTCCTGATGGACATCCCTGGCTGTAACTTGCAAGGTGTACCCCATTGTCAAACGACTGAGGGATGGCACTTCTCTGCCTACAGATGCAGCTGGCTAAGGTGTTGTATGATTTGAAATACAGAACACCCCCACTCCACCATATTTTTTATTCTTCTCTACCAAGCGTTTTTGTAACTAGTTCAACCTGATGCTCCTACAACTTTCCAGATCAGTTCCTTGTTATTAAACCATGTCGTGAACATCAAGGCCAAGCCCATGGCGCATTAGGTGGCTGCAGTGCTGTGTGGCAAATGAGCATGGTGAGTTCCGGTGGCCGCCATGCTCGTGGGTTAGCCATGTTTGAGCAAGGGGACCCAGGGTGCACTCTGGGTGTATTAGCTTGTTTAGAGCTCCTCTTATAGAATACTGCAGACTGGGAGGCTTACACAGCACACAGTTATTCCTTATGGGTCTGGAAGCTGGAACTCCGCAGTGCCAGTAGGACTGGTTTGGGATAAGGAATCTCTTTCCTGGCTTGTCGACAGCTGCCTTCTCACTGTGTCCTCACCTGCCCTCTTGTGCTCACTTGGAGAGAGGGAAAGAGGGAGGGAGGGAGAAATACCTCTAGTGTCTCTTCTTCTTTTTATAAGGACCCAGACCTGTTGGATCAGGGCCCCACCTTGCTGACCTCATTTAACCTTCATCACCTCCCTGAAGGCCCTGTCTCCAAATACAGTGACATTGGAGATTAGGGCTTCAACCTCTGAATTTCAGGGGGACACAGTTTAGCCCATAACAGTGAGCATGATTAAAATGCACGTATTTGCTCTTACCAGCCCCTACTCTGCCTTCTTCCTGGCTCCGGCTGTCATCACAGTTGAGCAGCCTCCGCTCGTGGCCCTGCCTGTGGCTGCTCTAATAACTGTGATTCAAACAGAAATGCTGAGAAAGATCAGGATTCTAGGCACACACCTCAGACAGCTGCCTTGGGAAGGCTGAGTCAGGAATGTGCCCCTCCTTCCAGGTCGCATTTGAATCTCTGAAGGGAGATTCGATCCATTCCCAGATTCCCTTTGGGGATATCTGACCCCATGGAAGACTTAGTTGTCCCGTTCCCCACATGGAGGAGATTATTTTTAGCCAAAACATACCACACTTCTTCTCAGCCTCACCCCCACCTAAAACCCCAGCTTTCCCCAGGGAGAGGGAGGGCATTCTAACCCACCAGCAAAGGGGAGACATTTCCAGTGAGAGAAGATAGAGGAGGCTGAAAGCTGTCACTGAAGTGGGACTAAGGCAAGTTCATTTTAAAATTATTGACCGAAATAGGCGCCAAGCAGTGCAGTCGATAGAGAATGTGAGTGTGTTACAGTTTTCAAAATTCACCAGGGTCCATTGCTGTAGGAGTGAGTGTGGGCATCACCCTCATGCTGCCAGTAAGGGGAGGGGTGTCCTGGGCATGCCCATGTCTACAGACGTACACTCAAGTGCACACACAGGAGCCTGCACACAGGTGACGGTGCAGTGCTGCTGAGGTGCAGCCATCCGGCAGGCTGGTCAGGGCATGGTGTTTCCTGAATGCCAAATGCTAGAAGACAGGGCTTTTCTCTGGTAGCCAGGGAGTACATGCAGAGGCCCAGAGGTCTCCTGAAAGGGAACTCCAAGGCACTCATCACCTGCTGCATTCACGGTGCCGCCCGCCGTTGCTCCCCACACAGGGAGCCACCCATGGTCTGGGAAAGTTTGCCGAGAGAGCGGTCAGAATGAGGGTGTGGCTCACTGAGGGGCCCTCAGCTGTGACAGGTGACCCAGAGGGAGGAGCAGGGATCAGTGGGTGCGTGGCTCAGTGTGGAGCTTCCTCTCCAGTCTCCACTTGTTTGCCCTCTGGAGGGGCCAGACCTGGGCTCGGTCCCTGGCACAGCTGTCTTTCAGAGACCGCGGCGCCCACCCTTCAGGCCCTGAGGCTTGGCTTGGAACATCCCTGCTCACCTTTCTACCGCCTTTGTCTCTTTGCTGAAATGGCCTGGAGGCTGCTTCCCCTAGGCGTGTGCCTGCTCAGCTTAGACTCTGCCCGGCGCAAGGCCTGTGTCACATACAGGCAGTCAGGAAACACTTGACAAAGTGTTTGTCAAAATAAGAGATTTTCAAGGCTCCTCTGATGTCCTGAGGTGAACCTGCCTGGGACCATTTCTGGTGGGCATCAGGGCCTGTTTCAGAAGCCCCTGAGCCTCTCTGGGGTTCTCCGAAGAGAGGCACACTGTGATTTGACAAACGTTACATTGCTCCCTGGAGAACCCCTCCCACGTGATGGGTCCTGCTGACACGAGCATCATCTTCTCTGGCAGGTGGGTAATCTGCACGATATCTCCATGCACTTGGCTCAAGTTGGCTGTGGCCTTTTGAACATCACCACTTATTCGTTTCTCTTTCCTTCCCCTCTCCCGGCATGTTTTGGTTTCTAGCAGCAAACTGTTGGCATAAACTTGTGGCTTCTAACTTGTAAATCCCAGGGCCAATTTATTCCTCCACTTACCCTTAACTCACAGAACACATGAAAATGTTATCTTGTAGGAGTGACTGCTCCAGCCCAGGGACCCTCGAGTCATCTGTGGGGACTCGTGTGATTCTCTTACCAGAGACAGCATCTCCTCCTGAAGTCCAGGATCCTGGAGGTACCTGGGAAACCGAAGCCAAGGACATCTGTGTCCTAAGCTGTGGTCTCATTAACCCTAGGGAGCAAGGCCAAGAATATGTAGCCTTTCCTGACTCTGACCCATAACTGAGAACCCCATCATGAAGCAACAGCTCACATGGCGTTACAACACACAAACCAACAAACTGAATTAGCCTGCAAGGCCATAACTGCTGTATGACTCCCGGTCCACAGAAAACCATAATTGCCAAGGGGAAAGTCTGGAAGGCTTCCTTAGAGAATGTGCCAGCACATTCATTGCTTGGGCTGGCAGTGGAAATGAAGGTGACTCCTTACCTCACTCCCAGCCCCTTCCGCCTCAGCTACTCTTCTGTTGTAAGAGGTTAGGATTTTCCCACCCCTACTTGTGCTTTTGATGTTATAGCTAAGAAGGCTTTGTCTACACCAAGGTCAGGAAGATTTCCATCTTAGTTTTCTTCTAAGACTTTTATAGTTTTAGCACTCACATTTATCTCTTCAATTCATTTTGACTTATATTTTAAATGTGGTGTGAGGTAGGGGTCCAACTTTTTTATTCCTTTGTAGTTAGTTTTCCTTTGTCACATCCTAGCCTCTAAGACATTTGCTCCTAAATGCTGTTCAGCCATTCAGATCACACCCACATCCACTTAGGTTTGCAAGAACACAAGGACTTGTCAATGAGCCTGAATCTGCAATCCAATATCCATGACTATGGTTGGTGTATGGCAGATGCCACATGCTCTCTTGTGACTGACAGCTTGATGTCCCAGAAATAACTATGACGGTGTTTGGTAGTTGAGCAGTTGGTGGGAAAAACTGAGCCATCTCTCTCAAAGGCAGACCCTGTAAGGTTGGACTAATGGGCAGCAAGGCCACCAGCTGCAGATGGCTTATATGCAACAACTTACTGCATCAACCAGAGTTTATACAGTTGTTTGTTGTTTATTCCTTAAGTCTAGAGAGAGTCGAGTGGTCAGCCCCTAGATAAAGAGTTATGAGCTTCTATCATGTAGTTTTCTACTGAAAAAGAACTAATTAAGTCTCTTCACCCAATTTTGTCTACAAAATTATGCTTCTACTGAGAAAAGGAAAGGAAAGAAGACAAATGAGCACCTGTGTTGTGCTGGCATGGATGGGAAGATGGGTCACAGAGCTAGTGGATGGGAGCCTCTTCTCTCGATAAATTAAATGAGCTTCTCCAGGTGTCAGAAGAATTCATTACACCCCTTCTTTTTTTTTTTTTGAGACAGAGTCTTGGTCTGTCACCCAGGCTGCAGTGCAGTGATGGATCTCAGCTCACTGCAACCTCTACCTCCCGCGTTCAAGTGATTCTCCTGCTTCAGCCTCCAGAGTAGCTGGGACCATAGGGACCTGCCACCATGCCTGGCTAATTTGGGTGTTTTTTTGTTTTGTTTTTGTTTTGTTTTGTTTTGTTTGAGAAAGAGTCTTGCTCTGTCTCTCAGGCTGGAGTGCAGTGGCGCGATCTCGGCTCACTGCAAGCTCCACCTCCCAGGTTCATGCCATTCTCCTGCCTCAGTCTCCCAAGTAGCTGGGACTACAGGCACCTGCCACCACACCCGGCTAATTTTTTGTATTTTTAGTAGAGATGGGGTTTCACCATGTTAGCCAGGATGGTCTCGATCTCCTGACCTCATGATCCGCCTGCTCGGTCTCCCAAAGTGCTGGGATTACAGGCGTGGGCCACCACACCCAACCAATTTTGTATTTTTAGTAGAGACAGGGTTTCACCATGTTGGCCAGGCTGGTCTTGAACTCCTGACCTCAGGCGATCCTCCCAGCTCAGCCTCCCAAAGTGCTGGGATTACAGGCATGAGCCACCGCACCTGGCCCACACCCCTTCATTTTTACCCTCTGTGTTTCAGATTTTTTCAAGAGTGTGTTTGTTGTCAGGGGTATAGTAGAGTTGGAGTGAGCCACCATTTAGGACACAAGCACACGCTTGTTGTCAGGGGTGTAGTGGAGCCTCTGTTTCCCCATCTATAAAATGGGACCAGTCATGCCTGCCAAGCAAGGGAGGGTCGAGTGTTCAGAGCAGTCAAGCCCATTAGAGGCACGACTAATAAATTCCAGTTGCCTTTCTGCCTCCGTTTTGTTACGAGAAACTATGCAAACATGTGGAATTGATGTTTTTAAAAATTTTTAAATAAGTTCTGTGATCTGTGGAGAATTTTAAATCATAGAAGGCTGGATGTGAAAGCACCACTGCAGGGTCTAAAAGCCTCTCCCCAGCATAAGGCAATTCCAGTTAACTCAGAAGGTTCCACAGTGTCAGCACTGAAATTAGCAGAGCTTTGTCACAGACCTCAGTTTTTAATAAATCAATACAGAGAAAACTGGTTTTTCCTCATTTCTTGACAAGCACCAGCATATGGGGATTTGGCGGGTTTTCCCAGCTTGGTGCCTTCTGCAGCCTGAGACGGTGGGGGTATCTCTGAGTCTCCAGGGCTCTGTCTTCCCTAGACTGCAGTTTCTTTTTAGAAACATGGAATAGTGGTGGGCTTTGTTTTCTGCGAAGCTGGATGGCTTAATTACTGTTTACTCCCCCCACAGCTCTTATTTTACAACAACCTGGGATTTTCTCCAGACTTTGTTTTGTGCATTCTAAGCATTTCCACCTCATCTCTCATAAACACACAGGTCTTGTGCTCTGTTATCAGGAGCTGTTTCTTTTATGTGTTTTTCCTTGCTCAGTTTTATGACCAGGCTGGTCACGACTGGAATAAATCATTAAAAGCACTCGACCTTGATCCACCTTTGTGCAAGAGCATTTCTTGTAAATAAACTGATTCTTTGTTTTCTAGTTAAAAAAAAATCATCTGCACCTTGGAAAAATTAAAATGCAATTATTGGAAGGCTCCTTGCTTCACTGTTCCACTAGCATTGCACGTTACCTAATTAGAGTGGAAAGTCAGGGCTGCCTTCTCCGAGTGCTGAGTGTGGCTGAGGCCAGGGGGGATGTGTTTGTGTGGCATTTGAGGTCTGCCGGTTCTGCATCAGAGCCCGTGGTGGGCACACTCAGGACAGGAAGCTCAGCACATCTGGCCTTATTATGTCTCCCTTCCCCCTCACCAGGCAACTTCTCCAGGGCGTGCAGATCTGATTGTTTCTAATTGATTCATTGACCCAGAGGGGCTGCAGCCAGGGCTGGGCGGGCACTGCTGGGTGTGTGTCTGAGCGTGTGCGTGCACCCACGTGGGCCGCGTGCACATACCATCAGGGCTGTGTAGCAGTATTCCATCTACTCACTGGTAGACTTGTAAAAGCAACCCACAAAACATTTTTAAACAAAACCCAGAATAATGACCTTGAAGGCACCGAGAAACCACATCACATCCTTTCTGGTTGTCGTGTTGTTTTTTTTAATAGTCTGCATTGCTGGGTTGTGACATCCACGTGGCCACAAAACCATCTTGAGGCAAAATAACATTTAATTTGTTCTTTATTTATTTTTAACTAAGCACATTGCATGTTTCCAAATAAAAATAGACCCACAATGAGGTACCTGGGCCCAGTGTGTGAAACATGAGCCCTGGAGCCGCACCTCTGCGGAGCCAGGCCATGTGAGCTTCCTCTGCGCCTTTTGGAGCGGATGAGGAAGGAGGATGTATTAGTCTGTTTTCATGCTGCTATAAAGATACTACCTGAGACTGGGTAGTTTATAAAGGAAAGAGGTTTAATTGACTCTCAGTTCTGCATGGCTGGGGAGGCCTCAGGAAACTTATAATCATGGCTGAAGGGGAAAGGGAAGCAGACACCTTCTTCACAGTGCAGCAGGAGAGAGGGGGGAGGGGAAGAACTACCAAACACTCCTAAAACCATCAGCTCTCATGAGAACTAACTCACTGTCCCAAGAACGGCGTGGGGGAAACTGTTCCCATGATCCAATCACTTCCCACCCGGTCCCTCCCTGACACATGGGGATTACAATTTGAGATGAGATTTGGGTGGGGACACAGAGCCACACCACATCAGAGGGACCACCCTGTGTATGGCTGAACTCTGCACCAGTTTGATTTGGACATCAGCAAAGAGGATGTTGGTTTAGCTCTTTGGGGGCAGGAAGGAGGGGTCATTTTTAATGAAATGGTTCCCCTGTCCCATTCTCTCCTGCCCTCTGCCAACTCCTTCCCTCCTGAGACACCTCAGGCAAGTTCATGGAAGGAGCCCTTGGAAAGGAGCAATGTGCAGCTCGACAGAGGGACAGCCATGGGGGAGAGCAGGTGCAGCTCGACAGAGGGACAGCCCATGGAGAGCAGGTGCAGTTCGACAGAGGGACAGCCCATGGGGGAGAGCAGGTGCAGCTCGACAGAGGGACAGCCCATGGGGGAGAGCAAGTGCTCCTTCCTGGTGGCCACAGCCCATCCAGGGCATGGAGTTGACGGGCAGAGTCCAGCTGTATTTAGCCGTCATCCGCCCCATGGCGCTATGCCAGCAGAGCCACTGCCCACCAACCCCCAATGTGACTGCACAGCCAGGGGAGCACTGAGCTCCTATAGCCACCCCATGCCACCATCCGCTTGCGTGTCACACAGGGGCATATCGAGGAACTGCCTTCGGGGTTAAACGCCCACGGGAGGGCGGATGTCAGGTTTCCTAGCGAGCCCTGTTGAGATAAGCCCTGTGGTCCCTGCGGGGCGAGACATGTCTTTCCTGGGTGCGGGGAGTACTGTGGTGGGGAGCCCTGGAGAGTCAGCCCCCAGAAGTGCGGCCGGCATGGGCTCGCCCTCCCCACCCCTGCTGTGGCTGCCCTCCCAGCATTCCCCAGAGGGGCCGGCACCCAAGGGCTCCATGTCATCCTATGCGTCCCTCTGCCAAAGCCACATTCTTCCCCTGGAAAACACCTGCCCCTCCTGCAGTGGCTGGCCTGCCGTCCCACCAACACCACCCATCCTTGGGATGCGGCCTCCACTGCCCTGCATTGCGTTTCTCCTGGTGTGTGTGGTTCAGGTTTCCTGTGTTAGGGTGAGATCCTTAGGTGCGAGCATGTGTGTGTGGAGACACACGTTTGGCTTGTGGGCTGGTGCTCACTGAGGACTTCAAGACCCTGGCTCTCCCAGCGCTGGCTCCGCTTCCTCTGGGTCTTCCTCTCTCAAGGGCTCCTGAAGCATTTTTCAGAACATTCTGTGCAGCCTTCCGGGGCGTGCTGTCCACGAGACCCAGCACAGACCCCGGCTCACGCCCGGGATGCGCATTGTGAGGAGGCGCTCCCTCTCAGGGTGTGCGGGTGCAGGGGCATCGCCTGAGGGGAGTCAGGGCCTCTTAAACCTTGCACCCTCGGTGTCTTACCTGGCTGGCTCACCTGGTCCCAGCCCTAGGCGCTGAAGTTAGACAGATCTGGCGTAGGATCGCAGCATGGAGTGCCCATCCAGGTGACCTTGGGAGAGTTACCTTTCCTTTCCAAACCTCAGTTTCCCTCATCCTGGGTCACGGGGATTAAGTTAGGTGCTATGGGTACTCTACTCAGCACACCCCCGACGCGTATTAGATGCCTGATGGATGCTTGCGGTGGTTATTGTTTTATTGGGTGAACACAAAAGCATCATACACAAACCCTTCCCAGGTGGGCTGAGGCTCATAGTCACCATTGTTGCCGTGTGCCTGCCTTGATTGTGCATGACGTTGACCGTGCGGACTTGCCCGGTGAGACCAGGGCCTCCCACGTTCTGAAGAGGATGTGTTTTGTGTCTCTGCTGCAGGAATTGCTTACTTAGGAGGTGTGTGCAGTGCTAAGAGGAAGTGTGTGCTTGCCGAAGACAATGGTCTCAATTTGGCCTTTACCATCGCCCATGAGCTGGGCCACAAGTAAGTATCAGACTCTGTGTCGTCCTGTTTTCTTTCAGTCCTTTTTGAGTGCAGATTTTTCACTTGAATTCTGTAAGTTCTAAAACAGTGCTGCTCTATGCCTTTGCTGCATCTGCAATAAAGGACCCAGGTCAGTACACTAGGGTCCAAACCCTCAGAGACCCCACGAGATGACTGCACCGATTGGCTTGGAGAGTTGAAATGTTAATTTGATGTGCACATCTATTCTTAAAGCCAACAGACTAGAAAGAAGAGGTTCCTCTCAGGATGTCCTTATTTAATTGTACTTCCTTTCCGGGACGAGCATGATCTTTGATTCACTCTAAGTCTATTATTCACATAATGGGATGCATCTTTATACTGTTGACTTTCCATGTCTTTTTCTGCCAATTCTAAAGTCCAACTTTCTGATTGTAGAATTTAGTGTCTTAGTTTTGAAGAATTAACAGCTGTGGATGAGAGTCTTTGCACACAGCGATTCTTCTCTTTAGGATGAAATAACCATAGAACCTTAGAGCTTGCCTTAAGGAGAGTCCGAGGCAACCTCCTGGTTGTTCAGATGAGGAAACAGAGCGTCAGAGGGGTTGTTGAGTGGCTGGCCCCAGGTTGTGACCATCTGTAGGAAGCCTCAAGCGGCAGAAAGCCAGACGACGCTCAAACTGTGGCCTGAGGGTTGTTCTTTTTCCTAGAGTAGGTGTCTGTTTTATGTTTCTCTGAAGGAAAGATTGTGATATGACTGCTTAAGAGCTTAAAAGAAAATTAAATTGAGGAGGCCAGAGCATGCCAAACAGTGGAAAGGTTTATATTGGATTGAATAGAACATAAGTAAATGGAAATCTAGTTCTTGGGGGAAAAATTATTGTAAAGGTTTCCTAATGACCTACACAGTAAGATGCCTGGAATCTCAAGTGTTAACTCTAGTTTTTACGAGAGTAAAGTCAGTGTTTAAGAAGGAGTATAAAAGCAATTGTTTTTCTCAAGCATTTGCCATATCTGTGGCTTTACTTTTTGTTTGTTTGTTTTTTTATGAGTGATGCCTTTTAATGAGTTTATATTCTATTAATTCACTTTTTAAAATGCTGGTCCATATCCACTGAATTGATTTTATGACCTTTTTGTTTTGTTTTTGCTGTTTTTTGTTTTTAATTCTACTCTAAGTTCTGGGATACATGTGCAGAATGTGCAGGTTTGTTACATAGGTATATACGTGCCATGGTGGTTTGCTGCACCCATCAACCTGTCGCCTACATTAGGTATTTCTCCTAATGCTGTCCTTCCCCTAGTCCTCCATCCCCTAACAGGCCCTGGTGTGTGGTATTCCCTCCCTGTGTCCATGTGTTCTCATTGTTCAACTCCCACTTATGAGTGAGAACATGCGGTGTTTGGTTTTCTGTTCCTGGGTTAGTTTGCTGAGGATGATGGTTTCCAGCTTCATCCATGTCCCTGCAAAGGACATGAACTCATCCATTTTTATGGCTGCATGTTTTTGTTGTTGTTTTGGTTTATCTAGCGCCATTTTAATTTCTTCCATTCCTGTAGAGGGGTTTGGTAGTTGGCCTTTCCGTACCTATTGTATGTCATGATGTGAGTAGGTACAGAGAGTGGAAATGATGTTATGTGCAATTCCTGGGGTAGGGAGGAAATCCCATGATACTGACCCAGGACCTGGTGAAGCAAGATGAGAAGTTGTCTCTGAGTGCACAGTTATCTCATCTCAACACTATTTTTAAAAATACTGGCGACAATTCTTTGCACAGAACTGTTTTTTAAATGAAGTTCAATTGCATTTGTATTAATACCTCTGAGTTCTTAAAATCCTGTATCCAAGAGTGATTTGCTGGGGAAAAAAAGCATAAATCAGAATGGGTTTGGCAAACATCTTCCCACCATCAAGGGACCCAACCAGCATGCCGTAGTACCTAAGAATCAATTACCTAATGATTATGAGAATGCAGGATGTCAGAGTACTTACCAACACCCGAGTTGCTATGGGCCTTTGAATAGTCAATTTAAATAAGGTGGGTTGAGCTATAGTTACATGAACTGCAATGTCCCACGCCAGCATCCAGCAGCATGGCACATGCTAAGTGCCATTTGCACATACGTGTGGGCGCACACATGCCGCATGGAGGTCTTTTCTCATCAGACATTAAAAATACAGAGGGCCATTTTCTCCCTGATGACCTGTTCGAGTGTGCCGGATCAAACACTGGCCTCCCTGCAGCGGAGGTCTGCAAAGATGAATGGTTAGATTCAAACACACTTTAGTACCCTTTAGCTATAGACTGTGTAGAATTTCTTGGAGGACTCTTTATAGCTTGCTATTGAACTCCAATTACCGACAAAAACAAACACCTTATTGTTAATCAAAGCCAATAAATCTTGCTAGCATTTGGCCCTCCCCCTCTTTGGGTAATTACAGGTTTCCCAGGGAAGTCTTTGATTAGTCGCAAGTGTTGGGAAGCAGATCCCTGAGGATGAAGCTATGTCCTCCCCGTCAGCAGGCCCCTCTGGTTGCTGGGCTGTGGTTGCAGGCTATATGGGCTGCTGGAAAAGGCCAAGACCAACCTGCACTCTCAGCAAAGCCACCGGCCAGGCTGTTTCACAGACACGAAACCGGAAAGCTGATCCCTATTTTGGAATACAGTGGAGCCATTTAACTCCATATTCCTTAGCTTATGTGAAGAAAGTCTCCAGGTGGCTCACCCACCGGTCCCTTACCATGGAATGCTGACAAAGTGAAACATTTCTGGAGGGAAGGTATGTGCGTGTGTGCCTTTGCACACAGCACGCAAAGGTGTGGCTCTCCTGTTCGTTACCTAATGTGCGTCGTAGGGCGATTGGTGTAAGCAGCTACCCTAAAATCTGATTGTCAGGAAAAAAATTCCACTTCTGTGTGAGCTGTACGTTCCACTTATCAAACAATGAGTTGCACAGATTCACATGATTTTGTTGCTGCATTGGCTGTCAGAAAACACAAAGCTAGATTTAGGGCTTATTTTCAGCAATTAACTCATCTACATCCTGGAATTATACTTTCCTCCCTCTTCTCTTTCTAGTGTCTCTTTGTATGCATGGCTTTATTTTAAATCAAACATAATTTATTTGGTACAATAAACTGGCTCTAATCCAATTTGCAGTCAAATAGGTCCTAAGTTGTAATTAAACTTAAAGTTCTTGCCATGGTAATGTCAATACTGCTGCTTCAGCCATGAATTAATAACATAC
Source organism: Homo sapiens (assembly GCF_000001405.40). Taxonomy (NCBI): domain Eukaryota; kingdom Metazoa; phylum Chordata; class Mammalia; order Primates; family Hominidae; genus Homo; species Homo sapiens. The sequence continues at coordinate 100,196,089 of NC_000015.10, read as the reverse complement.
TAGTGATGTTTAACTCAGGTCAGAGCTCTTGTTTATTGAACACCTACTATGTGCAGGGTACTGTGTGAGATGCTGTGTGTTTATCACGCCATTGAGTCAGTCCTATGAGGTAGGCATTATATAGGTTTTACTTTACAGGTTAGGAAACTAGTATTGCTTTTTTAAAAATTTATAGTTACTACTTAATATGATTTGGGATCACTTATATGATTATACATGCTGCAATAGGCCCATTAAAATAAGGATACAAATTACATGAAATAAATAATAAGAGAACTTGTAGAGTCAAAAACCAAGGTACTTTCAGTTTAAGGGAAGTAAATGTCCATGTGTATAGCTGCTGCTGGCTGACCAAGGACAATGACCGTATCATGGAGAGGGGTTCCCTAGGACACTCGAGTACTGTGGGTGAGATTGACAGATTTTTTTTTTTGAGATGAGATTGACAGCTTCTTTTTTTTTTTTTTTTTTTTTTTGAGACCAAACAATGGGCCAGTCATTTAATTAATGTAAGTCTGAGACTATTAGGATGAAAGTGATGCCGGTGAAAATGTGAAAATGTGAAAATGATCAATAGTTCTGTGGTCTTACGGAAACATGGAACAGGCTCCATTTACATATTAATACATAAATGAATCTGAGATTTTAAAAGCTTCTTGCCCGGGGCCTTCTCACAGATCCTGCCTCTCCTATATCATCATTAACTCCCGTGTAACCACTGAGCTGAAGCTGTGGATTCATTCGATTAACAGCTTTCTGATTCTGTGCCCTGACAAAGGAGCAGGCTGCAGAAGACTTCCCAGCCCTGCTGCGGACACGAGCTGGGGGATGGCAAGTCCTGGTGCAGGTGCTGTGTGAGAAGCTGCAGAGGGGCCACCCTTGCTGCTGCCTGGAGGCAGAGTCAGCTGCTGAGCAGCGGTCACGCTAACAACAGCCTGGAGGCTCCTAAATGTACACCCGTGCCCTTGGTTGTCTTCTTGCCCGTGAAAGGCTATTCTGATGGGCAGCCATGTGCTACCTTTGGGTTCAGCTAGTAATTAGAAATGTTGGCAGCGTTGAGTGTGAGGAAGGCAGCTGTGTCCCTTTCCATAGCGGTAGCTTGAGAAATGCACCGTAAAGTGAGTGTTTTTAGCCGGGGTCTCCTTTTGCCTTTCTCCATCCTGCGGTGGCCGTTAGAAAGCAGCAGCCCCTGCACATGGGAAGATGGCTACAACAGGCATCTTTTACCCGCTGATCCTTGCTAAGACAGGAACCATGGAATGGGGGGCAGTTCCTTGAGAGAAACTGCCCAGCTGGGATGACACGCCCCAGGGTTTTCTCCTTCAAGAAACCAGGACAGCGTGCCTTGTCCTGGATGTCAGCATCCAACATGCCGATCACAATTTGGTTTTAAAGAGAAAGAGGAAAATCCAGAAGTAAGCATTTGTTTCTCTCAGATAGGCCCCTGCTTTTCAGGCTCAACTCTGGTTGGTCCTAGGAAGGACTGACCCCTGATGATGAGTAGAAGCTCAGCTCTATGCTGACTGCCCGTGAGAAAAAGCAAAAATAAAACCCAGATCAAGGAGGCAGTTGGCAGTAACTTTAGTGTGACTTTAAGGTGGGTGTAATGCAGCTGTTTGGATTGTAGCATCTATTGTTGGCTGTGATTTGGAAGCTCCGGTATAAAAGAAAGTGCATAGCTCTGTGAAGGCTGCTGAGTGCCTTGTGTTTCGAGGGAAGTGTGTCTGGTATGCTGCAGCTAGGTCCAGGGGAGGTGCCTGGTAGGAGGAGCTGGTCCTAGTGCAGCTGCTGGCAGGAGGGCACAGAACCAAGTGTCCACTAGTCGTTCTGGGCCTAGGGAAACCCAGGACCCTGTGCCCACCTGTGTCTCAATCAGGTAAGGCAGCAAACTCCTGGGAGATGTCTAGAGACAGGACCTTCTAGGTGGGGTGACAGTGGAAGGGAGGGAGTCTGCTTTGTGAACTATCCGCCACCCACTCAGAAAAACGAAGAGGATATATCTTTATACAGAGAAATAAAAAGGTTTCTCATTGCAGAAAATAAACCTCTGCCTTTGTTGGAGTGAGGAGTGTCTGTTAGATAAGCCTGAGCCAGACCAGGGTTCAAGAAATGCCTGGCCCTGGGAGCCGGCCCAAACCACGGGAGGTCTCCAGCCCAAGTGGCACCAGCGCCACGCACGTGCTCAGCCTCCTGCAGCCTCTCCTCGGGAAGGAGCTTCTCCAGACCTGCCCCTCCTCGGGTTTCCCCTGCCGTCCCTGCACCCTTGCTTCGGTCAAAAAACCATTCTCTTTCCATTCTGGAGTTGACCTCTCCTGTAGTGGGGAGGCTCAGCCCGTGGCCTCTGGAAAACACTGTCTTGACACAAGCTGGGAGCTTGGCGTAGATGGTGCCTGGCAGTGACGCGCAGCAGGAGCACTGGGCGTTTAGAAATGCAGTGGCCCAGCGTCACCCACTGTTGACCGATGCGCTCACTCTCGGGGAGGAAGCTCAGGAAAGCTCTCCAGGAGATTCCGCACATCCCAGGTGGAGAACCGCGGAAGACGCAACATTGGAGGTGTCTCGTTGTTGCTCTTTCTGGCCTTGCCCACATTCCTGCCACCATCTCTTTCCGCCATGCCTCCAAGGCCCCAGTGCTGGGGAGCCAACACTGGGTCTCCCCCAGTGCTGAGCCCGGCTGTGCTGAAAATAACCCACCCACTTCACCTCTCTCTCGGTCACCCTGAGTTCCATGCACCTCACCACTTCTGAGTGAGCGCTCAGGACCCAGCTATTCTGAATGTTGCTAGCATAGACAGGCTTAGTCCTCTCTCTACTCCGTCAGCTCCCGGGAGACCTCAAGGAGGACATGGCGCAAAGCGTAAAGTGACCTGTGGTGGAGCCACTGGAATAATGGGCCGGGCAGAAGCCTGGACCCAGAAGAGGCAGGAGAGCGAGCAGCAGAGGGACAGGTGGAGCCCTGCAAGGCCAGAGGGCAGGTGGGGCTGCCACCAGGTGCAGGTGAAGCTCAGTCTTCTCTAATTTTCATTACATTGGATGCTTCCAGCCAGATGTGATGCTGTGCCAAGGTGAGTTTGGGACAGTGGACGTCGGGAAGGATGCCACATTGACTAGGCACGTGCTTGCCTGGCCTGCAGCTCAGAACGTGAAGGAATCTGATCCCTGCAAAGTGTGGCCCATGGGCAGTGGGTGGACACATGTCTGGGGGAGTGATGGGGAGGAGGGAAGGTTGGGGGAGAGCCATGTGGGGGAAATGTTCCCATAACTGGAGTTGACATGGTTCAAATGAAAAGAAATTGTCTCAGTCCCAGAACAGGAAGGAAAGCAAGCCATTATCCAGATGTGTGAAGCATGGAAATGCTTGTCTGTGATTTGTATTAAGAACGAGCCAGCCGGCACAGTGCTGTGGGGACACGGAATGGACCCAGGACAGATCTAGGCAAGCAGGCAACCCACCAGCAGACAGTCATGGGTGGTGGCTGCTCTTGCCTCAAATGTTTGGCCTGAGTGCTCCACCTAGTAGGCACAGCACAGACATCAGATGGGCCGGCATTGAAAGGAAGGTATGCAGAGAGAGAATTTCTGAGAATGTCATAACTGTTTAGAAATCCTGGAGGGAGAGGGAGCATTCTTTTGTTCTAGCTGGGATTAGGGCAGTTGTGTTCACATAGGGGTTGGCCTTCCTGGAGGAACAGAAAAGGGGGTGCCTCCCCCCAGGAAGGGATGGAGCCTTGGACAGGCTCCAGACAGGTTTCCCAGCAGGTTCCTGCCTGGGCCTCATCCCCAGTTCCTGCTTAGCAATCATGGCCTCAGGCAGTCTTCCCTTCTCTACTGAAGGGTAATTGGTTGGTGGTGCTTGAAGCATTGAAGGGTTCTCACGTTTCCCTCAGCGGAGCTTGGAGTGATTCCTGAATACGTTTCCTCTGCACTTGGCCCCTGCATCAAAGTCCGTGTGTGAGCGTCCACTGGGCACGGCAGTCTTACCCAAATTCCAGAGTTGTTCAAAACGTGCAGGCCTTATTTCCTTTTATTTATGTATTTATATTTATTTTTAATTTTTATGGGTATATAGTAGGTATATATATTTATAGGTTACATGAGATACTTTGATACAGGCATGCAATGCGTAAGTCACATCAGGGTGTTTTGCTGGTGAGACTTGCAGGGTTCTTCACCTTGACAAGCCACAAACCTCCTGGTGCCTTGGCTGTGATAGAATGAGCTTGCGACTGTGGAGGACCCACGGGGCAGCTGTTGCTCTGCCCCACTCAGCATTGCCTGATTTCTTGCTTCCTCCCCTCTCCCTTTCTCTCACACAAATAAAAGCAGAATTTCCTTCTGGCCCCTCCCCAGCAGAGAATCTTGGATGGGAGGTGCCCCCGCAGTGACCAGAGCAGCAAGGAGCATTTGTGACTGTGGGCTCTGTCTAAATGGCCCTACTGCTGTCTGCAGCAATTCTCACAGTCCTGCATTCACGGGTTGCAGAGAAACTGCATTGCTCTTCCTTGGAGTCTCATCATTGATGTGGAGTCTCATGCGAGGCGACGACATTTCTTCCAGTTGTCTGGAAAACCCAGAGCCTCTGTTCCAAAGAGGATCTCAGCCACAGCCTTCCCAAATCCCACCAGGCCAGGCCTGATGCCTGGCTTGGAGGGAGGGAAACTCAAACAGAAAGCCATTAAAAGCCTGTCAGCAAGCAGGCACATGCAGTCCTACCTGTATTCTGAGCAGCATGTCCAAACAGCTGTTGGCTGGAGCTCAGCGTCACGGTAGGAAGTCCAGCCGTGGAGAGGCTTCCTCTGCCCCCAGAGTTTCGTTACTGAATAAGGCAGGTTACACACGCTGTGCTGATGTTTGTCTCTGCCCCAGGAATCCTTTGCATTTAATTATCAGGTAGATTCCCTTGCCTAAAATAATGTCATCCAAGGTGGTGTTTGAGGAGGCAGGAGGGAAGTTGAGTTTGGCTAAATAACCAGATTCTGAAATCCCCTCAGAACTTCCAGACTCTTCCAGCAGTTAGCTGAGATGTAGTTTTCTTGTGTCAGAGCTTCTGGCAGCCTCAACTGAGTGGTTCTTGGAGCTGGAAGGGATGTCCAGAGTCGACATTTTGCAGACGGTGAGCCACCTCCCTTCCCACGGCGCTATGTGGCCCAGTGGAGACTCGGACCAGAAGCTCAGGCCACAGCACAGTGCTCTTTCCACACGTGAACAGAACCAGGGCCAGCGCTGAGCCCTGTCCAGGTGGCTCTCTTGGTAACTGGACTCACTTCACCTTTACTTGAAAAGACACCTTTGGCTTACACAGCTAGGGTTTCCTTCGTGCTCAGGTGGCAGGGGTGTGATCTGATGCAGCTTTCTCTGCAGAAGGAGTGTCCCCATTCTTCCAGGTGTTTGGTTTCCTGCCTGAAACCCTTGTGCACCTACTGCCCACTGCCAGTGGACAACTTGAAACCAAGTACCTGACTTCTCCAGACCTGCCCCTCTTGGGGTTCCTCCTGCTGTCCCTGTGCCCTTGCTCCGGTCAACCATTCTCTTCTCATTCTGGAAATGACCTCTCCTGTAGTGGACAGGCCCAACCTGTGGCCTCTGGAAAACCCAACCTGTGGCCTCTGGAAGAAACCTGAATGCCTTTGGGGACCTTGCCACCAGCCCACTCAATGGCACGTTCTGGGAAAGGGCGCTTCTCATCTCCATCTGTTTGAGGTCACAGATGGCTTGCTCTCACTTTGTGCGAAGGTGGTAGTTTTGCCAAATGGCAGTGGCAGACAGAGAGGGCCAGCAGAAGGGCTGGGGGGTCTGGGAGAGCCACGGAATCATGCACTTTGTTCCTGACATCAGAGCAGAGCACAGATGGTGGTTTCCAGGAGCCAGCATGAGGATCTGGGAATGGCCTTTCTTGGAAAAAAATATACATCAGTAGATGGATGTAGAATGAGGGAGGTTATCATTTTCTTAGCGAGTCGCTGGAAGCATGAGTAGGGCATCCTCTTGTTAAGCAGAGCCTCACTTCTGCAGTGTTGAGAGGGCCTCTGCTAAGTAAGCCTCAGTGACTCACACCTCACTTGTGATTGGTATCAGCAGCCAATGAGAGGAAGGCAGGCTGGTCAGCGTTGAACTGAGCTGGGGAAGAGTCTTAGGGTTTCCAAGGCCCCGGTGATGCTGATGCAGGCAACTGAGGCAGGCAACCACTGGGAGAAGCTGGGCCCTGTGGTGCTGGGTGTATCATGTCAGGGCCTGAACTTGTGCCCACACCTTGGCCACGGCTTTCCCAGATTGCATTCGGGTGGATTGCTAAAGAGAAAGACAGGGCATCCACAGTGGTAGTTTTTAGAAGTCAAACTTGGTAATACTATCGCCATACCAAGGACATAGCAGATCCAGGAGGACGCCTGCCGTGAGGCAGCTTCAGACACTGAAGACAAGTGACAAGACGCCTGCTGACGACCCAAAGGCATGCATGGGTTGGTTTCTGGTCAGGGGAGCCTTCAGCAGGAGCACATGTTCCTGTTATTCCTTCCATACAGAGGCATGTGCTGCTTTGGTAAATGACACCTAGTGAGTCTGTGGTTGGCTGTGTTGGTGGCTCTGCATCTGGGGAGCACCTGAATTAATAAAGGGCCTGTGAAGCTTTGTGGCACATGCTCTGTGATGACCCAGGGATGTCAGAAACTGCTCCCAGCAGCAGGAGGAGAGTTATAAAGAAAAAGGCAGCCAACTTCCTGCCAGCTGCTTGGTCCACACTCGGCTTACTCAGCAGAACAAGCTCGCAAAGCCCCGCTCCATATACCGTCCCCCAGTTGAGCTGTCCTTTCTGATTTAACAATTTTCACCTAAAACTCCTACATCCCATGCCTAGTTCAGAATCTGGCAGAGGGAAGAAGCCCCACATTTGGTGCTGCACACAGTGGAGAGGCACCCTAGGACTTCAACTCGTGCCTTGCACTTCACAGTGTAGTCTTGGACCAGCAGCGTCTGCATCACCCTGGAGACTGTTGGTTGGAAATGCAGGGCTCAGGCCTGCCAGGGGACTCGTGTAGAACATGATAGTTTGAGACAACTATAGCTAAGGACATCCAAGGGGTGGACCTTTTGGTTTAACTCATTCCTCAGTCCGATGCTCAGTGTTGCAGCTGCAGGTATATATAACTTGGTGGGTTAAAGCAAAAGACTTTTTTTTCCATCTTGTTTCTGCGGGGGTGTTTTCGGGATAGCTTTCATACCCTGGCTTTGGAATCTCTTCTCTGGTCCCTGCTCTTTGGCCATGCTTTGTTTGCTGCCTGTGCAGTGCTAGAAGGCTTTCAGGGATTGTCAGCTGGCTTTGGAATTTGACGCTAGGTTTCCGTTCAGCCTCCTCTATCACCTGGAGACAGGTTTCTTAGCAGGTGTGCTTGGTACAGCCACCACTGATCCTACCTGTCAAAGAGACCTCACTCTAGTCCAGACATGTGACTTGACACATTATAAAACCTGGTACATTTTTGGCTAAACTTGAGCACATCAAACTCTTGGATATTTACAAACTTGTATGGAAACATGCTGGTCAACTTGAATTGGGGTTTCCCGTGAAATGGGGGTTTTCCACGTAGAATATGGAAGGAAGCCGCAAAACTGTCAGAAACACTGAAGAAGAATGTCAGACTCTCCCTAAAAATTCCCAAAGCACCTGGTTTTGTGTGTGTGTTCTTGTTTTTTTTTTTTTAAGAGACAGGGCTTCGTGGCCGGGCGTGGTAGCTCATGCCTAAAATCCCAGCATTTCGGGAGGCTGAGGCGGGCAGATCACCTGAGGTCAGGAGTTTGAGACCAGCCTGACCAACATGGAGAAACCCCGTCTCTACTAAAAAATACAAAATTAGCTGGGCATGGTGGTGCATGCCTGTAATTCCAGCTACTTGGGAGGCTGAGGCAGGAGAATCCCTTAAACCCGGGAGGTGGAGGTTACAGTGAGCCGAAATCACGCCATTGCATTCCAGCCTGGGCAACAAGAGTGAAACTCCACCTCAAACAAAAAAAAAAGAGGACCTCGCTCTGTCACCCAGGCTGGAATGCAGTGGTGTGATCGCAACTCATTGCAGCCTCAAACCCCTGGACTCAAGTGCCCCTCCCACCTTAGCCTCCTACGTTGCTTGGACTACAGTCGCACACCATCCCGCCTGGTTATTGCTGCTCTTTGACTTGCCAAAAAAGGCAGACTATGGGTCCCTGTCTGTGAAATGCTGACTTTGCTCTCTTGCCTTTTTTTGGTCTCCCATTCAGTTTTTATTTTCAGTTTGGGGGCAGAAGCCGAGATGTGAGCGACTGTGCTTTTCCTAGAGGGTGTCTTCTTCCCACCCTCACTGCCAGGGACCATGTGTGAAGAGCTGGTCCCGTGGCTGCCCTTTTGGTGAAATAGGGAGTTGGCAGGTCAGCCTGTTGGGGTGTCTTGAGTCAGGTATGAAAAGCATCATTTTCTGTTTCCACATTTGTTATATTATTACCCATGGCCTGGAAGACCAGAGCAACGTTCAAATGCTGGGTGGAAACTTCTGGAATCTGGGGGTTCAGAGTAAACCATAAAGTCCAGGAACCAGATCACTTCTTGCTGCAACATGAATCATATGTCCAGAGAAGCTGGTTCACCTCTTGCGGGTTGAGCCTGGTACCTGCCTGGCATTAGTCTTCAGTGGTCCTTGTGTTTATAGCAACTCCTACAAAGTGACTGTAAAGTTCATTTCCTTGTGAAAGGTGGCTCAGGAAGGAAAGCCAAGAGGGCTGGTTACCAAAGGGAAAGAAAGTCGAAGAGCACCCTAAAGCAATCATGTTTTCAACCTTAGGGATTTGCAAAGGGTTGTAAAGATGCCCCCATTTGAACACAGTGGGCACGCTGACAGATACTGCCTGCTCTAACGTTATCACTGGGCATGCTTATCTCCGTCTCAATGGCCCAGCAAGTCTCACCTTACACACCAGGGATGTGCAGTGCACCTTGTACCGGTGGGAGCTGAGGTCCTGGGTGATGGAGGAGGTGAGGAGAGGTCAATAGTTGCTTCACATGAGTCTGGCTCTCTCGGTCCAGATGAAAAGAACTTATTTGCAAATGGGAGTGGCAGACCACATTGATAATTGTGGAAGAGCAATGAAGGAAGGGAAGGAATGCCAAAGACTAAAAATAGGCAGATGCCATCTTGCAAAAGGGAAATGAGACAAATGGCATACATTTCAACTTACGATATTAATATTGCTTATAGGAAACATTCCAGAATGGCTCATCAAACATAATTTGTGAGCTCTCAGAAATAAAAGCGACAATCCTAGAAGTCAGCCAAGGATCGTGCAGAGATAGGGGATGGAAAATTTTGCTCAGGTTTCTGCAAAACTCTCAGCCCTCCTGATGGGGAAATATGGAGAACTGTGAGCTGGATACTGCTGCAGTTAAAGGAGTTTGTAACAGTTGGATAACCTTACTCAATGGATGCTTATTAGTAGAGGAATGTCTACCTGAGAGAGTTGCTTCCTGCCTGCCCCGGGCGCTGGAATCACTGCTTGTTTGACTGCTGTAGTCATGACCTGGCTGTGGAGATAGGTAGTATGCTCATCAGACATTGAGATGGCGCCAAGATGGGAGGGAAAAGGGTATGCGGCAATTCAGAGTCCATGAAGTTGTTGGTCACCTTGAAAAGTGGCCAAATGCAGCAATGCGTGATTGCATTTCATTTTCACCCCATCCTATAATAGTAGTAGTATTTGCATTTTATAGAGAGGAAGATGAGGCCCAGGACACTCCACTGGTAAATGGCAGAGCCAGGCTTCAAGCCCTTTGTCAATGTTGAAGTCCATGCACTCGCCATGTGCCTTACAGCTTTCCAGATGGCATTTAACATCGGCTAAGTCTCAGATCAACTAATGTACAGGATGGAGGAAATGCAGCTTAATGACAGTATCACTGCCAGCGAGTATATCTGTCCCTACTTCCTTCACATACTTCATTGATGTTACTCATTGATCCCAGGACCTTCCCTTCTCCACTGAATCGCAACTCACAGGCCTTCCCAACTCTAGGCGGCCACTGCCAGTAGATTAGGGCTGGCATAAGAGATGAAACAAACTGACCGTCCCGTAGGTGTGGAGTAATTGTCGGCTGCACTCACACGACCAGTGTGTTCTTGAGCTGTATTAACACCAGCCTCATCTTCGGAAATGAAGAAGGCGGTGTTAGTCCTGCCAAGCCCTTCAGGGGTTAAGTGGCACCAGGAGGCTTGTGTTCAGCGTGGGAAGTCTGTTTTAAGAAGGACTTCAGGAGCCAGAAGCACGTTCATAGGCAAGGGAAGGGGATGATGAAGGAAACGGCTGGAAGGACTGAGTGTCTTTATGTGGACGAGGTGTGCAGGGGATACTTTGGAGGATGCCAGGGCATGAGGGATCTCTGCGCAGCCCCCGACAGCAGAGCTGAACTGGTGTGCTGCAAGTTACAGGAAAAGAGGTTGCAACTTAGTGGAAGAGGGTTCTTAACATTAGAGTTCTTTAGAAGCAATGGGAAGTGTTGATTTTCTCACACTGGCGAGTTTGCACAAAGATGCTGCCTTCTGGCTTAGGGGTTGAAGTGGAGATTTTTGGAGTTTGAAGAGGTTTGAATTGATCTCTGATCTCACTTTAGACCCTCATGTTCTTGATTCTGTGACATGGGGTCAACATGGGGGGCAAAAGAGACCAGGATCTGAGCAGTGCACACTGTGGGTTCACAGGTGTAGTAAGACAAAACTTAAAACACATGTGTACCCTGTTGAGCAGTGGTAGATCTCACAGGTTTCTTCTACGAGCTTGTTCTCAGGGCTTTATGTCTGTTAATTCATCCCAGCTACTCCATGGGGTAATTCCTGTCGTTCTCTCCATTCTACAGGTAGGGAAACTGAGGCACAGGGAACTTAAGCAACTTGCCATGGTCCCAGAGCTTGTAAGTGATGGAATCAGGATTTGAAGTAAGGTCTCAGTGTCCACACTGCTGACCACTATGTCCATAGCCTCTGCCACAGACTGTAGCGCTTTCAGATTGCTTTCATTGCACTGTCCATGTTAGGCATCCTCAGGGAGGAGGCAGGCGCTCTTGGCCCAGGAAAATAGAATGGTCACTGAGGAGCATGTCTGAATTTGGAGACAGAGGAGTAGACATCAGCCTGATGTAATAGAGGAGTGATTAACAAAAGCCATGGGGCCGGGAGGAGGAGAGGTGGCGAGCCCAGGCCACAGTGGGACAGGACCCTATCATACCTGCCACATACAGATCCCAGAGCTCTGGAAGGGCCCCCAGAAGAGAGGGGCTGTGACAGGGGGCTACGGGAAGTCTGATCTGGTGATGGCCACAGCAGCATGATGGACGGAGGGAAGGTGGTGACAGACCAGACACAGGAGCGGAGTTCCCAGGTGGCAGCATTGGTCAGGAGGCACAGAGGAGAGACAACCTACGCTGGGCCTCTGGATCTCAGAGGTTCTGCCAAAATGTGTAGCCAGGGTCTGGTCCCCAAAGAAAAATTCCTGAAGGTAGCTTTGCCACACATCATTTACCCTCCATGTGCCCCAGTGTCCTCGTCTGTATAATGGGGACACTGACAGCCTCAGAAAAACGTAAAGGTAACCTTCTCTAAATGTAACCAGATATCCTAGAGATTATTCAACAACAACAATAAAATGATAATGAAAGATGGAAAGAAGAAGGCTCACTGGCCAGGGGCCCCAGGGCTTGAGAACGACAACATGGTGAATTCTCTGGATTTTCTTTTCCTCTCCCCACATACACCGATTGGGGCACCTGGAGGCCTGCAGCCTGGAGCTTTCCACAGTCTGGAGCTTTCCACAGTCTTAGACATAAAACCCAAGAACAGTCTGCTCTCCCTGGCCAATGGACTGGGGAGACAAAGCCCAACAGAGACCACATGGGGAGCCTGAGACCTGCTTCATAAACAGGACATAGTGAGCTGGCTACTCTACCTGCAGCAGCAGCAAACCCCAGGCCTACTCAACTTGTGCTCCACAACCAGGACACTGGTGGGCAGCTCGATCTGCTCCCAGCAGCAGCAGCAGCAGCAATGAAACCCCTTGTCTCCCTGCTGTCTCTGTACCCAGAAGCTTCTCTCTCCCTGACCCCCCTATAGGAGGTGGCTCAGCGACACCCAGTAACACAGGGAAGTGCCTTTCACCCCCACAGATATCACCAGCAGCGACTGAAGAGGAGCCTCAACGATACCATAAAAACAAAGCAGATTGGGATAACATTGCAGGGCCTCTGAAAACTAAACTGTCATTGGAATTAAAGCCCACAAAAGTAAGCCAGACCTACCTGGCAAACCTAAACAGTGTGATGGCTTGCTGCAATAGCATATTTAAACAGGATCAAGAGACTCCTAATATAATAACCAAAGTATTCAGGATGTAGTTGAAAATCACTAGTCATACTAAGACTAGGCAAGCCACAATTTGAGAAAAATCAGTCAGCTGGCACCAGTGACAAATGTTGGAATTGTCTAACGACGATTATAAATCATAATAATGCTTCCAAAAATTAATTATAAATTTTCTTGAAACAAAAACAAAATTTCATCAAAGAAATTGAAATTTTACAGAAATAAATCAATGAAAATTATAGAACTGAAAAAATATAGGAACAACAACAAAATTCTCATTGGATGGAATTTAGATAGAGTGGAGATGACGGAATAAAATCCGTGAACTTAGATGAATATAATTCACTCAATCTGAACAGAGAAAATACACTGGAAAAAAAATGAGCTGGGCCTTAGGGATCTGTGGAAGATATAAGCTTGTATCAGGAATCCCAGAAGCATGGTGGTTCACACCTGTAATCCCAGCACTTTGGGGGAGGCCAAGGCAGGCAGATTACTTGAGGTCAGGACTTCCAGACCAACCTGGTCAACATAGAAGAACCCCGTCTTTACTAAAAATACAAAACTTAGTCAGGTTTTGTGGTGCATGCCTGTAATCCCAGCTACTCAGGAGGCTGAGGCTGGAGAATCACTTGAACCCAGGAGGTGGAAGTTGCAGTGAGCTGAGATCGTGCCACCGCACTCCAGCCTGGGTGACAGTGCGAGACTCTGTCTCAAAAAAAAAGAAAAAGAAAAAGAATCCCAGAAGCAAAGGATAAAGATTGTGGCACTGGAAAAAATATTTGAAGAAATAAAGTCCGAAAACATCCCAATTAAGTGAAAGACATATGCCTGCAGATTCAAGAAGCTGAGTGAATCCCAAATAGGATAAGCTCTAAGAAATTCACACTAAGGCACATCAAAACTAAATTCCTTAAAGAAAAAACTCTTCAAAACAACCAGAGACCAGAGGGAGGAGCAAGATGGCCAAATAAAACAGAAGCCTCCATCAGTTGTCACCCCCTGCCACCACCCCACAGTAACACCAAATTTAACAGCTATCTACACCAAAAGTGCCTTCATAAGAATCAAAAATCAAGTGAGCACTCACAGTACCTAGTTTTAACTTCATATCACTGAAGGAGGCATTGAAGTCGGTAGGAAAGACAGTCTTGAATTGCCAGTGCAACCTCTTCCCCCACCCTTCAACAGCAGCCACAGTGTAGCACAGAGAGGTAATCTCTGTGCTTGGCGGAGGGATAGCACAACGAGTGTGAGACTTTGCATTTAACTCAATGCTGCCCTATCACAGTGTGATATGGTTTGGATCTGTGTCCCCACCCAAATCTCATTTCAAATTGTAATCGCGTAATCCCCAAGTCTTGAGGGAGGAACCTGGTGGGTGGTTTCCCCATGCTGTTCTTGCGATAGTGAGTGCTCACCAGATCTGATCATTTTATAAGGGGCTCGTCCGCCTTCGCTCTTCTCTCTCTTGCCACCATGTGAAAAAGGTCCTTGCTTCCCCTTTGCCTTTGGCCATGATTGTAAGTTTCCTGAGGTCTCCCCAGCCATGTGCAACTGTGAGTCCACATGTTAAATCTCTTTCCTTTATAAATTACCCAGACTCGGGTATTTCTTTGTAGCAGTGTGAAAAATGGCCTAATGCACAGTGGAAAGCAAAACCGGGCTGAGCTCAGCTGACACCCATGGATGTCCTAGCTAGAAGAGGAATCACCCATCCCAGTGGTTGGAACTTGAGTTTTGGCAGGCCTCGCCTTCGTGGGCTAAAGTGCTCTGGGGTTCTAAATAAACGTGAAAGGCAGTTTGGGCCACAAGGACTGAAACTGCTAGTTAAGTCCTAGTGCTGTGTTGGACTTGGAGCCAGTGGACTTGGGGGGCATGCAACTTAATTAGACACTAGCTGAGGTGGCTAAGGGAGTGCTTGTGCCACCCCTCTCCCAACCCCAGGCTATGCTGCTTGCAGCAACAAAAATAACTCCTTCCTCCTCCTTCAGGAGAGAAGAGGGAAGCGTAAAGAGAACATTGTCTTGCATCTTGAATACCAGCTCAGCCACAGGAAGATAGGGCACCAGCCAGGTTCATAAGGCCCCCGTTCTAGGCCATATCTCCCAGATGACAATTCTAGACACACACTTAGCCAGAAGGAAACCCATTGCCTTGAAGGGAAGCACCCAGTCCTGGCATCATTCATAACTTGCTGGCTAAAGAGCCCCTAGTCAGCCCTGAATAATCAGAGGTATACCCAGGTAGTATGCCATGGGCCTTGGCTTAGACTCTGAGATGTGGTGGCTTCAGGTGAGACCCAGCACTTTTCCATCTGTGGTGGCTATGGTAAGAGACTCCTTCTGCTTGAGAAAAGCAGAGGGAAAAGTAAAAGGGACTTTGTCTTGCACCTTAGGTACCAGCTTGGCCACAGTGGGGTGGAGCACCAAGTGGGCTCTTGGGGTCCCCAGTTCCAGGCCTTTGCTCTGGACAGCATTTCTGGACTGTTCTGGGCCAGAGGGGAGTCCACTGCCCTAAATGGTGAGTCCGATGTCTGGCAGCATTCACCACAAACTGAAGAGTGCTTGAGCCTTAAGTGAACCTTGTGGTAGCCTGGCAGTACTCCCCATGGGCCTTGTGTGGTGGCGGTGGCCACAGGAAGAGGCTCCTCTGCCTGTGAAAGAGGAGGGAGGAGAGGGCAGGACTTTGTCTCTAGTTTGAGTGTCAGCTTAGCTGCAGTAGAATAGACCACCAGGTAGATTTCTAAGGTTTTGACTCCAGTGCCTGGCTCTTGGACAGTGTCTCTGGATCCACCTGGGGCCTAGGGGAACTTGCCGCCCTGAAGGGAAGGACAAGCCTTGCTGGCTCTGCCACCTGCTGATTGTAGCACCCTGGGACTTTGAGAGAACATAGGCAGTATCTAGGTAGTGGTTACAGCAGGCCTTGGGTAATCCCATTTATAATAGCTACAAATAAAATACCTAAGAATTAACTTAACCAAAGAAGTAAAAGATCTCTGTAATGAAAATTATAAAACACTGATGCAAGCTATTGAAGGGGACTCAAAAAAAATGGAAAGATATTCAGCGTTCATGAATTGTAAGAATAAATACTGTTAAAACATCCATACTACCCAAAGCAATCTACAGATTCAGTGCAATCCCTATCAAAATATCAATGACATTCTTCACAGAGATAGAAAAAAAATCCTAAAATTTATATGGAACCATAAAAGACCCAAAATAGCAAAAGCTATCCTGAGCAAAAAGAACGAAACTGGAGGAATCACATTACCTGACTTCAGATTATACTGTAGAGCTATAGTAACCAAAATGGCATGGGTATTGGCATTTAAAACAGATACACAGAGCAATGGAACAGAATGGAGAACCCAGAAACAAATTCATACATCTACAGTGAACTCATTTTTGACGAAGGTGCCAAGAACATACGTTGGGGAAAGGACAGTCTCCTCAATAAGTGGGGCTGGGAAAACTAGATATCCATATGCAGAAAACTGAAACTAGATCCCTTTCTCTTGCGATGTACAAAAACCAAAATAGATTAAAGACTTAAATCTAAGACCTCAAACTATGAAACTGATAAAACAGTGGGGAGACACTCCAGGACAGTGGTCTGGGCAAAGATTTCTTGAGTGATACCCCACAGGAACAGGCAGCCAAAGGAAAATTGGACAAATGGGATCACATCAAGTTAAGAAGCTTCTGCACAACAAAGAAAACAACCAGCAAAGTGAAGAGACACCCCACAGAATGGGAGAAAATATTTACAAACTACCCATCTGACAAGAGATTAATAACCAGAATACATAAGGAGCTCAAACAACTCTTAGGAAAAAATCTTATAATCTGATTTAAAAACGCGCAAAAGATCTGAATAGACATTTTTCAAAAGAAGACATACAAATGAAAAAGTGTTCATCATTGATCATCAGAGAAATGCAGATCAAAACTACCATGAGATATCATCTCACCCCAGTTATAAAGGCTTTTATCCAAAAGACAGGCAATAACAAATGCTGGCAAGGTTGTGGAAAAAAGGCAACCCTCATACACTGGTGGGAATGTAAATTAGTACCACCACTATGGAGAACAGTTTGGAGGTTCCTCAATAAACTAAAAATAGAACTATTTTTGTGATCCAGCAATCTCTCTGCTAGGTATATACCCAAAAGAAAGGAAGTCAGTATATCAAAGAGATATCTGCACTCGCATGTTTATTGTAGCACTAGTCACAATAGCCAAGATTTGGAAGCAACCAAAGTGTTCATCAACAGAGGAATGGATTAAAAAAATATGGTACTTACCACAATGGAGTAGAAAGAATGAGATCCTGTCACTTGCAACAACGTGGATGGAACTGGAGGTCATAATAAGCCAGGCACAGAAATACGAACTTCACATGTTCTACTTATTTGTTGGAGCTAAAAATTAAAACAATTGAACTCATAGAGAGTAGAATGATGGTTACCAGAGGCTAAGACGGGTAATAGGAGGCTGGCAGGGAAGTGAAGATAGTTAATGGGTACAAAAACTAGTTAGAAGGAATGAATAAGACCTAGTATTTGGTTCCACAACAGGGCTATAGTTATAATTTAAATGTACATTTTTAAATAACTAAAAAAGTATACTTGGATTGTTGGAGATGATGATACCCCGTTTGCCCTGATATAATTATTAGACATTGTATGTCTGTATCAAAATATCTCATGCACCCCATAAATACATACAGCTACTATGTACCCACAGAAATTAGGAAAAAAAAATTGGGAACAATGTATTGCCTCTAAAGGAACAGCAATTTGGATGACGATAGGTTTCTCATCTGAAATCATAGAGGCCAGAATGAAGTGGCACAAAATTTTTTTTAAGTGTTGAAATAATTCTCAATTTTCAATCCTATATCAAATAAAACTATCCTTCAGGAATGAAGAAAAAATACATTCTCAGAAAAAGGAAATCTAATAGAATTTGTTGCTAGTAAACGGACCCTTAAAGAATGGCTGAAATAAGCTCTCCAAAGAAAATGGTAGGAGAAGAATATGGATCCTTCAAAACAGAATGGGTAAAAGAACAACAGAACAATAGTAAAAAACAACAGAATGGGTAAAAGAACAACAGAACAATAGTAAAAGAACAACAGAATGGGTAAAAGTACAACTACATATTATAGAGTATTCTTAACTTCGTAAACTTTTTAAGTCATATTCTAGCTTTGAAGCATAAGTTATAACATTTCATGTATGTAGACAGAACACTTAAGGCAGTGCATTATGGGGAGGGTATGAGGATCTAAATAAATGTCACATTTCTCTGCTTAACTCAGAGTGGTGAAATGTCAACACCAGTTGGCTGTGATGTGTGTATATGGCAATACCTAGAAGAACCACTAAGAGAACTATACAGAGTGATATTTTTAAAATCATGAATAAATCAAAATCAAACTCTAATTGATGTTCAAGTAACCCACAGGATGTCTAGAAAAAAGAAACAAAAGAAACAAAACAAATAATAAAATGGCACACTTAATCCCTAACATGTCAGTAATTGCTTTCAATGATCTAAAAAAATACTTCAGCTAAAAGACAAACACTGGCAGAATGGATTTAAAAATGTGACCTAACTATCTGCTCCCTGAAAGAAACTCATTTCAAACATAATGACATAGGTAGATTGAATGTAAAATTTTAAAAATTGAAAAAATACATCATGAAAACATTCATTGTGGGAAAAAAACAGGAATCGCTATATTAATATCAGAAAAAGTAGACTTCAGAGGAAAGAAGATTGATGACTGGGGCAAAGAGGGACATTGTATAATGATAAAAAGGTCAACCCACCAGAAAAGATACAACAACCTTTAACGTATATGTACCAAAATAAAGAGATTCAAAATACATGAAACAAAAACTAACCTGAGAGAAAAAGTAGATGAATCCACAATTATAGCTAGATGAATCCACAATTTTAAAAGGCTATTTTCAAAACCTCCCTCTCAGCAATTGATAAAAATATTAGACAGAAAATTAGCAAGGATATAGAACCAAACATCAACCAACAGGATCCGACGGACATTTATAGAACACTTCATCCAACAACAGCAAAATACACATTCTTTTCAAGCTGTCATGGAACATTCAGCATTATAGACTATATCCTGAGGCACAAAGCAAACTGTAACAAGTTTAAAAGAATTGAGATCGTGTAAGGTATATTCTCTGACCTTATAATGGAATCAAACTGAAAATCAATAACAAAAAGACAACAGGAAAATCTCCGAACACTTGAAAATTAAATAACACATTTCTGGATAAACCATAAGAGAAGAAACTTCATTGGAAATAAAAAATACATAGAACGGAATGAAAATGAAAACCCATTTTATCAAAATTTGTGGGATATAGCTAGAGCAGTGCTGAGAGGGAATGTATAGCTGTTAAGTGCTTACATTAGAAAAGACGAAAGATTGCGAATGAATAATTGCTAAGTTCCTACTTCAAGAAATTAGAAAGGCACGCGTAAAATGGTACAGCCGCTCTGGAAAAGTTCCTTTTAAAACTTAACGTATGGCCCAGCAATTGCACTGTTGTGCATTTATCCCAGAGAATTGGAAAGTCATTTTCATGCAAAAACTTGCACATGAATATTCATAACAACTCTATTCTTCTTAATAGCTCAAAACTTGAAACTACCTAAATGTGCTCCAATGGGTGAGCAGTTAATCTGTGGTACAGTCATATCATGCAATACCACCTAGCAATAAAAATGAATGAATTATGGGCACACACAGCAATGTGGATGAACCTCAAGGAAATTACACCAAATTTTAAAAAGCTAGTTTCAAAAGCATACATAATGCATGGTTCCATTTATATAACATTTGTGAAATAACAGTTATTGAGATGGAGAGCAGACTAGTGGTGGCCAGGGTTTGAAGGATAGGGAGGACGGTGGTTATGGTCATAAAAGGGTAGTCTTGTGGTGATGATACAGTTAAGTTTCTTGATTGTGGTGGTTACACAAAGATACACACGTGATATAATTGCATAGAGCTCTACACATATGAATGAACGCATGTATAAGTGGTTTAATCAGAACAAGTTTTGTGGATCGTACCCAATGTCAGAATCCTGATTTTGATATACTGTAGTTATCCAAAATGTTACCATTGTGGGAGGCTGGGGGAAGGGTGCATGCAACCTACCTGTGTTTTTCCTTTCCATAGCTATACAGAGAAAAGATAAAATGCCTTGAGCATCTTTAAAAAATCCAGATGTCCGGGTCACACTTCGTACCAATTAAGTCATGATTTCTGCAGGTGGGATTTAGGCATCTGTATTTTTTTTTAACTCCTTAGGCGACTCCAACACGTAGCCTAGTTTGAGAACCTGTGCTCCTTAATGTGAGCAGTTGTCATAAATGTCATCTTCCTCCTCCTCGTTAAAGCAGCACTGATAGAGCCCTTCCTCTGTGCCATGTACTGTTTGAAGCACCATGCATTCATCATCCCATCTCACCGTCAGTAATAACCACTCTTCTTTCTTCACTGCTGTCGTTAGGCCTCCTTTCCCATTGGAGAGTGGTTGGCCACTGACCGGTGGTTCTGAAAGCATAGAAATGCAGACCTTCCTCATTCTTTTACCATCCACCTCATGAGGGAGTTTGCGCCTGTGGCCTGGGCAGCAGGGCCTGGAAGACAGATCACGGGGCAGGCCATGGTCTAGGGGTTGGTCCCCTATCTTGTTTCGGCTGCCAAGTTTCATAATTTCATTATTTCTTATGTCCTAAAAAGAAAAGACTTGGCTGCCAAAAATAAATGTTTACATGCCTGTGACATTGAGAATGATGAATCTGCCTTGGGACTGGAGGGTGTGGAAGAGAGGAAAGACGTGGAATCTTGCCAAGCAACAAGCAGGCAGGCTCCGTTGCACTCTCGGGGGCACCGTTCACACAGACAATGAGGTCACCACAAGCTGGAGTTGACACTGGTGAGATTTGAGGAAGGGTGAGATTTGAGGAAGGCTGAGAACGAGCTGGTGGTCTCCTAGGACTGAGAACCAAGAGACAAAAGGGGACCAGAAAGAGTACAGATGACCAAGCCACATAAATTCACCTCTGAGGTCAGAGTCTCCATCACGCCCTGGGGTGCATTCCTTCACCTAGAAGTCAGCTGCTGTTCAGGCTCCCTTTATGCATTAAGAGTTGAAATGTTGGTTTTCTTTTCCTAAAGAATTAGGATTCTCTTGAAGGCCTTAACATGGGACTGGGGGGCATACGACGTTTGTAGATGCATGAGCGCTCTACTGCCTCAGTCCGGTGAAATCATGCCGACCTCCTACCTGAAGCAGAAGGAAAATCCTTAGGCCATGCCGGGTGACCAAGGATAAGGACAGAAGGCTGTTCCTTGGACAGCTGCTGTTCCAGACCAATTAGTCTCTGCTCTGTTGGTTGCCAAATTTGGCACTAATTTCTTCCATAAACA
The DNA here is from genome assembly GCF_000001405.40 of Homo sapiens. NCBI lineage: Eukaryota > Metazoa > Chordata > Mammalia > Primates > Hominidae > Homo > Homo sapiens. The sequence continues at coordinate 100,175,237 of NC_000015.10, read as the reverse complement.
CAAGTTGAAAGCAGACATTTAAATAAAAGGCAATATCAGAGTTACTTTTTTAAAAAGGCATAGGAACTGGAACAGCTGAGTACCCTTGCTTTTTCTGATTCTTGTTTCACTCCAAATGTGAGATCGAATCCCTTCAAAGCTGGGTTGCAGTAGGCTGCGAGGGGAGGGTGAGTTGGCGGGCAGGACTGGGAGATGCTGGAAGGTGGGTGCTTCTTCTTTTCCCTGATGCTTTCTGCCCAGGGCTGCATATTCTGGGAGGCATGGAACCTGCTGGTACCACCCTTTATTGACACTGGGAGGCTTTTTTGTATGGAACACCTTTTCCTTTTACATTTCAGATGAGATTTTGTGGAAAGAGCCCCTTTTCCTGTCTTAACGACCCATTATCAACTACAAAGTTGCTGCTAGTAAAAATATCTACTGTCGTTCATGCAATCCTTTCAGTGCCTTGCTTGAAACCACATTCCATCCTCCTAACATGAACGTTGCTTTGAGCCAAAATCCAGAGAGGGTTTGAGGACAAGTTGTGTACACAGTCATTAAGACAGCCAAAAGAATATATTTTTATCCTGTGAAATGAATGCCGGTTGAGCAGCAGTGATTACTGCAAGAAGCTATAATTTATACTAGGAGAAGTGAATATTTGTTTAAGGTAAAAAAGTATTGCTTTAGAAGAGCCTCAAAAGTATATTTAAAAAGTAAACGAAATACTAGTAACAATACTCCCAAAGATGAAACTGCATGGAAATTTCAAAAACGAGCCCTTGGTGTTAGAAAAACAGTGAATCTGTACAATACCCAGGATACTTGGTACAGAGTCGCACAAACTAGGGTTTAGTAACCTAGCAGCAGTGTGATTACAGTTCCTGAACTTTGTTCCTTAGAATATTCCCTGTCAGGGCAGACTATCTAGATGAAACATTGGGGCCTTGTATTTTAGTTGTGTCCAGAATCTGCCAACACTATTGCCCTCCTCTGTCTCACCCAAAATTGGGAATCTGAGCAGAAATAACAGTGAGAATGTTGACTTTAACCAAGAAATGATTATCCTGAATGTTGTGTTGCCTAGCTAAGAAGTCTGTGAATTGTTGCCATTGGTTATCAACTCGGCTTCTCCCTGGACTTTGTGGGAAAAAGGAGAGAAGCTTAAATGGGACCAAGAGCTCTGTCACATTGTAAAGAGGGGGCTTGATCTGTGTTTTCCAGTAAGGCAGGTAGGGGACTGTGCCTGGAAGATGTGTGAAGGTGGATCTCAGCTCAGAGTAGGAGAAAGCTGCGGCTCTGGTCCTGCCTGAGCTATTCACAGACAGCCTGTTTCTAGTGGTGATGTTTGGCCTCAGTGGTACACTAGACTCACCTGGGAGTCCCTGTAAAATTCAGATGCCTGGCCTGTACTCCAAAGAGCCTGGTTTACTTGGTCTGAGGTGGGCCCCTGATATTGGTGTTTGGTCTGAGGTGGGCCGCAGATATTGGTGTGTTAAAAGTTTCCCAAGTGATGCTCACATGCAGCCAGCAGTAATAGCCACAGTGGGATGCTTACAGTGTAATCGAGACATAGGCTCAGTAGCTTGCCACTTGCAGAGTCCAGTGAATAAGAGAGAGGTCTGGCATAAAGAAAGCGACTTTTTATTCCAAAGTTCAGCTTAGTGGAGGAAGGACAGGCTTCCTGCCTTAAGGGTATTGCTTCCCTTTTGGAGCAGAAAGTGAGCACTTTTAAAAGGCAGGAGAGGAGGTAAGTGAGCAGGTGGGGGTTGGCAAGCTATCTTGGTGCCTTGTCTACCAGGTGGTTGACTTGGGGTCCTCATGGGCAGAAATAGTTTGTGAGGGTGTCCAGAAACTCTAGCAGGCATACTTTGGGTTGTAAATCGACTGTTCTCTCTCAAGGCAACCTCCTGGTGGATGAGAGTTCTGCTCTGGAGCTTCTAAGCACATAGATGAACTTGCCCTGTAGGGAGTGTCTGGTGAAGAGGAGGTAAAAGACTGTAATTGCATTTCTAAAAAGCTAAGTAGGGAGTGGGGGAAAAGAGGAAAGAGAAAAGAAAAGAAAAAAAATAATTAAACTATCTTAGAAAAATGGAGTACTGGGTTAAAATAGTGCAAGAGTTCCTCACCAGTTGTGGACCAGCAGCATCAGCGTCACTTGGAACTAAATAGAAGTGTGAAAATCCTCATCCATCTCCCCACCCCACCCCTTAGACCGCTTGGGCTTAGTTTTCCCAAGCCTTCCAGGAGATTCTAATGTGCACAGAAGTTTGAGAAGCACTCTTCTACACTGCAGCAATGGCTCTCAAACTTTGATAGATGTTGGAAACAGAATGCTTGTTCCTTTGTTAGAAATACTTGTTCCTCGGTACCTCAAGGAAAAATTAGCATTCAGACAAAAAGTTTTCTCAGCAAGGCAAATTTACTGTCTGCAGAAAGGGTGCTCCTCGCAGTTGGAACAATGGTGAGAGCACACCAGAACAAGGGAGGGGTGCGGGATCTTATTCCTAATGCAGGTAGCCCCTACTGCTGTGTTGTTCCCGTATTGGCTAGGGTGGGACCGCACAGTCTAAGCTAATTCCGATTGGCTATTTTAAAGAGAGCAGGGGTCTAAGCCAGAGTGGTGGGGTGAATAGTTTGGTGGGAAGGATGGTTAGGAACAGGTAACTAAAGGTGACTTAGGTCAGAGCAGGTGACTGGGATGAATCAGGACAGAGGAGGTGACCAGAGGTGAGTCAGGATGGAGCAGGTGACCAGGATGAGTCAGGATGGGGCAGGTGACCAGGGGAACAGATGTGAACTACTGATTAAAACTGGTGGAAAATTTTGTTTACTGAAACTATGAGGAAGTTAAACTTTAAAATGGAGGACAAAGAACTGAACATATTAACGTACTGATTCTTTGAAGAAAAATTTAGAATTCACTGCATCCAACAATAGACATGAGAATCACCTGGAACCTCTAAAAAAATCCACATGCCCAGGTCATGCCTCATCCCAATGAAATCAGAGCCTGTGATTGAGGGAGCCAGGCACCAGTGTTTTCTAGTATTCTCCAGGGGATTCCACTGTGCAGCCACACTTGGGAACCAATGCTTTGCGGAAATTGAGCTGGATCCTTCCTGGTATTAAGGTTCTAGACTTTGCCTCTGAAATTCTGTCCTGTCTCCCTAGTGTTAAGTTACCTCAGGCAGAACATGAATGGTCTGAGAGCCTGGAAGGGATTAGTGTCTACATTGTTGCTGGGGGAAGTGGGTCTGCTTGCCTCTGATTTCTTATGTGCTTTTCAGAGAGGGATGATAAGGGGATTCTGTGCTGACTGGGTGCTCTCAGGCACTCCCAGCCACTTAAGTAACACAGGCAGAGAGGCCATAGTTCCACGGGGTTAAGACCTTTTAAAAGAAGTTCTTAGCAGCAGAGAAGCTGTTTTTATTTTGTTGGGTCCGTTGGTTCCATTCATTTATGAACATTTACCAGCCCCTTCCATGTGGTGAGCACTGAGCCAGGCTGCCGGGAGGTTCTGGGCCATTGAGGTGTAGAGAAACATGACCAGTCCTGCTTTTGGGGGTTCTCCAAAGACCTTGAAAGGCCACTGGGGTGCTCAGGAGCTCAGCTGGAGGGATGCTGTCTGCTGGCGAGGACTGGGGCTGCTGCAGGAAGGATGGGACCTGCAAGCTGGGCCCGCCAGAGGACAGTGGCATCCAGATGGGGGCAAAGGCATGAGCAAAGGCACTGGGGTACAGGGATGTTGTGGGAGCGTGCAGGGGTCAGGGTTTGTGTCACTTGAGTGACAGCTCCCTCAGGCCCCCCTAACCTGTGACATGCATTTCATAGCCCTGCGAGGTGGGATGGAGGAGGATGCACTCCTGCCCCTGCTCCCACCCCAGCCTCCTGGGCAGGGTGGAAAGGCAGCCGTCCAAATAATGAGGCCATAAAGCCCCTCATGGCATTTGGGTCTTAAAGAAGGAAGGAAGGAAGGGGGTAAGGCCATTAGGAGCAGGAAGCAGTCTGTCCTTGCACTGTCTGCTGCCCAGAGCATCTGTCCCATCGGACATCCCTGGGAGGTCTTTGAACTTTGGAGGCAGCAGGCTCTCTCAACTGCAGCCCCTCCTGCAGGTGGGCTAATCCCCTCCTCCAACTGGCCTTTGAAGGGTATAGGAAGTGCTGGGGGCTGGTTCCTACTGCCCATTAAAATGGCTTCCCCTAGGAGAACCAGTGACAGAGGCTGCCCCTAAGGGGGGCAGCAGGCACCTAGGAAGCTGGTGTGGGGGATGGGCTCAATTTTCATCTCACAACCCTTGATAGCCTTTGAATTTCTACCATGTACTTATTTTAGTGACTCAATAAAGTAACGGGTGCCACCAGCCAGGCCTTCTCCTGCTATTGGCTGAGGTAAACCCTCCCTGAGAAATCTGCCAGTCAAAATTGTCAGTAGAAAGCTTATTCAATCTCAGCTTCCAAGGAATCCAAGTTGCTAAGTGTAGGTGGAATTGGAAAAATCTTGTCTAGTGCAGGGATATAAGCAGTTTAAAAGGGAAACAAAAGTACTTGCTGTTCTTTTGTTTCTTTGTGGGAGAAAAACAGGCTGATAGAAAACCAATTGACCTAGAGCATTTCCTCTGAATAAACACTTTTAAAAGATGTTGTTTTGAGAGCTGACTGTGAGGTTTACCAGAACAAACCAAATTTCATCTTGAAATCCGCGAAGGGACTTTCAATGGTTCCCAATTTGATGTATCTTTTCAAGTTTCTGTGGCTGGATTATGCAAAGGTAGAAACTTTGAGGTAGGCCAGAAGGCTGATTTCAGCCCAGCATTTAGGAGTCCCTGCGTGCTGAGGGACTTTCCGCGGCTGGCTGTGAGGCCGTGGGCAGGTTGCTTCTCTCTGGACTTCAGTTTCCACATAGGTTCAGATGAGGGAGCTACAAGGTCCCTTTAAGTCTCAAACCCTGCAGCTCTTTAAGGCCTGTATCTCAACTGTGAAAGGAGTTACCATTCTGCAGCAGTCTCCTGGCAATATGTTTTTAATGTACAAAAGTTTAAGGTAACTAAAAGGGGAGGACGGATGAATGTCACAAAGAATTCAAAGTTCTCTACCCCCACCCCATGCCCCCCGCCATCGTTCCCAAGCCCATGTGGACTTGGTGCCCACGTAACATCTCATGGTGCCAGTCACATCACGCTTCCTCTTCTAGCCTCGGGTGTATGTGGGAAAGTCAGAGGGTAGGCACAGGTAATGTCTCGGACCTGTACTTATGATAAGAGACTAGGAGGTGTCCGGGAAGAAGGGAACCAACCCTGAACCCCGCCTCCTGAATGCCCTGGAACACTGAGTGCCCCCGGGAGTGGCCCCGGAGAACAGAGGTGTCATTGCTTCAAGCTGGTCCAAGATTTTAGCTGCTTCTCAACACCTGTTCTCCCCAAAGCCACATCCACGCTGTGTTGCAGGCGAGTCCCAGTGCCCCGTGACCAGATGCCCCCGGCTTTCCACCTCTAACCCCAAGAGGGATTTTCCTGCTGGTTTCGAGCATGCAGTTCACAGTACCTGAGGGCTCCCAGCCTCCACGTGGCCACTTCCGCACAGCTTAGCAGGTGCCGGTTCTTTGCTCTCGATTGAGTGTGGGGGCAATTGCATCCTCAGTGACTGCACCGTGTATGGAGGTTCAATGCATGGGCTGCCCGGGCTCAAGCTGTGCTTGGCCAGTTACCTCAGGCAAGCTTCCCAACTTCTCCTGGCCTCAGTTCCCTCATCTGTGAAGTGGAATAATAATAATTCATGAGATGATATATGTAATGAGTAGTGATTTTCACATTGAAAACAGTTCTCTTTCCCAGGTACTCCCCACTTGGTGGGCATGAGTGCCCCTTGTAGAGTATTTTCCTTTCTCTGCTCTGTCAATATTGTTCCCACTCTCAGCATCCCATTTAGCATCTGTGTTGAGGGGTGGCTCCACCTTTGCCTGTACCTCAGGGGCATGTTCCATGTGCACACACAAGTGCTTAGCGTCATACCTGGCATGTGTTGGGCAGTGGAAGCTGTGCTGGTGGATGGATAAGAGCATGAATGGAAGAAATTTAGGGTATCTGTTCAGGTTCTCTGAATGCCTTGGGCTTCCCGAGGCTCTGACCTGAATGAGTAGCAACCTTCACAGACCAGGAGTGTATGAATCCCCACCTCTAAGGGAATATGATGAACACAGCCCACAGTGGTGATACACCGTCAGTTTTACCGTGCCTGCCCCCACCACCACCGCGCTGGCCACCACGATGCCCAACACATCTGCCATTATAGTCGCCCCTCCGGGGAATGTGCTAAGGCAGATGATGTTAAAATACAAAGCACCTGGGGGGCAAGGGGAGGGTCCTCTGAATCAGGGACATCAACGGGAGGGTAGGAGCAGACAGCCTGGGTGCAGGACATTGTTGCGGGGCTGGGGATGGGAAGGGAAAGAATCACATCCCCCAACCCGCAGAGCTTGGGGTTGCAGACCCCAGAGGATGCATTGAGTGGGGAGATTTGCCTTGACCTTCTGATGTGCTTGCCTTGTAGCACTCCGCAAGAAACAGATACTGAAGACTTGGAGTGGCTGTAGACTTCCCTAAAACTGAGGAATTGCTCTCCACGTACACATGATTTTTGCTACGCACTGTTAGCAGCAAGTTCCTCCTCGACACCTGGAGGGTTGACTGTTAGCCTGGGGTTTTCATCTTCAGGAGCTTTTAGCCATCTTTCCATTTCCTGCCCTGTCCCAGCCCTGTGTCTGCAGCACCATTAGATGAATTACTCTCTAGGCTCAGAAGCAGAAAGCATATTCTTATTCTCACCAAATCGCCCTGTTTCCTTCAACAAAGTTCCATGATAACTGACAGCGCTCTGCTCCAGCAGTCTTTCCTTGGCAGAGCCTTGGGAGTACATTTCTCTAAAGAGAAGCACTTTGTACTCTTCAGCTCTGCTGTGTTCTTGCTTAATAAGCCGTGCACGTGGTCTTCTGATAGAGCCACCCTGAAACCAAAATCCAGGAGGTGGTTCCTCCCGTCATTCGCAGTGCACCCTTGGCAGACCAGGAGAGGTGAATGGAGCCATGAGCTGCATCCTCGGAGCCCTCCCTGTCTGCACACCTGCCTCTAACAGATACAGTGGGGCCTGAGGAAGGCCCGCCGCAGACTTGAAGGGGGAACAGGAGTCCCAGAAAGCCAACACGTACCCGCCTTGTTCGTCCTGCGGTGTTTAGAGTGGGAGGTTTACACGGCTTCGCCACTTTCTGGCAGGTCATCTGGGTTTTTTTGCCAGGAGCATTTCTGTGTCCTGGGCCAGAGCAGGCCCCAGAAGGGAGAGCAGCTCGGGCCCTGTGACATTCATCACGTGCATGGGTAGTTTCAAAAGAGCTCAGTGCTTTCATAAATTTGTCTTCCTAAGTAAAAATTAGGTTTTCTGCATAAATTATCGTCCTCTAAAAACCTAAGGAGAGCCTCACAAGACCTTTTCCCATAATTATCTCCCTTGCTCTGCCGCATTGAATTTCGCCATACGCGCTTTTGTAGCAGATGAAAGCACATTCTTTGACTAAATTCATTAGAAACTGAGAAGATCCCAGGTTTAATTACACTGCATGCCATCCATAGGAAGGTGCCTCGGGGGTCCCCCTTCCTGCTTGAGGTCACATTTGCTCTCCAGCATCCTGTCACTGTCCACAGCACACAGTGCAGCCCGGTGGTTTCTCCTTCACTTGGATGCAAAGAGCTTTTGGTTCTGACTCTTCAAGTCTAAGAAATCCACAGCAGCCCTGGAATTGGGAGGGTTTTCACGGATGACGGCATCCGCACGACCATCTGGGAGGGTAAACTGGGTGTAAATTAAGATCACGTGAAGAGTCAGTACGTGATAACAGGCAAAGGGCTCCCTTTTCTGAATGCCCACGCTTTCAGCTCCTGATGTCTACACCTGGCCACTAATTGTTCTCCAGCTGTGTTATGAGATTGGGTTATTTCTCCAAGTATCTGTGAGTAATTTGTGGGCAAAGATATGCTATGATGATATCCAATGAGGTGATATCCAGGGCTCCCACCTCAAGTTAGCCAATCAGGTTCTCACTTAGGCTTGTGTGGTCTGGGTGCTAGCAGTTAGTCACTTGTGCCTATTTAAATTTCTCTTAATTAAAAATTAGTTCCTCGGTCACACTAGCACATTTCAAACTCTTAGTAGCCACACGTGGCCAGTGGCCACAATATCAGGCAGCCCACATAGAGACTTTCCCGTCATCGCAGAAAGTTTTATTGAACAGCACTGGCCTAGGCTACATACCAATAGCCTGCTGATTTCTCTGTGATCCCCACCAGGCCATGGGCTTCCTGCAGAGGCTGTGTGTCACTCACTGCTATGGGCCTGGTGCTCTGCAAAATGCCTGGTGCAAGATGGTGCAAAATCTACTCTTGAAAGAATGAAGAACAACTACGCCTTAAATTGTGCCCAGCCTTCTAGATCAAGAATCATGAAGTTATTCCCTTCTAGATTGGAAACCTTTGAATAGCCACCTGGTTCATGCCCCTCATCTCTCAGCTAGGAAAACAAGCCCAGGAGTTTAGGAACCTTGCTTAACATCCCCATAATAATTATTGTCAGGTCTTTAACCATGATCTCTTTCTCCTTGGACTATTGCACTGTAGCAGCAAGGAAGGCTTTACAAATGATTATTTACAAGAAACCTTCCTTAACCTCATCAGGGTTACCTACCTATGAGTAATCTGGAGCAAATGTATTCAGTGTGCAAACATTAGTAGCATTTCCAGTCGATATGGGAACAGGGCAAAGGTGCCCATGTTGTAACTGATATTTAATATTATTTTAGAAGTCCTGTTCAATTTCATAAGGCAAGAAATAAGGAATATAGAAAAGGATGAAGCAAAATGAGAATTGCCTGTATATTGTAAAAGAATCATCTGAAAAGCCATTGGAAGCAGTAGATGTTCATCATGGTATTGTATCATAAGACCAACATGCAGCAATCTGTAGTTTTCCTAAGTACAAGCAATCATTACAATAGAATAAAAAGCAGATCTTATTCACGGTTTCAACCAAAGATATGAAATACCCAAGAATGATGCTAATAGGAAATGTAAGACCGTCATGATGCAAACTAAAAACATTTGCCAAGGTCATTCAAAAAAAGCCTGGCAAAATGAAGAGGTGCCCTATGTCCTAAGATGGCAAGACTCAAACTTCTAATGATGTGATTTCTCCCCAAAGTAATCAGTGTATTCAGTGCAATCTCAAATTAGAATGACTTTTTATAGAATTTGACAAGCTAAAATCATAGGGAAGAATAAAATTCTCAAAATACCCAAGGCCATTCTGGAAAAAAAAACAAAAAAGAGAGAAAGGAAAAAGAATTGGTTCATTGCTTCTACTCCCTCTATTTGTCCTGAGGGGGGGCAGAGGTTCTTCTTAACATCCTACAGCCTTTTCACCTGAACTGGCTTTGTTCCCTCATATCACCTGGGGAGGCTATATTCTTATTCCATCATTATGGCATCATTCTAAACATCTTCACAATTTCTAACTGGAATCAGCTTTAGCACAGCCCCTCACAGTAGAATGGTTTCTCAGGTCAGAAACTAACATAACTTCATGGGTTTCTTTTCTGTGAAATATTTCAAATCTTTAACTCAGAGTCTATTCAAGTCATAAGGCCGTTTGCCTGCATTGGCTCTAGATGCATTTTTGGATGCTCTAAGCAGTGAGGACATTGTGGGAAGGAGAATGGGAGCCTCCCAAGCAGGTGCCACTCATTTGGGAGCCTGTGTCATTGCGTGTTCATATTGGGACCATCCTATCATGAAGCCATGGCATGCCCAGGAGGCATTGGGGGGAGGCACGCTGTGGGTATCCTCTGTCCTATGTGCTGATGGTGCATTACATAGACCTAGGTGCTCATATGCTGCTTTCATGTCAAGCCATTGATTGATCCCAGTCCTGTGTCCAGCTGTGCTCTGAGAGCTGATGGAGTGGAGAAAGGTGAGACCAGCTCACTCCCTAAGGACTGTCTTTGTCAAGTGGGAGCAAGATCAGAGTGGCAGGAGCTGGTGAGCCCATGGAATCTATTAGGACCAGAAAACAGCATTTCACAGAGATGGCAGGAGCTTCAGCCCTATAGTCCAATGTCCCTTGAGCTTTTACCAAGTCCAGGCTACTGCATACACTCTGAAGCAAGGAGGAGTGTGACCTGCCGCATTCAAACCTAGATCTACTGTTGGGAGCCAAAAAGAATGGGAGGCTGTGCCCTAGGCCACCATCTTCATCCCCTTCCTATGGAGAGCAACACATGGTATAGATGAGTGGTCATTAGTGATTGTCCTTCAGAGGTGTCCTGAGGGCATCTGCAGTCCTGGATGGGGGTAGCCACTTACCAAGAACAGTGGGCCTCTAAGACTTAAGCTTTACTCCAGGAGTCTTACCACAGTCCCTAAACCACATCTGCTAGAACAGACGTGTTGTTCTCTTAGCTCATTGCAGAGAAAGAACGGGAATAAAGGCGTTGAAGTGGGGTGGGAACTTTTCCTTTCCCCGCCAGTCCACCTGCCTTATAGTATGACTTCCCTCCTTAGGCCACAGCTCTCTGAGAGCACCTGAGTTTTCAGCTCGAGGGGCTGCAACTTGCTTTGCTCAAGCGAATGTGTGTGCTTAGCAGAAGCAAGGCCATTCTTCTCCACTGTGCCTACTACTGCCAGGCACTTTGGTGGCTGTTTTCGCATGTGACCCTGACCCCTATTCCCTTAGAGAATGTAAACTCTGTATTCTCAGTGCCTAGAACAGGATCTGGCATGCAGAAGGCGTTCAACAAATACTTGTTGAATGAATGAATGAATGACATTCAGTATTATTATCCCTGTTTAGTCATAGATGAGGAAACTAAGGCTCAGAGGTATGTTTCTTTCTCAAGAGGCAGAGCTGACATTTTCTTCTAGGTTGGTCTGACTGCAAAGCCAGGGATGCTTCTAGATGGGAAGGAGTACTTTGTATCATCCTCCCTGGCTGCTGACACCTTCTCATCAAAGCCATCAGGACATTGGAGGCTGGCTGGGACTTTGAGCTGGCCACTGTGTATGCACGTGTCCCTGGAGTGCAGGGGTGGAGGAGGGTGTGCTGAATACGGGAGACTAAGCAGCTAGCGCCTGGTGCCTGATACTGTTAACTTGTCTGGGAAAGATGGTTTCAGAGAAAGAAGGCCAGCTAGGAGTGCAGATTCTGCTCTTCTGCATGACTTGAGCAAATCACTCTACTCTTACAGCCTTCAAAGGTGCTCAGCAAGAATAGGGGAGATGATGGCCGCTTCTATCCCTGTTACATCTGGAGGCTGTGAAGACACACTGGTAAAATAAGTGAAATGCTCAGACAAAGTGGTAGTGGCCCAGTGCACTGCACCTTGACAGAGCGAGAGTCTAAAGTAAGGGTGAAAGGTGAAAATAGAATGGTCCAAATGATCTTTGAAAACTTCCTAGGAGCTACCATATTCAACTGTGTCTGTCTACATCCTTCATACCCAGATTTCCTGCCACTGTTGGAAACAGCAGCCATTTCTTAGAGCATCAGATAGAATTTAAACTTCACTAGCCAAGCGTGGTGGCGTGCACCTGTAATCCCAGCTACTTGGGAAGCTGAGACAGGAGGATCACTTGAGGCCAGGAGTTTGAGGCTGCAGTGAACTGTGATCATGCCACTGCACTCCAGCTTGGGTGATAGAGTGAGACCCTGTCTATTAATTAAAATTATAAAATTTAGATTTCAAATATTAAGACTCCACACCTCCTGCCCATGTTGTATAAAAAAAAATGTGGATCATGAAGCACCAGAGTCACCCTCAGCATGGGGTGGTGCTTGCAGCAAGAAACCCCAAGAGAAGGGTGGATACATGGCTTTATCTCACACACTCTCAGGGTGTCAGTGTGCACAAGCAAACACACGCTTGCTGACTGGAATAGGGGACAGAATCTCCCGTGCTTCATTCTCTCTGTCTCTCTTTATCTGTCTCAATAAGTTGAATTTTTGGTAAAAGTTAAAAGCCTACTTGATGTGAATCTTGTAAATGTATGGAGATGTATGTGTGTATATATGTACGTACGTGTAAGTGTAGGTATATACCTGTCCTATATACCTATAGAGAACTATATAGAACTATATAGTTATATGTATACACATATATATACATATATAGTTATATATACACATATATATACATATATAGTTATATATACACATATATACATATATAGTTATATATACACATATATATACATATATAGTTATATATATACACAAATATATACATATATAGTTATATATATACACATATACATATATAGTTCTATATACACATATATATACATATAGTTATATATATACACAGATATATAACTATATATAGTTATACACATATATATAATGTGTATGTGTGCATATATACTGTGTATATGTGCATATGTATATATATGTGTATATGTGCCTATATATAATGTGTATATGTGCATATATATACACATATAATGTGTATATGTGCATATATATACACATATAATGTGTATATGTGCATATATATACACATATAATGTGTATATGTGCATATATATACACATATAATGTGTATATGTGCATATATATACACATATAATGTGTATATGTGCATATATATACACATATAATGTGTATATGTGCATATATATACACATATAATGTGTATATGTGCATATATATACACATATAATGTGTATATGTGCATATATATACACATATAATGTGTATATGTGCATATATATAACTATATGTGTATATATAACTATATAGTTATATATACACATATATACACATATAGATAGTTATATATATAACATATATATAACTATATAGTTATATATAGGTATATAGGACAGGTATATACCTACACTTACATGTACGTATATATGTCTACACAAACCCAGGCAAGGCTACTTTGACTGAAGGCTGTACCTGACTCATGCACCTTACATCAAAATCCCATGTATATAGATTCAAGAATTGAGTACTTGCTTGTCACTTCAGTCCTCTGGTTAGCTTAGAGAGGCTGTGTGTATTGTATGAGTGTTATCCATATTTACCTGCTATGATGTTGTCTATTCTAGAAAAATACACTGAACACCAACACTATATTGGTCATTATTTATCCATTGGTGATTCCGAAGTTTGTACTGTTTTAGGATGATTCTTACTGACATGGTACTATGTGCATTTGAAGTACAGCTAAATCTATGGCGACCCCCAGTCTACTCTGGGGTTCGCCTTATTGCTGAATCCCTGAAAGCTGGTGGGCTCATTTTTCTGTACAAAACACAAACAAATACCTTCTCCGCAGTGAGAGGCTTTTGATGCTATTGCTGCCTATTTGTTTTGTTCTCCGTAAAGGGGGTTATTGATGATCATGGAAATTGACCCTGTTCTTCTACCTGTAAATGAGTGCAGCCTGTTATCCCCTAGTGGCATTTAATCTTGTAGGTAGCATTTCTGAGTAGCTCAAGACTGGGGGCACAATCTGGTCCTTGGCAAGAAGTACTGACTGGAGAATTTCCCCTCTGGTGCAGAGCTGGCCTGTTAATTATTGTTATGTTGATTAGCAATAACAAATACACATCTGCCCACTATTTCTTAGAAACTGCCATGGGCCATTCCAGTTACTGCAAAGTCAATAAGCATCTATTGAATAGGAATTGCCAGGCAGTATCCCCACAGGGCTATGAAAGTAGGGCTGGAGTCAGCCTTCCATGGAGAGGCTGTGTTCACGGGAGCCCAAGCTCTTCATCCCACTCCGGGGATTCATTCCACAGACTCAGCCAAGACTACTTTGAGGTGAGGCCGGACCTGACGCCTACACCTGACATCAAAATCCCAAAGCTTCTGAGAGACAGGTACGGTCAGAGCCAGGTAAAGCTGAAGCTTCCAGAGTGGCAGAGGTTCCGTCTAGAACACCTACTCATGTCCTGCGAGATTCGGAAGCCAGGAGGGGTCGAGTGCTGTGGGAATCCTCTCAGAACTCGCCGCACGGTGTGCTTTGTGTCTCCCAAAACAAATACAGAGCAGCATGTTATTTTAAGATAAAATCAAGTCAAGGCCATGAAGTTATGACTGTGTCTGATAAAGCTGGGCCACGTGAGACACAAGGCCCATCTGTGCCCTCAGCCCCACAGTCACTGAAAGTTAAAATTACTGGGCATACTTAATGCCACACGTTTTCGTTAAATATAATGTTGCCAGAAATAATAAATGCCCTGGGACATAAACTTAAACTAATATGAGTTTCTCAGTCAAAGTAATCTTTAATTTAAACTAAAAATAGCCTAGACAGTAGTTGATGTCAGCCTCAAGTATCAAGGCTCCTCCCGGTCTAATGCTGGTTAATCAAACTGTAAAGTGATGAGCCGCTTGGCATGTAAACATTTTAAAGGAGATCAAGCGTGATCTATATTAGAGACAAACTCCAGAAACCCAAGAATCCCACTCGGCTGATTTTGCTGACTGGAACATTCCTTGGGGAAGTCCTCTCGGCCGGCAGAGTGAAACGCTCACTGGACGTGGTGTGCTTCGGTTGGCCACATCCCTGTGAGGAATATGGAGTTGCCAACAGCACAGCCATCTTTTCCAAGCGCTTTTGTAACCATCCTGTGTGTCTCCTCAATCACCAGGTTCTCTGGCCAGGAGAAGAGGCCCTGTGGGAAGAAGGAGCCCCTTTCATTTGATAACCAAGTTGTCTACTGAGAAAGCTCATGAAATTTTCTTCCATAAATGAGGAGACCATCCTCCCAGGGCTTGAGTCTCCTCCCATTGTGGTTTTCCAAGCAACATCCATGTTTGAAAAACCCTTCTGGTAGCTGCCCAGGAGATCCCAGCCAGGGAGAATGGGAGCAGCTTGTCCAAGTGCACGGTTAGAATACTTAATTCATGTGTTGATCCTCCATCGACTTGTGCCCCAGGTTTGAAAAGTTCTCATTACCTGAGGTGGGAGATGCCTCTGATCCTGGCCAAGGTAGGGAAAGAGGTTTTAGAGAATGCCTACAGGGAGAGTTGTTTTCTTAAGGGACTTGAATATTTCTCAAAGTAAGATAATGCTGTATCCATTTGGTGAATGTGCAAATTTTGTAACGTTTGACACTGCAGCTGATGAGACCCTCTTTACTGGGGGGCCATTCCAGGAGAAACGGGTTTTCTGAGTGGGGTATTTGAGGGGCAGTGACCCAGGCAAGTGCAACCTCTGTGTAAGTTCCCAGATGATTTTCCCCAGAACGCAGCTCATGGTTCCAGACCCTGTGGCTTCCTGAAACTATGCATGTTCTTAAAGAGGCAAAACGTTCCTTTCTCTTAGGCTTACATTCCTGAATGTTTCACATCGTTGATACAATGAAGGCCTTGCATTTGCCTCGTTGCTTCCAAGTGCAAGATCATGTTCCAAGTAGAGACTCTAGTCTGTGACTCAGACTAGGACTCCAGGGTCTGTGAGTTGTGACCCTTATGAAGAGACATTGTTAATGCTGATTAAGACCATGCCTGCCAAGGCTGGAGATAGCAATTTGACCTGGTCCACATGCAATGGTTACACCATGAGGTGGCAGCTGGAGCCACTTTTTTCATGAGACATTTTATTTCTATAACCTCTGTACATTTGGCGGAGTTCATTGAAATCCATCAAAACTTTCAGAAGACCTGCTCATTTAAAAACTCTCTCACCAGTTTTATTTAAAGAAAGAAAATCAAACCCTAAGTCAAATTTAAGATAGTTGACTTTTAATGTCCTTTGCTAAGCATACTTGAAAAACCAGTCAGTTCCTTTAACAGTTAACATGAAATAGAGAAAGAAAAAGCTACCAGGTAGAAGAAAATAAAAAGCTGATTTCACCTAACATAAAGTCCTTAAGGTTCACCCATGTTGTTGCATATCGCAGAATTTCTTTTTTTAAGACTGAATAATATTTCATTGTATGTATAGACTACATTTTATTGATCCATCTATCAGTGGCTGTTTAGGTTGGGTTCATATCTTGGCTATTGTGAATAATGCTGTAACTGAACGTGGGAGTGATGTCTCTTGGAGATTCTGGTTTCAATTTTTTTGCGTAAATATTTTGAAATAGAATTGTTGGATCATGCAGTAGTTTTATTTTTAATTTTTTGAGGAACCTCCATACTGTTTTTTTCATAGCATCTATACCATTTTGCATTCTTACCAACGCCATGCAGGGGTTTTAATTTCTCTGCATTCTCACAGACATTTGTCATGTTTTGTATTTTCATAGTAAACATCATGAGAGGTGTAAGGTGGTATCTCATCAGGGTTTTGATTTGTGTTTCTCTGATGATTAGTGACGTTGGGCATCTTTTCACGTGCCTGCTGGCCATTTGTATGTCTTCTTTAGAGAAACGTCTTCTCAAGTCTTTAGCCCATTTTTAACTGGGTTGTTAGTTTTTTTGCTATTGAGTTGTAGGAGCTTCATATATATTTTAAAACTTAATCCGTTACTTTATGCTAAATGAAATAAGCTAGTTGCAGAAGGAAAAATACTGCAGGATTCCACTTACATAAGGCATCTAAGATAGTCAAATTCATAGAATCAAAGAGTGGGCTTGTATTGCCAGGGGCTGGAGGGAGGAGGAAGGGGGAGCTGCTCGTCAGTAAGCATCGAGTTTCAGTGGAGCTCAGGAGAGCTGCTGAACAGCATTGCAATTGTAGTCCGCAATACTGTATTGTAAGCTTAAAAACTTCAGAGGGCAGCTCTCATGTGAAGTGTTTTTACCACTGTGAAATACAGTTAAAGAAAATGAACCTCAAAAAAAGAATTCATACTGAGAGTGAAAGTAAAAAGAATTTTTTTGGTGCCAAGGATGAATATATTTTTAAAATCTTTTTTATTTGTAACAGGATTTTTTTAAAGCTGAATGGAGATTGCTTTCTCATGCACTTGTGTATAAGTAAACATTTTCTGTTGCTCACCCAAAAGTAAAGTAAAAAGCTGAGTAATTGCATTGAAAAAATAGAACTCACTTTATTCAACAAAGTGACCATTAAGCAGTGGCTGACGCCTGTAATCCCAGCACTTTGGGAGGCCGAGGCGGGCGGATCACAAGGTCAAGAGGTTGAGACCATCCTGGCCAACATGGTGAAACCCTGTCTCTACTAAAAATACAAAAATTAGCCAGGCGTGCTGGCGCGTGCCTCTAGTCCCAGCTATTCGGGAGGCTGAGGCAGGAGAATAGCTTGAACGCGGGAGGCAGAGGTTGCAGTGATCCGAGATTCTGCCACTGCACTCCAGCCTGGGTGACTGAGCAAGACTCCATCTCAGGAAAAAAAAAAAAAAAGAATATAGCTAAACTGTTCTCACTGGCCATATTTGTCTGATAATTTCTTCAGTCTTCCTTTAACCCTAATTGGATAGATACCTGACACTGAGGCATGAGGACGAGACTGAATCTAACGAGAGGTGACTTTTGCCATTCTGCCAAGCAGTCTGCCACCACGCCAGATCAACACACTTGTCATGGATATGAGTTGTCCGGTATTTTTTTGGCACTTTCTTTGCTATTAAACAGATAATTCGTTCAATAAATATTTTTACCAAATGCTCGCTTTGCACCAGTTTCTGCTGCCCTGAGAAAATAGGGTGAGTTGGAAGAGCCTGTGGGCCTCCAGTCAGGAGGGTCTGAGGTTGATAGCAGTCCAGACCACGCGAAAATATGGCCATCTATACCTAGGTGGCGATGCAGACACTCCCTTTTCAGAAATGACTCTAGTTGGTCACTTGAGCAATTAAGCAAAAAATTGATTCAAGTGGAGAAATAACAAGACATTATATGTAAGTGCCTTAGACATTTTGTTTTAACTTAAGCTATAAAAACATTAGTTTTTTTCAACAATTTTGTAATGGAGAGGGAAAGCCTCTTCTTTGAGGACGGGTGTCTGCCAATTGGACTTCCATGTCACCTTCTGATATGGTTTGGCTGTGTCCCCACCCAAATCTCATTTTGAATTGTAATCCAATGTGTCGAGGGAGGGACCCGCTGGGAGGTGATTGGATCATGAGGGTGGTTTCCTCTGTCCTGTTCTTGTGACAGTGAGAGAGTTCTCACAAGATCTGATGGGTTTGTAAGCATCTGGCATTTTCCTTGCTTGTGCTTCTCTCCCCTGCCACCATTTGAAGTAGGTCTTTGCTTCCCCTTCACCTTCTGCCATGATTGTAAGTTTCCTGAGGTCTCCCTGGCAGAACTGTGAGTCAGTTAAACCTCTTTCCTTTAAAAATTGCCCAGTTTCAAGTGTGAAACACTTTATAGCAGTGTGAAAATGGACTAATACACTTTCCTCACACAAAGCATGCCTATAATAAGAGTTTGAATCTAGTTTCTTTTATATGTGCATGTGTGTGTGTGTGTTTGTATACACATAAAAAGGATTGTAAAAGACTTGTGAAGCAGCCTTGGAGCAGATTTTTATGATTTATTCATCTTTCACAGTTGTCTTGCCCACACCCAGTTGGACAGCAGTCTATCTTAGCTACTGGCTAAATCTGTTTTCATGAGAACAACAACTTGGTGTTTGTCCCCATATTTCGTTGGTTAACCCAACATGTAGCCACATGTATGAATTGAAATAACAAGTGTCACTGACATCAGTAGGTTTAAGAATAAATACAATGGAAGATTGGTAAGGATGCCCCCCCTCCACTGACGGGGGAAGTCACATGTGGGTGATCAGAGAGGGCCCCGCTAGCCCAAAGTTCCAGAACACATGAGCGCCAGGCAGCGGATCCTCCAAAGGACATGGGTGACTTTAGCTGATCCAACTCCACGTGGGAGTTGGCCAAGGGAGCATCTCTGTAGGCAAAAGGGTGTGGGGGTGGCCTGCAGGCATGCAGAGAAGACAGGATGGGTTTCTTTTGGGGAGACACCACCATTAGGCAACAAGCAGGGTTGCTGACGGAAGATGGTCAGATATCTATGAGCAAACTAGGAAAACATGGCTCTAGAGCAGAGTTTAGAAACCTCTTTTATCATTATCTGTGTCAGTGTTCATCTCTTCTCCCAAGCTGGCAGTGATTTGAGGTCTTTTCCTTGTGGTCCGTTACCTGGCACTTGGAAAGTGTCTAATATTTTTGAATGAATGAAAGTACATGTTCTTTTTTGTTGTCGTTGTTCCACTGAGATTGTTGAAAGATGGTCATCCTTATACACGTTGGGGCATAAGAACTCTGGGTCAGCAAACTGGGCAACTGGATCTTGCGTGCTGCATGTCTTGGCTCACCCCAGTGAGGGCAAGTGTATAAGCTAAGATCACTGTTCAGCTCACAGTGTGATGAGCCCTCCAGGCCTAGACAGGCATCCTGGTATGTCTCAGGTATAGCTGAATAGGGAAGGTGACAGGTGTGATCTTGTTAGATGTGAAAGATAGAAAAGCCATACTCTGTAATGAGTTGGAAGGCTTAGATTCAGATCATTCTGTAAGTCAAGGTCTAGGATGGTACCCAGTGATTCCCGTTAGCACAGTGATTATCTCTAAGGAACAGAAACACCAAAACCATGAACATTGGAATATTTAATGTAAGAAAACAAGTCTAGCCATCAGAAGCTTAAAGTTTAAGAATTATCATGTCACAGTTAATTATCAGAGTTAATATACTTTGTTGATTTATTGTTATTTAGTGAATGCTATTAGTGTCTGTCATTTGCTCAATTTATCTTCATTCACTAAGCAAATCCTCACCCTCTATTTCTGTGAAAACACATGACTGTGGGTCTGCTGTGTGAGAACCACTTTCACGTTACGTCCGTTTTTGTTTTTAAGACTTGATTTACCTTAGCATGGTCCGCTAGCACCAGGAACTGGAAATGAGAAGCTTGTAGCATAAGCATCCCTCTCTCCTCCTTCTTGGACAGCTTGGGCATGAACCACGACGATGACCACTCATCTTGCGCTGGCAGGTCCCACATCATGTCAGGAGAGTGGGTGAAAGGCCGGAACCCAAGTGACCTCTCTTGGTCCTCCTGCAGCCGAGATGACCTTGAAAACTTCCTCAAGTAAGTCCTGGAATTATTCTATAGGATGAATGCAATCAAAAGTACTTCCAAAAGACAAAAGTAT
Organism: Homo sapiens; assembly: GCF_000001405.40. Taxonomy (NCBI): domain Eukaryota; kingdom Metazoa; phylum Chordata; class Mammalia; order Primates; family Hominidae; genus Homo; species Homo sapiens. The sequence continues at coordinate 100,155,115 of NC_000015.10, read as the reverse complement.
TGGAGTCTCAGCAAGTGTGAAGTGGAGAAATGACTCTCTTTTGGGATTTGCATCTAGCCTCAGGAGGCGGTCAGCGCAGAGTGTCCTATAATGGCAAGGACATCTCCCACATGCGCATCTGCTCCAGCGATGGGCGCACAGTGGGTGATCATTACGTAATTGCCGATCGACTCAAATGTCAACATAGTCACCCTGTCTTGAAAAGAAACCCATTTCATTCCTCTGCAGTGTTGTGACCGTGTGGTCACCTTGGGGCGCCCCTGGGCCGCTGCGGAATGGAGCATTTCCTGGTGTGGAGATGAAGGCCGCTTGCCTAGAGAGGGAGTGAATTTGCTGGGGGATGAGGGGTGGGTTTGCTCAGCTTCCTCACCTCTGGGGAGGGGAGGGCTGTGTTTATCTCACTGCTACTTTCTTCCCAGAAGGTGTCTGCACCCTTCCATTCTCAGATTTCTGTGGAAGAATCTGCCATCTGATTTCAGACCTTTGTCACAGTCTGTACCTGTGGACGGTGCCGGTCCCTGTCCCTTAGTGTCAAGACCTCAGGGTTGGGTTTACAGAGTGACTGTGCAGGCCCTGGTCACTGAGCTACTTAGCCGTGTGAATTCATGCACCCTGGGAGACAGCAGTGAGTCGGCGAGTCTCACCTGCAGATGGAGCTTCTCAGTCCAGTAGCACATTCAAGTACCCGACGAATTCAGGATGTAGTGGCAAAGGTGCCATCCTGGGTCTTTTTTCATGACGTTCCTTGTTCATGGGGAAATTGTTCAGTGGTAAACCAGCTTAACAATGCACTCATTACTTTTAATGTAGTCTACTTCCCACTGAGTATTTGATACCACAGATCTTAGGAAATGCTGTAAGCCCCTTGATGTTATTTCACTTCACCCAGAAGGGTCATGGCCACGAGATGGGTTGGGTTTGTTTGTTTGTTTCTTGAGATGGAGTCTCACTCTGTCTCCCAGGCTGGAGTGCAGTGGTGCGATCTTGGCTCACCACAACCTCTGTCTCCCAGGTTCAAGCAATTCTCCTGCCTCAGCCTCCCCAGTAGCTGGGATTACCGGCACGTGCCACCACACCCGGATAATTTTTGTATTTTTAGTAGAGATGGGGTTTCGCCATGTTGGCCAGGCTGGCCTCGAACTCCTGATCCGAGGTGATCTGCCTGCCTCGGCCTCCCAAAGTGCTGGGATTACAGGTGTGAGCTACCGCGCCCGGCCAAGATCAGGTGTTTTTATTTGCTCATGTACACAGCACTGGTGACAAGTAGTGTGTGTGAGCCCAGAAGTAAACCAGGATCAGTCTGTGTCTTGTGTTCATGCAACTCTTTCCTTAAGAATCTTGGCAAGTGACTGGGTTTTCTGCCTTAAACCATCTGCCTTTAGAAATTGAGAAATAAAAGCATTGTAGTAAGTAACCTCCTTTAGAGCCAGAGCCTCGCAATCCCCAGTTCACTTATTCATTTAGTTATTTATGAGTCAGAGTCTCACTCTCTCACCCAGGCTGGAGTGCAGTGGCGCTATCTTGGCTCACTGCAACCTCAGCCTCCTGAGTTCAAGTAATTCTCCTGCTTCAGCCTTCCAATTAGCTGGGACTACAGGTGGGACTACAACCATGCCTGGCTAATTTGTGTGTTTTTAGTAGAGACAGGAGTTTCCCCATGTTGGCCAGACTGGTCTTGAACTCCTGACCTCAAGTGATCCACCCACCTCAGCCTCCCAAAGTGCTGGGATTACTGGTGTGAGCCCCCGAGCCCGGCCCCCAGTTCACTCTTTTAGAGACGCGCCTCTCACTGTGAATGAATGCTCCCACCCCAGTTGAAATCCTGAAGTCCTCGGCGAGTGTTGCCAGTGGCTTTCAGGGATAGCGTGGTCAAGTGAGACACCGAGGTCCCACAAGCACTCGAAAAGAACCTGAAGAGTTGGAAATAAGCACTTTGATTTTATTTAAAGTAAAGCAAGTCTAACTTGTACTTGTTCTTTATTCATGATAGTTTTTGCTCAAAGCCATAGTCTAAGAAAATACGATAATCTCTTCCAAAATCATTTTCATCAAAGAAAGCTTTCAGACTCCCCAGTAAAAGTCCATCAGCCTTGTGGATGTCGTTCCTATGCCCCTCCCGAGTCTCCAGGTTCTTACTACCTTCAGAGCGAAGATTCACATTTGGCCATGTAGAAAAAGAGGAATGCACAGCAAAAAAGCGCAGTCTGTGTGTCCAGTGCCTGCGTCCTTTTTCCATAAGGAACGTGGAGGTGCCCTCTTCTCAGTGACTGAAAACTCAAAAAAAAAAAGAAAAAGAAAACAAAAAAACCTAGGCAGTACATTTGCAAGTCAACTTGCCTCTCGGCTGTTTCAGGTCAAAAGTCAGCACCTGCTTGCTAGTCACGGACCCCAGAAGCCAGCACACAGTACGCCTCCCGCACAAGCTGCCGGGCATGCACTACAGTGCCAACGAGCAGTGCCAGATCCTGTTTGGCATGAATGCCACCTTCTGCAGAAACATGGAGGTAAGCAGCCGTGGGAGGGCTGGCTCGGGACAGAGCATGGATCCAGCCCTCCCACAGCAGGTCTGGCTTCTGCTGGAGGACATGGGCATTCACACTCAGCACAGGCACATACACACACAAGCACAGGTATACATGTATATGCACACACACGTTTGCATACAGAGACATGCATAAACACACTCTCACAGGCATTTGCACATGTGTACCCCATATAGCCATACACACATACACACCTACACATGCAGTTGCAGGCACACATCTACACACAGTCCCCCACACGGGCACTTTTGCAGGGGAATCCTTCAGGGTTACTACTGACTCTGGTAGCCTAACATTTTAATATGGAAACCTGAGGACACTAGAGACGCAGGACACTGTCGCCTGACTTCAAACACTGCATGGATCAACAAGAGGGTTAAAACTATTAAACATTTGAGCGTATCAAATTGGGAAAATTTAACAAGTAATAAATTGATTATATGATAATAACCCCATTAAACAGTTACCGCTTGTTGAGCAATGCCTAAGTGTTTGGTACTAACGCTTCCAACATGTGTGATCCCAATTAGTCTTCACCATGGCTCCCGAGATCCTGTCCCTGGTTTACAGATGACAACACCAAGTCAAAGTAAGCAAACATTGAAAAAGGCTTTGTTAGTAGGTAGTAGAGCGAGGATTTGAACTCAAGTCTCATTCACCCCTGATTGCACACGTTTTCACCATGATGCAAACAGCAAGGTCTGTGACTTGGCTGGTTTTATGGGTGAGGGGTGCCAAGAGGGGCATGTGGGTACCCAGGGCAGGGCAGTCTCCATGCCTGTGGCCATCTGTGTAGCAGACAGGGAAGGCCCTGGCCACAGGGGAAGGCCAGGAGCCTGTGGTCCACCTGGCCCTGGCAGTGACGGGGCTAGGGGAGCAGAACCTGCACCATCCTGTGGAGAAGGAGGGCAGAAGTAGGGGAACCAGCCAGGGGTATGTGGAACTCAGCAGCCAGGCAGCAGGTGGTCAGCCTGAGGGAGGGCTATTCCAGCACTGGCACTCAGAAGCACACCTGGTCCCAAGGAGGATGTGTGGATGGCTGGGCAGGTTCCTGGAGCAAGCACTCGGGAGCAGCACCAAAGCACACAGGCACATGCAGGCTGCCTCCAGAATGCGGTCCCAATGCCCATTAGCCCAGACTCCTGGAGACAGATGCTGCCTCTTGAGTGCTTCCTGTCTGAGTATAAGTTAGTTTAGGAAATTGGGACACAACCTGCAGTTGGAGCATTGCCTGCCACCTTTGGGGTTGCTAAAAAGGGCAGCTCCTTAAAACCAGGCTGTTGTCTCCTACTGGCTGTTTCCCCAAAGGACGTTTATCCACACTGTAGTGCTGCTTCTGCCCTGCCATTCCCCTGGGGAGCACGCCTGCGAGGGTCCCCTCCAGAGACCAGTGGGAAGCTGTCACCCATGTCAGCCTCCCACTGGATGCCTGTACCTCCTGCCCCCAGCAGCAGGGTTGAAGGACACCTCCATGGGGAGATGTGATGAGCCCTAGGATGTGATCGTCCCCAGCATCCTGCAGCGGTGCCCAAACTCACCATCAGCCACTGTGTGGCTTGAGTGTTAAGGCTTATGCACACGCACAGTGCCTGCCAAGAGGCATTCTGTCTGCCTCCTCAGTCCCTGCAGTGCACGGATGGCACCGAGATGCCAGTAAAGAGCAGGTTTCAGGGAGTCCCTTGATGTGGAGACAGCATGAGATTGTGTGGTTGGGATACCAGGGAGGATGTCAGGCAGAGAAAAGGGCCCCAGACACTGGGGCTGGGGAAGTGGGTAGTGCCCAGCTGAGCCAAGGGACAGAGTGGTCACTCTGCCCACTGTGGAGTCCTCCGCAGGGCCAGTGAGATGTGGCGGGCCAGGCTGAGCTGGCCCTACAGGGCAGGATTAAGTGTGGTGGAGGCTGGGCAGAGACTGCCTGCTCCATGAGAGCCGGAGCTATTTTCCCTTCTAGGAGCCAAGCACTTGCATCCCGGTTGGATGAGGAGGGACAGAGGGAGGAAGGCACTTGTACTGGGGACTCACAGTCTCCCAGGCTGGACTTTGTCCTTGCACTGTCACACACAACCCTGACTGCAACCCCAAAGGCAAGGGCTTTTAACCCCATTTTAACAGATGAGAATATAGAAGCTAAGAGAGATTAGAAAACAAGCCAGGCTCACCCAGCTGGAAAGGGGTGGGCTGGAAAGCGAGCCCAGGGGTATCTGTTACTGAGGGAGGAAAGGAAAGCTACTGTCATTCAAAGATAGACCCCAAAGAGAGGAGGCAGGGGATGTGGTATTTTATTTTCCTTCAGAATCATATTTTCATGAGAGGAATTCAGTTAGAGGGCAACAAGCAATGATTCCCTCAGCTTTGTGACTCCTTTCTCCCTAGAAGCTCAAAATCCAAATGCATATCAAGTGAGATCTTCCCACGTGCCTTTTACATTGAAGCTGAACATTTATTCCTGGGCTCCCAAGGAACTGCAAAATATGTTTTCCTGTTTGCTTTTGCCTCGAGAGTTTCACCAGCAATAAAATAAATGTGTTTTTTCCTCTCCAATAACTAGCAGAAAGGATTTCTTAGGGGAGTGATGGAATGACAGTCCCCTTCATGGCCACCAGCCTCAGCTGGTCAGTGGTGATTGTCCTGCTTGCAAGGCTAGTGACACTTTCTTTAGAGGAATCTGACTGTGGGGTAGCAGTGACTGTGCACACTGGAGAAAATGTCACGATTGTTAGAAATAAATGCTTATTCCTCAGTGCCGAAAAGAAGAACTAGCACTGAAAGAATTTTCTCAGCAAAAGATAGGAGGTGTGACTCATGGATGGAGCAATGGTGAGAGCACACCTGAACAAGGGAGAGGAAGGGGTTCTTACTCCTGACTCAGGTAGCCCCTACTGCTGTGTTATTCCCCTTTTGGCTAGGATTGGACCACACAGTCGAAGCTAATTCTGATTGGCTATTTCAAAGAGAGAAAGGGTATAAGCCAGAGTGGTGTGGTGAGCAGTTTGGCAGGAAAAAAGGTGAGGAACAGGGAACTAAAGGTGACTTAGGTCAGAGCAGGTGACCAGGGGTGACTCAGGTCAAAGCAGGTGACCAGGATGAATCAGGACGGAGCAGGTGACCAGGGGAACAGATGTGAACTACTGATTAAAACTGGTGGAAAAGGTTGTTTATGGAAACTGCGAGGAAGTTAAACTTTAAAATGGAGGACAAAGAACTGAACATACTGACATACTGATTATTTGAACTCTATCCAACACACTCACGCTCTTTTGGGGAAGAAAATGCAGAAGACCAGATGCTTCCCTGTGAACCCTTTGAGAACCAAGGATTTGGGGCATGCTGCCCTAGGCCTGGGACATGTATCAGTCAAATCCAGGTGAAGACAGTGCCACACTTCAGGGCTCCAGGCCCTGCTGTATCAACAGTCTGCGCCTTCCCTGCTTTTGTAGGACTGTGTTGTGGTTGATGTTGGGTATGGCAGGAGAGCGTACATATGCTGTTATCCCTCAATTCTTCCCTGCTAGGCAGCCTTCCTGGTGCAGGCGTGTGCCGCCTCCTTTCTTCCTTCTGGGCCTCATCCTGCCCTATGCTCCCCTGCACTTACTCTATTCCAGCTGTACTGGTTTTCCTTTTCTTCTCGGACCCCACCAGGGACACAGTTGCTTCATGCTGGCTGTTTCCTCCTCCCTGCCACTCTTCTCCCAGTTATCCACATGACTAATTCCGTCACCTTTTTTGAGTTCTGTTTTTTTTTTTTTAATATAAGCTTCTCAATGAGGCCTACCCTGACTACCCTCTTTAAGATGACAATCTGGTACCCTCCCCTGCCCACCTGTGCAGCATCCACATCTCCTAATTCACAAGAAACATGAAGAAATCTAGAAAAATACTCAATATAATGAAATTGTTTGAAAGTAGTGAAAAAGAGAAAATCTTCAAGGAGCCAGAGGAAAAACAGATAAGTTATATACAGATAAAGGTAAAACTGACAGTACACCTCTCATTAGAAGCAGTGTAAGTGAAAGGACAACAGAGAAACATTGTAAAGTACTAAAAAAAAAAAGGCTGTCAGCCTACAATTCTATACCCAGCAAAAATATCTTTCAAAATTACATGTGAAATGCAGTTTTTCTGAAAACTGAAAAAAATGTATCACCAAGAGGCCCACATTATAAGAAATATTAAAGGAAATCTTCTGCAGAAAATGATACTAGGTGGAAATATGGATCTACACAAAGAAATGAAGAGCCCTGGAAGTAGTAATTTCGTGGGCAAATATATGATAGATTTAGATACACTCAAAGTCTTCAAAAGATCATTGATCATTTAAACAACTGTGTTTTATGAAAAACAGTAAGAATATAATTGTGGTAGATCTTTATGTCCTATCCTCAGCACCTATGAATGTTACTTTATATGGTGAAAGGACTTTGCCAGTGTGGCTAAGTATCTTGAGATGGGGAGATTTTCTTGGGTTATCTGGGTGGCCCAGTGTACTCAAGAGTCCTTACTAAGAAGGAGGCAGGAGATCAGGGTGAGTAATAAGAGATGTAGCAATAGAAGCATGAAGTCGGAGTGATGCAAGGAAGGGGCTATGAGCCAAGGAATGCAACAGCCATGAGAAGCTGGAAAAGGCGAGGAAACCTCACAGCCTCGCAGAAGGAACCAGCCCTATTGACACCTTGGCTTTAGCTCAGTGAGACTGATTTTGGACTTCTGACATCCAGAACTATAAGAGAATTGTGTTGTTTTAAGCCACTAAGTTTGTAGTAGCAGCAATAGGAAACTAATACAGATTTGCCATAGGAAACTAATACATTAGTTTAGGGTTTTTCACATACATAAAAGTAAAAGGTATGACATTCGTACAAAGGCCAGAAAGGGAGAAATGGAAGCACAGTCATACGCCTCATCATGAGGTTTCAGTCAGTATCAGCTGCATATGTGCTGGTGGTCCTGTGAGATTATGATGGAACTGCCTCATAGAGGTGTACCATTTTTAACCTTTTATACCGTATTTTTATACCTTTTCGATGTTTAGATACACAAAATACCATTGTGTTACAGTTGCCTACAGCAGGCAGTGGTGTAGTAGTAGTAGTACAGTACCACGCTATACAGGTTTGTGGCCTAGGAGCAATAGGCTACACCACAGAGCCTAGGTGTGTAGTAGGTTATGCCGTCTAGGTTTGTGCACTCTATGATGTTTACACAATGAAAGGTCTGCCTGATGGATTTCTCAGAACGTATTCCCATTGTTGAGTGATGCATAACTATCAGGGAATTTGCCCTGATAGTCACGTAGGTTCTTTTCTATTTTCCTTAAGCATCAGCTGGTTTGAGAAATAAGGGGACAGAGTACAAAAGAGAGAAATTTTTAAAGCTGGGCGTCCAGGGGAGACATCACATCTCGGTAGGTTCCATGATGCCCCCCAAGCCACAAAACCAGCAAGTTTTTATTAGGGATTTTCAAAAGGGGAGGGAGTGTGCGAATAGGTGTGGGTCACAGACATCAAGTACTTCAGAAGGTAATAGAATATCACAAGGCAAGTGGAGGCAGGGCGAGATCACAGGACCACAGGACCGGGGTGAAATTAAAATGGCTAATGAAGTTTCGGGCACCACTGTCATTGATAACATCTTATCAGGAGACAGAGTTTTGAGAGCAACCAGTCTGACCAAAATTTATTAGGCGGGAATTTCCTCTTCCTAATAAGCCTGGGAGCGCTATGGGAGACTGGGGTCTATTTCACCTCTGCAGTCTCGACCATAAGAGACAACCACACCCAGGGGGGCCATCTATAGACCTATACCCCCAGGCACGTATTCTCTTTCCCAGGGATGTTCCTTGCTAAGAAAAATAATTCAGCGATACTTCTCCCATTTGCTTTTGAAAGAAGAGAAATATGGCTCTGTTCCGCCTGGCTCACCGGCAGTCAGAGTTTAAGGTTATCTCTCTTATTCCCTGAACAATTGCTGTTATCCTGTTCTTTTTTCAAGGTGCCCAGATTTCATATTTGTTCAAACACACATGCTGTACAATTTGTGCAGTTAACACAATTATCACAGGGTCCTGAGACGACATACATCTTCCTCAGCTGACAGGATTAAGAGATTAAAGTAAACACAGGCATAGGAAATCACAAGGGTATTGATTGGGGAGGTGATAAGTGTCCATGAAATCTTCACAATTTATGTTTAGAGATTGCAGTAAAGACAGGCATAAGAAATTATAAAAGTATTAATTTGGGGAACTAATAAATGTCCATGAAATCTTCACAATCCACGTTCTTCTGCCATGGCTTCAGCCGGTCCCTCCATTTGGGGTCCCTGACTTCCTGCAACACATAACTGTATACTATTATACGGTTTTTATACTATATACAAGGTGGAATAATTTTTGTTTTTTTGGAGATGGAGTTTCACTCTTGTCGCCCAGGCTGCAGTGCAGTAGCTCGATCTCAGCTCAGTGCAACCTCCACCTCCCAGGTTCAAGTGATTCTCCTGTCTCAGCCTCCCGAGTAGCTGTGATTACAGGCATGCGCCACCACACCCAGCTAATTTTTGTATTTTTAGTAGAGATGGGGTTCCACCGTGTTGGCTAGGCTGGTCACGAACTCCTGACCTCAAGTGATCCCCCTGCCTTGGCCTCCCAAAGTGCTGGGATTACAGGTGTGAGCCACTGTACCCGGCCTGGAATAATCTTACATAAAGGCAGAATGTGATGCGTTAAAGATTAGAATGTCAACTTAGTAAAGCAACCAATAAATAACAACAGAGTTTTAGCTAATATGCCAAGAAAGAAAAGAAAATGTCTTCATATATTGCTTATTCCTGTGATTAAGCACATTAGAAACAGATCATGCCAGGATGGATCATAAATGCATATTAACCATTTATACTCCATTCTATTAATAAACATATACAATTCTCATTACATTAGGGTTCTTGACATGTTCAATTTAGATGTGTGTCTTCGTGAGGCAGGCCCCATGACCATCCTATATCTCCAGAAAAACAGTACTAATGGTCCAGTTTTCTCATTAGCAGTCACACCAGTGGTGTCGTGACATCTTAAGGTGCCTGCAGTTATTGCAGAGGGAACTTTGATGCAAAATTCTCAGCAGTATTCTTCAAACCAATGTTGGCCTTCTTTAATATGAAAAATACTACTACTTGCTAGATGCTGTAAAACGAAAGAAAAATATTCATAGTCAGGAGTTTTAGGGGTGAAGCAATTAAAAGTCTAAAAATTTGGAGGACTCTGTTCTCTTAACCCCATTCATATGTAGGAATTGAGAACACCATTCATGTTCCCAAGCCCTAGGCTCCCCCAAAGACCGTTGCTAAGAACTGGTAAGCCCCTCACTGGTGTTGCTGTGTGCAGAGCCTGAGGGCAGCTTAGAAAAGCACCTGAGCATTAATGGGGCAGCAGTTTTGGGGGATGTGTGTGTATGTTTGTCTATCTTTTATCTTAAAATTTTCTAGAACTTTAAGTATATTATGAGACAAAAAATGATGAAATATGACAGAGGCTGGACACTGCCAAGGGAATAAAACTGTGAGCCACACCAGTGCTGAGGAGTTGAACATTTGCTTTTTATTTTTCTGAAATATAGAGAAGTAAGAAAAGAAACTGGGTAGATTATGTTTTGAGAAAAATACCATCATGACTAGTGATGGGCAGTTTTCATTTTGCTGCTGCCTCTTCTGAAGGAAAATAGCTTGCCTGCCTCAAGATGAGCCCACACTGTTCCCTGGCAGGAGGGAGAGGCCTCCCTGGTCTCGGGGGTGGCGTTTCTCATCGACACGCGTGTGTTATTGTACCAAAGCAGGACTGCTCACCTCGGGTCCTTGGATAGATTTCAAAGAATTGGTGAACCAGGATAGGAAAGAGATTATACTTTTCATTTTCTTCAAGTTCTAGTGGAAGTTAGTATTCTCTTCCATACTGAATGTTGCCGGTAAACCACAGGAGTCTTAGCCATACCCGTGACTGCCACTGTGATTAGGAATCACAGATTTTTTTTTTTTCGAGATGGAGTCTTGCTCTGTCACCCAGGCTGGAGAGCAGTGGCACAGTCTCGGCTCACTGCGATATCCGCCTCCCAGATTCAAGCGATTCTCCTGCGTCAGCCTCACAAGAAGCTGGGATTACAGGTGCCTTCCACCACGCCCGGCTAATTTTTGTATTTTTAGTAGAGACAGGGTTTTGCCATGTTGGCCAGGCTGGTCAGACTCCTGACCTCAGGTGATCCACCCGCCTCAGCCTCCCAAAGTGCTGGGACTACAGGTGTGAGCCACCACGCCCAGCCACGGAATCACAGATATTTTTATACCATGTAAATTGTGGCCAACATCTCAAAATACTGTTTAGACTCTTCACCAATTCAAAATGATGGTGGTTAGTAGACCCAGGGCCAGATCTTGTTATGTGTTGACAAACGCATATATTACTATATTACAAATTTAGAATGTTTTATATTTTGAAAACACTTCCAGTTTAATTGTTTTCTTGGTTATCTTATGTATTTTATAATTATGCATTCACCACATACCCTGAGAAGGCTCCATCAGGTGCCTCCAGAAGCACAGAATGACCAGGTGCTGGGTGGAATTTTAAATGTGGACCTTCTTTCTGACTGGTCCTCTCTGTATGTTCTTCTGCCACTCGCAATTCATAGCTGTTTTAAGACCAATCAATTTAAACATCATTTCCCTACTCAAAGGTGTGGGTAAATAACCTTGGAAGAGCATTTCTGCAATTGCTTTAGGAGCAGTCTAGGCTTCAAATATTAACCAGGTTGCTGGTTTCTCAAACATTTGCATACCGGAGAACTGAGAAAAATTAAAATACAGTCCATATTAATTCTTAGGACTCTGGAGGCTCCCACACTATCACCACTGAATGTCTGTCTGCAGAATGCTAGTATTGTAAGGCTCAAAGCTGTCTATGGAAATATGAACTAGAAAAAAAATTGGCATCAACAACTGGCATTTGTTGCAAAAGTTATTGGCAAATACAGCTGTCTCCTCTTTTAGCCAATGGTAATGTGATGTTTTTAATTCAATAAAGCATTTCAAGAAAGTCCAAACATAAAGTTATAAACATTGGATGGTAAATATTTGTTAGAAAGGGGAAATAAACTTTATGCAATTAGCCCAATCAGTCTTTTTTATGATTACAAGTTTCTCCTGTCTGTCAGCAAAGTCACTGCAAAAGAAAGTTGCTATTTAACAACACTTTCAAGCTACTTAAGCTCAGATATTCTTCCAGGTGAAGCAGAGGGTGAGAAAGCCCAATGCAGGCGCTGTCAGCTGCAAGGAAGAGTGTGTATTGCTGCTAGAGAAGGAGCAAGAAGGGGTGCAGTTAGGGTCCTGTCCTGACTGTGAGATCCCTGCCTCACAAAGTCCCACCGCTTTCTCACATGAGAGAGGTGTTCATCTGCCCCATCACCACCACCCTGGTCCTGGAGGCTTTCAGTTGAAAGGTGCTGTTTAATGACCACCACCCCTTTCCCTACTGCTTCCCAGGAATGCATTCCACCATCGTGGCTCCAAAGCCCAGGCATGGCTGCCACACAGTAGTGCTTGGAAGGGATGTACACTCTTCTTGTTAGTTGCCACGAGCATATATGTGCCTGTATGTCATAGCATTCACAAGGACCCGAGGTGTGCATGTTATGCCGCTGTTTAAGAATGTTATTGAGCACAAAGCTGTCAGCCAATCATTTCAGGAAGACAGGATCTAGACTGGTTATAGGCATTGGAAGGTCTTAGACAATTGTTTCTACGTAATACTCCCTCCTTTCTCTTTTCTCGTTAATTGCCTTTTGGTACAGTGTGGAGATGCTTTCTAGATCACACAGTGCCTGAGAAGGACTCTCTAGTCAGGCTGCCCAGGGCCCCATTCTGCCTCTGTTCTTGAACAGGTTGCCTAGTCTCACTATGTCTCAGTCTTCTCATCTGCAAAATGGGAATATAAACTCTACTTATCCATCATTGTGAAGACATGAGAGTTAGTAGTAACTGAATTAAAGCACTTAGCATGTAGCACACACTCAATAAATGTTAGGTAGTGTCCATTCTGTGCCTCCTTGTCGCCTGGAGCCAGAGGGACAGGAGGAAACACTGTTTAGCTGAGATCACATGGGCCTGTCCCTTCCCATATCTTTCCCTGTGCTGTCCTCACCATCCCTCCCGGTACTCTGGGAGCCTGGAACCCCCAGGGATTGCTTTCCCGTGTCCAGTACCTCTACCTGGGCAAAATCCCAGTCTCCAGGCTTTTCTCCTTTCTCACGTCCTGCAGATTTACATGGGCATCTGATGGCTAGAGAGATGCTTGGGGTGACAAAATTCTACCTTGGGACAACAAAGTTTGTTCCTCTGATGCCAGTTATTTTTAAACCTGGTGGATTGCTAGAGTCCTCCAGAGACTGTTAGAAGTTTCTGTGTCTTACTCCAGATTTTCTGTCTTAAAAGTCTTCAGGAAGATGGGTTTTAGGTATCTGTCTTTCCGTACAGCTTCCCTGGAGATTCTTCCATCCAGCTTAGTTAGGAAACTGCTCATCTAAATGAGGTCTGTCCCTTTAATGCTGGTGGACCTGGCCAGAATGGGTGGCTGGCGGGGTCCCGGAGCCTGGCCTTGCCCCTCTCAGGGCTGTACGGTAGTGCGTGGACTTGCATGCCAGGCTGAAAGCTGTCCTGCCTGTCTCAGTCTCCGCTTCCTGCCCAGCATCTGCAGCCTCTCAGAGCCGTTGGACTTTGGCAGCAGATGGTCCTAATTTTCCAGAAGTGTTTGAAAGTTTACAGTAGACTGCCTTTTCAGAGAGCTCTCCACACCATGCCAGTTGTGAGTTGTCTTTCTTGTCCCTGCTGCCAGCTGAAGTCCTGGGCCCCACCCTCACCCGGCAGCCCCCAACCCCAGCCAGGTGACGGTCTCTGTAGCCCTCAGGAACATGGAAGGAGTGGCCCTCCCAGGACTCAGGAAGCCTTCCAGGAGTGGGGCTGGCATGCTGGCCCGGGGAAGACTTCACACTGCAGTAGTATGTGTGGAAAATTTGGATGAGTCACTTTTTCATCCAGCTCTTAGCGTTGATTTTCTCTCTCTTTTGGCTTGTGTTATCAGCAGCACATTTTTGAGAGACTTTATATAAGCATCTCATTCAGTATCATTTTGAGTTAGAGCCGCCCTCCAAACCCTCAGCAGATGCCCAGAGAGGATGAGGCAAGAGAACAGCAACATGACCTTCACAGTCCTTGACAGGGACACCACCAGTTGAAGAAAAGTGGCGAAGGCTCGTGTACGTGAGCAATGGTGCCATCTGAGCAGCTCAAACCTTCCCGCGTTTTCACAGCGCTCCAGGGATGCATGCTTGCTGCTGGCTCATCATGCAGCCGCTCGAGGAACTATGCAGCAAAACATGCTGGGGATGACTCTTGACAAACCGTAAGCGTAGCCAGTGAGGTGACAAATGCTAGAACCAGAGAGCTGTTTCATTTTCCTTGCCATGTGCACGGACTGTGACTTTCCACCGCAACTCAAGCACTGCCGCCGGGGGCGGGAGTGGGAGAGGAGGTCTTAGTACCCCCACCCCTGATTTGGCCTGGGCAGCCGCCCTTTGTGTGTTTCCACCCTGTTCTAGTGCATCACGTGTCGCTGAAGCCCAGGGACGTGCTGCCCAGCAGTGTTTCCAGGGAGAACTCTGCAGGCGGAGGGAACGGCATGTCGCTGAGCACAGAGCGCCCCATCTCACTGCAGATGAGAGGATGGACACTCACACCGAGAATGCATGATTGCAGGGGAAGCGGGAAGAGGAAATTGGGGACTGATGGAGAGGTAGTGTAACCAGTGGGAAGGAGCCTGTGTTCTGGGTTAGAACAGGTCCACCCATTTCCTCATCTGTAAAATGGGAACAGGAAGTGTCTGTCTCACAAGGTTGATGTGGGTAGGAAAGAGACAACCCTGATAAAGCACTTCTATGATGTCTGGACTTGGTGACTGCTTAGCTTGCCAGGCACTGGTTTACAGATGAAAGTATTCATCCCATTCATACATTCCACACGTCTTTACTGGATATATATATATATATATATGTATGTATGTGTGTGTGTCTGTGTGTGTGTGTGTGTCTTGGAGTTAGTCAGGACTAGTGTAGAGTTGTCCCGTCATTTTTAAAAAATTGTGTTATTTTTTAACTTTTTGTTGTAAGACAATTGTAACTCTTAAAACTTACAAAAAATACTATATGCCTTTCAGCCAACTTCCTGTTATGTTAACATCTTACACGGCCAGGCACAGTGGCTCATGCCTGTAATCCCAGCACTTTGGGGGGCCAAGGCAGGAGGATCACCAGAGGTTAGGGGTTTGAGACCAGCCTGGCCAACATGGTGAAACCCCATCTCTACCAAAAATACAAAAATTAGCCAGGCATGGTGGCGCATGCCTGTAGTCCCAGCTACTTAGGAGGCTGAGGCAGGAGAATCGCTTGAACCCAGGAGGCGGAGGTTGCAGTGAGCTGAGATTGCACCACTGCACTCCAGCCTGGGTGACAGAGTGAGGCTCGATCTCAAAAATAAAAATAAAAAACAAAAATAAAAAAATCTTACATGCCCGTAGAACCATAATGAAAACCAGGAAATTAAGCTTGGTACAATACTATTAGGTAAAATACATTTAGATTTCACCAGTTTTTCCATCAATGTCCTTTCTGTATACCAGGATCCTATTTCACGTTTAGTTGTCATGTCTCTGGTCTCCTCCAATAACAGTTCCTCAGCCTTTCCTTTTCTTTCATGACCTTGACGCTTTTGAAGAGTACCAGTCTATTAGTTTGCCTTTGGGTTTGTCTGATGTGTTCTCACGACTAGATTGAGGTTCCGCGTTATTGGGAAGGATACCACAGAGGTGATGTGGTCATTATGTCTCGTTACTGGTGATGCTAGCCTTGGTCACCTAGCTAAGCTGTTACCTGGCAGGATACTCCACCGTAACTTACTGTTTTTCCTTTTGTTGAGTTTTTCTGTAGCCGTTTCCCAACCTCAGCGCTATTGGTGTCTTAGGCTGAATAATTCTTTGTTGCAGGGCACTGTCTTGTACAATAGAAGATCTTTAGCAGTATCCTTGGCCTCTGCCCCCTATAGCTCGGGGGCACTCCCCCTGGTTGTGACAACCAAAAAATGCCTTCGGACATTGCCAAACATCCTCTGGGTCTTTTATGTCAATGAGTCTACATACACTTTTAGTCTTTCCCGAGCGATGGCTTTGCTCACTTACACATTCTTAGAAAATCATTTCATCTCAGGCTTATGTACATAAAACTGAGCTAAGTCGCCCCTGATAATTTTTTTAGATTTCTCTACATTTTGGATATTTTCTCCTTTCTTTTCTTCTTTGTTGTACTTTTCTCCCCTTTTTCTTGTATTGTTTAACAAAAGGTTCATCTAGTTTCCCCCCAAAGAGCCAACCCTTATATTTTTCGTTGGCTTTTCTGTTTCGCCCTTTTTAATGCCCAGTCTTTGAAATTTGACAAATGCAGAGTTATATAACCAATCAATTTGCAAAACAGGTCCATCGCCCAAAATACCCCCCATGCGCCTTCAAGCTAGTCTCTTCCCCTATTACCGGGAAATCACTGATAATTTTTGTCCTTCTTGTTTTTTAAAATGTATATTAAAGCATTTTAAATTTTTTTAAAAGGCAAGTTAGTAGTTTGAGCCCGTGTTTAAGAGGAGGGGGTCACACGAGGGTGTAATCCTAAGAGACAGAGATCATTGCGGCCATAGTAGAACACTGCCTCCCGCCCCTAAGTGGAGAATGTCTTTATTCTACATGGCATGTGTTCTGTTCCAGCTGTTTTCTTCTCAAATATTGTCTCTGCCCAACTCTTTCTATTCTCTCCTTCTGGGTCTGATTAGACACATACATCAGTATTTCTCACTTGGTTCTTCGGATCTCTTAACCCATCTTTTATATTCCCCACCGCCTTTCCTCTGCAGGCTGCATTCTGGATAATTTCTTCAGGTCTGTTTTCTAGTCACAGATTCTCTCATTCGGGGCTGTCAAAATCCATTGATTTTCTTCAACAATTATATATTTCATTTTTAAATGTTATTTCCAGTTTCTTATATTCAACAGTGTTAATATCTTGCTGCTAGCTTGTTTATGTAATCTCATCTTCTATTTCTTTATAGATAGTTACTATAAATTCTGTATCTGACAATTTTATTACCTAAACACCTTGACAGTTTAAATCTTCTGTTTGTTGTTGCTGCTGACCATCACTCACATTACCATGTTTGATTATGGGTTTATACTTTATTGGACATAACCATGGAATTCTAAGATCCTAAATTGCTCTCTTTAGGAGAACTTAAATTTGTTTCAACCAGAACCCCTTTTTCTGAAAAGGGGCTGCTTCTAGCCTTTTCAGAACTGGTAAACACCCTTCCAGATTCCCTGGTTTAACCTGGGTGTCTCAGATAGATCTCCTGACCTTGTTCTATCTGAGATAGGCCAGCCCCAGATGACTTCTCCCAACTTCAGTGCCAACTGAGATATAAGAGCTTTCAAAGGTAAAATGTTAACCACAAAGAAAAAATAGCACAATTGGGTGGTAGAAGGAATGAAAGGGCGGGCATTGGTGTTGGCAGTGAAAGGGTGGGCATTGGTGTTGGCAGTGAAAGGGTGGGTGTTGGCAGTGAAAGGGTGGGTGTTGGTAGTGAAAGGGTGGGTGTTGGTGTTGGCAGTGAAAGGGTGGATGTTGGTAGTGAAAGGGTGGGTGTTGGTGTTGGCAACCAACGCCTGCCCTTTGGGGAACCCACCCTTGCATGTGCTCATCACACATTGCTATACAGTAGTGTATATGTATAAAGACAGCTGGGTATGGGTTTTGTATTTGCTTCCTCGAATATTTCCTTTACTTGGGGGTGAGCTCAGCTATAAGAACTATCCTTTATTATGGTACCCAGCTGTTGTGTACTGGAAGAGCAGCCCTGTCTGCCACAAAGTCTGCTATTCGCTGAAAGCAGAAGGTTCATCCATCAGTCACCCTTCTCTTTAGGGTGCCTGGCTTCCTGAGCATGATGAATGCATCTCCACCTCCAAGCCCCACCCTTTCACTCCTTCCACCACCCAATTCTGTTATTTTTCTTTGTGCTTAACATTTTACCTTTGGAAGTTCTTATATCTCAGTTTTCACATTTTATCTGTTATATTTTACTCTTTCCCCAGCTAGAAAAGATAAAGACATTGATGTACATATAGACAGCCTCCCACAGCTCCCACCCCAGTGCACCTTCTTCCCAGCCGGTTCTTCTCTCTGTCATTTCTGCCTTGTCTGGGTTTCCGTCCCATGAATTCTGTTCTCTAACTCCCATTCCTACGTTGGTTTCAATCAATACTTTGATCAGTGCTCACTGCTGGCCCATTTTCTATGGGTTCTTCAGTCATTTCTTAGTTGGCCAAGGGTCGTCCTGTGGTAACTTCTCCAGAAAGGATTTAACTACTTGTAAGTTCAAAAATCTTTTTCCATTGCCTAAGTACTTGAGCAAACGTTTAGTTGATATAAATTTCCTGGGCCACATGTTCTGCCTTTCCTTGTGTCTGTATCAGCATCACTCACTCCAGTGCCTGTAGAGAGAGGCTGCTGCAAAGACATCTGCACAGCCCGAGCTCTTTTCCCATTATCTGTGCTGGCTACCCAAAGAGTGTTCTGGTGTATCTCTGAAACCCAGTGACTTTATCAGGACACGCCTCTGGGCTCATTATTTTGCGCCATTTTTTCTTGGGGCTTTGCTTTGCAATCTGAGAATAAGACCTTCCATCATTTCAGTTGAGGGTCTTGAATTTATATTCAAATGCCCTTTCTTTTACATCACTTTAGTTCTCTTCTTTATGAGTCTTGTGCTTCTAACCCAGCTCAGACTCTGTGACCTTCACAAACATTGACCTCCTCTTTGGAAAAGTGGAAAAAATAGAGAAAGCCCCCTCCTGCCTGCCTCCCAGGGCTGCCATGAGGCTCAGGATGACAGGAACCTGAGCACTTTGTCATTTGCAATGCATGACATGAATGCAGGCTGTTGATCTAGAAGGCATCAAGGTGATGACAAGCATTCGTGTAGTCACCGCATCTGTTCAGTAGTGAAAATGTATCACAAGAATGGTGAGGACTTGGCTTGGGTGCAGAGAGCAGTGCTGGTGGCCAAGCTTGGATGAGACGCTGCAGTGCTAACTTCTCCTTTGCTGTCATTCCCGTTTTCTTTTTTCTTAAGCTGACGACAAAGGTAGCCACTATCCTGACTCCCAACACTGTGGTTCAACATTGTTGTTAAACTGTATGTAAATGAAATCATACAGTATTCCATTGTTCTAATATACCAGCATTCATCTGTTCTGCTCTTGATGGGCATTTGGGTTGTTTCCAACATGGAACTAATGCAAGTAGTATTTCAGTGAACTTTCTTGACAATGTCTTTGGTGAACACATACACATTTTTTGCGTTATATACTTAGGATTCGAATTGCTGGGTATTAGAATGTGTGTGTCTTCAGCTTTAGCAAATACTGCCAAAGTTTTCCAAAGCTGTTGAACCAAGTTAAAATCTCATTCTCAGCATCCAAAAGGACCCATTGTGCCCCATTGTTCCCAATGAGCGGTGCTCTCCATCTTCTTCATTCTACCCATTCTGGCTGCTGTGTCAAGGTATCTAATCTAATGGTGGTTGTAATTTCCCTTCCCTGATGACTAAAGAAGTTGAGCACCTTTTCATATGTTTACTAGCCATTTAAACATTCTCTTTTATGAAGTGTCTGTTCAAGACTTTTGCCCATTTTTCTACTGGGTCTTTTTCTTAATTGATCTATAGGAGTTTTTTGTTGTTTTAAATCATGTTTTGGATACAAACACTTTGTTGGTTATACACATTACAAATCTCTTATGTATTGCAAATATATTCTTGTGTTCTTACAGTTGCCTTTTGGTAAACAGAAGTTGTTAATTTTGGCCAGGCGCAGTGGCTCATGCCTGTAATCCCAGCACTTTGGGAGACTGAGACGGGTGGATCACGAGGTCAGGAGATTGAGACCATCCTGGCTAACACGCTGAAACCCCGTCTCTACTAAAAATACAAAAAATTAGCCGGGTGTGGTGGCGGGCGCCTGTGGTCCCAGCTACTCGGAAGGCTGAGGCAGGAGAATGGCGTGAACCTGGGAGGCGGAGCTTGCAGTGAGCCGAGATCACGCTACTGCACTCCAGCCTGGGCGACAGAGCGAGACTCTGTCTCAAAAAAAAAAAAAAAGTTGTTAATTTTAATATGGTGTAATTCATTAGTTTTCTTACTTTATCATTAGTCCTTTTTGTGTTCTGTTTAAGAAATCTTTGTCTAACCTCATTCTTCTTTTCTTTGATGGTTAGAAAAGTTTCATGAGAAAGCCCTGTCTATAAAATCCATAACGAACAGTTGACACCACCTTCTTCCTCTTTCTCCTGATGGAGTGGTCATTTCTCCTAATCCCAACCGCTCCTGTCCCATAAATTCTCCCCCTGGGTCAGCCTTGTCTTGTGAGCACATGTCCACACACAGACACCACAGTCTCAAAGAGCTCGCAGGTCAGAGTGCATGGAATCAAATGTTTGATGAGGTGCAGTTGGTCTTTATAGGACCAGCTGTGCTGCACTGGGGCTCTCATCTTTTTACCATTCCTTTGAGGGGTGAACAATCATGGGAACATGCAGGCTTTTCTGAAGCGCATGTGCAGTATTCCACTTGAGCCATCCACTTCCTAAAGGGCACAGATCAGCTCCGACATACGTGAAAAATGAGAAGGAGCTGTGGGCTTTTCTTAGCTCTCTTTAAAAGCTCCCTCCAGCTCTGCCTTCCTTCCCTTTCTCTTATTTTTATCCCTTCAACTTCTAAAAACTGTTTGATTTTAGACAGCACAGTTGTGCGTCTCTTCTATGCAGATGTTTGAGATTACTTGGAAGAGCAGACCTCTAAACTGAACTCGACACCCTTTGCAAACCACACGGTGACCACCCTGCACCAGCTACAGGAGCTCCTTGACCTTCATCCTGCTCAGTGTGAAGCAGCAGGTCCCTGGCCACACCCTGGAGGGTGATGTCTTCCTGCTCCAACTTGGGCCTTTTAGCCATGATTGGGTTTGTCATCCTGGAATCACTGCGTCTTCACAAGATCTTTAAGTACATCTGTTCTCAATTTTCAGACTGTGAGGCCAGGATTTGGGTGCAAGTAGTTTATCTGGGAAGTGATCCCAGGAAGCACTGTGAGGGGGTGAGGGAGAGAGCAGTCAAGAAAGGTGCAATCCTGAGTAAGTGACTGCTGTCGGCAGCGGGGCCATCCCCCCCAGGACCCTCTGAGAGGCGTGTGGAACTTGCCTCAGTATCATCTCCCTGTCCCCTGGGCGGGTGGGGAGTTACCAGCTCCTGTCTCTTATGGTTGAGGTCACTGTCTGCATGTGGTTCCTTCAGAGAGGACACTGGCTGTGTCTGCTTTCATGATTTTGATAAATTGTCTCCTTCTGAGCACTTTGTCGATGCCCAGATTTCCTAATGATACAGTTGGGAGTCTGTGTGTTTAAATGCCAATTCCTGTTTTAGTGGAATTATTTTAATTGTGTATTTGTAGATGTTCTGGAAGTTCTGTAGGTAAAATGCTATAAAAAATTGTGCACAGCTCAGCTGAGCTAGAAACAGGTGACCGCAGGGAGAACAGAAGGTTGCCCCTGTAACCCTGTCGGGGTACCAGTCCTTCATGGCCCTTTGGGCTGTCATTTCTTGGCCTCACAGTGGTTGCCTACCCATCTGGCCTTGACTTCAGAGTTGCCTCTTCCAGCAAGCCCTCCCTGATGAGGTTTGGTTAGATCCTCTTTCTGTGTCCCCTAGACAGCCCCTCACTGCTGTAAATGGAAGATGTCTGTTTGCTCATCACTCCTGGGAGGCAGGGGCTGCTGCTCCTGGCCAGGGCTGTGCCTCTGATATCTCCTAGGCCCTCGGTGGTTGTTGGAGCTGTTGAACTCAACTCCGTGAGACAAGCCCTCCTAGGAGTAGATGCACAGAATTTTGTTGAGCTAAATGAGCCAGTTCAAGTGATGCACTGATATTTTGGACATACAGACTTATGACCCTCTGGCTTCCCCATACGTTTCGAATCCCAAATTTGAAACAGTGGTTGGGCCACACCTCTGACCCCAGCTGTGACCTGTGAGTGTGGGTGTTCTCCACAATTATGGTTCCTTCCCTTGTCCTGCAGCATCTAATGTGTGCTGGACTGTGGTGCCTGGTAGAAGGAGACACATCCTGCAAGACCAAGCTGGACCCTCCCCTGGATGGCACCGAGTGTGGGGCAGACAAGGTAACCTCTGACTTCCCACTGCCCCCAACAGGCAGCTCCACATCTTGCAGGCAACTGGCACCTCTTCTGACACACAATCTGTACTCTACTTAGGAGCCCCTGAAACATCCCCCAGGCGGCACAGAAATGCCCATGGAGGCCACTCCGGGCACAGAGTGGTGCCTACATCACCTCATTCCTTTTTCTTATAAGATACAAGTATCATTTACTTAATATTTTTGTTAGATTAACTCCTTTCATCATGTAAGGAAATTTACTTAAAAGGAACACTTTCACCAGTATATTTCAAATGGAAAAACAACATCACCTGCCATACACAGTAGGCTCTCGTAAAAATAATTCAGTGAGAACAGTATTATCCAATTCTAGCTAAATGTTGAGAGAATGAGCTTGTTCCTCATGTGCAGGAGAGATGGGGAGGTGTTGGAGAGAAGGGGTGTTCGGGATCTGCAGCCCCAGGACCTCTCTCCAGTCTTATTGCAAGAATTGAAAGAGTTGAAAAAGGAGTAAAGGTTTGCTCTGATGCCGTGATTGGGAACCACAGAAATCACACCTAGCACCTCAGGGTATGTGCTGTGCACTTTGAGAAATTGTTTTATAGGGCTGGCCTTGAGTTATCCTCAGAAAGAACCAAGGTTCCCTCACGTGGAGCTGGCTGTGCCATCGCCAAGCAGCAAACACAACTCTCAGGTTCACAACCTCAACCGGGGCATGCCGCCTCCCAGCGAGAAACGCACTCACGTCAAACAAAGTTTGCAGAAGCCCAGGTCTCTTCAAGAGCTACGTAGATTCATCCTTTTTCTGGGATTTAGAAAATCCCCATGGAGCACATCCATCTGAAAGTTGAGGGCAAAATCCAAACCCTACAGCGATATGAGTGTCAGTTTGAGTAAGTAAGGCATGTCTCTAAAATTAGCAAACGTGCAAACCCTGAAATAGACTGTACCTTTATGTAAATTTAGCAAATGGGTTTTTGGCAGCACGGCATTTTGGGGCCTGGCGGGCTGGAGTGAGCAGCTCTGCTGAGTGCCTGGGCCCCGACCCTCCCCGCTGTGTTTCAGTGGTGCCGCGCGGGGGAGTGCGTGAGCAAGACGCCCATCCCGGAGCATGTGGACGGAGACTGGAGCCCGTGGGGCGCCTGGAGCATGTGCAGCCGAACATGTGGGACGGGAGCCCGCTTCAGGCAGAGGAAATGTGACAACCCCCCGTAAGTCCCCTGACCAGCCATACCCCAACGTGCCACGATTGGAGTTTCCCAACAGCAGCTCTCGCTGCCTCACACAAAGCAGGGTCTGTCTCCCGCTGAGCATTAGAAGATATGGAAAATGAAACCCAGCCAAGGTCCAGGGTGCAGGGACCTCGTGTGTGTCAAATGACATCTCAGCTTAAATTGCTCTTTCTGTGAACATGGATACAGTAGAGTCTGGGGTGAGCTGACTCCCTCATTCCTTCCCTGGGCCTCAGTGGAAAGGTTTTCGGAGACAGCTGTATGACAGTCCCTCCAGCCTGCCCGTGGTTTAGCAAGTCCAGGGTCATTCCACACTGGCTGTCTCTGATGTGGGAGCAGCCTGGTGGTTCATGAGTCACAGAGTGTCTGGGTGCAGCTGTCTTCCTCATCCTAATATTTGCCATGGGTCCTCCTGTAACTGTTAGAAAAAATGTGATTTAGTTTTTTTCTCTTTGGCTTCTTTTTATTGACTCTAATGACACCATGACCTTTCCTGTTCACCTTTGTACATTTGTTCCACGAAACTCAGGGATCGATTTTGGGCTTGATGGTGATAATTCCATCACCAGATTTTTCCCTTTTCTTCTTGAAGTTTCCCATTTCTTTTTTTTTTTTTTTTCATACTTTAAGTTCTGGGGTACATGTGCAGAATGTGCAGGTTTGTTCCATAGGTATACACGTGCCATGGTGGTTTGCTGCACCCATCAACTCGTCACCTACATTAGGTATTTCTCCTAATGCTGTCCCTCCCCTTGCCCCTCAACCCCCTCGACAGGCCCCGGTGTGTGATGTTTCCCTCTCTGTGTCCCTGTGTTCTCATTGTTCAGCTCCCATTTCTGAGTGAGAACATACAGTGTTTGGTTTTCTGTTCCTGTGTTAGTTTGCTGAGAATGATGTTTTTCAGCTTCATCCATGTCCCTGCAAAGGACATGAACCCATCCTTTTTTTATGGCTGCGTAGTATTCCATGGTGTATATGTGCCACATTTTCTTTATCCAGTCTATCATTGATGGGCATTTGGGTTGGTTCCAAGTCTTTGCTATTGTGAATAGTGCCACAATAAACATATGGCTGCGTGTGTCTTTATGGTAGAATGATTTATAATCCTTGGGTATATACTCAGTAATGGGATTGCTGGGTCAAATGAAGCTTCCCATTTCTTACCATTTCTTTTAATGATCTGTTTTATGCCTTGTGTGTCAGCAGTTGCAGCACATCAATTTTGAAAACGAGCAAGTTCTAAATAGTGACTATAAAGAAATCTCCACAATTAAGTCCTGTTGATGGATAATTAGCAAATGCCTCTTATGTTTAAAAATCCTGATGCCCAGGTCATACCCCAGACTGATCAAATCACAGAACACTAAGGGTGGGGCCCAGGAATTGGATATTTTATCTTCCCAGGTGACTCCAGCAGCAGTCAATGTTGGAACCTCTGGATTAAAGGAAGGGTTATGCTCCTAGTCTGGTCAGTGACAGGAGCACCATTTTCCCAGCAATGCTATAAGAATTGGCATTATGTATTAATTATGTCTTATTAAAACATTTCCCTCTAGCACCCAGCAGAGTGCGGGGCACATAGGTGTTTAGTCTGTTAGGAATGACTTTTTTTTTTTTTTTTTGAGATGGAGCCTCACTCTGTCCCCCAGGCTGGAGTGCGGTGGCCCAGTCTCGGCTCACTGCAACCTCCGCCTCCCTGCTTCAAGTGATTCTCCTGCCTCAGCCTCGCAAGTAGCTGGGATTACAGGAGTGCACCACAACTCCCAGCTACTTTTTGTATTTTTAGTAGAGATGGGGTTTCGCCATGTTGCCAGGCTGGTCTTGAACTCCTGACCTCATGTGATCTGCTCACCTCTGCCTCCCAAAATGCTGGGATTACAGGTGTGAGCCACCATGCCCAATCCAGGAATGACTTCTTAATTAAGGGCATAGGTGGGTAGATGATTAGAAACCCTGTTTAGCTAAATGGTGGGAAATTAATAGGTGGTTGCAGTTTTTGCATTACTCTGTGTTGACGTTAATAGTTTGACCTCTGGCCTCGTGAAGAAAGGGCTGGGTTTGGAGTCATGGCATTGGGCCTGACCCTGTTGGTTAATGGTCATGTGACCTCACGACTCTTCTGTTCCCTGGCCTTAGTTCTGCCCACTAGAGGGAGCGGACATGGTAGAGTGGGAAGAGCCAGGCTTCAAAGCCAGGACAGACAAATCTTCAAATCCCAGCATGACAACTTTTTTTTTTTTTTGAGACGGAGTTTCGCTCTTGTTGCCCAGGCTGTAGTGCAATGGCGCGATCTCGGCTCATCACAGCCTCCACCTCCCAGGTTCAAGCGATTCTCCTGCCTCAGCCTCCCGAGTAGCTGGGATTATAGCCATGCACCACCACACTCGGCTAATTTTGTAATTTTAGTAGAGATGGGGTTTCTCCATGTTGGTCAGGCTGGTCTCAAACTCCTGACCTGAGGTGATCTGCCCACCTTGTCCTCCCAAAGTGCTGGGATTACAGGTGTGAGCCACTGTGCCTGGCTGCCAGCATGACTTCTTATAGCGCCGACGGCTGGTACTTGTCTTTTCATCTGAAACTTGGAAGAATTCATGGGAATGCACAGAAAGTCCTTGGTGTGTATTTAATAAGCAGCCCCTCTTGTTATTAGCACTCACAGAAGAACGAGGATGGTACCAGTTGCCCTTCCCTGTCTAAGGCTTTGTTAAGTGCAGAGAGAAATTGGCAGGGATTGTGGTTGTCATGGGTGCTCCACGTTTGTGATTGGAGTTTGTGGGTCCTAGTGGAAGACTGGTCTTCTTGGCACGTTACGTGTCTTATCTCATAACAGGTGACACCCAGTAAACATCATAGCAGGAGGATATCAGAACCTCTGAATGTCTGAAGGAGCCAGTGTCCTGAGACTGTCAACATTTAAGTTGTCTCTAGGCGAGGGCAACATTTGCAAGAATAAGACGTTATCAACGCTATGCAAATGCCATAGGTGCCTCTTTGAAGGGAACTGGTGTTGTCTGCCTTCTCGGGATGACATTAGCTAGGGCTTCCCTGGCATTGGTAGCCCAAAGACAAGGCTTTCCAGAGCTTTTTGCCTTCATGTCTTGGCAGGAACCCTGTCACCATCTGAACTGCTTCCTGCCCTGCCCACCCATGGTTGCTCTGGGATACCACAGGGGCATTTTGCTCTGGGGGGATCCTAAACACCACCCAGTTCAGACAGCGGCATTAGTGTACTCTCGTACTCTCGCTGGCCTGGCCTGCCATGGGGTTTCTTATATTGGGATTCTCACCCCATTCCCCCAGGTCCCATGGCCCCAGGAGAGAGGCTGTTCTGTAAATCACAAAGTTGTGAAAATCTTTCACTCTTCTTCTTCATCAGGTCCTCCCTCTCCCTCGCCATGATAGTCGTGGCTGTTCTCTCCCTTGCTTTTTCCTGTATTTTATCATTGAGGAATGGGAGAATTTGCAGGGCCTCGGTACACAGACAGCTGAGGGTTTGTGGGTCTCAGCACGTCGGATTGTTAGTCATTGATGCATCTTCACGTCCAATCTCTGTTGTCCAGCAGCATCGTCCTGTGGGGCAGGGCGATGGCAGAAGGAACAGAAAGAGCCTGCAGCATTCCCACTCCTCCCAGCCGCAGGCCCCTTCCTGATGAAGCCTTTCCAACATGAAGCCTTCAGTAAACCTTGCCAGGGCCTGAACTCTGCTAGCTGTGGGCCTGCAGTGAGAAGCAAACACAGATAAAATCCCTGCCTACCCACAAGGGATGCAGTCCCACCAGCTCCCCTTTGTTCTCTCACAGACACTTCAAACAGGACCCTTTCTAAACTGGGACCTCTACTCCTAGCCCACATCTCCCCTCTCAGTAAATAGCACCACCATCCTTGCATTGCTTGAGTCCAAAGCCACTGAGTCCATGCAGTTTCCTCTTATATCCTTTCTGCCTCCTCCATGTCTGGTCATGAGGAGGGTGGTGAATGCAGCAGACCTGCACCACGCACTGGGTTCCCTTAGGCATTTATGTAGGAAATTATTGAATGCAGCCCCATGGGAGAGGTATTATTTTTATCTTCATTGTACAGAAAAAAAAAAAAACTTTATCAGGGGGCCGAGCCCAGTGGCTGATGCCTGTAATTCCAGCACTTTGGGATTCTGAGGCAGGTGGATCACCTGAGGTCAGGAGTTCAAGACCAGCCTGGCCAACATGGTGAAACCCTGTCTCTACTAAAAGTACGAAAATTAGCCAGGTGCGGTGGCACATGCCTGTAATCCCAGCTACTTGGGAGGCTGAGGCGGGAGAATCGCTTGTACCCGGGAGGTGCAGTTTGCAGTGAGCTGCGATCACACCACTGCACTCCAGCCTGAGTGACAGAGTGGGACTCCATCTCAAAACAAAACAAACAAACAAACAAAAAATAGAATCACATTGAAGTTTGGTAACTTGCCCAACGTCACACACGAGGCAGCGGCAGGCCACGTTTGGAGCCCAGTTCTAGAAACCAGAAGTCCAAAATCAAGGTGTCAGCACAGTGCTTCCTTCTTGAAACTCCAAAGGTGAATCCGTTTCGTGGCTCCCGGCAACCCTTGGCCTCCCCTGGCTTGGAGGTGCATCACCTCCATCTCTGCCTCTGACTTCACGTGGTCTCTTCTCTGTGTGTCCTCTCACCTTTTCTTCCCTTGGAAGAACGCTTGTCATTGGATTTAGGGCCCACCCAAATCCAGGATGGTCTCATCTCCAGATCCTTAGCTTAATTACATCTGCCAAGGCCCTTTTGCCAAATAAGGTCTCATTTGCAGGTTCCGAGTGGACTATCTTTTGAGGCCGAGGGGACCCACCGTTCAGCCCCCTGCAGCCTCGAAGCCTCCTTTGTGCTCTCGGCCACAGCATTCTAACCCCAGGACCCTCCCCAGTGCTGTCTTCCCTTTCCTTAACTTACCCTTTTCCTTTCTTTGGGTGTTAGTGTAAATGTCTTCTCAAGAGATCTCTGCCCCTGACAGCCTGCTTCAAATGGGGTGCTGCTTAAGTCTCCCTCGGCACCTCTTCCTTACGTTACACGTGTTACAACAGCTGATATTGTTGTTATGTATTTGCTCACTTGTTTTGACTGTGTCCTCCCCACTGGCCTTTGAGCTGAGAGCTCTGTGCAGGCCCGGGACAGGCCACACCTGTTTGGACACCATGCTGCCTTCCGTGCCCACAGCAGAGCGGCCACTCCATAAAATGTGCTGACTGCCTTCCTGCCTGGATGTGCACTTGCCCCAGAAAACCAATCTCTCTGCAATACCAGTGCCTCCAAAACACATCCCTAATATCATTTTTTCACTGAAACACAAAGCTGATCATAAACGATTAGGCCAAAAGTGGCAGACCACCAGGTAGACCTCATGCCCTTGTATCATCTCCCCTCACTGAGGCCCAGATGCTATAAACGGCCACATGAGGCCTATCTGTCACCTGTTGTGCCTGCCCTTCTCCAGCAAGGTGGCATCTCAGTCTGGAGTGCTCGGCATCACCTTGAGAACAAGCTTCAACACAGAACCCAGCCTTGTTTTTCCCCAGTAAGAGAAGTGATACCTTTTTGCTCCTATAATATTTACACCTTGGTAGTCTCTTCGATCTTTCGCAGTGGCACCGTAGCTCTGTTTTCTGTTGTGAATGAAAACAACATGCTCCTTTTTCCCATGTAGTTTTCTATGGAGTTTCTTGCCTCCATGGATCCAGCCCAGGTGAATGGGAAGAGGCGGGACAGGCCTTGGGTGGGTGGATTACCAGCCATCTCCGGGGCTTCCCAAAGAGACGCAGGATGTGGCGTGTTTTATGAAGTCCAGGCTGCAGCCTCCAGCCTGCTTCTGCAGGATGCCCTGATGGTAGTGATGGTTACAAAGCGCAGCTGACCAGGGCCTCAGAGCCAAGCTCTGACGAAAACAACGTCCTCTCCCCGTCTCACTCCTTAAATCACCAGGCCTGCTGCCTAGAGATTTCACAAGGTTGTCCCAAATTCACTGCTATGTAGGTCTCAGGCTTGGAACGCTCCCACGACCCCCTTCTCACCCCCTTCACTTTATATTCCTGGCTCTGCTCCCTGTCTTCTGCAGCTGGTTTATTCACTGTCCAAAAATACTGGCAAGAGAGTCCCCCCACACACAATTATTTTTTTTAGTCTTGGTCTTCACAGCTCTTGGAATTTTTATTTTTTGCTAGCTGACGTGGAGGCCTTAGGGACCATCGGTGTTTCCAAAGCGACTCCCTAGGCCCGTCCTTTCCTGCTATAATTTATGTTGCTGTTGGTGGGAGTTACGTCAGAAGACTGCAGGGTAGAAAATGCATCTCTAATTTACCTTCTGTTACCCCTCGACAGTTTGTGTGTGGGGAAGAGCTGGGGAGGGAGGGGAGAGGAAGGCTCAGATGCACTTGTATGAAAAGCCAGCTGCATCCCAGCAGGTGCAGCAGGGGCAGGAGAGTGGAGTGCAGAGCTGGGACACAGCAGGGTCATCATGAGGTGCCGCCCACATGCACCAGAAAGGGAGAGGAAGGCGGCTAGCCTGCTAAGACGGCGGGAGGACGGCTGGTGTAAGGTTATGTGCCTGTAACTGGTTTTTGCTTCCACAGTGAAACCCCATCTATGTGCTTTCCATGTGCCAGCGATCTGGCATTCATATGGATAATTTTTAAAAATTTAAGTATTCTACACTGAAGCATAAGTTACATGTGTTACTTGGACACCTTTCAGAGGAGGCCTTAAACCTGGGATGTCTGCTGCCCTGAGGGTGCGTTAGCAGCTCGCAGCACTTCTGAAACCCTATGGCTTTGCCCTGCTCTCTTCTCAGAGCTCACAGAGCCAGGGGCCGCCAGGGCAGGGACCAGAACTGCCAGGTTTGTACTGAGCGTCCTGTGTCTCTGGATGGTGAAGCTGGTCCGAACTGCTGTTGTGACTTTATCTTCTGGTCTGTCTTCATTTAATACAGCAAACCTGAAAATAAAAAGTGGCATCTTTCTCTTCCAGCCTCTCTTGATTCTACCTGTCCATCCACTCTCAAAGAAAGGGGCAGATGTTCTGCCATATGATCCTGTTGGTCTCAGCAAACCTTTGCTGCTTCTCTGCTCTGGGCTTGTGTCTATCAAGGCCCTGAGGACTCCACTTCAGCAGGAGACGGTCCTTGTTCTGCAGGCGCTTGGGAAATTTTGGGGTAGAGCTCACCTTTCTCTCCACGCTTTCGGTTTCTCACCAAAGCCTCTCTACCTTACTCTTTTGCTTATTTTTAAACAAACTTATGAAGGTAGAATATACAAAGAAGCACAGCTCCGTGCACAGTATTGCTCATCACGGTCGAGCATGTGTGTTGGGGCGCACGTGCAGGTATATGTCAGTACAGTAGGAGGGCAGTTGCTGGCCCCTGGGGCGCGCATGTGTGACCACATAACAGCTGCCAGCTTTGCAGAATGGCCGTGCCATCTCCATTGCCGTGGCTGGGGTGGCTTTCTACTTGCCCCATGTCCTCACTGACACCGGTGTTGTCAGTAATTCTCTCTGGTTTTGGCCGTTCGGATGCGTGTGTAGCAGTATCTGGCTGGGGAATTGGTACTTTCCTCATCAACAGTGAGGCCGAACTTCTGTTTCCTTATTTGCCATTTGGATATCCTTTTCTTGTGAAGTAGCCATGCAAGCCGTTTGGTTTTGTATCTAAGCTTCTATTTTATTCACGTTTAGGAGTCCTAGAACAGGCCTGGCAGAGTGGCTCATGCCTATAATCCCAGCGCTTTGGGAGGCCAAGGCGGATGGATCACCTGAGGCCAGGAGTTCATGACTAGCCTGGCCAGCATGATGAGACCCCATCTCTACTAAAAATACAAAAAAATTAGCCGGGCATGGTGGCGCACACCTGTAATCTTAGCTACTCAGGAGGCTGACCCACAAGAATCACCTGAACCCAGGAGGCAGAGGTTATAGTGAGCCGAGATCTTACCACTGCACTCCAGCCTGGATGACAGAGCAAGACTCTGTCCAAAAAAAAAAAAGTCCTAGAACAGAAAAACTAGAAACGATTGATAGTAAAAATTCAAATTAAAAAACCCATCACACCCCGATGACTGGTCAGTGAGTCAGGCTGTCCTTCAGGCCTCGTGGTGGCTGATGGGCAGCCCCTCCCAGAGGCAGAGGCAGGGGCAGGGCGCCTGTTCCTGCTGGGTCCAGGAGCTCTTGCACGCTACATTTCTTCTCTCCACCTCTTGCTCGTCAGCCAAGCGGTTATGTCACCTGTTGGAGCGTTGATTTCCTCACCCAAAGGGTGCAGTCAGGAGCACCTTCTGATTCTGCATGTGGATTTAATGAAGTAATGGTTAGAAGGGCCAGCAAAATGGGAGCCCTCTGGGCGTGTCGGCTGTTTTATGATCACTGTTTATGTGAAAGTGCCTCTTGCCTTGAAGTTTCTTCCCGGTCCTCAGGGATCAGTCCTCATTTCAGGATGAGATTGCAACTTGTTGGCTTTCCCCTGGAGGCCTCATGGGACCTCGGAGCCTTGGAGCCCAGTAGGGCTGCGCCTTCCTGCCCTCACAGGAGAGGGTGAGGGAAAGACTGGACCCACCTTCAGCTCCTGGGAAGGGATAACTCTATCACGAATCTCTTATATTAACTGTTCTTTATTTTAGCCCTGTCAAGCTGTCTTTCTGTCGTTTTAGTCTCCCTAGATGTGTTTTGTTTTTCTCCTTACTGCGTAGCTCAGAGCAACTTCCAGAGTGAGTAAGAGCCCTGCCCTCTACTACTGAGACTGTGTGAGGGTGGTCTCTCCGGTTGCTTTTGGGGATCTGGTCCCTGCTGCACTCGCTGGCCCCGCACACTGTCTCCTGAAGCCCCGTGTCCACACAGTTCAGGCTTCATCCACCCAGCCCAGTGTGGGGTCCTTGGGAAAGTTGGGGCCTCCTTTGAGTCCTCCCCCAGAACTTCTGTCAGGTAGCCATCTGTGGAAACTGCCAGCCACACCCTCCCCCACAAGGATTCTCCTTCTGTCTTCTCTATGCCGCAGATGGAGGATGCCTCTTTCTGTTGTCTCAGGACCAAGGTACAGTTGACTCTTGAACAACATGGGTTTGAACTGTGCAGGTCCACTTATACATGGGTTTTTTTCTGTCTCTGCTGCTCCTGAGACAGCAAGACCAACTCCTCCTCTTTCTCAGCCAACTCAATGTGAAGATGATGAGGAGGAAGGCCTTTATGATGATCCACTTCCACTTAATGAGTAGGAAATATATTTTCTCTTCCTTATGATTTTCTTAATAACCTTTTCTCTAGCTGACTTTACTATAAGAATATAGTATAAAACACATATAACCTACAAAACATGTTAATTATGTGATCAGCAAGACTTCCATTTGATAATAGGCTATTAATAGTTAATTTTGGGGGTGTTAAAAGTTATATGTGGATTTTCTACTACATGTGAGGGGTCAGCATTTCTAACCCCCACATTGTTCAGAGGTCAGCTGCACATGCAGGAGGCCCGCATTGATGTTACTGTAGAGGCCCTGTGTTATAGAGACAGTCATAAAAAATGAAGGACCACATGTGGGGTCCTGCCGCATAGCAATTGGGGATTATTTAGGTAGCAAATTGTGTACCTAGTGGATTACTTCTCTCCTTTCTCATGTCGTTCAAAATAATGACTTAAAACTGAAGAAAATCAGTTCCTGTGGTCATATTTTTAAATCAGGGAAAGTTCAAGGAAATATTAGCTATAACAGGTGGTTGGAGTAATGGGAACTTACTAAGAGGTAAAGAGAACTCTAAAGAATACAGGAAGAGCAGAAGCAGGTAGCATCCTGTGTCTTTAGGTCTGAGGCAGAGCACCCAAGGAAGGAACAAATCTTGATGACAGTGACTCACACACAGCTACTGTGAAGGACAGACAGTAGCTGCTACCACAGTTTTGTCCAGGGATGAAATTCCTTGGACCTTGTTAGAGAGGGTGCAACTGGGGCCCACTGAATGAGGGAGAGGCTTGTAGAGGTTCTGTACTGGTGGAACTCTCTGGGAAGCCACACTTAAGATGTCAGGGAAAGGTTCCAAGGGAAGAAACTGCATCTCCAACCAGGATAGGAATCTATCCAAAAAGTTGGTGTGCTTGGAAGCTACCCACTGGAGTACAGGAGAATGCTGTCCACAGGGAGGTGGAATGCATCACAGGCCACTGAAGAAGCATGCTGAGAGAAGCCACATACCAGGACCAGGGAGAAAAGCCTGTTCCTCCTGCATTCAGGTTACATCTAGTATCCTTTCATTTGAACTTGAAGGACTCCCTTTAGCATTTATTGTAATGCAGGTCT
This sequence comes from Homo sapiens, assembly GCF_000001405.40. NCBI lineage: Eukaryota > Metazoa > Chordata > Mammalia > Primates > Hominidae > Homo > Homo sapiens. The sequence goes on along the minus strand of NC_000015.10, from coordinate 100,121,669 downwards.
AGTGGTAACAAACTTTCTCCATTTTTTGTTTATCTGGGAATGTGTTAATTTTCACCTTGATTTTTGAGGGACAGTTACATGGATATAGAGTTCTTGCTTGACGGTTCTGTTCTTAGGCACTTTAAGTATATAAGCACACTTCTTTTTGGCCTTCAAGGTTTCTGGTGAGAAACTGGCTAATAATCTTGTTGAAGATCCCTTGTATGGGATATGTCACTTCTCTCTTGGTGCTTTCAAGATTCTCTCTTTGTCTTTTGGCAGTTTAATTACAATGTGTCTTAGTATGGGTCCTTGTATCCTACTTGGAATTTCTCGAGCTTCTTGGATTTATAGAGTCACATCTTTCTTTACATTTGGTAAGCTTCAGCCATTATTTCTTCAAATAATCTCTTAACCCTTTCTCTCTTTTTTCTCCTGAGACTCGCTTAGTACCTACATTGATCCACTCGATGGTGTCCCACAGATATCTCTGCTTACTTTTCTACATTTTTTTCTTTTTACTTCTCAGACTCAGCAATTTCAATTGTCCTATATTCAAGTTTGCTAATTCTTTCTTCTGCCTGCTAAAATCTTCTCTGAACTGGTGGATTTTTCATTTCAGTTCTTATACTTTTCAATTCCAAAATTTATCTTTGTTTTCTTAACTTCCATATCTTTATTGATATTCTCATTATGTTTATAGATTGTCTTCCTGTCTTTATCTGTGCCTTCATTTGGTTCCTGAGCATTTTTAAGACAGTCGTTTTAAAGTATTTGTCTAGCAAGGCCAACATCTGGGTTTCCTCAGGGACAGGCTCCGCCAATACATTTTGTTCTTTTGAATGAACCATACTTTCTGTTTCTTTGTATGCCTTGTGATGTTTTCATTAAAAACTAGACATTCAAATCTTAGAATGCAGTAACTCTAGAAATAGATTGTACCCCTTCCCCAGGGTGTTTGGTTTTGTTTTGTTTTATGATTTAGTGGTATCTCTGGATCAGGAATTAACCTGAAGTGAAAGCTGAAGGTCTTATCAGGTCTTTTTTGAACCTGTATCTTTTCCTAGCCATTGCTGGTGGCTTTCTAAGTTCTCCTAGATGAAGTTGCTTTTAAATGTCTTTGTGCCTAAATGTCTGGCTCCTAAAAGAAAAAAGGAGGGAAATCCCCTGGAAGCCACTTCACCTGGTGGAGGTTACAGCAATGTCAGCCATCTTCTGCATCTGCACCTTAACAACTGAAAGTAGCAATCAACAGTCAGAACACAGAAACCAGATATTTGGAAGATAAGGTTCTTACTGCTCACCCTGACTCCAGAAAGTTGCAACAGGAGCACAGACATAGCTGCCTGCCTTGTGGGTGAAGGATGGGCAGTAACTGTTACCACACTAAAGGCTGAAATTGAGCAAAATTAACTGAAATTGACCTGGCTTTCCCCTGGAAGCTGCAAGCCTTCAAGTAGACTGCAGAGTTTCAAAATAGTTTCTTCAGGTAGTTTTTGCCAGTGTGATTATTGTCTGGATGGAGAACTGGATTCCTGGTGCTTCCTCCTCAGCTCTCTTCCCGACATCATTCCCTCTGTTGGTCATTTTAAGATCAGCTCTGATAATATAGTTCACGTCAGTCTAGTGCTTATTGGAGACCCTCCTGTGCAATGCTCTCTGCTGAGAACACAGAACCCAGATATTTGGGAGATAAGATCCTTCCAGATAAGAGGAACAGGAGGAAGACAGCCCTCCATTTCATAAGGTTAGTGGTAAGCAGCATAGCAGATACCCAAACAAGATGTGGAGATGCTCCAGGTAGGAAGGAAAAATAGGGTGGAGGTGGCCTCAAAGATGGACAGAGGGTTAGGAGGTGGGAAGTGGGGATTACGGGGCCTGTGAGCTAGATAAGGGGCCACACAGAGACTGCCTGTTGGAGAATTTGTCAGGGAGAAGCAGCAGCAGAAGCAGATGTGGAGGGAGGTGTGCCAAGGCACGTGTGGTATCCCATGTGCTCCGCCTCCAGACCCACTTGCTTCTGGATCCAGTTCTCTTACATCATATCACATCATATCTCCTCTCCGCCTCCTCACTGTCAGAGGTGAAGGTAATTGTTGTGTGCGGGTTAGGCAGATGTAAAACTGGAGAAATCAGCTACTGGAAAGGCGAGGAAACTGAAGCGTAAAAGGAAGCTCGATAACCACTCAGGAAGTTAATCACATGATGTTCACCAATCAGAGTCTATACTCAAGTGTGTAGGAAAGGTAGCTTTCTTTATTCTTCTACGAACCCACCTAATTTGTATTTCTTTACTCCCTTCCAGTCCGTGTTTTGTTCCTCATGACTTCATGTCTGCCCTGCTTTCCCTTAGTCTGCATGTAAGTTCCGCGAGGAGCATCTGGTCCTTGTGTCGTCCGGTTCCTTAGTTTCCTGGGGCTGCCATAACAAAGGACCCCCAACCAGGCGGCTTCAACAACCAGAAGTTATTGTCGTACAGTCCTGGAGGCTGGAAGTCCAAATCAGGGTGTCGACAGGGTTGGTTTCTCCTGAGCACTGTGAGGGAGAATCTGTTCCAGGCCTCTCTCTCAGCTTCTGGTGGCTTGCTGACAATGTTTGGCATTCTTTGTGTGTCTCTCTGCCTGTCTCTGTGTGTGTGTGTGTGTGTATCTCCAGATGTCCCCTTTTCATAAGGACACTTCATATTGGATTAGGGGCTCAACCTACTCTAGTATAGCCTCATTTTAACTAATTTTGTCTGTGCCCTGTTGACCCTGTTTCCAAATCGGGTTGCACTCTGAGGCACTAGAGGTTAGGACTTCTGCATAGAGTTTTGTGGGGGCCCAGTTCAGCTTGAAACGTTGTGCCATGCTGCATCTGCTGCCTCACTCGTTCCTTCTCCGGTGCCCGCTCGTGGGGACTCACTTATTGCCAGGGTGATGTTTCTCCTACTGATCCATGTGGCTTTTGGGGGCCAGCCCTTCTGTGCTCCTTCCATGCCGTGTTCCGTGGCACAGGATTTGATTCATTCTGTCTGCCAATGGTACCTGGCCCAGGCTGCCTGGGGAGGCTGTCCGAGGCCCCTTCTGCCTAAACACACCATGCAGTCATTTCTCTGGAACTGATGCCTCCCTTGCCTTCTAGACAGGAAGCAGAACACAAGGCCCCTCTGTTCTCAGATTCCATAAACCTTCTAGAGGGTTAGCCATTGCCTAACTGGAAGACCAGCAGAGCTCAAGGCCCCACTATGGGGCCACCAGTAGGTTTAATCTCTCTAGATCTCTTCTTCTCCTGGGGGAGGGAACTGTTTTCTAGTGTATATGAGGTAGACAGAAGTATGAAAGGGGCCTTTCTCCTCAGGATATTTTCTCCAAGACAACTGGGTAGACCAGGAGTTGGCAAAAGTAAGGCCCGTGGGCCAAATCTGGCTTACCACCAGGTGTTTATAAAGTTTTATTGGGACACAGCCATGCCTGTTCTTTTACATGTTATCTCTAGCTGCTTTTGTGCCACAGTAGCAGTTGAGTGGTTGGAGACTATTTGGCCCACAAAACCAAAAATATTCACTATCTGGCCCTTCACAGAAACATGTTTTCAACCCCTGGAGTAGACCTTTATGACACAAAAGCCCAAAGGCTTCTGCCCTCTTCTGCTGTTACATCTCTCCCCTAAAGCACCAATCACAGGGTGGTCTTGCTCTCTGAACATGGAAAATGGCAAAGGAGGAAAAAGAAATACACAACACGAAATGGCTAATGTGTCCAGATGACATTTGGCCAACAGGTGTGTGTGATTTGTGGAAATTCATTGAGCAGAACTGTTTGGATGTGTGCCCTTTTCTTTCTTTCATAGACTGAATTTCAATAAAAAGTGCGAGGGGTGGGAGTGGATAAGAAATCTTATTCCATCATGATGACCTTGGCATCATGGAAACGAATGGAACCACTGAGGTTGCCCAGGTTGTCAAGGACACCCTGGGGCCTTGCAGAAGCACAGGGCAGAGCCATGCTTTGCCAGCCAGGCCCTCACACATGTGGACTTGGCCAGTGAACACAGTCTGGAACTCCGGAATGGCTTAAAACCCCAGCCTCAGCACAGAGCATCTAGGATCCAAGACCATAGCATTGACCATGTGTGGTCTCACACCTGCCCAGGTAAAGGTAGCACAGCCCGGATCTAACTGGTCTCCAGTCAAAGCCCATGAGCAGTGAACTCGTTGTTCTTATTCTTTTCATTATAAAGTAAATGAGCTATGTATTTACTCATCCTGAAACTTAACCTCCAGAGTATACCTGGGGGGGCATTTAAAGGTCTTCATTTCAGAGAAGACCCCTGCAGAACACACACACACCCTCTCCAGAAGTGTCCCTTGGGTTTTCAGTGTTACCCATGGCCAAATTTTAAGTTCAGATGAAGGACGCAATGTGTGGATCTTGCCAAACTCATACTCACTGCCTTCTTTTTCCATATGACCTTGATTTGCAGTTCTCTCATGCACCTTTCAGAGGGCTCACTTAAACATGCCGGCAGTGTGGGTCTGGGATTGTGGGCATTTGGTCTGTAACAGCAGAGAGGGGGTGGCTTTGGAAACCTTGCCCTGCCCCCTTCCTCTCCTCCCCCTGGCAAGAGAGACGGAAACAGCTCTCCTGCCCTTTGGTCGCACCACCTGGTTAACACAGACCTTCTTCTTCCTTCTAGCCCTGGGCCTGGAGGCACACACTGCCCGGGTGCCAGTGTAGAACATGCGGTCTGCGAGAACCTGCCCTGCCCCAAGGGTCTGCCCAGCTTCCGGGACCAGCAGTGCCAGGCACACGACCGGCTGAGCCCCAAGAAGAAAGGCCTGCTGACAGCCGTGGTGGTTGACGGTAAAGGCATATGGCATGTCCTTGCATGGCAGCCTCCTGTCCTCCCCTAAGAATATAAAAACCACCTAGGGAAGCCGGGGGGCATCCCTTTCCCAAACCAACCCAGCAAGACACTCCAGTCCTCTGCCCAGCTCAGCTGCGGCCCAACTTTGTAAGTTGTGGGGTTGACCTTGAATGACCCAGCTCTCTGAGATGTTCCAACTGCAGCTGTTGAAGCAGGCAGCAGGCCAGGTGCATCCTGCAACCCCATTTGTAGCGAGGAGGCTGTGCTGGCATCCTGCCCCTGGCGCCATGTGTGGAGGGACCCAGGACGAGCTGAGGAGACCAAGGAGCTTTACAGGGGCATCCCAGTGTGCTGGTGCGGCTGCTCTCTGGCTTTCCAATGTGGATGATCCCTGTATTGCTTCTCTTGGTTTATTTTGAATTGGCTCTTAATCCTTGGCTAGGATGTTGGGGAACATTTTGAGAATAGTTTGCAACTTAGGAAAGATGATAATAAGCACAGGTCCCATTTTCTTTCCAAGAGCTTTCTCCTGAATCAAGAGGCTCTGCCCCATCGGGCCACTGCAAGCATTTCCAGTAGCTGATGAAGTTCTAGGTGGTGTGTCATGTATACATTTGTAATGTCTGCTTAATTAATGTCCTTAATAGATGAGGACACCCCAGGACCCGCTTCAGGGTTGTTGGGTTTTTTTTTTTTTTTTTTTTTTTTTTACCTAAAACTGTTCTTCTTTAGGAAACAAGACTTTGTGCTATAATGATGACATATGAACCCGTTTATCGGTATGTCATGTACAAGACACAAGTTAGCTCTACATACATCGTCTCATTTAATACGCAAAACAAGCTGTGCAGAAGATGAGAGGGAATAAGGTTACAGGACACCTCTAAGCACCTGCAGCTGACAAGAGGCCAGGGCGGGAGCTGACCTCACTTCCAGAGCAGTTGACTCACAGAAAATAAGCAGCTATTGCCTGGCTGCCAACACTTGAAGAAGACAGACCGCATGACTTCATGGGTGTGGAGTGAGGGAGCTTGAAGAAGAACTCAGGAAACTGGGCCTGATTTTTAGACAGCCTCAAAAGTGTTTTGCAGAAGAATGAAGTTCTGATGCCAGGTCTTATGTTTCTTCCCTGTGATGGGAAGAGCCTTTGAAATCTGCATTTGGCCTTCTGCTGTCGCAAGTTCAGGTGTGCGTAGCTGTGTGAAGGTGGGCCCGGGCATCTCTGGAATAGCAGCCTCAGATCTGCAGCTTTTAGTCTAACAGCCTGACCCATCCTCTTTGAGCTGACTCGTAGAGCAACATGTGATGCTCTAAATTGTAGCAGATAACACCAGCCCACTCAGATGAGGACTCATTTGAAAGTATTGGGGAGCCCCATCATTGTCCTTTTTTAAAAAGAACACCACCTTTGGGGACCGTGTAATGTAGCTGCGCCATCAGCTCGCCAGCAGAATTCAAGAGAAACACGGCCTTTGCACCCTGAATTTTCCCTGCAGTTGAGGGAGAGGGGAGACCTGCCCTCCTAGAAGGAACGTGTGCGGCTGGAGCCGTGCAGTTGCACACCGGCCTTTGCCTCCCTCCGCCTGGCTGTGAGTCGGATGCAGGAGGTGGCAGGAGGCTTCCCGCTGTGTCAGGCACACGCAGACCCCTAATTGGAAGCGAGAGAGCTGCCATTTGGTTCTCATGAGAAGCAGCCTTGAATCCGAACCTTCAGCTTTCCCCGGCATGCCAGATAAAGATACTTTTAGACCTCTTTACTGCCCACTCCCACTTTGCAGGAGCAAGAAGAGGTCAGGTCTGGGACAGACTCACGCTCTTCAAATTTCAACTCAACTTTGTGCCCCAAGTTGTTCTTTCCTTGGTTGCCTGCTTCAGTTTTCAATGCTCCCGTCTTATTTATTCAGCACAGAAATCCCACTGAAATGTCTGTGTTTCCACAGATTTCTCCAAGTCCAGATTAAACTTCTGTTTTCCTTCTGACCGCTTTTGGATGGCTGGACTGTTTCGTTGCCTTATCACCACAGTGGTTGGGACTTGAGTCTGCCCAGATCCTCCACCCAGGAAGCCTTGCGGTGTGGCTCTCTGGGGGGCCACTTGGATTGGGAATGTGACCTTTCACCCACTTCCTTTCTGTTTCTCTCTGCCTAAGTCCTAAGTTATTGTCACTAGAGTGCCACCGCCTTTGATCTGAAAAGAGCAGCCCTGTTTGATGAGGACAGCTACCAGGCAGTAAGTATCTCGCGTTTGAAGGAGAGACCCCACGCTCGGGGCTTTGCACAGGTAGCTCGACACGTCCTGCTCTGGGGTAGAATCGCCCTGACTTCTTGCATCTGCAGTTTCATTTCTCTCAAATACCAACAGAAGCCAGCATTTTTAAAAGGAGCACTTCATCAAGGGTAAAAACAAAATAATAGATGGCCAATTTAGAAGGCAGGAGGGGAATACGGATTATAAGTGTTCCTCTGAAAACTCCATTTATAAGAGGCACAGTTCTAGCTGAGCCGTGATAGGAACGTTTCCTGTGGTTGGGCTCCGGGCTCTTCTGAAGCCCATTATGACTGCCCTATTCATAGCAGTGCTATCGCTGCGGAATTCTTTGGCGAGTGACGCACAGTTCAAAAGAAGGGAAGCTGTATTTTTGTTCTTTTTTTTCCTCTTCCTTTTTTTAAAAAAAAAAAAAAAAAGAAGAAAGAATTCTTGCAGAGGTAGATTTTCCAAGGGAGGATTCAGGACCACAAATCCATCCCACCTCCAAAAGAAGACAAAGATCCTCCTTAGAAAATATTTCTAAATGGAAAAGCCTTTAGACAGAAACCCATTGAGATGGCCCACTGCCAAACCCACCCCATTTCTGCTTTTCTCATGGAATCTCATTGAAGTGGAAACCTTCAAGAGTTCAGTCCTCCTTGCCCAGGCCAGCAGGCCATGGGCCCACTGAAGTGTCGGAGAGCTTGGCAAAGGCTGCGTCTGGACGTGGCTGTGCGTTCCCAGCGCCTCCTGCCTGGCACGGCAGAACCCCCCAGGTCTGAGCCTCCGTGGGGATGAGGGGCGTGATGGTTAGGACTCTCTGACGACAGCTCCGCCAAGCCAGCTGGGGCCGCTTAATGAAAAGGAGGGAAGCTGTTGCAAAGCTGAAGATGTCAGGACCTTAGCTCTGTGGTCTCCGAAGCTTGCATTTGGTAGTCACAACCCCGTGCACCCACTGCAGACTGGCTTTCTCAGAACTTGTCCGTGTGGAAGCTGGTAGGGTAGCCCACGGCACCTCTTATGTAAATCCACATCCTTTACCCAGATCCTTTTGGGCCACATACAGTTCAAGCTTCAGAGCATTTTATGTGTTCAAAAGGTAATGACAGTGCATCAACCAAATATTTGTATTGCTAGTGGGCTCCAGGAGAGCACCCCATAGTCAGTCACGTGGGTCTGTCCACCAGGTGACCTCATTAAGGGGGATACTGACACTACCTAGAGCTCACATCAGTCCAGGCTGGTTTTGCTGCCAAATGTGTTTGCCACAAATGGAAGAGAACACTTAGAGTTTTCAGAGCTTTTTGAATTTCTGAATTACATATAAGGGAGTGTAGCCTTCTTTGGGATCCGTCAACCACGAGCAGACATGACCTCTCTGCATCTGAATTTCAGTACCGAGTTCCCAGGAAAGAGACGAGGAATGGGCCAGCTATGGGCAGGTGCTCACTGCTGGTAAAATCCGCAGAGGCCTGTCCGCCGGGGACTGATGAGGGGGCCGGGTTGGGCAGCTTTGGGAACAGGAGTCTGAGTAGCCTCGTCAGCATGTGTCCCCCACAGAGGACCAGGGAGAACTTGGATGAGTGCTGTGATGAACTCAAAGCAATGTCCCCACCATACTAAGACCTTCTAACTGCTGGCCTAGAGAGAGAGCAGAGAGACTGCTGAGAGCCACGAGTGTCTTCTTCACTGCAGAGGAATGTTCCAAACCTCCAGCGGGCACATGTGACCACGTGGTTCCCAAGCTTCTGAGCCCATCTTCCCTGCCCTGCCTGTGACCACCTCCAGCCAAGCAGAAGTCCTGATGCCAGGCAGGCCAGCAAGAAGCCAGACCGGCCCCAGGCTTTGCAGCTTCAGTCAGAATTCCATCTCAGCACACACCAGCCATGCAGGTGGCACGTTCCAAGCTTCCTTCCTTCAAGTGTGTGGTTGTATAACTTTTAAGAAAATGTGATCTTCTGTGCTGTTGGGGATGTAAGAGTGTTGATGCTGGGTGCAAAGCTGAATCCCACCACCTCATGTTATTTACTGGGGTCTTGTTCCTGGAGATTAATCTCCCACCTAAGGCAACCTGGAGGGAAATAGAGAATTTTGAGGGATTCTGAGCCTCCTCCTCACATTTTAAAAACCTTATCCTTTGGGAGATCATGCCATATAGTTTGCTAGAGATGTGGGTGCCCTGAATTCCAAGCAGAGGCCTCAAAGGGGAGACGGACAAATGGAGAGTTCTGGCTGAGCAGGGAAGGGAAGCCCCACCTCTAGACTCTGTTCTGGAGCCTGAGTGTCCCCAGCTGTCCAAGCTGTGGAGGGCAGTGTCTGCAGGTGAGAGCTGCATGCAGGTGGAGCTGAGCGTTCCTTCGTGCAAGGCTCGTGGCCAGCATCCCTCCAGCTGAGGTTGGCCTTCCTGCTTTGCAGAGTCCGCATTTCTCTGCTCACCCTAAAGAGTCCAGATAAACAGCCTTCATCCCTTTGAAGTCTGGCCTTTCTAACTTGCCTCAAAACAGCCTCTGCTTTTCTACCCAAGTCCCACTTCCACTTCTACTCGAATCAGAGGATACACTCGGAAGCCAGAAACATGCATGAAACTGGTGGTTTGTTTTTAGCAATGCCACTTTGCTCTTGGTAATTTTGGCCCTAGGAGTTCTCAGTTTAGAGAGGAAATTGCGATGATGGAAAAAGAAGCAGGCTGGAGCCAAGAGGCGGGGCGTGACCCTGCCAACTGAAGACAGTCGAGCACTTCCTGTGAGCCCTGTATGCATGTCTGTATAATGGAACAGTGACAGCACCCACCTGAAACGAATAGATAACTACTTAGCATGCTGCCTGGAACACAGTAGTAGTAAATATCGTTTATGATTTCATCATCCTTACTACTGCAGCTGTTGAGCAAATCACCTCAAAGCTCAATTACTCCCAGTACTGAGTCAACATTTCAGTCTAAAGGTAATTAAAATCCAGTTTCAAACCACTTCAGCCAAGGGACCCTTGCTTTCAACGAAACAGTAGAGGCAGCCCAGTGTGTGGAGTAGACTCCACGCTGGGGGCTGTGTTGCTGTATTTCTCCCACCAGCTCCACAAGATGCTTGGGGAACCTCAGGGCTCCAGAGGGTACCTCAGTGACCCTGTCAAGCAAGCTCCCTCGAGCTAATCTCAGTATATGTCTCCATCTTCCAGAGTTCTCCTTCCACCAGCCACCTCCTGAGGTCCTTCCCTGCAAGTGGAAGGACAGCTGCCCCTAGCCTGCCAGCACGGGAAATGAGTCATTCCTTCCAGGCTGCACCCAGCCCTCCGACAGCTCCCATCAGACCTGAAACATGTGGCCTCACCCTGGGTTTGCTGTACACTTGTCCATGAGCCCACTGGGGCCTTCAGAAGCAAACATCACGTGTCTGTCTTTCCCCGGAAGTGCCCCCCAGAGTGCCTTGTGTGAGGGAGGGGTCAGTCCCTGCTTGGTGAATGGATGCATGGTGAGGCATCATTACTCCCCTTACCTGGGAGGCTTCAGATCTCCAGTCTTCTCGTGGGCAGATGTTTACCCCCACAGCTAACCGGAAGAACTGAGGGAAGCATTTCCAGCACACTCCTGGAGCTTCTTTCCAGCGCTGTAAGACAAGATTTCCTGTGGAGCCTGGTGAGAAGCAGACTTCGTGGGACAGGAGGCCTGGAAGGTGACTGAACACAGGGGTGGTTTAGTCCTCCAGTCACGAGACAGCACGTCTGCTCTGACAGGAACTCTGCAGGTGGGATGCCAAGGTCGTCCGAGGCCAGGTCGGCTCAGAAGCCTCTCTCTGTCCCTGCTCTTGCTGGCCCGGGGCCACCAGAAGGACCCACTGAGGAGGCCTGGTGGAGAAGACAAAGAGCAGCAAGGAGGATGAAGGTCTTTGACTCTCGCCCTGTGCAAAGTAACCACATAGATGGCATTAGGGTGAGGTGACAGAGAGAGAGAGGAGAAAAATGCATTCCTCTTGCTCAATTACTTACAGAAGAACAAAATCTATTCAACCTGTTTGTTCAAAAATATATACTGAGTCTTGCGGGGCGCGGTGGCTCACTTCTATAATCCCAGCACTTTGGGAGGCCGAGGCAGGCAAGTCACGAGGTCAGGAGATCGAGACCACCCTGGCTAACACGGTGAAACGGTGTCTCTACTGAAAATACAAAAAATTAGCCAGGCATGGTGGCGGGTGCCTGTAGTCCCAGCTACTCGGGAGGCTGAGGCAGGAGAATGGCATGAACCTGGGAGGCGGAGTTTGCATTGAGCTGAGATCGCGCCACTGCACTCTAGCCTGGGCAACAGAGTGAGACTCTGTCTCAAAAAAATATATATATATGTATATATGTATTTATATATATATATATTTATATAAATATATAAAAATATATATATACTGATATATATATATCAGTATATAAATATATATATATATACTGAGTCTTTCTGTGAGCCAGGTCCTGGGCCCACTGTGGGGACAAAAAAATGAAAGCTTAAGTCCCCTGCCCTCTAAGAGTTCACAGACCCAGCATTACTTCAATCTGAAGATGAATAAAAGTCATCCCTTTCACACTCTTTTAGCGATGGGACCTGCCTTATAATAAATCCCTTCAGATATGGGAGGTGCCCAAACAATTCTAGGACAACAGGCAGATGCTGTTGCTTTAATGGAGGTGTGTGCACAGTGCATGTGGAGATGCTGCTCCTGCCCCACCTCAGAGCTGGCGTGAGGGAAGAGCTGCAGGGTGGAAGCTTCCAGGGCAGTAGAAGGCAAAGTGCTGCGAGGGATTTCCAGGCAGAGAGCGCACACCGGGCAAAGGCTGGGGAGCTGGGCGCGTTCTGGGAGGTCATGTGTTTTTAGGAGTAGGGGAAACCCAGGTTTCCATCCTGCCTGGGTGCACATGCGGCTCTTATAAGTTGTCCTAGCGGCGCACATGTCCCCTTTGTACCTTACTCCCACTCAGTTTCTTCTGGGATCTCCGTACCCCAAAGCACAGCTCGACTGTCACCCAGCAGCTAGGGGAGCACTGAAGCTCTTACCAAAGCTACTGTCATGGTGACCCTTGGGGCCGCTGCCCTCACTCAGAGGCATTCTCGTTCCCCTTCCCCTCCCCCTCCCTTCACACCCTCGCTATAAGAGTGGCTCCAGCTCCCCCTTGATGTGTATTCAACGTAGAGATTAGCACACAACTCTTCCTTTGTTCACCGGGTATAGTTGATGCCTTAAGGAAAAGGAAACTTCCTGTATCATTGCAAAGGATAGAGAGATGAGAGAAGGCATCCCCACAGAGCTCAGTCCTGCACTGTCTTCCCCTGTGGCTGTGGGTCTTTTTCCGCTTCCTGGAGCGCGTACCTGAGCTCATGCACCTTTACTGACCTGTGCGGACCTCTCTTCCTCAGGGTTTCCCTCTGCCCACATGTACCTGTGCCCTGCATGGCCCACGCACACCTTCCCGTGTCAACGTCCTCCAACCTTTCCCTCCTCAGATAAGCCATGTGAACTCTACTGCTCGCCCCTCGGGAAGGAGTCCCCACTGCTGGTGGCCGACAGGGTCCTGGACGGTACACCCTGCGGGCCCTACGAGACTGATCTCTGCGTGCACGGCAAGTGCCAGGTGACGTACTTCTCCTTCGGTCCTTGGTGGGGCTTTGGAGAGGAGACTCACTCTCCCCAGACAGGGAGTGGGGTAGAGCAGAGGTCTCAGGAGGCCTAGGGGAGTGGATTTTCTTAGGAAGGCACCCAGTGATGCCGCCTCCTGCCGCCAGTGTTGCCTGGTGCACCAACCCTAGCTCAGTAATGACTGAGTGCTAGGCCAACAAGGAGTGGAGGTGGAAAGAACAGGCACAACGTATTCTAAGACTTTGAAAATTGCTTTAGACATCATGACCAAGACGAAGGTAGGCAGGGTACTAAGATGCGCCTAAAGGATGTCTGCACAAGCCAGGCCCCATTTAGTGCAGAAGAGACGGCAGAACTGAGCCAATGCCTGTGCAGGTCACGCCAGGCAGATAGGTGCGCCCAGCTGTCAGGGAGCATCCATCTACTGGTATATAGTCCCAAAGGCATTGAGGGCTGGATGGCCATGACTGGTTAGAACAGTGATAAAAACCATTTAAGTGAAGAAAGAGAGGCCGGGTGCGGTGGCTCATGCCTATAATCCCAGCACTTTGGGAGGCCGAGGCAGGAAGATCATAAGACCAGGAGTTCAAGACCAGCCTGGCCAACAGGGTGAAACTCAGTCTCTACTAAAAATACAAACATAAATTAGCCGGGCATGGTGGCATGCGCTTGTAATCCCAGCTACTCGGGAGGCTGAGGCAGGAGAATTGCTTGAACCTGGGAGACGGAGGTTGCGGTGAGCTGAGATCACGCCACTGCCTTCCAGCCTGGGCAACAAAGCAAGACTCCGTCTCGGGGGGAAAAAAAAAAGGAATGCGAGAAGAAGGAAGGAAGCTTACCCTCCACCTGCATTAACCCTGCCCAAGCTGAGGGCCACCTGTAGCCCTTACCCTCCCCAGGTGGGGCTCCTAGCCTGGGGTAGCAGAGGTGACTCCATGCTCCCATTTTGTCCCTCAGAACGAGCACCTCCTGAGGTGGCGCAGCAGCTGGGATGGGGAGTGGGTGTCGAAGCTTTGTATTTTCTGTGCCTCGCTTATGCCACAGGTACCATACTCCCTGGTGACTCGGGTCAAGCTGGGCATGTTGTGAGAGAGCCCCAGCATCTTAGTCAGCTTGGGCACCTGTAACGATACACCATAGACCAGGCAGCTTATGAACAACTGACCTTTATTACTCACAGTTCTGGAAGCTGGGAAGTCCAAGATTGAGGCCTTGAGGCACAGGCAGATTTGGGATCTGATGAGGGGTCGCTTATCATAGACAGTGTTTCTTGCTGTGTCCTCGCATAGTGGAAGGGGCTGGTGAGCTCTCTTGTGAGTCTCTTTTATGGGGGCCCTGATCCTGTTCATGAGAGTTCTGCCCTCATGACCCAGTCACCTCGCAAAACATCCACCTCCTAACACCATCACCTTGAGGGCTGGTGATTCAACATGTGGATTTGAGGAGACACAAACATTCAGACCACAGCACCCAGGGAGCGCTCTGCCCTCAGCCACACATACGCGTTCCTGTCATCCTATGACCACGTTCCCTCAACTGTGTCCTCCACAGGGGAGCCCACCAAGAGCTAGTGACAATGGCAGCTCCTGATGTCTGGAGCAGGCAGATCAGTGTCAGGATCACCATGCGTTGCCCTCACAGAACTGTGGTGAGCCAGATGCTGGCTTCCAGGCGTCAGGTCCACTTGCCCATGCGGACAGCAGATCTGCTTATGCTCTTTGCTTGCTCAGTGCCTAGCAGAGTGCATAGGCATCAACATTTCAGTGTGCGTGACAAACAGAACAAGAGGAGGCAAGGCATAAAGACAGACACAAAGACAGCTTCCAGGGTGATTGCTGCAGCAAACCGTTTCCACCCAAACAGATGCTTTTTCCTGCTAAGGCCAAATCAGTCTGAAACTGGGATTTTTCAGGGAAAAGCTTGACAAGACCCAGACTCCTTTGGCACTGCCTGGCTTTGTTATCAAATACAGATAAATGTGGGTGATAAGCGCCTGGTGCCCAAGAGTCTTGGCACAGCAACCTCACGGGGAGGGAGGCAGTGATGAGTGGTTGAGCTGGCCCCTCCTGGCTGCTTTCTTGTAACAAAGAATGTCCAAGGCCCTGCCCGTCGGGCAGTATGAACAAAGCCCTTATCATTGTTACTGAAATGAGGCATCGCCGATGGTTCTTGGTAAACTTCTAACCAGCCAAGTGCAGGGCTGGTGTCCGACCCAAATTACACACTTCCACAGACCATCCTGCCCAACGACTTAACGTTCCTCCCAAGTTAGAGTTCTTACACCCTTTAGAGCAGCACCAGCCGAGCCATCCCCAGCCTCTGCCAGCATCTTCTGCAGCGTTCTTGCCAATGGGGAGGCATTTCTAAGAATCCTAAAATTGTCTAGCCAGTGGGGTCTGTGTTACTGGCTGGACATAATTTATGCTCTGTGCGATCTGTGCCAATGGGCTCCATCCATGATCTTGGTTTTAATCACAGCCTTTTCAACTAGAGGATGTTCCATACTATGACAATGAAACCTTTAGTCGTAGAATCAAAGAGAAAATGCTGCTCCAGACATTTGAATGGCCTAAGTCTGTGGTCATGAGGATAGCATTGAGCCCAACCCTGTTCTGCACTTGGGTGTCGTCTTAGTCAACTCAGGCTGCTCTAACGAATACCCTAGACTGGGTAGCTTATAAGCAACAGACTTATTTCTCAACGTTCTGGAGGCTGGAAATCCAACATCCAGGGGCTGGCATAGATGGGTTCTGGTGAAGGCCCACTTTCATGCTGTAGACTGCTGCCACTCTGTGTCCTCCCATGGCATAAAGAGAGCTAGTATCCAGGCATGGTGGTGGAGGCCTGTAGTTCCAGCTACTCCAGAGGCTGAGGTGGGAGGATCACTTGAGCCTGAGAGGCAGAGTTTGCAGTGAATCGAGATTTTGCCACTGCACTCCAGCCTACGTGACAGAGTGAGACCATGTCTTGAAAAAAAAAAATCATTTTCTTGAGGCCAGGTGTGGTGGCACACGCCTATAATCCCAGATCTTTGGGAGGCCAAGGCGGGCAGATCACTGGAGGTCAGGAGTTCCAGGACCAGCCCAGCTAACATGGTGAAACTCCATCTGTACTAAAAATACAAAAAAATTAGCTGGATGTGGTGATGGGTGCCTGTAATCCCAGCTACTCAGGAGGCTAAAGCAGGAGAATCGCTTGAACCTGGGAAGTGGAGGATGCAGTGAGCCGAGATTGCACCATTGCACTCCAGCCTGGGCGACAGAGTAAGACTCCATCTCAAAAAAAATAAAAATAAGAGAGCTAGCTAGCTCTCTAGCCTCTTCTTACAAAGGCACCAGCACATTCATGAGCTCTACCCCCTCTTGACCTAATCACCTCCCAGAGGCTTCACTCCCAAATACTATCACGTTGGTATGAACGGTTCAATTTATGAACTCTAGAAGACACAAACATCCAGTCCATTGCAGATGTGATGGGAGTGACATTGGGATGCACGCCTTCCTGTTCCCAGATGCCACTCCATCCCCAGATGTCACTCCATCCCCAGGACCAGCCTGTCTATTTCCAGTGCCTCCACCATTGTCATCATCATTGCAGGGATTGGTTGGTGCCTGCACTGCACCTCACATTAACCAAGTAGAGTCACCAGGGTGCGCAGGTGCAGATGGAGGCACCTTTCATGATGCTCGATGGTGGTCTTTTGCTCCTTGGGAGCCTCACCCTGCCACTGCAGAGACCCTGCCTACCAATTCTCGAAAGCACCATCTCCCGGGTGGCTGCACCCTGGTAACCCGCTGCCTCCAGGCAGACCACCAGTCTTTACAAAAGAGCCACCATCCTGGTGGGTGGCAACAGCACCTACCTGCATGTACTTCTCCAGGTTAAAACTGTGAGAAACAACTTGCTTTCTGAAGGAAGTTAAAAAGCCATCTGCTATTTGTCTAACAGTACTTTCTTCAGACAGATACTGTAAAGGTTAACCTCAGCCCACTCTTAAATCGATGCTCACAAAACTCCAAATTGTTAGTCGTAGTTAATGAACTTTTATAAAAATCAGGCATTCTTAAATAAGATCACAAATTCAATTCAAATATAGTACTTATGTCTTGTTGCAGTAATTGTCAAGATGAAACATTCTGGATTCCTGTGGCATTTGTGAATGTGTATAGCAAGAAAGAAATGGTTAAGGAAAATAATAGTAATTGTAATGTTAAAACCTCAGGGGCCTAATGAGTGGAAAGTCTGTATCTATTCATTGATAATAATTGTCTAATTACAACCGATTAAACATACAAATCACCCACATTTTATATGAGACAGCACTCACAGAAATATTGCCGTGGTTTGCCTACTAGCGTTTTCCTCTCTTTCCCCTTCAGCTATAAATTGTGCTATTTTGGGGTAGCAGACGGCATTCTGGGAAATGTCGAGGAACATAGTAACTAGTTGGTAGGGGATGAGAGGCTTCAAAATGGCATTTTGAGTAGATTCCACTGCACTCCAAATAGCAGGCTGATTCAAACCATAACATGAAACATGGAAATGCCATTTTATTCTGTTTTTATGAGGACTGAATTAAGTTTCATTTCAGTGAGTCACAAATTATTTAACATGCTGAAATTAAACTTAACAGCACTCATAAAATTGGGAGGGAATTGGGGAAAGTAACAGAAACATTGTGTATTTTTCAGCAAGCTCCTATAAATCAAGAGTCCCATCATTAATGATTCCTACTGTTGGCCTCCAGAAGGAGAGACACCGGGTTAATAAGCCTCTGATACACAACTGCATCTGGAGCTGCTGACATGCAATGAGCGAGTCCAGCTGACGCGCGGCTTTGCCCATTGGATGATGGACAGACCCAGATGTACCTGAGACCCAGCTATGCTTGCCTTACTGGTTTGTGCACACCTGTAGCCAACATTCTCCAATTCAGTTCCTACTTCCTTGGTACCATAATTTGTATACATATCCTGGGCTTGATGAATACCAAGCCAAAACACCTTCAGGGCCTGTGACCTTCTTCAGTGAAGGAAGTACGTCTCATTAACCTGTGCTTCCCTATACACTGGCCCAGAGGAAAGCCTTTGATTGCATATTGAAAGAAGGGTCAGGTGCAGTGGCTCATGCCTATAATCCCAACACTTTGAGAGGCCAAGGTAGGTGGATTATCTAAGGTCAGGAGTTCGAGACCAGCCTGGCCGATATGGTGAAACCCCGTCTCTACCAAAAATACAAAAATTAGCCGGGCATGGTAGTGCATGCCCATAATTCCAGCTAAGGAGGCTGAGGCAGGAGAATTGCTTGAACCCGGGCAGTGGAGGTTGCAGTGAGCCAAGATCGCACCAGTGCACTCTAGCCTGGGCGACAGAGAGAGACTCCATCTCAAAAAAGGAAAAGAAAAAAAAAGAGTGGCTGGATGGATGGATTATGTGTTCTTAGGATTTCAGTGGTTCTGGAATCTGGAGCCCATTTCAATGGACGACTTTCATTGCCAAGAATTTATTGGCCTCCTATTTCCTGTCCAAAGATCATCTGTGAGGCAGGTAGAATTACTGGGGAAGTTTAGGAGAATTCAAAGAGACCCTGGTCTCAGAGGACCCCCAGGTAAAGCAGAGGTAACAAGCCTGCAGGAAAGCGTGCCTGGCACTTAAGCCTGGGTTTGCATCTTCACGATGCTCCCCACATGCTGCCCTTCCCTGCACCGTGACCCTGCAGCTGGCATCTCTAACGTGTGTTACTGTGGGTGCCAAACCTTTATGGATAGCAGTGCCTGAAACGTGAAGGTCATTCCCTGCACCCCTTTTTTCTGATTAACCTCCCATGACAACTTCTGGTTGAAGCCAGCAGACCAAGCCACATGTTCCTGCCTCTTCCATGCGGGACTCCACTAAACCAGCACAAACAGTGAAGGGAAGCAGGAGCTTCCAGGTGAAAGATCCCACCTCTTTCTGGATGACAGAAGTGGGTGGAAGTGTCATGCAGGAACAAAGCAGCAGAGGCCAGAGCTGGAAGAGGCGGAGAGTCGCCACTGAAAAGACAGCCCAAACCGAGAGCTGTGGGCTTGAGAATGGAGGGTCGGAAGTGAAGAGTGGGCTGAAAACAAGTCCGAGGGTGCATCGGCATGCTCATGGTGTCTGATCCCACACTCAGAGCTTGACGGGCTGTCAAGTAAAATGTTAGGGAGCTGCTTTCCAGGGTCATGGAATGAACTGTTTGAGGAAACCCAGAGCAGGCAGGGAGGTCTCTGTGCTGAGGACGGTGCCCAGCCTTCTGCGTTGGGGTTAGAGGTCAATTTCCCTCGCACTAGTTACGAAAGGAAACCTACCATGCAGCAGTGCCCAGCTTCAAATGTGGATCCCTTTCAGTCGGCCTTCAAATGTAGATCTCCTTCAGTAGGCCTTCAAATGTAGAGCCCCTTCGGTCGGCCTTCAAATGTAGATCCCCTTCGGTCGGCCCTCAAATGTAGATCCCCTTCGGTCGGCCCTCAAATGTAGATCCCCTTCAGTTGGCCCTCAAATGTAGATCCCCTTTGGTCGGCCCTCAAATGTAGATCCCCTTCGGTCGGCCCTCAAATGTAGATCCCCTTCGGTCGGCCCTCAAATGTAGATCCCCTTCGGTTGGCCCTCAAATGTAGATCCCCTTCGGTCGGCCCTCAAATGTAGATCCCCTTCGGTCGGCCCTCAAATGTAGATCTCCTTCGGTCGGGCTTCCTGTTGCTTGTTCTCAAATACGAGTGGGCAACCAGACATCATCTGCTATTTGAAGAAAACCAGCAGCATGAAGGAGAAAGACCAAGAAAAACAAACAGAAAAAACTGACCCTGGCAGAAAATTGAGATAATTATGGAGTTCTCCGTGCAGCCAAACTATCAAGCAAGCATGCAGGGAAACTAATTTTGAGACACAGAAGAACTCAGAAATTCTATTTTCCATGCATGCGTTCTGCAGAAGTTACATGTAGTTTAGCAAAACAAGAATGAAGTCAAGAAAGAGGAAGATGGGCACTACAGGCCCTGGTGGCACTCACCCAGGAACCCAGTAAATCCTGGAGTCACGGCTGCGCAACTGGCCTAAAATCTGCACTCGCTTAAAAGTCATTCAAGAAGTCGGTGGCCTCCCTCCAACCGAAGAGATGGGATGAGGCAGTAGTTGGAAGATAGCTAATAAGTTGAAGAAAGCAAGTACTGCTTATTCCAGCCAGAAAAAACAAGTACCATCAAAACTTGTACGAGGAAGTCCCAATTCAAATATGAGAAAACTAGACTCCCCAGCTTGATAAGAGGTCATCATTTGTATGCTCTTACTGAACACACATGTGCTTAATACCACACCAGCCACTGTGTGTGTCAGAGGATGGGGGAAGGCCAAGAATACAAAGAATTCTCAGACACAGTCCTCTATGTGCTTATGGTCCGTTAGGGAGATGACACATACTCACTTGGAAACCCAACGACCAGAGGCGAAGGCGTGATTTAACAACCAAGAAGAGGTTCCACTTAGACATAGCAGAAAACCCATAGGGTGGAATTTCGTTTATTCCTGCATCAGGTATTTGTTGATCACATTCCGAGTGCTGCACACTGTATTGTGTGCTGGGCTTTCATTAGGGAGCAGGACCAAGAGGATCCCTGTCCCTGTCCAACATACAGACAGGCCATGTCAGCTCACAAACGTGATCATTCCAGAGATTGGTATGTGTGAAGAAGAAAATGGTGCCATAGAGAGACCCAGCGGGGGACTGTGGCTGAGGAGGACAGTGAGCAGGTGGCATGGCATTTCTCTTAGAGGAGACAGCCTTTGAGGAAGAGCCAGCCTGGCAGAGAGTTGGGGGCAGAGAGCTCCAGGCAGAGGGAAGCAAGAGGGAGATGGGTGCATTCCAGCAACAGACGAGGGCGGAGGCTGGCACAAAGGAGCCAGGGCCCAGGCAGAATTGATGCAGAGGAGTGAAGCGATCTTAGCTATGGATAACTGACTCAAGTAGATCCCAGGAAACAAGTTAAGAGGCTATTCTGGTTGCCCACCTGGCTGAGGGGTCATTCCGGGGGAGGGCTTACAAGAGTGGGCTGGAGGGGGTTGGATTCACTGTGCATCTGGAGTGGGGGAGGAAGGCAGGCTGAGTTGGTGAGCAGCTGGAATGAGATCATGGAGGGTCTTAAATTCATATGTGCGGACGTTTCTGATAGGCAGTGGGGATCTTTGGCCACAGATCTTATCTCTCTTTTTGTGTGGAGATTAGTCTGGCAGCAGGCAGGAGAAAAATGCTCCCATAGTTCATGTCCTGATTAAGGAGGGTGTAAACTAGGGAGTGGAGCTGAACATGGAGGAGAAGTAGGCAACAGAGGTTTTCAGGGCACAAAAAACCCAAGCTCACCAACTAACTGGGTACATCCCAAAATAGAAGAGTCAGAAATGGCTTGGAGGTTTCAGGCTAGGATGCCTGTCTGTCAGTTCCAAGACAGTGGCAGGGGGTGTCCAACTAGAATTAAGAGGTCAGGCAGCTTTGGAGGAGAAGCTGTCGCATTGAAAGTGGAGAGATTGCTCAGCAGACTCTTAGTAGTGAGAGCCAGGGTGGAGTGAGGGGAGAAGTGGGCTTAAGAGCTCTTTGCATGAGGATGATGGCTGAAATAAGGAGAAGGCGAAATTACCAAGAAAATGAAAAATCGGAAAAAGCAGGGAGCCCCGGGGGAGCTACCCACTTTCACGGAGTCGAAGAAGCAAGAGGAGGGAGGAGTCATCCAGGGGCTGGGAGGAGAATCAGACAGGAGCCATCCTTGGCTTCCAGGGCATCTTTAGCACACACTCTGGGGTGTCTGCTTGTTTCCGCACTGGCGTCTCCCTCCATCTTACATGTCTTTATTTCCAGGTTAGGCACATAACAGGCACCACGGGTGAATCAATACATGCACAACAGAGACAGGGTGGGCGTTACACACAGCGGACGCTGTAGAGCAGGAGGTGAAAGATGAGGCTGGAGACACGTCCACTAGGTGTGATGACCAGGAGGCTGTTGTCCCTGGTTATCTTCAACAGGGGCAAAGTTCCAGGGTGGAATCCAGGACTCAGACAGCTAAAGATGGACATTTGCCACTGTCCACGGCCCATCCTGTGCCCTCCTCAGCACACGGATCTGAGCACTAAAGCTTTTCCAAGCACTTTCTGCATGTTTCTCAGGAGCTGTCTTGACCAATGAAGAACTTGTGCTTTTCCCCCCGTTCCATCCCATCTCATACCATCTCATACCATCCCATGCCTTTAATTATGCCGTGGGACATTGTTCCTTGGTCCTTTGGTGTCACATACACCCTGACTTA
Organism: Homo sapiens; assembly: GCF_000001405.40. Lineage (NCBI taxonomy): Eukaryota > Metazoa > Chordata > Mammalia > Primates > Hominidae > Homo > Homo sapiens. The sequence continues at coordinate 100,099,670 of NC_000015.10, read as the reverse complement.
GCCAGAGGCACAGGGCGCGACCAGCAAATGCTGGCCAGGAACTTGAAGCCCTGCTTTGAAAGCTGAGAAATGGGTGATGAAGATTCCTAGGAAAGTAACTAAGGATCACCAGGATAACATGGGAAGACTTGAGAGAGTTTATTGCCTGGAGTTTCCTCAGGCTTGGTCATCTTGTTCTCTTGGAACACCAAGCCTCATAAATACAATCATCAAAGCTCCCCTAATATTCAGAATTAATGACTTCAGTTGTGTCCTATGGCAGCTTCCATTTGAAAACCATCCCAGTTTCTGCCAAGATTATAAGTTGCTTGCGCTGACTGAAACAATGGAAGAAAATGCCCCCGTTCGCAGATTTTGTGGCTGTCACCCGTCAGCATTTAGAGTCACTGCTGTTCAGACATGGACAGCCCTGCATTCCCTGTCTCCAGATGCAGACAGCCTCTAAAATAACACCAAGTAGAGTGGGCAGAACCCATGGACCTGTCCCAGCCCCTGGATGGTCTCCAGAATTAACTGAAAGGGCAACGCTGTATGCATTCCTGTTTGCACCTGCCCTGAAAAGCCCCCTTCTTTGGGGCTGGAGGAAACTGGACCAAATGGGGCATCTAGAAGCTGTTGAATCAGGAAACCTTAACTGAGGTGCAGGACAAGGAACCAGGCCTGAAGCCAGAGACTCACTCCTACCAAGCAAGGGTGTGGTTTGAAAATTATAGGAAGCCAGTGTAAGGAATGTCTACAGCAGAGGGCACCTGAGATGAGAAAGCCCAGGTGGGAGCTGGAACAGGTGCCAGGAAAGAGGCCAGTGGGAGAGACCAGCTCTGTGGGCATTGGCCCTGTGGCCCCAGCAGAAGCAAGTCTGGAGACCATGCACTGGAGCTCTGAAGTGAAACAAAGCAACAGACACGTGGTCTCACAGATTTGGTCTCGGCGTTTGCTAAACACTGCTGGGGGACATTTTCTGATCTTGGCTACTCTTTATTCTTAGCCCTTATAATTTTTTTTTTTTTTGAGACGGACTCTTGCTCTGTTGCCCAGGCTGGAGTGCAGTGGCGCAATCTCAGCTCACTGCAACCTCCGCCTCCCAGGTTCAAGCTACTCTCCTGCCTCAGCCTCCTGAGTAGCTGGGACTACAGGTGCGTGTCACCATAGGTGCGTGCCACCATGCCTAGCTAATTTTTGTATTTTTAGTAGAGACGGGGTTTCACCATGTTGACCAGGCTGGTCTTGAACTCCTGACCTCATGATCCACCCACCTCAGCCTCCCAAAGTGCTGGGATTACAGGCGTGAGCCACCGCACCGGGCCAGCCCCTGTAATCTTTATACTGAGCAACTTGATAGCAGCTGGCTAGCAGTCCACACCGAGAATCTAGGCAGCCCTGCACTGCGCTCCAGGCTCACGGTGCCTCATCACAGCTGGCTTCCCTCCAGGTCACTACTGGATGGTCAGCCCCGGCAAAGCATTGCAGTTGGTTGCCAGTTACCATATGTGTCTTGATGTGTTACCTACATCTCCCCAGCCACCATCAAGCCCACTGTTATCCATTTGCTCCTTGCTGTCCTCTGGCCACTAAAGCCTTCAATTTTACCCTTTTCCTCTTTTTATACTAACTTTGAACAAGTTTGATCTTTTATTCAAGCTCTGCCCTTTTTCAGATTTCATCATGGTCATTTTTAGACTCAACTTGCTCAGCTTTTAGAACATCTAAAAGTCTTCTCTGGAATCTGTCCAGTTATGCTATCATTTTTGGACAGAACAATAGTAATTTCCCATTAGATCTTTTTCAAAAAAATAAAAGGCTCCGAGGATGAGACCTGAGGATTACTAAATATGAAGAGCATTCACCTATTCCTTTGAGTAGCATGCCATGATGCAGCGGTTCTCATCGCATGGCCCCGGCAAGCAGCCTCAGCATCTCCTGGGAGCCGATTAGAAATGCACATTCTCAGGTGCACCCAGACCTGCTGGGTCAGAAACTCTAGGGCTGGGACAGAGCAGTTTGTGTTTTAACAGCCCTCCCCATGAGGCCGATGCACACTTAAGTTGGAGAACTGCTGCCATGATGAACAGAGGATGCTGATGTCTTTGGGGAGTTGTGGGGCCAGGCACTTGCCTCCAGGGATGCGCGTGCAGCCAGCCTGGCACCCGAGGCGCTGTGCTAGCTCTAAGCCCTGCCTGCAGGTGGGAGTACCTGTGAGGGGGAAGCACGGTGCTGCTTCTCGTCCAGGCATCACGGGAAGGGGCTAACTCACCTCCACCAGGATTATCTTGCATCTTGATTTCTTGAGTTCTGGCTGTAGATCCCTTTGGAGTCTGAAGTGCCAATATGTAATCTGGGGTGCAGGGCAGTAGGAAAAACCCAGTTCTTGTTCTGGAAGCATTAGCTTTATAGGGGGAAAATGTGGAGGGACATTTAGGCAATGTGGCTAGTAAATAATTACCCAATGTTCAGTATAAATTTAGGTTATTTTGCAGGATACAAAATTCTCACTTTTTTAAAAAAGAAAAAAAGAGTCCAAAACCTTTTTCTGCTTTTTAGAAAACAGGCTGTGCTTCTCAGATCCACCTAGGGTAGAGGCAGCCTCTCCTCTGCTCTCAGACGTGCCTTGTTGAAAAGGTATGAGAGATGGGGCTCTTCATAGACTAGGTCTTCCTACCTGAGAAAAGAGGGGCCCGTGCCAAGCCCTGCCTGAATGAGCTGTGGGCATCCCTACCTTGTTAGAAAAGTCTGTGGTTTCTGTTGTATGTTCTGAGACTACTGGTTGTTTCAGCCAAGTTGCAGGTGACCCCCACAGCCTAGAGGGGAACCCCCATCATGAGAAATTGTGGCTGCACCTGCTGGTGTGAGGGTTCAGGCTTCACTCTCTCCCCAGGGTCTCTGCCCCCAGGCAGTCAGGGCGTCAGGCCTCAGCGTGACCCCCATGGGCACTTGTGCCTTCATGGATCTCCCTCCAGAACAAATACCAAAAAATAGACTTTACAGCTATGCGGGTATAAAGACAAATATAATCTAGGTTGGATTCTGTGCATCTTTTTTCTCTCCTGAATTAAAATATTTTCTTGGGCCTCTGAATGGATCAGGGCCCCAGGCCCCATGTATGCTGCACCTCATGGAAAAGTTAGCCTTGCAGGGCAGCCTCTTTAAAACTCCTCTGAGTCTTAACCACAGAATAATGAGGCCCTCTGGTTCTTTAGAAAATCGGCTGTGACGGCATCATCGGGTCTGCAGCCAAAGAGGACAGATGCGGGGTCTGCAGCGGGGACGGCAAGACCTGCCACTTGGTGAAGGGCGACTTCAGCCACGCCCGGGGGACAGGTGAGTGTTGGCCCATGGGGCTGCTGTGGCTACAGTGTTTTGTGTCCTTTGCCTACAGCTATTGATTGCAGTCTTCCCTACATTTCATATTTAAGGGCTAGATGGTAGTGGATAGGTGACCTGGAACTTCAGTTTCATTTCTGAAAAGCAAGAAAGGACATTTTAGCAAGAATGATGCCTTCACGTTGCTAGTAGTGAATAGTTTGCCATGAACGGAAACAGCTCCCCACTTAGCCTGAGGTCCATGAATCACTGGTAGCTGCCCTGGGCCAGGAGCTCAGCACTTCCTGGCATCTCGCCTTCTGATGCACAGGCAGAGAAGGTGGGAGAGACACCTGCCAAATCATTTTACCTGTCGATGGAAGACGTTTGCTCTGTGTTTGAATTTTCTGTTAGTAAAAGTAGGATAACACATTTCTAAAACGTGCATGAAGCCGTACAGTCTGGAAGGTCTCAGGTGCCACTGCCAGCTGTGACTCCGGAGTACCTGAGCCTCCTGGTCCCCAGGGGCAGACATTCCTTAGCACTGTCCCTAGAGAGGGATGCCAGGATTCGGTTGATGGGCCGGCTTCATCTTTCTGCTTGCATGGTTTTTGCAGCTGCAGGCTGCTTTGTCTTACATGGGACACAACTTTCTGATCTCCTGTCCTGGAGGACAATGTTTAAGAAAGCGTCTGTAGTTGACACCTAGTGAGGGGAGCACGAGGCAGGCAAGCCAGCTGGAGAGGGAGCTCTGGCAGCCTTAGCGAGTGTGCACTCACCCCCCATCACCAGGAGAACTTGTGTTGGGAGGAAGAAGCTGAGAAACTTATTTTAATTTCCACAAGTTGCTCTGCATAGAAGCTTCTCAGTTCATTTTCCCCCAACAAGAGAACAGAAGCACATTTATGCCTCCCTGTCTCACAGAACAGCCCCGTAAGGTGAGGCATGCTCTCCTCTCCACTTTTCTCTGTGTGGATAGGAAACCTGGTCTGGAAGAAACGTTCCTTCTAGATGCCTGCGGGAAAGACAGCCTACTGCGCCAACATTTTGCAGGACCCTGTGAAAGCAAAACCAGAGGAAATGCAAATGCAAAATGAAACTTAAAAATGAAATTTCAGGTGGATTTTAAAGATGGGTACCTAGTCAGTGAGGCACGGAGCTTAGTGTGAGAAGCTGTGCCTGCCACGTGGCTCCTGAGGTCAACAGAGAAAGGAGAGGCAGGAGCAGGTTGGTTTGGGGGAAAGTGGCCTCCGTAGCTACACTGTCCAGTTCAGCAGCCACTGGCCCCTGGAGACGATCCAAACTGTAATTCATTAAAATGAAACCAACTTAAAAGTTCATCTTTCCATCTCACTGGGAAAATTTTGAGTACTCCGTTGCTGCACACGGCCAGCGGCTCCTGTGTTGGGCAGCACAGGCAGACAATATTCCCAGCATTCCAGAAGGTTCTATTGGACAGCACAGCTCCAGAGCGTTGCCCATTTCTGCTACTGGTTTTGACATACTTAATGCCATTTTCTCTATTGGTACCCCAGCTCCTGGGCTCCCATGAGAATTTGACCTTGCCTATTGCTGCTGAGGCAACATTTAGGAGCAAAACTCCTGCAGTTGGTAAAGGATTACTACTTACTGTTGGCTTTTCTTTTTTAATGGAAGCATTGGAACCCTTTGTTTATTAAATTGAACATTGTACTGAGCTCCCATAAAGAGAACTGACTACAAGTGCGTGATTCTGTAGAAGACAAGTCAGGTACAGCCAGGCCCACTCCCATCGCCAACCCTGGGCAACTCTGTATGTAGAACACTAAGGAAAGTTCTACCACACATCTAACTAACATAGGATCTCACTTCTGAGATAACCCAGATTAAGGTCAAAAGTGGTCTTCCTTTACCCAGACTCTGATCTGTATACCAGCCCTTGATTTGACCTAGGCAGACCTGTTCATCTGGCCACAGTAATGTCCTCCTCTCCTGCTCACCCCTTTCCCTTCTCCATCCACTCCGGCCTGGGCCACATCCCTGTCTGGAATGTGAGGTCAGACCCCTGTGGCCATGACAGTGAGTCCCCCATGGAAGGATGGACCATACTGGAAGCCTCCTTGGGTAGCTGCTCCCACCCTGGCTTGCAGCCTAGTGTGTGTCCTTCCAGCTGCCAAGGCACAGAAGCCTCAGCAAACCTTCAGGCAAAAATAAGCACACGTTCGCTTCACCTACCTGGACTGTCATTCTGAGTGATTGCCAATTGTCACACATTCATTTTAAGGTACACAGCAGTTTTTTGTTTTTCAAATCCTCACAGCTGGAGTCTGTGACCACGAGCCCACATCCATGTGGATTGTATATATTGAAAATCTGCCTGCAGTACTCATTTGCACAAGAATGAGTCACTGGCTGCCTATCTAGTATAGTTTCATTCAGCACAAACTTGTCATCATGGTCTGACATACTGGAATGCACTTTAGAGATACAAATGGTTACCCCCAAGCCCAATCACGCAATGGTTATTTATGCAGCATGACTACATTTTAACCGCTAGGTATACAGAAATAAGTTATTGTCCCCACCCCAGGTACAGTCGAGGGAGGGGACCCCCGGGCAAACAGACAGCATCAGCCTATGTGAGCATGAGGTGGAGGCAGCCCAGCAGGCGTGTTGTGAGACCCCAGGTTCTGGTGGGGCACCAGACCTAGGCCTCCAAAAGCTGAGGGTGGCCCCCAGCACTAAAGGACAAGTAGAAATCAGCTGATAGTGGGGGTAGGGGGAGGACACTTCAGGCTGAAGGGGAAACATATCCTTGCGAGACCCAGCATGGAAATCGTAGAAAGCCCCCAGGTCAAGAGGCATCTTGGTGACGCCAAGTGCAGCTGAGTGGGTGGATTCACCAGGCCTATCAGTTTAGATAGGAAGCTGACTTTCATCTCTGCTTGCCCCTAAAGAATGAGGGAAGGAGGAGTGCCTTATCACCCTTAACGGTGAATATCAAAGAGAAACTCCACACCAGAAAGATAAAGCGGAATCAAATGCTGGATTTTTGCCCAATTTTGTGAAGTCCTGACCCCTGCCTGAACTCCTGTGGGTCCTCTTACCAAAGTTCCTGAGCTGAGAATCCAGGGCAGACCCACACGTGGCGAAGTGTCCAGCCCAGCAGAGCCAAATCTCCCTCTCTGTCATGACAGGTCCCAGTGTGGCACCAGGGGAAGTGGCATCCTGAGTGTAGGGCGTTTATCGCCCTCCAGCCTGTTGCTTCCAAACTTTGAACAAATGAGGTCCTCAGCTACTTATCTATGGAAGGAATCAACTCAACTTGGCTATCATATTGCTTTTCTGATGGATGGGCTTCAAAATGCTCATGCCTTGGGCTGGCTCAAGACAGCTGAGTTATCTGAACCTAGTAATTTGAGTATGATGCTTTCATTTCATTAAATTGCCATTTTAACAATATTATCTTTATTCCGCCCTGCTCCTTGGCACTAAAAAGGTGGCTGGTCAGTCTCCAGGTGACCAGCCCATGGACAGCCAGGACACACCTGGACTGAAGTCCTCACTGAGAACCAGCCAAGGATACCTGTGGGCTTCGGATCCCTTTGCTTTGTGTTCTTGCGAGAACCTTTTCACGTAATCCTTAAAAGAAAGGGTGGGGTGAGGATCCCTTTTGAATGTGGATAGATCCATGTGTCACATATTTGTTCAGTAATTACCTCTAGAGCCCCTGCCACATGCCAGGTTCCATGCTCTGTGTAGTGTGGGGTGTGGAATCTCGTGGGGGCGGAAATTCACTGTTGGGGCTTATGGTACAAAATGAGGCTTCTTTACACTGTGATGAAGAATCGTAAAATGTGCACATAAACCAATTACAACGTATTTCTTTTTCTCAGTTAAGAATGATCTCTGTACGAAGGTATCCACATGTGTGATGGCAGAGGCTGTTCCCAAGTGTTTCTCATGTAAGATGCTGGATGTTACGTGTCGTCCCAGCAGTGACATGCTTGGTGTGGCTCTTGCCTGGCTCACGCGTCTGAGTGTTTTCTGAATAGAATCAATGGGAGTAAGTTGTGTGCGAAGCCATGGATAAACTCAGAGGCCATTAAATGCTTACATAAACTGACGTTGAAGACTGATTACCATCAGAAAAACTGTAAGATGAAACCAATTTTAAAGCTATAAAAGACAGAGTCAAATGGAAACGTACCCTAGCCTGCTGGGGGTAAGTTTTCTTTCCCCTCAAGCACACCGTGTGCTCTGGCAGAAAATACCTAGACATGCCAGAGAATTTAGCCTTCGCTGGCACCTTCTTCCATAGAAAAGTTTTCATATTTCAGGACTGGTGTCCCTACAGGCAGAGGGGCATTTGGTAACACCCTTCTGGTCTTCGTTTGTCTACACTGACCTCCCATTCTGAGGGGCGAACCAAGGCACAGTCTAGCCTCACGGGTTTCCCAAACAATGAGTTCTTTTCCATTAGACCCAGGAACCACCATTAGGGAGAAACGTAAGATAGTAATATTCTTGTGAATAACTTTTGTAAGAAGAGAAAAATAAAACAAATGCCTCTCCAAATATTTTATGATCTATTTACTAAACAAAAAAAAAGAACTCTGATTTCAGGGGAAAGAGTCCAAGTACACGTAGCCAGAGTTTTACCTCTAGTCCATCATGGTACCTTTTCAGTCCGATGGTTTTCTTCCAAAGATGGTTAATGCTCCTGAAAACATGAGGAAAAATGGGAGCCCCAAGACATCTCACAGCAAGTCTACTTGAGAAATTCAGACACAAATGACTTCACAGGGAAATTGCTCATAGCCTAGTAATAGTAACTCTGGAAGATTTGAGACAGGTTAAAGGTCAACATCACTTTGAAGTTCCTTCTTACTGCTGGTCCTTAGGGCAGAAATGGCATGTTCTCCTGGAACCACGGCAAAGGCATTGGATTTTATCCATGGCTTCCTCATGAAACCAAATCATGTTCCTGTAACTGGATTTCTCCTGCTTGGTGGCTGAAGCTGGAATGGGAAATCACTCCAAAGATAAAGCCTTACCTAAAATGTGAATCTACCTTGTAAATTCTGAGAGTAAATCCTACCTCATAATTATTCTTCATGCTTCGGCAGTGTGGTGGTATCTGGCATCCACATCGGGGGTATCTGGCCTGAGAGACGCCAGGGTGCTTTGGGACTTGGTGGTGGTACTCTTTCCCTTCTTGGTGGCTCTTCACACCTGCCTCAGGTGGACTTTGAGCTCTGGGTCAGAGCAGGGGTTGGAGGACTGTGAGCTCGAGGCAGTTTCCCCGGTTTGTGGACAGAGGGCCTGCCTTTCAGTTCAGGGACTGTCTTTTTCATTGGTTACCCTTTTTTTTTTTTTTTTTTGTTGAGACGGAGTCTCACTCTGCCTCCCAGGCTGGAATGCAGTGGCACGATCTCGGCTCATTGCAACCTCCGCCTCCCGGGTTCAAGCTATTCCCCCGCCTCAGCCTCCTGAGTAGCTGAGATTACTGGCATGCACCACCAAACCTGGCTAATTTTTTGTATTATTTAGTAGAGATGGGGTTTCACCGTGTCGTTCAGGCTAGTCTTGAACTCCTGACCTCATGATCCACCCGCCTCAGCCTCCCAAAGTGCTGGAATTACAGGCGTGAGCCACTGCGCCCAGCTGGTTTCCTTTTTATCATGAACAGAGAAACTTGTCGTAGGACGGTTAGCAGAGCGCATGCATAAGGACTGCCCTGCGTTGAGAGGTCACCTGAGGGTGGGCTCACTTGGGTACCGAGTCCGCCCTGAACTGCCTTTCATCAGCACCTCCACCAGGGGCACATGAGAAAAGACAGAAAACGGATGTCTTTTCACTGATGCATCCTGTGGCAAAGTTAAGCTTAAGAATAGATGTGGATACCATGCATCAGCTGCACAGGGACCTTGCTGTGGAATGAGGGAAAGGAATTGATCAGGGCCCCATCAGCTCTGTCGGATTCTGCAGATCGGTGATCCCAATGCCAAGGTTTGTTAGTTGCAAAAGTTTCCATACAACAGCAGCTTCCTTCAAGAACAGCTCATCCCCCACAAGCGGATCTTGTTTGCAGGTATGTTTGGTAGTTTGAGTGGAGATTCCTCTGAAAAAGATTCTAATCACTTTGACCCCGAACAACTTTTATCTCAGTTTTTGACATTTTACTGCCTTGGATTCCATATGCCTGGAATCCAATCACAGTTGAAACTCCCCAGAAGGAATGGATTTCTCTAAGAGAGATTTGCTGTAGAATATTTTGTGCCACAATCCTAAAAGCTGGTTTTCTTGTGGCCAGAATTTTTCAGTAGAGAAGGAATCCTAGAGCAAACACAATTTTTTTTCCAATTTATTTCTGAATTTTATTTTGTTTTTTTTTTTTTTAATTTTATTATTATACTTTTAAGTTCTAGGGTACATGTGCACAACAGGCAGGTTTGTTACATATGTATACAAGTGCCATCTTGGTGTGCTGCACCCATTAACTCGTCATTTAACATTAGGTATATCTCCTAATGCTATCCCTCCCCCCTCCCCCAACCCCACAACAGTCCCCAGTGTGTGATGTTCCCCTTCCTGTGTCCATGTGTTCTCATTGTTCAATTCCCACCTTTGAGTGAGAACATGCGGTGTTTGGTTTTTTGTCCTTGTGATAGTTTGTTGAGAATGATGGTTTCCAGCTTCATCCATGTCCCTACAAAGGACATGAACTCATCATTTTTTATGGCTGCATAGTATTCCATGGTGTATATGTGCCACATTTTCTTAATCCAGTCAATCACTGTTGGACATTTGGGTTGGTTCCAAGTCTTTGCTATTGTGAATAGTGCCACAATAAACATATGTGTGCATGTGTCTTTATAGCAGCATGATTTATAATCCTTTGGGTATATACCCAGTAATGGGATTGCTGGGTCAAATGTTATTTCTAGTTCTAGATCCCTGAGGAATCGCCACACTGTCTTCCACAATGGTTGAACTAGTTTACAATCCCACCAACAGTGTAAAAGTGTTCTATTTCTCCACATCCTCTCCAGCACCTGTTGTTTCCTGACTTAATGATTGCCATTCTAACTGGTGTGAGATGGTATCTCATTATGGTTTTGATTTGCATTTCTCTGATGGCCAGTGATGATGAGCATTTTTTCATGTGTTTTTTGGCTGCATAAATGTCTTCTTTTGAGAAGTGTCTGTTCATATCCTTTGCCCACTTTTTGATGGGGTTGTTTTTTTCTTGTAGATTTGTTTGAGTTCATTGTAGATTCTGGATATTAGCCTTTTGTCAGATGAGTAGATTGCAAAAATTTTCTCTCATTCTGTAGGTTGCCTGTTCACTCTGATGGTAGTTTCTTTTGCTGTGCAGAAGCTCTTCAGTTGAATTAGATCCCATTTGTCAATTTTGGCTTTTGTTGCCATTGCTTTTGGTGTTTTAGACATGAAGTCCTTGCCCATGCCTATGTCCTGAATGGTAATGACTAGGTTTTCTTCTAGGGTTTTTCTGGTTTAGGTCTCACATGTAAGTTTTTAATCCATCTTGAATTAATTTTTGTATAAGGTGTAAGGAAGGGATCCAGTTTCAGCTTTCTACATATGGCTAGCCAGTTTTTCCAGCACCATTAATTAAATAGGGAATCCTTTCCCCATTTCTTGTTTTTGTCAGGTTTGTCAAAGATCAGATAGTTGTAGATGTGTGGTATTATTTCTGAGGGCTCTGTTCTGTTCCATTGGTCTATATCTCTGTTTTGGTACCAGTACCATGCTGTTTTGGTTACTGTAGCCTTGTAGTATAGTTTGAAGTCAGGTAGTGTGATGCCTCCAGCTTTGTTCTTTTGGCTTAGGATTGACTTGGCGATGCGGGCTATTTTTTTGGTTCCATATGAACTTTAAAGTAGTTTTTTCCAATTCTGTGAAGAAAGTCATTGGTAGCTTGATGGAGATGTCATTGAATCTATAAATTACCTTGGGCAGTATGGCCATTTTCACAATATTGATTCTTCCTACCCATGAGCATGGAATGTTCTTCCATTTGTTTGTATCCTCTTTTATTTCATTGAGCAGTGGTTTGTAGTTCTCCTTAAAAGGTCCTTCACATCCCTTGTAAATTGGATTCCTAGGTATTTTATTCTCTTTGAAGCAATTGTGAATGGGAGTTCACTCATGATTTGGCTCTCTGTTTGTCTGTTATTGGTGTATAAGAATGCTTGTGATTTTTGTACATTGATTTTGTATCCTGAGACTTTGCGGAAGTTGCCTATCAGCTCAAGGAGATTTTGGGCTGAGATGGTGGGGTTTTCTAGATATACAGTCATGTCATCTGCAAACAGGGACAATTTGACTTCCTCTTTTCCTAATTGAATACCCTTTATTTCCTTCTCCTGCCTGACTGCCCTGGCCAGAACTTCAAACATTGTGTTGAATAGGAGTGGTGAGAGAAGGCATCCCTGTCTTGTGCCACTTTTCAAAGGGAATGCTTCCAGTTTTTGCCCATTCAGTATGATGTTGGCTGTGGGTTTGTCATAGATAGCTCTTATTATTTTGAGATACGTCCCATCAATACCTAATTTATTGAGAGTTTTTAGCAAGAAGCATTGCTGAATTTTGTCAGAGGCCTTTTCTGCATCTATTGAGATAATCATGTGGTTTTTGTCTTTGGTTCTGTTTATATGCTGGATTACGTTTCTTGATTTGTGTATGTTGAACCAGCCTTGCATCCCAGGAATGAAGCCCACTTGATCATGGTGCATAAGCTTTTTGATGTGCTGCTGGATTCGGTTTGCCAGTATTTTAATGAGGATTTTTGCTTCAATGTTCATCAAGGATATTGGTCTAAAATTCTCTTTTTTGGTTGTGTCTCTGCCTGGCTTTGGTATCAGGATGATGCTGGCCTCATAAAATGAGTTAGGGAGGATTCCCTCTTTTTCTATTGATTGGAATAGTTTCAGAAGGAATGGTACCAGCTCCTCCTTGTACCTCTGGTAGAATTCGGCTGTGAATCCATCTGGTCCTGGACATTTTTTGGTTGGTAAGCTATTAATTATTGCCTAAATTTTTGAGCCTGTTATTGGTCTATTCAGAGATTCAACTTCTTCCTGGTTTCGTCTTGGGAGGGTGTATGTGTTGAGGAATTTATCCATTTCTTCTAGATTTTCTAGTTTATTTGTGTAGAGGTGTTTATAAGATATGATGGTAGTTTGTATTTCTGTGGGATCAGTGGTGATATCCCCTTTATCATTTTGTATTGTGTCTATTTGATTCTTCTCTGTTTTCTTCTTTATTAGTCTTGCTAGTGGTCTATCAATTTGTTGATCTTTTCAAAAAATCAGCTCCTGGATTCATTGATTTTTTGAAGGGTTTTTTGTGTCTCTATTTCCTTCAGTTCTGCTCTGATCTTAGTTATTTCTTGCCTTCTGCATGCTTTTGAATGTGTTTGCTCTTGATTCTCTGGTTCTTTCAATTGTGATGTTAGGGTGTCAATTTTAGATCTTTCCTGCTTTCTCTTGTGGGCATTTAGTGCTATAAATTTCCCTCTACACACTGCTTTGAATGTGTCCCAGAGATTCTGGTATGTTGTGTCTTTGTTCTCATTGGTTTCAAAGAACCTCTTTATTTCTGCCTTCATTTTGTTATGTACCCAGTAGTCATTCAGGAGCATATTTTTCAGTTTCCATGTAGTTGAGCGGTTTTGAGTGAGTTTCTTAATCCTGAGTTCTAGTTTGATTGCACTGTGAGAAACAATTTGTTATAATTTCTGTTGTTTTACATTTGCTGAGGAGTACTTCACTTCCAACTAAGTGGTCAATTTTGGAATAAGTGTGGTGTGGTGCTGAGAAGAATGTATATTCTGTTGATTTGGGGTGGAGAGTTCTATAGATGTCTATTAGGTCTGCTTGGTGCAGAGCTGAGTTCAATTCCTGGATATCCTTGTTAACTGTCTGTCTCGTTGATCTGTCTAATGTTGACAGTGGGGTGTTAAAGTCTCCCATTATTATTGTGTGGGAGTCTAAGTCTCTTTCTAGTCACTAAGGACTTGCTTTATGAATCTGGGTGCTCCTGTATTGGGTGCATATATATTTAGGATAGTTAGCTCTTCTTGTTGAATTGATCCCTTTACCATTATGTAATGGCCTTCTTTGTCTCTTTTAATCTTTGTTGGTTTAAAGTCTGTTTTATCAGAGACTAGGATTGCAACCTCTGCCTTTTTCTGTTTTCCATCTGCTTGGTAGGTCTTCCTTCATCCCTTTATTTTGAGCCTATGTGTGTCTCTGCACATGAGGTGGGTTTCCTGAATACAGCACACTGATGGGTCTTGACTCTTTATCCAGTTTGCTAGTCTGTGTCTTTTAATTGGAGCATTTAGCCCATTTACATTTAAGGTTAATATTGTTATATGTGAATTTGATCCTGTCATTATGATATTAGCTGGTTATTTTGCTCATTAGTTGATGCAGTTTCTTCCTAGCCTTGATGGTCTTTACAATTTGGCTTGTTTTTGCAGTGGCTGTTACCAGTTGTTCCTTTCCATGTTTAGTGCTTCCTTCAAGAGCTCTTGTAGGGCAGGCCTGGTGGTGACAAAATCTCTCAGCATTTGCTTGTCTGTATAATATTTTATTTCTCCTTCACTTATGAAGCTTAGTTTGGCTGGATATGAAATTCTGGCTTGAAAATTCTTTTCTTTAAGAATGTTGAATATTGGTCCCCACTCTCTTCTGGCTTATAGAGTTTCTGCCGAGAGATCAGCTCTTCGTCTGATGATGGGCTTGCCTTTGTGGGTAACCCGACCTTTCTCTCTGGCTGCCCTTAACATTTTTTCCTTGATTTCAACTTTGGTGAATCTGACAATTATGTGTCTTGGAGTCGCTCTTCTCGAGGAGTATCTTTGTGGTGTTCTCTATATTTCCTGAATTTGAGTGTTGGCCTGCCTTGCTAGATTGGGGAAGTTCTCCTGGATAATATCCTGCAGAGTGTTTTCCAACTTGGTTGCGTTCTCCTCGTCACTTTCAGGTCCACCAATCAGATGTAGATTTGGTCTTTTCACATAGTCCCATATTTCTTGGAGGCTTTGTTCGTTTCTTTGTATTCTTTTTTCTCTAAACTTCTCTTCTCACTTCATTTCATTCTTTCATCTTCCATCGCTGATACCCTTTCTTCCAGTTGATCACGTCGGCTACTGAGGCCTTGTGCATTTGTCACGTAGTTCCTGTGCCATGGCTTTCAGCTCCCTCAGGTCCTTTAAGGACTTCTCTGCATTGGTTATTCTAGTTAGCCATTCATCTAATATTTTTTCAAGGTTTTTAACTTCTTTGCCATGGGTTCGAACTTCCTCCTTTAGCTTGGAGTAGTTTGATCTTTTGAAGCCTTCTTCTGTCAGCTCATCAAAGTCATTCTCCATCCAGCTTTGTTCCATTGCTGGTGAGGAGCTGTGTTCCTTTGGAGGAGGAGAGGCGCTCCGATTTTTAGCGTTTCCAGTTTTTCTGCACTGTTTTTTCCCCATGTTGGTGGTTTTATCTACCTTTGGTCTTTGATGATGGTGATGTACAGATGGGTTTTTGGTGTGGATGTCCTTTCTGTTTGCTAGTTTTCCTTCTGACAGTGAGGACCCTCAGCTACAGGTCTGTTGGATTTTGCTGGAGTTCCACTGCAGACCCTGTTTGCCTGGGTATCAGGAGCAGTGGCTGCAGAACAGCGCCTATTGGTGAATTGCAAATGCTGCTGCCTGATCGTTCCTCTGGAAGTTCTGTCTTGGAGGAGTACCCAGTCGTGTGAGGTGTCAGTCCGCCCCTACAGGGGGGTGCCTCCCATTTAGGCTACTCGGGGGTCAGGGACCCAACTTGAGGAGGCAGTCTGCCTGTTCTCAGATCTCAAGCTGCATGCTGGGAGAACTACTACTCTCTTCAAGGCTGTCAGAAAGGGACATTTAAGTCTGCAGAGGTTTCTCCTGCCTTTTGTTTGTCTGTGCCCTGCCCCCAGAGGTGGAGTCTACAGAGGCAGGCAAGCCTCCTTGAGCTGTGGTGGGCTCCACCCAGTTCGAGCTTCCCGGCGGCTTTGTTTACCTACTCAAGCCTCGGCAATGGCGGACACCCCACCCCCAGCCTCGCTGCCACCTTGCAGTTTGATCTCAGACTGCTGTGCTAGCAATGAGCGAGGCTCTGTGGGCATGGGACCCTCCCAGCCATGCGCGGGATATAATCTCCCAGTGTGCCATTTGTTAAGCCCATTGTAAGAGTGTGGTATTAGGGTGGGAGTGACCCGATTTTCCAGGTGCCGTCTGTCACCCCTTTCTTTGACTAGGAAGGGGAATTCCCTGACCCCTTTCACTTCCCGGGTGAGGTGATGCCTCACCCTGCTTCGGCTCACTCACGGTGCACTGCACCCACTGTCCTGCACCCACTGTCCAGCACTCCCCAGTGAGATGAACCTAGTACCTCAGTTGGAAATGCAGAAATCACCCGTCTTCTTCATCGCTCACACTGGGAGCTGTAGACTGGAGCTGTTCCTATTTGGTCATCTTGGCTCAAAAACCTTGCCCTTGCTCTAGAGCCACTGGAGGGGGAAGGGCCAAGTGCCAGCTGCTCTGGCATGCCAGCATCACTATTCCCAAGTCACATGTGGTTGGAAAGCATCATACTAGATGACCACACAACTGCCTGGGGATCAGGGCACAACAATAAGGCACCAACTGCCCTCAAACTAGACTTTGTTTACATTTGTGAAGTCTCTCCAAACATCCTGCAGGACATTTATTTGTAAACATCCAAGGCTAGGTCTGTGGTAACAATGCCAAGGCATTTGCTGTCAAGGCTGAAGGACACTGCTAAACTTTCTGACTGAGAAACTTTCTTTCTGGATGATTGAACATGTGGTTGTTTTCAGGTCTTCAAAAGATAACCTGAAAATGAATGAAAAGGAACTTCTTGAAAGGTTTAGGGAGAAGAAGGACATCTCAGGTGGAAGTTCCTCTATGGATGGAACAGAATGAATATACTTGGTTTTGCTGAAATAAACAAGCAAACAAAACTAAAGTAAAAGTGCCTCCTAGATCTCAGTGGCTTAACACAAAAGTCTGCTTCCAGCCCCTGCTGCTTGCACACTGTGGGTCAGCAGGAGGCCCTGCAGAGTGAGGTCACTCCTGGAACTAGGCTGGCAGAGACTTTATCTGTTCACAGGCTGCCACAGTCACCTTGGCAAGGAAAGGGAGTATGGCAAACCAGGCCCTGAGGTGCTTCAGGCTCCTGCGGGGAAGCGACACACCTCATTTTCACTTACATTTTACTCTTCAAGTCACATGGTCACACACGTTTAAGTGGCCGGTGAAATGTGTTACTTCCATATTTCCAGAGAAAGACTTGGAAATATTTGTGGCCAGCACCATAACACAGCAGCTCTAGGAGTTTTCCCACAACACAGCACCTCTAGGAAACGCCTCTTCATTCTGGTATTTTGGTTGCCAACACAGCAACAGCTCCCTGCACCCAGCAGAAAGCCAATCCTGAGAGTAAGCAAACCCTGCGCATCCCCACGGGAGACCACCCAGCTGCAGCCTCCTGGTTCTTGAAGGAGAGTCTGCAACACAAATGAGAAAAACCAAGATGAACTGAAAAAAAAAAAAAAAAGACTAACGAGAAAAAGTAACTCAAATAATATAAGTTCTCTAATAACTATTTGTAGAAAGATTTAAGATGATATCGTAGCCACAAAACAAGAACAGAATGCCATGGGAAGGAACAATCAGAAAACAAAAAAGAGATCTCAAAAATTAAAAATATGACTATCAGACCAGCCTGAGCAACATGGCGAAACCCTGCCTCTACAAAAAATACAAAAAAATCAGGTAGACACGGTGGTGTGTGCCTGAAGTCCCCACTACTCAGGAAGCGGGGGCAGGAGGATTGCATGAGCTGGGGTGGGGGTGCAGAGGTTACAGTTAGCTGAGATCACGCCACTGCACTCCATCCTGGGCAACAGACTGAGACCCTGTCTCAAAAAAAAAAAAAGACTATCAAAACCATGCAATAAGGCCAGGCACGGTGGCTCACGCCTGTAATCCCAGCACTTTGGGAGGCCAAGGTGGGTGGATCATGAGGTCAAGAGATGGAGACCATCCTGGCTAACATGGTAAAACCCCATCTCTACCAAAAATACAAAAATTAGCTGGGCGTGGTGGCACGTGCCTGTAGTCCCAGCTACTCGGGAGGCCGAGGCAGGAGAATCGCTTGAACCCAGGAGGCGAAGGTTGCAGTGAGCCAAGATTGCACCGCTGCACTCCAGCCTGGGCAACAGAAGCAAGACTCTTGGTCTCAAAGAAAACAAAAAAATCAATAAAAGCAAAGAAACAACAGATGATAGACTGATAGACTGACAATTTTTGCAACATGTCTAGTAAGTAAAGAGTCTGAGTCCAAATATTATCAAATTATAGTAATATATGTTATGGACATTTTTTAAACTACTGCATCATAACTAAATAAAAGATGGTAGAAAAATGGGCAAAGCTTAAGAACAAGGCCATTAACTGAAAAGGGAAAACAAATGGTCAATAAGTGTATAGGACGCTGAGCCTTGTTGGTTATCAGGGAAATGCAAATTCAACTTATGACAACATCTTTTCACCAAATGGATTAGCAAATACTAAGAAGATTGATTTTGTCAAGTATTTAGAAATCTTTGAGTAAACGTTTACTCTCGTATAGTGTTGGTTGGCTTAAATAGTATTTAAACCAAGGTCAACTAAGCAGCACCTGTGTTTGTCTCAGTGATTCTCACAGTAGCTGACCTGGTAGGACATTATATCTATGCATAAGAAGACATGTACAAAGCCATTCATAGAAGTATTGTTTCTTTTCTAAGCAGCTTTATAAAGATAGAATTCACATGCCATATAATTCACCCATTTAAAGTGTGCGATTGAATGAGTTTTAGCACAAGGTCATGCAGCCATGTATTAGGGTTCTGTAGAGGAGATACACACATACATATATATGGGAGTTTATTAAGTAGTGTGTGTGTATGTATGTGTGCATATATATATAGGGGAGTTTATTAAGTATTAACTTACGTAATCACAACATCCCACAATAGGCTGTCCGCAAGCTGAGGAGCAAGGAGAGCCAGTCCCAGTCCCAAAACTGAAGAACTTGGGGTCTGATGTTCCAGGGCAGGAAGCATCTAGCACAGGAGAAAGATGTAGGCTGGGAGCCTAGGCCCACCTCTCCTTTTCATGTTTTTCTGCCTGCTTTGTATTTGCTGGCAGCTGATTAGATTGTGCCCACCAGATTAAGGGTGGATCTGCCTTCCCCAGCCCCCTGACCCAAATGTTAAACTCTTTTGGCAACACCCTCACAGACACATCCAGGATCAATACTTTGTATCCTTTAATCTAATCAAGTTGACACTCAGTATCAACCATCACAAGTCCACCCCAAGTCAACTTGAACCCATACACATCTCCTGAGAACACACATAGTCTTCAAATAAAGACAATAATAAGGTCATAATTACCCCTAACATACTACAGCTATCCTTCGTACAACCAGAAATACACCAATCCCCAACCCAAATACTATTACATAAAGTTAACAATACTTAACATGCTGATATGAAGTCAATAAATGTTATGTCACATGATAAAGGAAAAGGAAATATACTTTCTTAGTACAAGTGTATACATGCACAAACATGTTTTTAGCAAAAAAAGGAGGAAATAATTACAGACTTCATTTCTGCAGCTGGTCACATGGTTGTAGCTGGTATCGATAACTACCTTTTTCTACTACCCGTTCTGTATTCCCTTTGCCTTCAGCAAGCACCTCAGCAAGACGTGGGTTTTTTCTTGGTGGAGTGACCCAAACCTTCATTCCTGAATGGTCTGGGTCATTTGTAGTCCTGCCTGGATTGGGCTGTTGTAGTTTCCCATTGACCTTAGTCACAGGGCATGGTGATACTAAGAGACGCCCTAATGGATCTCCTGTATTCCATGCATACTCTTCCTTACCTCCTTTGTGGAGTAGTAGACTGATTTCATCTTGATAGTCCAGGTCAGTCACCCCAGTCAACACTGTAACTCCCTTCTTGGCCTGTTGACTTAAAGGTGGGAGGAGCCCAAAGTGTCCAGGTGGGTACCAATCTTCCAGTTTAATGGAATCATTGTGTCTCCTGGTGGCAGCATTTCTCCCTCTGGAACTAAGATCTCCAGGCCAGCAGAATGTAATGTCGGGGGAACAGGAAGCAAAAATTTTGCTAGGGGATCACTAGGGGTGATGGTGAGTGGTGTCAGTTCAGTTTCACCCCTTGATTCCTGGACCGTGAATCCTGGCTATGGGAGAAACAGTACCGTATATTGGATGCTAATTCAGAACATATACGGCCTGCTGGAGAACTTTGCCTCAGCCCTGCAAAGTGTTGTCACCTAGTTGGCATTGTAATTGTGACTTCAAAAGGCCATTCCACCGTTCTTTGCAGCCTCTTCAGGATGATGGAGAACATGGTAAGACCAGTGAATTCCATGAGCATAAGCCCACTGCCACACCTCTTTAGCTGTAAAGTGAGTGCCTTGGTCAGAGGCAGTGCTGTGTGGAATACCATGATGGTGGATAAGGCATTCCGAGACTCCACGGATGGTAGTCTTGGCAGAAGCATTTCGTGCAGGATAGGCAAACCCATATCCGGAGTAAGTGTCTATTCCAGTGAGGACAAACCACTGCCGTTTCCATGATGGAAAAGGTACAATATAATCAACTTGCCACCAGGTTGCTGGCTGATCACCCCAAGGAATGGTGCCATATCACCACAGTCATTCCCAAAAGAAACCCCATGCTTGGTAGCAGTCATTCCCCATCTCCCTCTTAAGCCCTAGGTAACCACTCATCTAATGTCTGTATCTACAAATTTGCCTATCTGGACATTTCATGTAAATGGAGTAGTATAATACGTGGTCCTTCCTGACAGGCTTTTTTCCCTTAGCATAGTATTTTCAAGTCATGCATGTTGTCACATACATCAATGTTTCTTTTTATTGCCAAATACTATTCCATTGTTTGGAGATATCACATTGTATAAATACAGTCATTGGTTGATTGGTATTTGGATTGTTTCCACTTTTTTGGCTGTTAGGAATAATGCTGATATAAACTTTTGTGTACGAGTTACCATGTGGACATGTTTTCATTTCCCTTGTGTATATACCTGGGAATGGAATTGGTGAGTGAGAATTCTGTGTTTAACTTTTGGAGTAGCTGCCAAACTCTTTTCCAAAGTGGCGGCACCACTTTACGTTTCTGGTAGCAGTGAATGAAGGCTACTGTTTCTCCATGTTCTCTCCAACTTACTGTTTTTTGTTAGAGTCATCCTAGTGGGTACAATGTGGTATGTCCTTGTGGTTTTGGTTTGCACTTCCCTAATGACTAATATATCATTAGCATCTTTTTATTTGCTTATGGATTGTTCATATATCTTTTTTGCGGAAGTGCCTGTTAAAATCCTTTGCCCATTTTTAAATTGGATTGTCATTTTCTTGTCGAGCTGCAAGCTTTCTTTATATATTCTGGATGCAGTTCCTTTATCAGACAAATGCTTTGCACAGATTTTCTCCCAGTGTATGAGTTGGCTTTTCACTCTCTTGATGGTATCTTTTGAAACACAGGTTTTCAGTTTTGATGCAATCCAGTTAAACTATTTTTTCTTTTGTTGCGTGTGCTTTTGCTGCTGTGTCTAAGAAACTATTGCCTAATTCAAGGTCATGAAGATTTACCCCTATGTTTTCTTCCAAGAGGTTTCTAGTTTTAGCTCTGATATTTACATCTGTGATCCATTTTTTAGTTAATTTTTTTGTATGGTCTGAAATAGGTGTACAACTTCATCCTTTCGCATATGGATATCCAGTTGTCCCAACACTGTTGGTTGAAGACTGTTCTTTCCCCGATGAATATTCTTGGCACCTTTGTTTAAAAAAAAATTGTTTTCTGGACTCTATATTCCATTGTTAGAAACGACTGTCCTTATGCCATTACCTTGCTGTCTTGATTGCTACAGATAGCTAGAAAGTTTTGGAATCAGGAAATCTGAGTTCTTCAACTTCTTTTGAAGTATTACTTTGGCTATTCTGGGTCTGTTGCATTTTCATCTGAATTTTAGGAACAGCTTGTCATTTTTCGCAAAAAAAAAAAAAAGCTGGGATTTTTTTATAGGGATTACGTTGAATCTGTAGACCAATTTGTGAAGCAGTTACATTTTTTACAATGTCATCTGATCCAAGAATATAAAATATCTTTCCATTTATTTAGATATTTGTTAATACCTTTCAGCAATGTATTGTAGTCTTCATCTTACAAACCCTCCAGGTCTTTTTTTAATGTATTCCTAAGTGTTTCTTTTTGATGCTACTTAAATTGAATTGTTTTTAAATTTCATTTTCCAACTGTTCATTGCTAACATATAGAAATGCAGTTGATTTTTATATATTGGCCTTGTATCCTGCAATCTTACTGAATCTGTCATATAGGTTTTTTAATGGATTCCTTGGGATTTTCTGTATATAAGATTTTAGCATCTGCAAATAGAGATAATTTTACTTCTTCTTTCCAATCTGTATGCTTTATATTTCTTTTCCTTGCCTAGTTGCCCTAGATAGAACTCCCAGTACAGTGTTGAATGGGAGTAGCAGGACGTCCTTGTCTTGTTCCTTATCTTAGGGGACAAGCATTTAGTATTTCACCATTAAATATGCTGTTAGCTGTGGAGTTTTGTAGATGCCCTTTATCAGGTTGAGCATGCTCCCTTCTATTCCTAGTTTGTTGAGTATTTTTATCAGGAAGGAGTGTTGAAATTTGTCAAATGCTTTTCCTGCACCTATTGAGATGATCTTGTGGATTTTGCTCCTTATTAACATGGAGGATTATATTGATTGATTTTTTTTTTTTTTTTGAGAGGGAGTCTCACTCTGTTGCCCAGGCTGGAGTGCAGTTGCACAATCTCGGATCACTGCAACCCTTGCCCACCGGGTTCAAGCGATTCTCGTGCCTCAGCCTCCTGAGTAGCTGGGATTACAGGCACGCACCACCATGCCAGGCTAATTTTTTTTTTTTTTTTTTTTTTTTTTTTTGTGGTAGAGATAGGGTTTCACCATGTTGGCCAGGCTGGTTGCAAACTCCTGGCCTCAAGTGTTCCACCTGTCTCAGCCTCCCAAACTGCTGGGATTACAGGGGTTAGCCAGTGTGCCCAGTCTGATTTTTCCATATGTTAAACCAAGCTTGAGTCCTAGCATAAATCATATTTGATCATAATGTAGAATCCTTTTTATATGTGGCTGGATTGGGCTTGCTAGTATTTTGTGGAGGGGTTTTCTGTGCATATTCATATATGATACAGTGTTGTTTCTTATAGTGAAAATTTTGAAACAACCTAAATGTCCATTAGTAGGTGAGTAGATATATAAACTTCATAGCGATTTAAGCAAAAAAATAGAGCTATACATAATAACATACATGATCTCTGAGACATGTTTTTAAAAATTGCAAATGTAGTATGATATAATATTGAGTTACTCCTAACATAGAATTGAGACAAATGTAAATATGAAAATACTATGCTATGTTTTTGTTTGTGTAGTATTAAACTTCTTCCAGTGAGAAAGTATACTCAAGTGTATTTGTATAAATTCAAAATATATAAATTGTTTTTTAAAAGGAAAATGACAATGAACACACTGATATCAATAAATCTATGTCCTAACGAATTTCACTGTAAACCAAGGAAAGTCCTGTTAGCCTACAACACTGTGCTATTTCTCCCTACCACACCTACTGCAAGCAGTCAGTATGATTAGAACTTGTCTCACTTTAAAATTTGAAATAAATTTACCAGCACAGGATCTATACAAGTATCCAGCAATAGGAAAAAGATAAAGGGGACAAGGAAAACATATGACTTTTTAAAAATCTTGGCAAAATCTTACCAAGGAAAAGATGAAAATTGTGACCCAGAGTTACTGCCATAAATTTCAGAAATTGATCAACAGTAGCCTTGATAAAATAGGAACTCATAGGCCAGGCACAATGGCTCACGCCTGTAACCCCAGCACTTTGGGAGGCCGGGGCAGGTGGATCACCTGAGGTCAGGAGTTCCAGACCAGCCTGCCCAACATAGTGCAACCCCATCTCTACTAAAAATACAAAAATTAGCTGTGCATGGTGGTGGGCGCCTGTAATCCCAGCTACTAAGGAAGCTGAGGTAGGAGAATTGCTTGAACCCGGAAGGTGGAGGTTGCATTGAGCTGAGATCACGGCACTGTGCTCCAGCCTAGGCAACAGAGCAAAACTCCATCTCGAAAACAAAAAAAAAGAAAGAAAATAAGAATTCATAGCTAAGATACAAAACCTCAAGAAAGAAACAGTGATACAATGAAGCAAGAAAGAGAGATGAAACGTGACTTAGCAGAATTGAGGACATACGTAGGAGAGGTCACTGAATCCATCACAGAAACCAGGTCTACGTGGAAGCAGACAGAGAAAATCAGCACTATGAGAGTGCAGTAAGAAACCTGGAGGACAGGATTGAGAAAAACAGCAGTGGAAAATGGAAATAAACAAAAAGTCCCAGGATAAAAGATCAAATGAGCACTGCAGAAGGCAAAGGAGACAAATGTATATACTTTGATATCCCCCCCAAAAGAAAACCAAGCAAATAGATCAGAAAAAAGATATGTGTACAGATAATATAGCCTTGTATCCCAGGAAAAGTTGGCACAAAGCTATGAATAGCCTAATAGTTATTAGACATTAAAGGTAAGACTCTTTTGAGCATCCCATCTAAATTTTAGAGAACCTAATAATAGGGCAGTAACCAGCAGTCCTCAGACTTCTCCACGGTCACATTTTATGGAGCCACTCATACAACAGCCTCAGAGAAAGCAAGTATGACCTCAACATGTTACAGCAGCCAAATTGACATTCAAGGATAAGGACAATGAACAGTTATTTTTTGCTGTACAGTATCATATTTCAGAAAATGGAATTCCCATAAGCCCATCTCAAAGGGAACACATTTGAGACCAGCAAGAATTTATTAGAGAAACTGGCAGAAAAATGCATAACAAACATTAAATTCCTTTTTAGGATGAAAACTAAAACAACTATAGGAATTACCTTAGAGAGTAAAAAGTAAATATGACAAACTAATACAATGTCAAAATGATATAATAAAAGTTGAAATGGGATGTGAGAAAGTAGGATGCACCATAATTATTCTCATTTCCTTATTTTGTAATATCCAGGGACAAAATTGCATCTCATAAGTTACACAATAGAAGTATAAATATACGGGCCTATGGAAGAACATTAAATAAAACAAAAATAACAACTAGAATTTATTGGTAGGGGACAGGATGAAGAAATCCAACTAAATAGTATACAGCTCCACTGTTTTCTCATTTAATGAACCAAATGGGGGTAGGAAAGTACAAATATGTAAAATAATAGAGAATAGGGAAATAAAGTATAGAGGAAATTAATAAGTCATAAGAGATTACATTGCTCGGTTCTGTAAATAAGTTTAAAACCTGTTTGAAATGAATGATTGAAAAAATTTCCCAATCGTGCCTCTATATAAAATCAACACAGATAAGTTATTATAGAAGCATAGAAATACTCCTAATTAAAGCAAGAATAATACTGATACCAAAACCGAATCCAACAAAGGAAGCATAAGAACAATTACAGAGCATTCTTAGGAATAATTTTGCAAAAGTTCTAAATATAATATTAGCAAACAATTCAGCAGCATATTAAAATAATATGCTATCACCAAGTGAGGTTTATTCTGAGATGGGAAGATGGTTTTATATTAGAAAATATATTAATATAATTATACTGTTAATAGAACAAGGTGTGAGAGCAAGAGGAAACTATGCCCTTAGATGCTGAAAGAGCATGCAGTAAAATTCAACCTTTATTCCTAACAAAACTCTTCATATGAGAATAATGTATATGTCTTTAATATGATTATATTATGCATAAAATATGTTATATATGAGATGTTATTATACACTCTATATAACCGTAAGCCCGCATTATATTCAACAGCAAAACACTGTAAGCATTCTTGTTGTAATAAAAAACAAAACAAAGGTGTACATTCTCTCCAGGAATATTTGACATTTTTCTGATGGTGCTCACCAATGCATTTAGAAAAGAAAAATGACTACGGCCGCACCGCCCCAAATGTGTCTGATCTTGTCTGATCTCAGAAGCTAAGCAAGGTCAGGTCTGGTTAGTACTTGGATGGGTGAGAAATATATATGTTTATACCATAAACAGTTCAAAAGAGTAAAACTATTACTGTGGTAGATATTATTGTGATATTATTATTTATCTTGAAAACCTAAGAGAATTAACCTTGAAAATATGACATATTATAAAAGGATTCAGGAAGTTGGGTACAAAATTAATACATAGAAATCAGTTGCCTTTTTTTAATTATACTTTAAGTTTTAGGGTACATGTGCACAACGTGCAGGTTTGTTACATATGTATACATGTGCCATGTTGGTGTGCTGCACCCATCAACTCGTTATTTAACATTAGGTATATCTCCTAATGCTATCCCTCCCCCCCTCCCCCCACCCCACAACAGTCCCCAGTGTGTGATGTTCCCCTTCCTGTATCCATGTGTTCTCATTGTTCAATTCCCACCTATGAGTGAGAACATGCGGTGTTTGGTTTTTTGTCCTTGTGATAGTTTGTTGAGAATGATGGTTTCCAGCTTCATCCATGTCCCTACAAAGGACATGAACTCATCATTTTTTATGGCTGCATAGTATTCCATGGTGTATATGTGCCACATTTTTTTAATCCAGTCTATCATTATTGGACATTTGGGTTGGTTCCAAGTCTTTGCTATTGTGAATAGTGCCGCAATAAACATACGTGTGCATGTGTCTTTATAACAGCATGATTTATAATCCTTTGGGTATACACCCAGTAATGGGATGGCTGGGTCAGATGGTATTTCTAGTTCAAGATCTCTGAGGAATCGCCACACTGACTTCCACAATGGTTGAACTAGTTTACAGTCCTACCAGCAGTGTAAAAGTGTTCCTATTTCTCCACATCCTCTCCAGCACCTGTTGTTTCCTGACTTTTTAATGATTGCCATTCTAACTGGTGTGAGATGGTATCTCATTGTGGTTTTGATTTGCATTTCTCTGATGGCCACTGATGGTGAGCATTTTTTCACGTGTCTGTTGGCTGCATAAATGTCTTCTTTTGAGAAGTGTCTGTTCATATCCTTTGCCCACTTTTTGATGGGGCTGTTTGTTTTTTTCTTGTAGATTTGAGTTCATTGTAGATTCTGGATATTAGCCCTTTGTCAGATGAGTAGATTACAAAAATTTTCTCCCATTCTGCAGGTTGCCTGTTCACTCTGATGGTAGTTTCTTTTGCTTTGCAGAAGCCCTATACTTTAATTTTGTCAATTTTGTCCCATTTGTCAATTTTGGCTTTTGTTGCCATTGCTTTTGGTGTTTTAGACATGAAGTCCTTCCCCATGCTTATGTCCTGAATGGTATTGCCTAGGTTTTCTTCTAGGGTTTTTATGGTTTTAGATCTAACATTTAAGTCTTTAATCCATCTTGAATTAATTTTTGTATAAGGTGTAAGGAGGGGATCCAGTTTCAGCTTTCTACATATGGCTAGCCAGTTTTCCCGCCACCATTTATTAAATAGGGAATCCTTTCCCCATTGCTTGTTTTTGTCAGGTTTGTCAAAGATCAGATGGCTGTAGATGTGCAGTATTATTTCTGAGGGCTCTGTTCTATTCCATTGGTCTATAGCTCTGTTTTGGTACCAGTACCATGCTGTTTTGGTTACTGTAGCCTTGTAGTATAGTTTGAAGTCAGGTAGCGTGATGCCTCCAGCTTTGTTCTTTTGGCTTAGGATTGACTTGGCAATGCGGGCTCTTTTTTGGTTCCATAGGAACTTTAAAGTAGTTTTTTCCAATTCTGTGAAGAAAGTCATTGGTAGCTTGATGGGGATGGCATTGAATCTATAAATTACCTTGGGCAGTATGGCCATTTTCATGATATTGATTCTTCCTACCCATGAGCATGGAATGTTCTTCCATTTGTTTGTATCCTCTTTTATTTCATTGAGCAGTGGTTTGTAGTTCTCCTTGAAGAGGTCCTTCACATCCCTTGTAAGTTGGATTCCTAGGTATTTTATTCTCTTTGAAGCAATTGTGAATGGGAGTTCACTCATGATTTGGCTCTCTGTTTATCTGTTACTGGTGTATAAGAAAGACTGTGATTTTTGCACATTGATTTTGTATCCTCAGACTTTGCGGAAGTTGCCTATCAGCTCAAGGAGATTTTGGGCTGAGATGGTGGGGTTTTCTAGATATACAGTCATGTCATCTGCAAACAGGGACAATTTGACTTCCTCTTTTCCTAATTGAATACCCTTTATTTCCTTCTCCTGCCTGACTGCCCTGGCCAGAACTTCCAACACTATGTTGAATAGGAGTGGCGAGAGAGGGCATCCCTGTCTTGTGCCAGTTTTCAAAGGGAATGCTTCCAGTTTTTGCCCATTCGGTATGATATTGGCTATGGGTTTGTCATAAATAGCTCTTATTATTTTGAGATACCTATCAATACCTAATTTATTGAGAGTTTTTAGCATGAAGAGTTGTTGAATTTTGTCAAAGGCCTTTTCTGCATCTATTGAGATAATCATGTGGTTTTTGTCTTTGGTTCTGTTTTCATGATGGATTACGTTTATTGATTTGCATATGTTGAACCAGCCTTGCATCCTAGGGATGAAGCCAACTTGATTGTGGTGGATAAGCTTTTTGATGGGTAAGCTTCTTGATGTGCTGCTGCATTCGGTTTGCCAGTATTTTATTGAGGATTTTTGCATCAATGTTCATCAGGGATATTGGTCTAAAATTCTCTTTTTTTGTTGTGTCTCTGCCAGGCTTTGGTATCAGGATGATGCTGGCCTCATAAAATGAGTTAGGGAGGATTCCCTCTTTTTCTATTGATTGGAATAGTTTCAGAAGGAATGGTACCAGCTCCTCCTTGTACCTCTGGTAGAATTCGGCTGTGAATCCATCTGGTCCTGGACTTTTTTTGGTTGATAAGCTATTAATTATTGCCTCAATTTCTGAGCCTGTTATTGGTCTATTCAGAGATTCAACTTCTTCCTGGTTTAGTCTTGGGAGGGAGTATGTGTTAAGGAATTTATCCATTTCTTCTAGATTTTCTAGTTTATTTGCATAGAGGTGTTTATGGTATCTCTGATGGCAGTTTGTATTTCTGTGGGATCAGTGGTGATATCTGCTTTATCATTTTTTATTGCATCTATTTGATTCTTGTCTCTTTTCTTCTTTATTAGTCTTGCTAGTGGTCTGTCAATTTTGTTGATCTTTTCAAAAATCCATCTCCTGGATTCATGGATTTTTTGAAGGGTTTTTTGTGTCTCTATTTCCTTCAGTTCTGCTCTGATCTTAGTTATTTCTTGCCTTCTGCTAGCTTTTGAATGTGTTTGCTCTTGCTTCTCTAGTTCTTTTAATTGTGATGTTAGGGTGTCAATTTTAGATCTTTCCTGCTTTCTCTTGTGGGCATTTAGTGCTATAAATTTCCCTCTACACACTGCTTTAAATGTGTCCCAGAGATTCTGGTATGTTGTGTCTTTGTTCTCGTTGGTGTCAAAGAACATCTTTATTTCTGCCTTCATTTCGTTATGTACCCAGTAGTCATTCAGGAGCAGGTTGTTCAGTTTCCATGTAGTTGAGCAGTTTTGAGTGAGTTTCTTAATCCTGAGTTCTAGTTTGATTGCACCGTGGTCTGAGAGACAGTTTGTTATAATTTCTATTGTTTTACATTTGCTGAGGAGTACTTTACTTCCAACTAAGTGGTCAATTTTGGAATAAGTGTGGTGTGGTGCTGAGAAGAATGTATATTCTGTTGATTTGGGGTGGAGAGTTCTATAGATGTCTATTAGGTCCACTTGGTGCAGAGCTGAGTTCAATTCCTGGATATCCTTGTTAACTTTCTGACTCGTTGATCTGTCTAATGTTGACAGTGGGGTGTTAAAGTCTCCCATTATTATTGTGTGGGAGTCTAAGTCTCTTTGTAGGTCACTCAGGACTTGCTTTATGAATCTGGGTGCTCCTGTATTGGGTGCATATATATTTAGTATAGTTAGCTCTTCTTGTTGAATTGATCCCTTTACCATTATGTAATGGCCTTCTTTGTCTCTTTTGATCTTTGTTGGATTAAAGTCTGTTTTATCAGACTAGGATTGCAACCCCTGCCTTTTTTTGTTTTCCATTTGCTTGGTAGATCTTCCTCCATCCTTTTATTTTGAGCCTATGTGTGTCTCTGCACATGAGATGGATTTCCTGAATACAGCACACTGATGGGTCTTGACTCTTTATCCAGTTTGCTAGTCTGTGTCTTTTAATTGGAGCATTTAGCCCATTTACATTTAAGGTTAATATTGTTATATGTGAATTTGATCCTGTCATTATGATGTTAACTGGATATTTTGCTCGTTAGTTGGTGCAGTTTCTTCCTAGCCTTGATGGTCTTTACAATTTGGCTTGTTTTTGCAGTGGCTGTTACCAGTTGTTCCTTTCCATGTTTAGTGCTTCCTTCAGGAGCTCTTGTAGGGCAGGCCTGGTGGTGACAAAATCTCTCAGCATTTGCTTGTCTGTATAGTATTTTATTTCTCCTTCACTTATGAAGCTTAGTTTGGCTGGATATGAAATTCTGGGTTGAAAATTCCTTTCTTTAAGAATGTTGAATATTGGCCCCCACTCTCTTCTGGCTTGTAGAGTTTCTGCCAAGAGATCCACTGTTAGTCTGATGGGCTTCCCTTTGTGGGTAACCTGACCTTTCTCTCTGGCTGCCCTTAACATTTTTTCCTTGATTTCAACTTTGGTGAATCTGACAATTATGTGTCTTGGAGTTACTCTTCTCAAGGAGTATCTTTGTGGATTTCTCTGTATTTCCTGAATTTGAGTGTTGGCCTGCCTTGCTAGATTGGGGAAGTTCTCCTGTATAATATCCTGCAGAGTGTTTTCCAACTTGGCTCCATTCTCCCCGTCACTTTCAGGTACACCAATCAGAAGTAGATTTGGTCTTTTCACATAGTCCCATATTTCTTGGAGGCTTTGTTCATTTCTTTTTATTCTTTTTTCTCTAAACTTCTCTTCTCGCTTCATTTTATTCATTTCATCTTCCATTGCTGATACCCTTTCTTCCAGTTGACCGAATCAGCTACTGAGGCTTCTGCATTCGTCACGTAGTTCTCATGGCTTGGTTTTCAGCTCCCTCAGGTCCTTTAAGGACTTCTCTGCATTGGTTATTCTAGTTAGCCATTCATGTAATCTTTTTTCAAGGTTTTTAACTTCTATGCCATAGGTTTCAACTTCCTCCTTTAGCTCGGAGTAGTTTGATCATCTGAAGCCTTCTTCTCTCAGCTTATCATTCTCTGTCCCTTTGTTCCCTTGCTGGTGAGGAGCTGCGTTCCTTTGGAGGAGGAGAGGTGCTCTGATTTTTAGAGTTTCCAGTTTTTCTGCTCTGTTTTTCCCCATGTTTGTGGTTTTATCTACCTTTGGTCTTTGATGATGGTGACATACAGATGGGGTTTTGGTGTGGATATCCTTTCTGTTTGTTAGTTTTCCTTCTAACAGTCAGGACCCTCAGCTACAGGTCTGTTGGATTTTGCTGGAGGTCCACTCCAGACCCTGTTGGCCTGGGTATCAGCAGCAGAGGCTGCAGAACAACGGATATTGGTGAACAGCAGATGTTGCTGCCTGATCGTTCCTCTGGAAGTTTTGTCTCAGAGGGATACCCAGCTGTGTGAGGTGTCAGTCTGCCCCTACTGGGGGGTGCCTCCCAATTAGGCTACTCAGGGGTCAGGGACCCACTTGAGGAGGCAGTCTCTCTGTTCGCAGATGTCCAGCTGTGTGCTGGGAGAACCACTACTCTCTTCAAGGCTGTCAGAAAGGGACATTTAAGTCTGCAGAGGTTACTGCTGCCTTTTGTTTGGCTATGCCCTGCCCTGAGAGGTGGAGTCTACAGAGGAAGGCAGGCCTCCTTGAGCTGCGGTGGGCTCCACCCAGTTCGAGCTTCCCGGTGGCTTTGTTTACCTACTCAAGCCTGGACAATGGCGGGCGCCCCTCCCCCAGCCTCACTGCCGCCTTGCAGTTTGATCTCAGACTGCTGTGCTAGCAATGAGCGAGGCTCCGTGGGTGTAGGACCCTCCGAGACATGCGCAGGATATAATCTCCTGGCGTGCCGTTTGCTAAGACCGTTGGAAAAGCACAGTATTAGGGTGGGAGTGACCCGATTTTCCAGGTGCCATCTGTCACCCCTTTCTTTGACTAGGAAAGGGAATTCCCTGACCCCTTGCGCTTCCCGGGTGATGGGATGCCTCGCCCTGCTTCAGCTCACGCTCAGTGCACTGCACCCACTGTCCTGCACCCACTTTCCGACACTCCCCAGTGAGATGAACCCGGTACCTCAGTTGGAAATGCAGAAATCACCTGTCTTCTGTGTCACTCACACTGGGAGCTGTAGACTGGAGCTGTTCCTATTCGGCCATCTTGGCTCTTTTTTTTCCAGTTGCATTTTTTGTACAAATTAATAAACGGTTAAAAGATAAAAGGTAGGAAACAATCCAAGGGATTGATCTGATCTGACCTGGGAAGCACAAAGTCATCCAAGCAGGGTAAATAAAAGATAAGTGCTGCAGAAGACAAAAGAGATAAACATATGTACTCTGATGTTCAAAAGAAAACCAAATAGATCAGAAAAAAAAAATGTGTACTAATAATATAGCTTTGTGTCCCAAGAAAGGTTGACACAAAACTATGAGTAGTCTAATAGTTCTTAGACGTTAAAGGTAAAATGTGACTGGAAAAATTTGACAACTGGTATTTCCCTGTTATCCGTGCTTAGAAATGTCATGGTGAAACTGCAGAACACCAAGGAATATTGCTGAGACAGATAGGCTACTTAGAAAGGAACGACACTTAGAATGATGGCTGCCTTCTCAATATCATAAGGGAAGACAGTGGAAAAGTGTATTTCAAGTGTTGAAGGAATATTGCTGAGACAGATGGGCCACTTAGAAAGGAACGACACTTAGAATGATGGCTGCCTTCTCAATATCATAAGGGAAGACAGTGGAAAAGTGTATTTCAAGTGTTGAAGGAATATTGCTGAGACAGATGGGCCACTTAGAAAGGAACGACACTTAGAAGGATGGCTGCCTTCTCAATATCATAAGGGAAGACAGCGGAAAAGTGTATTTCAAGCGTTGAAGGAATACTGCTGAGACAGAAAGGAACGACACTTAGAAGGATGGCTGCCCTCTCAATATCATAAGGGAAGACAGCGGAAAAGTGTATTTCAAGCGTTGAAGGAATATTGCTGAGACAGAAAGGAAGGACACTTAGAAGGATGGCTGCCCTCTCAATATCATAAGGGAAGACAGCGGAAAAGTGTATTTCAAGCGTTGAAGGAATATTGCTGAGACAGAAAGGAAGGACACTTAGAATGATGGCTGCCCTCTCAATATCATAAGGGAAGACAGCGGAAAAGTGTATTTCAAGTGTTGAAGGAATACTGCTGAGACAGATGGGCCACTTAGAAAGGAACGACACGTAGAAGGATGGTTGCCTTCTCTGTATCATAAGGGAAGACAGTGGAAAAATGTATTTCAAGTGTTAAAGGACAATAACAACCAATTTAGAATCAAATGCCCAAGAACACCATTTCTCAAAGCCAAGAGAATGTCAATGAAGACATTTATAGATAAAGCCAGAGAGTTTACAACAACCAAGAGACCTACACTAAAGGACCTTCACATGGATTTAAGGAAGAAAAAAAGATATCAGAAGAATGGTCTGATGTGGGGAAGAAATGGTGAGAAAAAAATGATAAATGTTTATGTAAAACTAAGCAAACACCACATGTATGAAATAATTTAAAAAAAAAAATCTAAGACGTGTATCCATATGCCATCTAAGCCCTGACAAGCGTGATCACAGTTCAACTCTGAGTTCTTGGTATGGTTTGGGAGAAAAACAGTATGATGATTTCAGTAGATGCACAAAAACATTTTATTAACTTTAATACCTCTTCATGATAAAAGCTATTAGCACACTAAGTATTCAAAAAGAGAATGTCCCCACGTGTGTTTATTGCAGCACTGTTTACAATAGCAAAGACTTGGAACCAACCCAAATGCCCATCAATGATAGACTGGATAAAGAAAATGTGGCACATGTACACCATGGAATACTATGCAGCCATAAAAAAGAATGAGTTCATGTCCTTTGCAGTCACATGGATGAAGCTGGAAACCATCATTTTCAGCAAACTAACACAAAAACAGAAAACCAAACACCGCATGTTCTCACTCATAAGTGGGAGTTGAACAATGAGAATTCATGGATACAGAGAGGGGAACA